>NC_000008.11:70302265-70927265 GCF_000001405.40 Homo sapiens
AATATAAAGAATGAGGACTAGACATGCAAAGTAAAATTGTTTCCCAATAAGTTTGATGGTGCTAATAAGCATCTAGACCTCAGAAGAATAATTTATAAATTGACTGATTAACTTCTATATATACTGCAGACAAGCTCATGATTTCTTTCTCTGTTTAAAAGGCTATACCTCCACTGCAGACAATAACTCTTAACTAATGAAAATGTTTAAAGGTAATTTTCATTCTCCAAAGTCCTCTGTAAGGTCAACAGAATCATGGCAAAACTCCCTTAAAATAACATTTAGCCCTGATAACTTACAGGTAAACATTAACTAACCTCCTACTTATTCTTTCCAACTACTCATTTTGCCTATTAAGGTATACAAATTAATACAGATAAATTTTTAGGTTAATAAAACCAGTGCTTAAAGTTAACTGAAAGTCAATCTTAAGATGTTCTTTTGTTATTTCAACTCAGTTTAATAAAAAGCTTCTGAAAGTACAATTAGTCATAAGTTAAACAAGTAGAGATTTAGATATACAATTTAATAAATTTTCATCCTCACTAAATGTAAAAAAAATTCATAGGCCATAATTATAACAGATATATAGAAAAAATATATCAGTTTAAAAATTCTTAAGCTACAGTTACATACACATCCACTATTTACATATATGACACAGTGAAAAATAATATATCCATCACACTCACGGATCTCATTATGCCCATTCCTTTCCATCTTGTCTCTTGCCTACCATGGTCAGAGGCAATACAATAAAGCAACTATAATAAAACAGCAACTCTGTAAAGACTAGTATTCTTGCCCAGAGATAGACCTAGACAACCAATTAATCTCATATCTGTAGTTGAATGTACAAAGTTCAAATTTGGAAAAGGATGAAAGATACTAAATTGGCAGCCCTTGACTTGAAAATAGCACTTGAATCCATAGAAATGGTTAAGATTTCTTTGGCAGAAAATATAAAGAAAGGAGGATGGGAGACTGGAACTAAGTCTTGAGGAACTTCTACAGGTAAAAACTATGTAGAAAAGGAATTGACCAAGGAAAATGAGAAGAAATTACCTAAAAGACAAGAGGAAGACCAGCAAAGACAAGTACTATAAAATTCCAGAGGAGATAATTCCAAGAAGGAGAGGGTGGTCCCCATTGTTCAATGACACTGGAAATTAAGATTTCTACTTGATGTGGCAATCAGAAATTACTGGTGCCCTTTATAAGGACAGTTTCAATGGAGAGATAAAGATATAAATCAGGCTAGAGAAGGTTGAAGTGTTGACATGTGAAAAGGAAATAAGAATTTGGATACGGCATGTACAAATGATTGCTGTCATTATCTTATACTAAAATTTATCTTCTCCTCTAGACTGTGAGCTGTTTGAGGGCAAGGATGAGGTTGCATCCATCTTTGAGTAAGACAATAACCTGCTGCTGGACTAGTAATTTTTAAACAACTGCAGAAGTCCTAGGGCTTTTATTAGGGTGCTTTGCCAAAAAACTGACAACAGTCTTTAACAGAATTACGGCGGAGGGGGAAGATAAGTTATTGGGCAGAAATTAATCTTTCTTAAACAGAGGTAAAAGGCTCAGGGATAGTTCCCCACCAAGACTAGAGCATGCCACCCTAACAACCAATCCACCCCCACCTCAAGTAAAAAGGCCCCAACACACTATAAGTAGAATTTTTATTGTTTTTCTCCCAATAGTGTGGATAATTTTTAGATTATAAACTCCCCTCAGAAATTCATCTTCTCCTTAGCTTTTTTCCCCTAATTACTGTTGCAACGACCATTCTGACACAACTGAGCCTAGAATCATTCCTTTTATATCCCTTGGGTACAATACAGACGAGCCTATAAAACACTTCAAGATTCTGTATAATATACAGTCATGCACTGCATAACAACATTTGTCAATGACACACTGCATATCCCATAGTGGTCCTGTAATATTATAATACCATATTTTTACTGCACTTTTTTATATTTAGACATGTTTATATACACAAATATTTCCCATTGTGTTACAACTGCCCACAGTATTCAGTATAGTAACATGCTACACAGGTTTGTAGCCTAGAAACAATGGGTTACACCAGATAGCCTAGGTATGTAGCAGGCTAGACCATCTAGGTTTGTGTAAGTACACTCTTGCCTAATGAGGCAATACTCAGAATGCATCTAAGTGATGCGTGACTATATGCATATTTTTTTTTTTTTTTAGACAAGTCTTGCACTGTCGCCCAGGCTGGAGTGCAGTGGCATGACCTCGGCTCACTGCAACACCTGCCTCCCAGGTTCAAGCAATTCTCTGCTTCAGCCTCCTGAGTGGCTAGGATTACAGGTGCCCGCCACCATGCCCGGCTAATTTTTTTGTTTTTTTGTTTTGTTTTGTTTTTTTGTTTTTTTTTTAGTAGAGACAGGGTTTCACCATCTTGGTCAGACTGGTCTTGAACTCCTGAGCTCATGATCCACCCATCTTGGCCTCCCAAGGTGCTGGGATTACAGGTGTGAGCCACCATGCCTGGCAACTATATGCATAATATCTTAAGACTATGGGTAAGAAAAGAAAGTGGACCAGAAGTAACTAGCTTTTTTTTTTTTTTTTTTGAGACAGGGTCTTGCTCTATTGCTCAGGCTGGAGTGCTGTGGTGCAACCACAGCTCACTGCAGCCTCGACCTCCTGGGCTCAGTTGATCTACCCATGTCGGCCTCCTGAGTAGCTAGGACTATATTAGGCATGCACCACCACACCTGGCTGATTTTCATATTTATTTATTCATTCTTTTTTTTTTTTTTTTTGTAGAGATGGGGTTTTGCTATGTCGCTCAGGCTGGACTTGGAACTCCTGGCCTCAAGTGATCTTCCCACCTAGGCCTCCCAAAGTGCTGGTTTTACAGGCGTGACCCACCACCCCAGCCAACATTAACATTATATATGTAACTACAAAGGGCAGCGGCAGTCTTTAACTTCCAACACCTAAAGTACCCTCAAAGACAGCCTCAGAGGAACCAGCACAAACTTGCCACCAAAGGCACCCTTCCCCAAATGATGGTCACTGTCAATTCTCATCTCCTACAGAGAGGTCAAATCTATCAACACAACATGACCGCATTAAGATATAATCATTATTTCAATACAATAAAGAGAACATTAATTTTTTAAAATGCACACAAAGCATGTACGAGGGCAAGAGAGGAGGTGTCTCCTTAAAAAGGAAGACAGTAAGGTAACACAATTTATCTAAAGTCAAAAAACTTAAAACGGACCCGGATGTCAAACCCAGGACTGCCCGAGCACAGGACCTGTATTTTTACTGCTCTGCCTGCCTGCTAGGCAGCACCGACCCACCAAAACAAAGGATAGCAAGCACCAAATGAACAGTATTTTAAACAGAAAAAAAATTGAAAACAGCTCACAAGTGTGTATAATAGGTATTCATAGCCATAATGTTTTAATCAAACAAAAATAAGTTTATTTTCTTTGACTCAAATTATAATTATGTATTATGCGATTAAGTATGTCAATATTTTACAGAGTTGTAGAAAGAATGTAGTATTCCAAAAGCTAGCACCAGACTAAGAGAAAAGCTTTGCAACTCACTGTGTAGGACAGTGAAGAACTTTACCTGTGGAGTAGTTAGTACCTAGCCACATTTTAATCAACTTTCTGTATTTTACTGAGTCATCCCATGGATCCAAATGTCACTCAGAAGAAATGTTATCAGAAAACAGATTTCATTAGAAATGTGGCCCTACTGTGTGAGACTATATAGAGTTTTTTGTCCTCCTAAAAAACTAAAAATGGGATTTTTCATTTTACTAGGTGCCTAGGTTCTAACAAAAACATTGAGGAATACTGGAGAAAACTGGATCCTATGGCAACAGTACCATTTCGGGAAAAAATTGAGATCTAGAGCAAACTTAGAAATCACGTTTCAACTACTGAGTTTCACAGATGGAAATCTGGGGCTCAAAGAGATTAGTACCTCTACTGATGACAGGACTTCTCCCAGTCCTCATGACTAACAGAGTTTCTATGAACCCAGGAACAAATATATCATTAAAACTTGGGCCTCACTATCCTATCTTAACCAATTGCTATTCAACCTCCACGTCACAGAAGGGCACTATGTACATGAAAAGGTGTGAAAGGGCCTTCTAACTTAGTTGTGAAGCTAGAATTTATTGATAAAATATCTAACATACAAAACATAAATAAAACTGGATAGATCTTGAGATGAGCATTCCAACACCCTAAGCATACAGAATAACAGGAGCTACCTTTTGTTATGAAACAGATGCCAGTTCCCCTGCTATAAATTTTACATGCTGGTCGGGCTCAGTGGCTTATGTCTGTAATCCCAGCACTTCGGGAGGCTGAGGTGGGAGGATTATTGAACTCAGGAGCTCAAGATGAGCCTGGGCAACAAGGCGAAACGTCGTCTCTACAAAAAATACAAAAATTAGCCAGGTGTGGTGGCGCGTGCCTGCAGTCCCAGCTACTTGAGGGGCTGAGGCTGGAGGATTGCTTGAGCCTGGGAGGTTGAAGCTGCAGTGAGCTATGTTTGTGCCATCACACTCCAGCCTGGGTGACAGAGCAAGACCATGTCTCTTAAAAATCCATTTTACAGATGAGGAAACTAAGAGAAGTTAAGCAATTTACTCAAGTTAAAGCAAGAGGAAGAAATACCAACTGAATCCAGGTCGTTCTGAATTCAAGGCCTCCACTCTCCCAGGTTGCTTCTATTACTGCTTCTTCTGCCAGGCTCCCTTCTCTGCAATTCTTGCTCTACCCAACTCCTTATTCCCTCAAAGAAAAGGATTTGATATCAAGAAGATACTTTCTAAAAGCCAGCCTTACACAGCAGTCACAAGCACCAACTTAACAATGAGTTACCCAAAAAGGTTTCACTAACAAGATTATTCAGTTATTGGCTGTTGTACCTACATAAGCAAAAAAAAAAAAAAAAAAAAATAGAAGAAATAATACAATATTGCAGGATAAAAGACAGTGAAGAAAAAAAAATTTAAGGCTGTGACAAAATGAGAACTTTACTTGACACAAGGAATTTCATTAGAAAAGAAGACAATTCTGAAACCTAAGGTGGGAGACAGCTAGGAAAACAATCTATTGTGGCTAAATTTTTCTTCAAACTGGGGGTCCCAGAGACCAAGAATGTATATAAATGTCCATAAAACATCCATGAAATTTTCTAATTTCATGCTTTCATTTTGATGAAAATCTGAAATTACTTAACATATGGATATGCTAAATCATGTGGACGACCATTATATAACTGATAACTTATTGCCATTTAATTTCAGGACTTCCATTTGTGCTTACATTCGTGTTAAAGATGAGTATTTTAATTTCTTTGAAGTCAAATCTTGAGAGGGAAAGTTTTCTATGAATTCAGTAAAGAAAATTCATGTGGAGTATTTGAAACATCTTCACACAGCTACTAGCAGTACATGCTGAACTCAATGTAACCTGAGCTCAGCAGATTATACACAGCAATTTTGTTACAGCCAAATACGCTTGCATGGTAGTGCTAATTTAAATCTTATCGATTTGGTAGTTTTGTTTATATTTAGTTAGTAAATCTATTTTTGTTTTATAGGTCTTAATTAAACTAAAATCTTCTGTATTGAAAAGGAATCTAGTAACATACTAAACTGGCTGCTTTTCATAGGAGCCATTAACCAAGTTAACATTCCCAATTATTTACATAATAAATATGGCCATAAAATGTAGATTTTAAGAATCATTCATGTACATGTTTTGTTTACCAAAAATTTCACTGACAAATCAAAGGTCCTACCAGTGGTACCCAAAATATGTCTCTGAACTGTAACTAAAGAACAAAGTCTTTTAAAACTAAAAGAAAAAATGTAATCCTTTTTTATAAAGCTAAATTTCAGTAAATGTGAAGAATCTGACTTTATTATAGATTATGAGCTTACTGTTTCATGGGGCTAAATTTTCCTTTTATTTTCTGAAATGGTGATGCTAGTAAGTGGTCATTTTCATTTTCATATAATGACTTGACAAAATTGAAATTGTGGCACTCCTATGCCAGTTTGCAGATTTGGGAAAAATTTTTAAATAGAAACATGAAATCATAATCTGGGTACTACTGGCCTACAAGTTATCTACTATGAAATGAGGTGTGTGTGTGTGTATCTGTGAGTGTATTTATACATACACATATATGTGTGTGTGTGTATAAATATATATATATATAAAACATGTATATACAAACACATACAAATAGATATAGATACATAGTTACAGGTATTCTCCTCTGGGAATTTCTATTCCATGGGGGAAATTCATTTGTAGCATGAACTCCCAATTGGGAAGTTCTTATTTCTATCAAAAGGAATCTAACACCCCTCTTTCTAGCCCATCTAGGACAAAGAGCACTCTAGGCAGTCAGGCCACAAACTACAGCATGGAGAGAAAAGAGGAGCTATTACCATTTGATATCTAAACACTTGGAAATAGTTATTTTGCTAGACATCCTAGAATAAACCACAGCCTAATAGTGTTAATAATAATGACAAGACAACAAAAACTCTGAACAGAAACTGTGAAAGATTAAAGACAGCAATAAACTCTTTGCTGCTACTCTCATTGAGAACTGAAGTGTAACCGCCCTTCCCCTGAAGCTGGGGTTGCCTTAATGACTGGCTTGACCAAGAGAATATAGCAGCAGCAGTATTTTGGGACTTCTGAGCCTTGATGCTTCAGCCTGGGACTCCTGAAACCCTCGATCTTAGCATTCTGAGCTGCTACGTATGTATGACTGCCTTGAGGCTGCCATACTATGAAGAAGCCCAAGCTGGCCATGTGGAAAAGCCATATGAAAAAAGAGAATTAAATGCCCAGCCAGGCCCCATCTATTATAGCCCCTGACAGTTCCTGGTCTTCCCAACTAAGACTCCAGATACAGAAGAGACAAACCATCCCTATTGTGCCCTGTCCAAATTCCTAACCCACAGAATTATGAGCTATATTAATAATAAATTATTGTTTTAAACAATAGATAGATCACCAGAACAAAAATGAATCGCCTTTCATAAATAGTAATAAGGACTTAAAAAAAAAAAAAGAAACATCTCGGGCAGACAAGCTGGAAACCAGAATGGCAACAAACACAAAAAAGGATTACGATGCTTAAGGATAAATAAAAATTAATTAATTCATTTACCCAACAAAGATTTATATACAAGGGATATATAAACAGGGATATATAAAGGCTCTGGGAATATAATGGTTTAAAAAAACAAAAAAAGTCCTACCTTCAAGGAACTTACAAGAAAACATTATGTATCATAGTGGTATCTTTCTATATACAGTACTTAAATTTTTTTTTTCCCCACAAAAATTGCTAGCCTTGGCCAAGCGCAGTAGCAAGCACCTGTAATCCCAACACTTTGGGAGGTCGACATGGGAGGATTGCTTGAACCTAGGAGTTCCAGACCAGCATGGGCAACATAGTGAGACACCATCTCTACCAGAAATAAACAAGAAATTAGCTGAGTGTGGTGGTGCACATCTGTGGTACCAGCTACTCAGGAGGCTGAGGCAGGAGGATCGTTTGAGCCCAGGAGATTGAGGATGCAGTGAGCAGTGATCACGCCATTGCACTCCAGCATGGAGACAGAGCAAGACCCTGTCTCGAAAACAAACAAACAAACAAACAAAAAAACGAAACCAAACAAAAAATAGCTAGCTTTTTATGGACATAACCAACAATTCAGATCAAATCAAAACACAGGCCAGGCGCAGTGGCTCATACCTGTAACCCAGCACTTTGGGAGGCCAAGGAGGGAGGACTGCTTGAGGCCGGGAGTTCGAGACCAGCAAGACCAGCAAGGGGCCAAGATGGTGAAACTCCGTCTCTCCTAAAAATACAAAAATTAGCTAGGTATGGTGCGGGGGGTGCCTGTAATCCCAGCTTCTTGGGAGGCTGAAGCACAAGAATTGCTTGAATCTAGGAGGCAGAGGTTGCAGTGAGCCAAGATCACACCACTGCACTCCAGCCTGGGTGACAGAGCAAGACTCTGTCTTCCCAAAAAAAAAAAAAAAAAAAAAATCTCATAGAGTGACCGAGAGTTTGAGTTCCTCTATGAGAAGGAAGTGAAGATTGAATCAAAATCCCACAAAAAGTTATTTGTAGTTTGTAGTATCTAAACACACTTTAGTTAACTATAGTATATAATAAAATGTTTGGGTTCTGATTTCAGACCATAAATTCAAGGCATGCGTAATGAATTCTTTTTATTTTTTCTTCATAAAGTATCAGGTTAAAATATCTTTTAAAGATACACTTACAAATGTACATAGTAGACCTCTTCTATTTTACTATAGTCAAGATTCTAGGGCCTAAAATGGGCAAAGCAAGTAAGGTCAGTAGTAAGCTGTTGTTTTAACAAGATTTATTTCTGTCTAGGTGTGCTACAATTCAAACAAACACACTCACTATTCCAGTGACTAAAATAATTTTTAACTGCTCCTTTTATTAAAGCATAGACAATTTAACCTTTCATAATATCATCCTCAGGGCTCTAAAATTATTCACACCTTTCTATTTGTAGCATTTCTCTATTCAAATTTCATACAATGCCAAAAAGAACACAAATAGAGAAAATTATTCTACATGGTATTTTTAAATAAAAGAAAATGTCTGATATCACATTGTAAAAGAACAACACAGTAAATAACTATGTTTATGGTCTCTTAGGCAAAAGACCGTAGTATGTCTTAAAATCATTAGCACCTAGCACAATGTCTCGGTAGTAGATTCTCAGCAATTGTCTGTTGACTGATAATACATTTATTTCCTAGTTTTTTTTTAAGTGTGTCCAAGAAAAATAAGCAATCCTATTTTTTTATCCCAGTAATATTTGAGGCAAAGAAAAAAAATGTTTTCAAAAGAGGTCACAAAGAAACATACCTGCCCTTTTCATTTTCTCTTGAAAATATTTTAAAAGGAATAGGGTGGGGGAAAGTGGTAACAAGTGCTATGTGCTCTAAATGTCAGTATCGCACAGATGACAATGAAGCAGTAACAGAATTATAAACTAACTTGTATTTTCTTTTCTCTCATAATTTCAGTTTTAGCACATTACATAGTAATTTGTCAGAATTTCTTTTTTAAAATATGATGCAAAAAAGAAAAAAATTATCACTGCTAAAAAGCAACTTATTAATTTTTTACCCAAAACACAGTATAAAAGTCGTAACAGTGTACTGCACAAGAACATCATCAGGATCTTTAAAATAACAATACCAACATTCCATTATAAAAAGTTGCAATATCTGGGAAGAAGATATTGAAGAATGTCTTACTTAACAGACAGCTCATTGTTCTCTTCTAGACTGGTCTAGAGACTGGCCATGGCATCAGAACATGCGTCAGAAGACCTGGCCATCTTCCTGGATCTCTGTGAGACCCAAGGCCAATCACTTAACATTTCTAGTCCTCAGTTTCCTCAGTGACAAAAGGAGAGAGTGGCACAATTGTCCCTAAATCCTGTTTAGGACTAAAAAAATTCTACCATCCTCAAATAAAGAGCCATTAGTCTAAACAAGGTTTTAAGGCATCCACATCTTCTATTTGCTTAAGGTGCAATTATTTCCTTAATCTTGCACTAAACACTTTACAAGTTTCAAATGCCTAGAGATAGACTACTTTCTTATTTTATCTTTACAACAACTCTGTGAGGTATGTTGACCCTGTAATTTTGATGTGCATTAGGAAAATGCCTAAAGGGAGGCTGAGTGAGGTGACATGGTTTGATTAAAGTCACTTAGCCAAGAAAAACCTGGAAATCAGATCTTCTGACTCTAGCTCAGTGCTCACGCAAGAGATTTCCAGAAACAAGCCACTTTTAAATTCACAAGAACTACAAGGAAGGGGAAAAAATGGTGTTTATTTTTAAATGAATATACTGTTTCTTTAAATCCAATGTCATAGTCTTAAATTCCCTAAAACAGTACAATTTTAGGCCTTTATATCTCAAAATTATTTTCAAGACTCCTGGAACAAGAAAATCCCAGTGGCTTAACACATTATCAAAATATTACCATCTATCAGGATTTCCTAAATCAATGTATCTTTCTTGGGGAAAAAGGGGGTCTGTATGAAATTAAGATTTGGAATATTTGTAGATTAATAATGCACATAAGGTCTTTAGTTTAATCTAGCATTTCACAAATTTGCTGACTGATATATACTTCAGACTTTTTATAAAATACCAACGGTCATTCTAAAGCACTTTTGTTCCAATGAACAAAATCATCTTGGAAAACACTTCTGTGTATTTTTAAAAGATGATCATTTCCTAAATAAAAAACAAAATTATTATAATTTTTCCTTATTTCTCTAACATCCACATTTTCATCTTTTCTGAAAAGGTAAATTATCTTACTATTTGTACATTTAACACGACAGTGTCCCTTTTTTCATTTCCTGAAAAGCTGTTGACCCAATATCGTACTTCGTAATCAACAGCAACTTGGAATAGAGAACTATGGTAAAAAATCTTCTCGTAATCTTAAAGTGTACTCTCGTGACACAAATGACATGACATCATATTAAAAGGTCTCCTTCTTAGCTAAATCACATACCCAGAACTAATACTGAAAAATCTGGGGAGACTTCAATTCAGATGAAATGTATACTTTAAATACATATTAGCAAAGACAGGTAATTGGGGGAAAATGTACATCAGAGAAATAACATTTGAATCCATCTTAAACTATTACAGAGATCTGTATCTAAAATTGGGAACAAACATTTACAGGTAAAGGGGAAGATAAATTACTTAATCACTGAGCCCATTAACCTACTTGTAACATGGAAGTAACTATTAATATAAGTGTGGTTTTGCCCTATTTATAAAATAGCAAATGATGAGGCAAAGGCTAATTAGCTAATCTGAATTTATCTTGTGCTCATGATTTTATAACACTAGATATATCTATTTATTCCCAAAGGGATTAGGCATTTCTAACCCTTCCTCTAGGCAACGATGAGTTCCCTAATAACCAAACAAGTTTCTTTTTACTTCTAACTAATAATGTTTAGCAAGTCCAAAAATACTTTCAAATGCTTTTGAAAATGTAAGGCAGCTTAGAAATAAGCTGTTTTTAGTAATGGTATTTTAGAAGTGGTATAACTTACCACTTCAGGCAAAGAGGTATGACTTGTCACTGGTAATAGTGGTAACTCGGGAAGCTGAAAAGAGTTATTTTGAGAAAATAAGAAATTGTGGGCTCTAGTCTCAAACCTCACCCTTCACCTCATATATATGAAATGTTATGCTTCTGTAATTCACAAATCAAATTTCTGTTTAAAACTGGAAGAATTAACAACAGAGTAAGTTATATATTTACTTTTAAGGTACACACACGAAAAAATTTTTAGGAATAGAAGTACTCAGTGTTGGCTAAAAGATTTTAGATATTTCAGTCACTTCCTAATCCTTAAAATGTTTATACAAGTTTCTCCCCACTTCCTCCACCATCCCCCTATTATATCCATTTTATAATTCAGAAGGTGATCTGTTAACCAGGCCATAAACAGAAAGTAAACTTCAAAAACAACTGCTGGCCGGGCAAGGCGGCTCACGCCTGTAATCCCAGCACTTTGGGAGGCTGAGGAGGGCGGATCATGAGGTCAGGAGATGAAGACCATCCTGGCTACGGTGAAACCCCATCCCTACTAAAAAATATATATATATATACAAAAAATTAGCTTGGCATGATGGCGGACGCCTATAGTCCCAGCTACTCGGGAGGCTGAGGTAGGAGAATGGTGTGAACCTGGGAGGCAGAGCTTGCAGTGAGCCGAGATCACGCCACTGCACTCCAGCCTGGGCGACAGAGCAAGACTCTGACTCCAAAAAAAAAAAAAAAAAAAAAAAAAAAAGCAACTGTCATGTCCACAAATAAATGAGTAAGTCATATTTTAAAATAAAGTACAGAATGCCACAAAGACTCATAAAGGCATCAAAGTACAGTATGCTTCACCAACCTATATTATCCTATTTCTATCTATGGACTAAAATTATATAAAGTGACCTCTCTGCAAGTGAGTTTAGACTCCAAATGCTAGATTAAGGAATTATGTCTAAACTACTTACAAAAACAATAACAAACAGCATATTTTGGAAGGTCACATTAAAAAAATTGAACTACCATCTCCAGTGCCTAAATTCCATGATGTAATAAGCCTGTATGATGGATATAACAAGAAATTTACACTCTGCAGATTGTTAAACTAGAACAAAATCCCTGAAACATTGAAAAGTGAGGGTTTTGAAATGTTTTTTAAATATGAAACCAAGCAGCATTCATTTCCTAAATGTAAAATATAATTTAAAAAATAATGAAAAGGATTGTTATTTAAGCATTCCAAAATTGTTTTTCAGCAACTGCTATGCTTTTTTAGAATATTAAAACTGTATTATTGTATGTGTGAACAAGACTGTTGTCTTTCTCAGTTATATAATGAATTGAGAATTGAACCATGTTTCCTAAGGCCTACAAGAGAAACGCAAGTGTGCTATGTAATCAATGCTTTCTAGTAGACATTTCATTGAACTTATTCATTTTATCTAGCAGGAAGGCAGAAATGATAAACGCTGATGTGGGTTGATACCACTCACTCCTACATATCTGAGCCTTTTCATTTATTTGAGTGTCCTAAATCTCCAACATGTTCAATAAAATACTGGAAGGTAAAGAAGTTTTGACGAGCTAAGGAAGGCAATGCACTGTGCCTCACAATCACTTTTTGCCTATGTCTTACAGAAATCAAGTAAGATACTTGACACTGATTATAAAGGGATGATCATCTAGCTTGTTGATGATGCTGATGATACAAAAGTCATTCTATGTTTGATTTCTTCCTCTTTTCTTTCAGGTGTCTTTTTGGGCATTCAACACCTCTAAGAAAAAGAAAGAATTGAGAAAATGAGGTAAAATTCCAACCTATGAAATTTCATTTCCAGCAAAAACACTTAAAAAACAAAACAAACAGAATAACCTCTTAGAGACCCAAAAGAAAATACATTAAAACACTAAAAGTGGTTGTGTATGGATGACGCCATTATGGATAGATTCTTTCATGTCCACGCCTTCTAAATTATAACCATATTATTAATACTTATATTTAATACCAAAACAATAAAAGCATTACTGGGAAAGTAAGTTAAATGATTCCAAACATTTTAACTACCCTGACCTTATACTACACAAGACAAAGGGGAAGTCGCCTATAAAACTTGACACTATAAACAAATACAGAAGTATCTCTTGCTTATTCTTTTCTTCCCTATCTGTGTTAACAAAGGGAAAAGGAATAAAGGAAAAGAAAGCCATGAGGACACACTCACAAACCAAAACCACAAGAAAAATAATCTAAAACCAGACTGCAGGAGGCAGGAGGAAGGCACCATTCTCTATAAGAAGTGATTTTGCAACACTAATAGCAAACCCACATTCCTGCCACAAGCCTCATCCACAACCTAATGCTTTCAAACAGGCCACACGGCTGGCGGCCCTGAGAGCCTTCCAGAGAGGAACCAAGATAGAGAAATCAGGAGGGCTGAGGACTGAATTGAGCCCTAATCTGATTCCAATGAAACACTGCCCTGCTGGGGTATAATATTATGGTAGGCAGGAATTAATAGATGACGGAACTTCTAAAGAAAATTCCTAAAGGAACACTGCTTTGAATGTGAGCCTCTTCCATTAATGATGAAACAGCTGAAGTACTGCAGTACATGCTTTCTAGGGAGAGTCATCCGCACGATGCATAAGGTAAGGAAAATGCAGCATCACCTTCAGAAACAATACAGAGGGTATGCCTAGATGAAAAATCTGCTCTCAGTAAATAAACTATGTTTGTGTGAACATTAAGAGTCTCGTTTCCTCTCGAGTCAAAGCACCATATGGCTGAAAGCAAAGTCTTATTAGATTTGGAGACTGAACTGGTTTATGAGGGCTCAAACTTGTTCAATGAGCTGTTTTAAAGGCACTATGTTTTTACCAAGTCCTGGGAGTGTCCCTCATGATACTACCTCAACCAACTCCAAGAAGCCAGACACCTTCCTACACAAATGCCAAACACTTCATCTCAATCCCGATAGAACTCTCTAAAACAGCACTCTGGTTTTGTTTCCAGATCATTCAAGAAATTACTCATTCAGATCCAGCAATCCCACTTCTGGGTATTGTTAAACAAAAATTATGGGAGGCCGTTGTTTTGGACTGAGCTCCTACACTAGGTCCCAACAGACCAGACCAAACCAAACTGGAATTACTCATGCTATGCCACATAACCAAACGGAAACTTCAAGGTAGGAGATAGATCCCAAAACAGATCAGTTTTTTTCTGAAAATGGGAGATTACAGTCTTCCTGAGCCAGTGTAATAAGGAAGTCCCCTGTGCTTTAACCCTTACCAGAAAGTAACCGAAGTAACCTGATGTTAAATAAAATAAAAGCCAATCAAATCTATAACTAAACTTCTTGTAATTTTGTCTTTTGGTAGTTCTGGTGTCCAACAGTGGGACCTGAAAAACACTGCTGATGACGCCCGAGACCCATGGGGAATGCAGGAGAGGTGTTGCCCACCTCTTTTAAAGTCCCCTGTCTTCCTCACACTGTTCGGAAGGTTGTAAGTTCCTCACGGTTCAGACTCTGATCTCTGCGTGGAGCCCCTGGATAGTTTTGGCTTTTGAACTCAGGGTTAGTTTGTGCTATAAGAGAGCACATGAACTCTTGGGGTTTGCAGTGGCTAGCAAGAGCTACAGTTTTAAAGGCAATGTACCGCGGTTGCAATGAGTGGCTATGATTGCAGAGGGTGTGATCTCCAGGTTTCAGAATTCACAAAGATTTGGATTCTATCCTCTTTGTTTCTTTTTCTTGTGTGCTTTGGTAGGGGGAAATCACTGGCTAGTCAGTCAAGGGGATCCCAGTGCCAAAAGTCACAACTTGACTGGTGGACCTGGTTCAAGCACTTAAGAGCTGTTAGATTAACCAGACATGAAAAAATAAGACTGTCGTGAGAGGATAAACTGGACACAAAACACAGCAGTGCCACCACCTTCAGGAAGTATCTGCACAAGAAGGCACACCAAAAGCATTGCACAACCCAACACTGTGGCATTTCCCTCTTAGGCTTTTACCTCAGATTTGAGAGATCCAATATTCAACATAAAAAATGAGATCCTTAATTTCTAAAGAACTAAGTACTCCACCTTCTGGATAAACCTGTCTTTTATATGAGTAAGTGTTAGGTCCCAGAAGCTACAAAATACTGGCAAAAATGGCAAAATCACAACAAAGATAATTTAGAATTACAATGGCCATTACATGGAGCATTTCAGATAAACAGCACTGCACTTTAAGAAGTCCATTTAAAAATAAGGAGTCCTAATTCAGGCCAACCCAGGGGCATCTATTGGTATGTAGAAGCTTCTAAAAAGATTTCAGGCCAGCACAGTGGCTCATACCTGTAATCTAAACACTTTGGGAGGCCAAGGCAGGAGGACTGCTTGAGGCCAGGAATTCGAGGCTGCAGTGAGCTACGATCATGTCACTGTATTCCAGCCTGGGTGACAGAGTGAGACCCTGTCTCTAAAAAACAAAAAAAAATGAAGTTTTCAAAAAAAATTGTTTATTGCCACTTTTAAGACACTTTACAAAAGGAAAATGAAACACTTAAAACTAGTTGACAAAAAAATTCAAGTTGCAGGCCATTTCACTTAGTTACTACCTCACCACAAAAACAAAGGAACATTGGGAAAGTCTTATAAAAGTTAGGCCCTCAGGTCAAGCCGGTTTGCTTCTTTTTCAGAGCTTTCCATGCTGAGTGCAGTCATAATGCTTAATCAGCCCTATTTGTTAATGTGCCCCACCTGGAACTCAATAAGCCAGTGAAGAAACAGAAGCTAAACTGAAAAGCCACCTAACAAAATTTGTTTCCAAAATACGCCTTTCTGGCATTCAGGCGGTTATTTTGAATAGGCTTCTGAATGTTCTCCTAGGCTCATCTGTGTACTTCCTTGTAAAATTCTGCAGTGAATTCCTATGGCTTTTTGTTGCCTCAGCATATCTTTTGAATCCTCCTCTGTGGCTCCCTAACTGACACACCTGAACCTAATTCTCCTCCTGCTCAGTGCTCTTAAAAAGTGGCTGGCCAGGCATGGTGGCTCATGCCTGTAATCCCAGCACTTTGGGAGGCAAGGAGGGCAGATCACTTAAGCCCAGGAGTTTGAGGTGAGCCTAGGCAACTAGGCAAAATCCCATCTCTACAACAAATACCAAAAAAATTAGCTGGGCTTAGTGGCGCCTGCCTGTAGTCCCAGCTACTCGGGAGGCTGTGGGAGGATCATTTGAGCCCAGGAGGTTGAGGCTGCCGTTAGCTGTAATCACCACTGCCCTCCAGACTGGGTGACAGAGGGAGACCCTGTCTCAAAAGAAAAAAAAAGAAGGAGGGGCTATCTCAATAGGCCCATCAGGGCAGGACTACAGTTTACAGCCACTCCCCAGGCAGAAATCTCAAGACCAAGTCATAGGAAAATACACTGTATCCAGTTTTAGCAGAAAATGGGTGTTTTGTCCACCCAGATGAGCTCTGGAGATATTCAGACCTAAATTTTAGTCCACAGTCTCTATACCATTGACCTCTGACAAAAGGCAATACGCCCTAAGCTCTTTCTTGAAAAAAACTTCCATTTTTTCCCAGTGCCTTTGAGAAGTAAACTTTCCACATTAACATTCACGCCTTTCCAAGTACAAATTTAGGGTTGCCTAGCTAACAACTGACTAGAGCAATGAAACGGGAAAGACGGATAATCTGAAACAGGGAGAGAAACTATTGGGAAACTGGCATCTGTACATTTGTGTATGTCTATTATGCATGTTATATACCTTGGATGATGTTTCTGAAATTTATAAAGAGCTCTATTTAGGCCAGGCATGGTGGCTAACACCTGTAATCCCAATGCTTTAGGAGGCTGAGGTGGGCAGGTCGCTTGAGCCCAAGGGTTCGACACCAGCCTGAGCAACATAGTGAAACCCTGACTCTACAAAAAATACAAAAATTTGCCAGGCATGGTGGTGTAGGACCATGGTCTCAGCTACTTGGGAGGCTGAGGTGGGAGGATCACCTGAGCCCAGGACGTGGAGGTTACAGTGAGCCGTGATGACACCACTGCACACTAGCATAGGCAACAGAGACCCTGTCTCAAAAATAAATAAATAAATAAATAAATAAATAAAAGCTCTATTTAGCTGGCTTTTAAAAAGTGATGCTTAAATAAATATTCTCTCAGAAAACAGAAACTAATGTCTTTTACTTCAGGTGATCTGAGATAATCTTTGGTAAATAAAGCTAGTTTTAAAATTATTGTTAAAAATGTTTTTGGAATTGCTAACATCAATTATAATGCAAGCATACTTTCTTTAAACCTAGTTTTACTAGTCAAACAGGCTTGTTATCTCCTAGATATTTAAGACCTTAAAACTATAAATCCAAGCTTATTGCAGAATACTCATGAAAATAAATTGCTTGATACATGTCAGACATGGAGGTAAAAGGAAGAGGGAAAAACCAAGTTTAAGTTATTGGTTTCTTTGCTTCTGTGATATTTTTAACTGTCCGATTTGTCAAAAAATATGATGATGGGTAGCCTTGTTTTCCATGAGCAATTCAAACATAACTATTAAGAATGAATAAATTAGGTGAATGTGAATAGTATAAATGTTTATAAATTCACTTTTCAAAATTTTAAAATTCCTTTGCAGTAACGTGAAATCTTAAATAGATATTCATGAAATGTCTGCCTCATTTCTATGTAAGTTAAAATGCTGAAACATTAATTGCTGAATACAAGTTTAAAGTATATGTATTTTGACATCTTGTTTTTATATGGAAGCTATATATCTGGGTCTGTTAAAAAAAACATGAAGAAACTACATTATGAGAAAAAGTGTTCTAAAAATTTTGAAACAGTGCTCATCTACAAAATGCTGATACACAACAGCTCACAACTGCTTATTACTTCCTCAGTTTTCTCTATAAATTAAAATCACTAAGTTAAAAACTCTACTATATGATAATTAAAACTAGAAATAAGAGAAAAAACTCTTTATGCAAGGAAAGGAATGTGGTTTTTTGGTAAGTCAGGCTTACATGAAAGATATGGTTTTATTAAGAGAAAAAGATAGTAATTTTTGTCCTAGAGTGACTGGTTGTTCCAATATGAATAAAAAGCATAGGCTATAAGAAGGGTTGTAAAAGGTTTGTGGAAAATGAAACTTGCAAAAGAAATTTTACATGCAATCAAACTGGCTAAAATTGCAAGGAAATTAAAAGTTTTTCTAAAAACTGAGCATATATATCAAAATACACTAACACAAAACAGGTAATCTGATACTCTGTTAAAAAAAAGGTTTTCTTGGAGGAGTATTGATCTGCTCTTAATAAAAAATAATGAAAGGTTTTTATCTTTTAGGTAACTGGTCTCGAAAACAAGGATTCTGTGTTTTATCAGTATGATTCACTGTGCATATTGTCTTTAGTAAGTGTTATGAGTTATCTCTATTAAAGAACTAAGGTTTTATCTACAAATATATAACTTTCTGTATTTGCCTTTTGAAATCCTTTTATTATCACACTGATTAAATGAATGACTACTATTTCGCAGTGACCTGTGATCCTATTTTGATCAAGTGTTTTAAACCTTCAATAATTTTGACAAGCTTCCCAAAATCAAATTCTAAATTAACTTTCTGAGCTCCAAATTAACTTTGGGATTTTCTTCTAGGCCCCTGGAAAGCCTCAATGGGTTTTCTATTGTTTTGCATTTTGAGATCTATTGTACAGCATGGAAAGTATAGTTAACAACAGTGTATTATACACATCAAAATTCTTAAATTTCAAATGTTCTCACCACATAAAGTTTTCAAAATGAGGGATATGTTAATTAGCTTGATTTAATTATTCCACATTATATTCATAAAATATAACATCACTTTGTTTTTTTTTTTGTAGAGATAGGGTTTCACCATGTTGCCCAGGCTAATCTTGAACCCCTGAGCTCCAGCACTCCACCTGCCTCAGCCTCTCAAAGTGCTGGGATTACAGGCATGAGCTTCCATGCCCAGCCAATATTCATAAAATATAACATCACTTTGTAACCCATAAGTATGTAATTACAAATTGCCAATTTACAAAATTAAAATTTTTGAAAAAGAAATTATTTATCCAAAGGAGATTTCAGTAGGTACCAGGCAGGCTGTGCACATCCATTTTCTTTCTCACAGAGGAAGTAGACTTACTAAGACACCCTTCGCCACACAAGAAGCAAAACAGCATTCTTTCCTATGAGGTTTGAAATTTCTAATATATCAGAAATGCTTTGCTTTTTTCCTTCATCAAGAATATATTTTATTTATAAACTTGATTCTTAGGTAATGCTTTCCTAAGTTTCAGAATATACCTTTTTTTTTTTTTTTTTTTTTTTTTTTTGGTGAAACAGCCAAGTGAATAAAACTATCTAGCCTAGGTGAGGTGGCCTGTAATCCCAGCACTTTGGGAGGCCCAGGCGGGGGGATCACCTGAGGTCAGGAGTTCGAGACCAGCCAGGCAAACATGGTGAAACCTCATCTCTACTAAAAATACAAAAATTAGCCAGGCATGGTAATCCCAGGTACGTGGGAGGCTGAGGCAGGAGAATTGCTTGAACCTGGGAGGCAGAGGTTGCAGTGAGCCAAAATTATGCCATTGCACTCCAGCCTGGGCAACAAAGCATGACTCTGTCTCCAGAGGGGGAAAAAAAAACCTGTCTACAAACTTCTAGTAAGTTATTTATTTCATCATATGGCACTAAGAAAATCATCATGTTTGCCATTAAAACTAGGTACACTAATAACTTATAGCTTAATATTTTTGGCATGGTTCTTACTGAAATCTGCTACTTTCAACCAAGTCATTATGCCTCGAGAGCTCTGTCAAGACTTAATATATGTTCATTCCTATGATAAATATTTACTGATATTTCAGATAAATAGTTGTGGTTGCTGTAACACATATATTCACTACAGAAAACTGTAGATTTCTATATAAGCAAGAACCAATTATTGTATGATCATAAGCAATACCATAAGGGCAATATGAATATTTACTAGTATTATACAAAACAGCTAGCACCAAATATTTGGATTTCAGTACAGTTCTTCCTCCAGTACCCACATCCTTGAGACGTATTAGGAGGTAAAATTCACCTAAGTTTTAGAACTCAACAAACCATATCTCAAGTATTTACTTCTGCCTTTACCATACGTGTGATCCTGGGCAAGTTAGTTAACCTCCCTCGGCCTTAGTTTCTTCATTTGTAAAATAATAATACAAACCTTGTTAAGTTTTTAACAGAACAATATATTGTATGTAAAGTACCTAGGAAAGGGTCTGGCCCATAGTAAATGCTTGATAATGACAGTGATTACTGTAATCATTGTTGAAATTGCAGAGATCAAACAATTCCTAATAATATAGCCAAAAAAGTGAAGTGCTCAGGACCTTCAAAAATATTTCAAAGAATTTGTTATCAAGATATTTTTAGACTTGTATTTCTGGGTTCTACAAAGTCCAGATGGTATCTTCTGTCCTACACAAGTTAGGCTGTGTCGTAAGACTCTTCTACCAGGTACTTTCTTGACATCTGTGAGAGGCAAGCAGGTATTTCCCCAGTACTTAAACACTAGGTCTGCTAATTACTGAGTCAGATTTAACGAATACGTAAACTACTCTGGCTATGCTAAACACTTAGGGAGGCTGCATCAGATTTTTCAACAACTGGTCAGTATGTACTGAGTCCACTGAGTACGCAGCTATGTTCTAAAAAGTTGCATTCACATCAATAATCAAACATAATCCCTGCCTGAGTAGAGTTTACCATCTAGAGGAAACAAACTAAAAGAAGTTTAAAAGAAAATGTAGTATGTTTTAGTATAATGGCTAGCTAAAGTTGATTTTGCTGTGTTTTAAAAACGAGAAAGAATATAATTAGATGAGAGGCAGTTATAAATATAAATTACAATTTGGATGTTGAATGTAGCAACAGCGAGAAAGCACACGAACACAGGATGAAACATAAGTAATGCTGACAGTGAAAAGCAGATTTATCTGAGGTAGGAAAAAAAATTAGCAAACTTCAAAAAGGTCATTGATATTAAGGGTGCTAACAGCCTAATCTGGAAATTTAACAAAATTTTTTTAAAAAATAATTATTTGATACATTAAGTCCTTTGCTAATTATTGAAGGGGGGGAGATTATTGCCTGGGGATACTTATTACCATAAACGATGTGTAAATCAGACTACTGATTATATGATTATAACATTGTCTCACTCAATAAATACTATCTACCCAACTATCTCCAATAACCTTTCTGACACCTGGTATGAGCCTATGTGCTAATTTTCTGGTTTTCTAGAAAAAAAATAGTTTTTAAAATGAACTCCCAAAAAGATCCAAAATTTAAAGAATAATATGTATATACAAACACAACTATCCAATACCATATGGTAGGTTAACATGGTATTTCCAGGACAGTCCTAATCTTCAGTGGGGATGAACATGCTTCCCTGAACAGTCTGGGGTCCCATTTCCCAGGCCCAGCCCTTCCCCTACCCATTACTGGTCCCACATACCACCTTAACTGGTTCTGCTACTAGTTTTTCTCTCCCTCTGAAAATCCGTCTTAATAAAGGACTTCATTTTTCAAGACTGACATGTATATGCCTAGGATACACATGTTAGGATAAAATATACTAAGTAAGCTGGTGATTATTCTACTCCAAATATCTCTATTTTCTCCATCTTATCAATATATGCTATCTAATCCCTAAAGTATATGGAGACATCTTGTCAATTTGTGACCAAAATGCAGTGCAAATTTCATTCATTCATTCTCTAGTTCCTCATGAACTCATCAAGTACCAGGTGCCAGAGGATATAAAAAAGTTGTATTAATATCTTTGTTTTTTTTAGGTTTATTTTTGAGACAAGGTCTCGCTCTGTCACTCAGGCTGCAGTGCAGTGATGTGACCAAAGCTCGCTGCAATCTCAAACTTATTGGGCGCAAGTGATCCTCCTGCCTCAGCCTCCCAGGTTGCTGGGACTGTAGGCACGTGCCACTGCACCCAGCTAATTTTTAATTTATTTTCTGTAAAGACAGGGTTCTCACTATGTTGTCAAGGCTGGTCTCAAACTCCTGCCTCAAGCAATCCACCCGCCTTGGCCTCCCAAAAGCTCACGAGCCATGGTGTCCAACCCCAAAAAAAAAAAGGTACTCATATAGGATAAACTCTATAGATCAACAACCTTTAAAAGAAAATTAATAACCCTTTCTTACTCATTCCAAGAAGATTTTGCTATCCTTGGGACTTGTTCCAAGAGACAAGATATTAGGTACTGTTTCCAAACGTGGCCTCATATCTGAACCAACTATTTCAAATGCAGTCAGTTCTACCTTTCCCCCTTTAATGAAGTTATCATTCACTCTGATCTTTTTAAATTTTCCTTTTTATGTTTACTTTGGAAATTTTGAAAAATAGAAAAAAAGCATAAAAGAGAGGAAGAAATATTCACCACTATCTCTACCCCCATGAAGTAACTTCTCTTAGTATTTTAGCTAATATTTTTTAATTTATTTCTTTCAGATGTTTTTACTATCCATATCTTTAAACATAATAATTTACTACTTAGCTATTTGCCCTTACCATTACTGTTATTCCTATCTTAAGAATATGGCATCATGTACCTAACCATTTCTTTCCTGTTAAACAGTGCTGTTTCCATTGTTTCACTGTTTACAGAAACTGTATGACAGAAATCTTTGAACACAAATCTTCGTCTGGTTATATAATTATTTCCTAGGCATTCCTTGGTCAAAAGATATGCTCAACTGGTAAGGCTTCTGCTATACAAAGCCAAAGTGGTTTTTCAGAAAAGTAGTAACAATTTATACCAAAGACTAGTTCCTGAAAATGCTCTTTCAATCACAATCTAATTAACAAAGGGCAGTCTCTCACTCATTCACTCATTCTACTAATTTAATAAATAGAAAGTAGAACATAACATCTTTTTTTTTTTTTAAACACTCTGTCGCCCAGGCTGGAGTACAGTGGCGTAATCTCGGCACACTGCAGCCTCAACCTCCTCTGGCTCAGGTGATCCTCCTAAGTAGCTGGGACTACAGGTGCACATCACCACACTCAGCTAATTTTTGTAAAGATGGGATTTCGCCGTGTCACCCAGGCTGGTCTTGAACTCCTGGACTCAAGTAATCTGCCCACTTTGGCCTCCCAAAGTTCTGGGATTACAGGCGTGAGCTATCGTGCCTGGCTGAAAATAACATCTTAACTGCAAGTTTTCACTTATACTTTTCATTTAAGAATCTTGTCTGTTCTTTATCGAGGCTAAAATGGGATCTAGCTATCCCCCAGAATCTTTCACATGGGTGGCCCATTTACTTGGTCTGCCATTCTGATCTTTCTGGCCAAAGCTTCATCATCTCTAACCTCATCACCTCACAAATGAAGGCCATTACCACCAACATTCTAAGTAGCTGACTGCTCTCCCTGGGACACACCTACCATTCTAATAGCAGAGGCAGCTCAAATGAGGCCACTAGGAAACTAGCCTGCACTACTCCTCACCTCTTCACAACTGGCAAGACAAGCCAAAAACACTGAGTTACAGTTTAATAGGCTTCCACCAAAACTCCTACAGTTCTTAATCATATAAACACTTTTGTCAATTCTTCCTAGTACCCATGATATGGTTCAATTAATACTATTTTCAAAGTAGTCTACTACATGTAATATAAACTGTAAGTCTGTGTACATCTATGTATGAAGTATACATCCTCTTACCCTTTATAATTAAGTCACCATCACATAAATAAGTCCGTGTATATATGTATATAAAGTACATATGCTCTTACCTTTATTAAGTTCTCCCATATACATGTGAAAGGATACAGGCATTTCACTGTTAGTTCAAAATAGTGACAGCAATAAAATTAATACAAATAAAATGACAGAAAACTACCCTTTCTGCATTTCTCTCTCTCACACACACACACACACACACGTGCACACACACACACACACATGCACACACACACACACAGCTGTGATTCCTAAAATTATACAGAAAACAAAGTAATTTGGAGGACATGTCTTTCATAAAATATAAAACAAGGGGGGTTCACATGAGGAAAACTGATAGCAAATTTTTAATTTCTTACATGATATATATATAACAAATCATGGAGATCATTGGTCACGGCCTCCAGTGATCCAGTGTTGAAGATTTCAAGCTCAAAAGCTAGCAAAGTTTACTTGACCATTATACAGATTCACTCCTAGACATACTGGTAACTCAATATTCATGATCATCCAGATGCATAAAGAAGAACAGAAAATGTAATGAGATATATTCAGCTTTCATTAGTTTTAGCCTTTGAAGTATTGGAAATAGTCTCTAAATTCAACACTAACTTTACAAAATGCAGAAACAGTCTTTTAAAAAATTAAAGGCCTCAGCTACCTTACTGTGGTTCTAATACATAACTTATCTCCTAGCTTCTCTAGAGATCACACTAAGGACAATCTTAACTTCACTCAGTCCTGTCCCAGTAGTCCTTTACCAGCCACTAACTCACTTCACTGCCTTTGCTTAAGCTTTCCTTGCCTAACTTCAAAGTTTTCCATTCATATTCAAGATTAAGTATATTCTTGAAGTTTGCTCGAGGAGATTAATACATTCGGCTTCTGTCATCACTTTCCTTAAAACATAGGCACACATGAAAAGTCTTGAAATGAACAAATCTTCAAATGAGCAACAATCTTGCCTTGTATTCATTTGCATTTTGAATAATGTCATTAAGGAATATATCTGAAACAAATTAAGTAAAGTGTGCCTGGTAACAACATACTCAACAGAAAGCAAGAATGCAGTATGTATTCTCTGCACATAAATGCATGCCTACATTTATACATTTGTGAGAAGCCTGAAATTTTTGCAAAATTCATTAATATAATCCATTCAAATATTGTCCAAAGGATACCTCAAAGTTAAGTGAGTACCAAAACTGCTTTAATTGCTTTAACTGATTCTGTTTCAAAGACATTTATTTTAAGCAACTCTTCAATCCACCTTCTAAAAGTAAATAGCAGTGGCATAAATCAGAATACCAACAGACAAAATTAATGTAGTTAAAAGTCAACCAGTTAAAGTACAAGTACAATCTCACTATATGACCATCATCACTACTAATCAAAACACTCCAACTAAAACAAAACCAGGAAAAAAACCGACCTGGATTTCCAAAGCGGTTTTTAATGTTACTAGAGAAAGCAATCACACAGTAGATATTATGATTAAACACTGATGTATTAAGAGAGTTTTAAAAAAGCTGAATGTAGATAGATGGAGAGACAGACAGACAGACAGACAGATGGGTTTTTAAAGCTACATTACCTACCAAGAGCTTCCAACAATCTCCACTCCTTTGGGAAGCAGCATTTTAACGAACCAGCTACATGCATCCCAGAGGCTCAACCCACATTTCCTGATTTCTATGACAAAGATTGTCATTAACCTTACCAAGATCACCAGGAATGCAGTACCAGTGTGGCCACACTTAAATAAACCTTTCATCTACTTTGAGCAAAACAAAAACACTGTAAAACTGGTATGGCAAGTTACACAACTTAGCACTATTATACATTAGTTTCAGATGAGACCGTCTGACTAATCAGCGTACCTGAGACACATACAGAAAAGTTGAAGACCTGTAAATGGCACTGAACTTGGAAAACCAAGAACTAATCAATTCAAGAACTTTTCAGCAGAATAGCTATGAGATTATGTAAACCATCGAATGAATACAATTCTAAGTCTTATAGATTATATGTACCTGCTATATTTCAGTGAAAGAAACCGATTATTTTTCAGCTGTAAAGGTCTTTCCTCAGTTCTTCTACAAGACAATTTGTATGTTTCTACGCAATAAGTTTGTGACATTCTTGGGTACAATTTTTCTTGTCCTCTCTAGGTCTCCTAGACATCATTCATAAACTGGATTCTTTGAATAGACATTTACCATCTTAAATTCCTTGAATAAATTTCCTTAAATAAAATTCTAAACTAAACAAGTGGTTTCTAGAATACTGAACTTGTCCTTGTTATAGAAGAACTCTATTAATATCAGTGATTAAGCAGGCAATCAAGGCTCACTTATAAAAACTGAGGTTAAGAGGAAAAAAACTCAGCAAGGTTCAAGACCATGTACACACCTATTCATCTGTACACACAGAATACATTTTTCACATTAAATATTTTTTCATGTTAAAAAATAACTTTTCATTTGCATTTCTCTGGTGTCAAACTAGATACCTTACCAGAATAAATAAAATTAAAAACAAAGAGAAAAAATAGGACAATACCAACAAGTAATGAGGATGCAGAGCAACTAGAACTTCCACAACATTGCTGATGAGAATATAAACTGATACAACCACTTGAAAAACTGTTTGGTAGTACCTAGTACCTACTAAAGCTCAATATACTTTATTCTCAAGACCCAGCAATTTTTTTTTCCTTCTTAGAGACAGGATCTCACACTCTGTCACCCAAGCTGGAGTGCAGTGGCATGATCATAGCTCACTACAGCCTGAACTCCTGGGCTCAAATAATCCTCCTGCCTCAGCCATCTAAGGAGCTAGGACCACAGATGCACACCACCATGCCTGGCTACTGTTTTCTGGTTTCTTTTTTTGAGACAGGGTCTCACTCTGCTGCCCAGGAGTGCAGTGGTGCTATCACAGCTCACCGTAGCCCCCAATGTGTTCAAGCAATCCTCCCACCTCAGCCTCCTAAGTAGTTGGGACTACAGGCGTGAGCCACCACACCTGGCTTATTTTTTGTCCTTTTGTAGAGATGGGAGTTCGCCATGTGGATGGTCTCAAACTCCTGGGCTCAAGCAATCGACCCACCTCAGCCTCCCCAAGTGCTGGAATTACAGGCATAAGCCACTGTTTCTGACCTTTTTTATTTTTTAATTTTTTGTAGAGATGGAGTCTCCCAGGCTGGTCTTGAACTCCAGGCCTCAAGTCATCCTCCCAACTGGACCTCCCAAAATGCTAGCATTACAGGTGTGAGTCCACATGCCTCAGCCAAGACTCAGCAATTTTGATCTTGGGTATACCCAAGAGATGTGAGGGCTCATGTCCACAAAAAACACAAATAGGAATGTTCACAGCAGCTTTATTCATAACACCAAAATAGAAAGTGACCCAAATGTTGATGTATTCATCAATAGGATAAATAAATATTAATATATTCATATAATGGAATACTACAAAGCAATGTAAACAAAAGCACTAACGCTATATACTACAACATTCAGAAATCTCATGGATGCAACAATGCACAGCAAAGAAGCCTGACACAAAAAAGTACGTCTTATATGATTCAACTTTTATAAAGTTCAAGAACAGGTAAAACTAATTACAAAGAACAGAGCTCTATCTTATAGGGACCAAGGTCACCACAGCGGTTATCTCTGGGGAAATACTAATGGAAAAGAGCACAGGAGAGGGAACCTTCTGGAGTGATATAAATATCCTGTTTTCATCTGGGTAGTATTTACAAAGGCACATACATATTTATATATATAGAAAAACTCATCTGAGTCATATTCCATCTTACCACTTCCAACTGCCTTACCTCCATTAAGTTATTTAACCTATCTAAACCTATTTTTTTTTCCAGTACAAGATGGGAATAATGACTTTGACACAGGATATGAAGATTATAAAACACTCAATAAATGATGATGATGATGATGATAATGATGATGATGATGATGATGATCTGGTTTCTTATTTGCTTCAAATAAGGAACACAGTGGAATAATGTATGAGCTCGGTACGGTGGCTCATGCCTGTAATCCCAACACTTTGGAAGGCCAACGCAGAGGGATCCCTTGAGGCCAGGAATTCAAGACCAGCCCAGGCAACATAGAGAGGCTCCTGTCCCTACAAAAAATAAAAAGATAAGCCGGGCATGGTGGCACACACCTGCAGTCCCAGCTACTCAGGAGGCTGAGATGGAAAGATTGTTGGAGCCCAGGAGGTCTAGGCTACAGTAGGCTCCAATCATGCCACTGCACTCCAGCCTGAGTGACACAGACACCATGTCTCAAAAAAAAAAAAAACCCCAAAAAACAAACAAAAAAAAGATGAATGTCAATTAGTAAAAACAATAGCTGGCAGTCATAGAAAAAAATCAGATACCAGAAATTAAAATTTGGAAAAGTCTTATGTCATAGTACAAAAGCAAAATGCTGAACACAAGTTAACAAAAAGTAACGTGCACAGTATTTACTGAGTCACAAGAAAAAGACAGGTTATGCTTACGCAATCTTAAAAAGTATGGCTGTGTGCAATACACTTAGAAAAAATTTCCAGTTGAAGTGGTTAAATAAAATAAAAGCAATTCTAACACCTACGAGCTGGTTATCTTCAGTTATCTGGAAATGGCAGCTATGCAAAGCAAATAGATAAGGAATTAATATATAATATTTCTCTCCTAAATAAGAACTTTCAATTAGCTAATTCATTTTAAAGCCTCCCGTACTCCCACTTACTTAAGAACAGTCAGTAAAGAAAACAGTTCTAACATGGAGGAGGAATTTATTTACATCCTGAAATGCTCATATGGTACAGCTTTTAATTAAAAAAAAAGCAAATTCTACATTTACATATATAGCAAATGTATGATATTTTTAAGATATTCTTTACTGGGCTTTCTCGTACAATAATGATCAGGAGTAAAACTGTCACCTGCTAATCATTTCTGGCACATAGAAACAACAGCATAAAGCTTTCTTACTAAAACAAACAAACTAAAACAACACAATAGAGTATAGCACATAATCAGAAAAGTAATCATTTTAGTCTTTAAATTTTTAATACAGCTTTTATGTGTCCTTGAATTTACTCTAATTCAAAATTTTAGCTTGCTGAAATATAAAATGGTACTACAAATTTTAAGCTAATTTTTAAATTGCTAAAACTGTATTAAATTACAGATTTTTTCCTTTTTACAGATCTCTTCAGTTGCCTAAGAGTTCATAGCTACAAGTAACAGATATTCCTTACGTTAAAATGTCTAAAATTAATGCTATGTATTAATTTATGTGAAACTTCTAAAAAGTCTAACATTTTGATGTTATTTTAGATCTACATTTTTTTTCTGGCATTAAACTGCATACGACCAGAGAAATCAAAGTAAAAGTCAGACTTTAGCCAACTTCATTTTAAGCTAAGCTTTAATTTTCATTTAAGCTGTATCTTTAAATGCTTACATTTAAATTTTCTAAAGCAAAAATCTCATATTCAGTGAAGGAGCAATCAAACATATTGTGAACAAAATAAAATCATTAAGATGTTACAGTCCCAGCAAAGGCAGTATGAATAAATGCAGTTTTTCACATACATAGACAAACTACACTTTTAAACAATAAAACATGACTTACATCATGACATGAATAGAGATGCTGAAAATGTTAGAATGCAAAGTACCCTCAAGGTCAACAGGATTTTCTTTTATATTCATGTTACATGCGCTCCTTTATTAAGGTTTCAAAAACAATACTTATGAAAAGCAGTCACTATGCGATGAGAGAAGCCATTTTAAGACTTGTAAATCAACTATTTTACTAAAAACAAAAGTATATAGTAAACAGTAACTTGAATTAGAAGTGGTTGGGGAAGAAGCCAACACCATTGCTTGTAGCTAAAACTGGACAAAGTAAATACATTTTTTTAAATCTCTAGGAATTTTGAAAAAGGAGCAAGTCAACTTTTTCAGTTAAAAAGCAACTACATTTGTGTTTGAGCAGAGAATATCTGTGCCAAGTTTAGCCCACTGTGAATTAAAATGGCTACATTTGTAAGCAGGTTTAAAACTATGCTTAATAATTAAAAGAAAACTACCTACACTTGAATATGTTCCACAATACTACAATATATTATAATATGATATTTCTGACTCTACGCTGCTCTAAAACATTTTCCCAACTTCTTCTTCCTAATTCTAAATAGGAAAATGGGTCTTTTTCTGTGGAAGTTGATAGAAAAGTCTGCCAAAATCCCCTTTGACTATTTTAGTCATAAATTTTGCTGTTGCTGTTTTTAGGTGGGGGTGGCAAGTGGAGCCTTTTTTAAAGGTGCTTCATAATGTGTATGACTGTGTATTCAGATGTATTACAATTTAAATAGATTTTTAACAGCAAATTTTGATGCTTATATCTAATTATTTTTTTCCATTTTAAATAATTCACAAGTGACCAACACTTGCTTTCTTGGCCTGACTACTCTAAGCCTATTTAATCTTTAAAGATCAAACTCCAGGAGTCCATAGTTCAGAGAAACACATGCTTTACGAAAGCTGGGATGTGGTTGCTTAATACAGAGAAGAATAAAGCACTGAAGTCATCCCACAGTGGAGACAGGAAATAAATTATTTTTATTCATGGAGTACAATGCCTAGAACTTTATAGTCATTAACTACAGTTACCAGATTAGGCCTGAAAGGTAAATATGATTACTTTCATTTTACAAAGAAACTGTAAAAACTGGGATTTCTCAGTTTCTGAGATAACTTGCCTGGGGTCTCAATGATAGTGGCAAAGCAAGGATTCAAACTTATGATTTCATTTTCCAAATTCCATTCTCTTTTCACCCTACCTTCATCCACCCCATTATGTAGTTGCAGCATTTATCAAAGAGCTGGCTGGACCGGTCTTTTCCAACTGCTTGCAGGGCATGTTCAAAGACTGGACTTTTTTTGGGCAGACCTGAATGAATTTAAAAACCCACATCTAAACTGAACCATGCCCAGAGTATTCCTAAGCATTCACTATTACACCGATGGGTACCTTGGGGTGCCAATGCTGTCCCATCACCCTGAAGCTGCATCAGTCCCAGACTCCCAATAGCAGCCACTGCTATTGAAGTACATTTCCTGAACTCTGCCAGCAATGGGCAGTTCTGGGCACTGGCCTAGAGATTAAGCCTCTTGCTTCTTAAGAGCAATCATTGCCTTGCTCCAACACTGCCATGAATAACCTGCTGGGTTAGATTCTCTTTCACACTCTGTTGGGCGACATGAATACACATCAGCAGCAAAAAATTAACACAAACTTTCAAAATTTAACAGAATTTGCCATTTATCAAGGCATGGAAGGGTGAGAACCACTGGCCTAGGCACACCAGTGGACACAGCCAACAAACCCAGTACACGTTAATGGTGACCACTACCTGCACTTGTCAATTCACCAGTCCTAAAAGCCATCCAAGACCCTCCCCATCAGCTTGCTCTAACAAAGATTCTTCACCCAGACTGTTACATGACAATGCCCCTTGCCTGAGCAATATACATACCTATTCTCTAAGAGTGGGTAACACTGGCCAGTTAATGTCAAGCAATAAATGCTTTGCAAATAAAATATGCATCTTAGTTGTTAATTTCCCTCCTTCCTTCCTTCCACTATTTCTTCTACTTCAGGTTAATCCTCTCTTCTTTTGGTGTCTGTTGCTACTACTACCCTAGTCCAGGTCTTCATGCTTTTCACTCTTCAATAGCCTTTGAACTACCCAGTCTTTCTCATCAATACAATTCACTCTACATACTGCTACCTACCTGATAAAACTCTGCTCAGAACTCTTTCAATAGCTCTATATAGTGAACTCAATCAAATTTTAACCCCTATGCCTAACTTTTAAGGCCAAATTTATATCCTCCTTATTTATTTATCCAAGCTAATTTCCTACTTCAGATGGACACCAAAGAATCAAATCAGCCGTATCACTGAACAATCACAAAATGGCCCATATATCAACCCTCATGCTTCCTAACACAGCATCTGTTGGCTTGACCTTCTGATGGTGTCAATGCACTGTCTTCCCACACTTTAAGCCTTCCCTGTATCTTTCTGTGTCATGTGCTCACCCTGGATCTATACCTTTATTAGCTCTACCTATTAACATCCTTCCTCTCTTTCAAAGTTCCGCTCCTACTTCTTTAGGACCTTCCCTGGTCTTCCCTCTGAGAACTCCATCTCTCTAGTCTATGTACAACGTTCTTGATACTGCATATCACTCGACTCTCTGTCTTGCATTTTAGTTATACTGGTCCACGTTTCTTATCTTGCCTATTAGAGCATGAAATTCTAAGGGAAGGGGGTTGTAGACTTATCCTTACATCAATCCTAGTAACTCACAGCGCAGAGCATTCCCTGAAATGATCCTTGGCAAAAGGCATCAAATACTCTACCTGATAGATGTGGTGAGAAATGAAATATAAACAAAATGACCAAACTTCAATTATCAAAAAGTAGAGACTGAAAAAATGGAGACTGATACCAGCTCTTAGTAATATTCATTTTGCTCTGGTCAGATTCTCTCTCCTTGGCTGGGCGCAGTGGCATGTGCCTGTGATCTCAGCACTTTGGGAGGCCGAGGTGGCGGATCACCTGAGGTCAGGAGTTTGAGACCAGCCTGACCGACACGGTGAAACCCTATCTCTACAAAAATAAAAAAACTAGCCAGGTGTGGTGGTGCATGCCTGTAATCCCAGCTACTTGGTAAGCTGAGGCAGGAAAATCTCTTGAACCTGGGAGGTGGAGGTTGCAGTGAGCTGAGATTGTGCCACTGCACTCCAGCCTGGGCAACAGCATGAGACTCCATCTCAAAAAAAAAAAAAAAAAAAAAAAAAAAAAAAGATCTCTCCCTATGACCATTTTCTCAGTCACCCTAGACATGTTCCATTCATTTCTGCTTCCATGATCTCTGCTCACACTGCCCCCCATACTGGCTTTTCCCTTTCTTCAACTTCCACAACAGGCCTTTTCTGAATTGATACAAACACATTCACACAGGTACCACAATGTGTGTCATCTCAAAAGCAGAACTGAGCTGGTTTGTCTTTTTGTCTTTTTGTCTACTGAAGCAACACACTACAACAGCTAAACAGATTTTACACCAAATCTGAAGGGCTTTCTTCTGTGTGTGACACAACACACATAACAAAAATTTGCCATGATTCTGTTTAAATGGACAGTTTAGTTACTGTTAAGCACATTCACACTGTTGTGCAACCAATCTCCAGGACTATTTTCACCTTGTAAAACCAAAATTCTATACCAATTAAACAACTCTCATTCCTCCCGCACCCCTGCTCCCTACTCCTGGCAACCACTCTTCTATCTTATTTCTATGAATTTGACTACTCTAGGTACTTCATAAGAGTAGAATCATACACTACAGTCTGTGTCAATTAATGATAGGGATACCTTCCAAGAAATGCATCGTTAGGTGATTTCATCATTTTGCGAACATTGTAGAGCATATTTACACAAACCTAGATGGTGGAGCCTGCTACACACCGAGGCTATATGGTATAGCCTATTGCTTCCAGACCACAAACCTGTACAGTATGCCATTGTACCGAATACTGTGGGCAACTGCAACAGAGTGGCAAGCATTTGTGTCTCTAAATATATATAAACAAAGAAAAGACACAGTAAAAATACTGTCTGAAACATTTTTTTTAAGGTATAGAAGATTTTTAAAAAATTATATACCTGCATAGGGCTCTTGCAATGAATGGAGCTTGCAGGACTGGAAGATGCTGGGTGAGTCAGTGAGTGAGTGAGTGAGTGGTGAGTGAACAGGGATACCTATGACATTACTGCGAACTTTTATGGAACTGGCAGCATGGTAGGTTTGTTTATACCAGCATCATCACAAACATGTGAGTAATGCACTGGGCTAAGACATACTGATGGCTATGGCACTAGATGATAGGAATTTTTAAGTACCTTTATAATCTTATGGGACCACTGTCGTATATATGATCTGTCGCTGACTGAAAAATCATTATGTGACACATGGGTGGATCTGTCCTTCTGTGACTGGCTTATTTCACTTAGCCAGTCCACCCATATTGTAACATGTATCAGAAATTCCTTCTTTTTTAAAGGTAATTAATGTTTAATTATATGTACGTATTAGCCCATTTTCACACTACTATAAAGAAGTATCTTAATTTATAAAGAAAAGAGGTTTAATTGAATCACAGTTCCTCATGGGGAGGCCTCAGGAAACTTACAATCATGGTGGAAGGTGAAGGGGAAGCAAGGCACATCTTACATGGTGGCAGGAGAGACAGAGACAGAGAGGGAGAGAGAAAGAGAGAGAGAAAACGGAGGAAATGCCACAAAACAACCAGATCTCGTAAGAACTCACTCACTATGACAAGAACTACAAGGGGGAAATCCACCCCCATGATACAATCCCCTCCCACCAGGCCCCTCCTCCAACATGTGGGGATTACAATTTGAGATGAGATTTGGGTGGGACACAGTGCAAAACCAAATCAATGTATATACCGCATTCTGCTTATCCATTCATCCACTGATGGACACCCGGGTTGCTTCTACCTTTGGACTATTGTAAATAATGGTGCTGTGAACACAGGTGTCCACTCTGGAGGGGCCATGTGAAGAGGGGAGAGGACTAGGGCACCACAATGGAAAAAAGTCATCTTCCAAAATAGCCAAAAATAAGAGACAATAGGTGTCCCACAAATATATATACTGACGGAGACAAGTTTATATTTATAAAGATGCCATGGAGCAGGAGCACTCACAAAACAAATTGAGTGCCAAAATAAACTCATTAATGTTTTTGAATACCTGGTATGGACTGATAATTGACAACTCTAAGTGTTTGTACACACAATTTAGCCTACCCAGCACTGCTGAGGAGTGTGTGTGTGTGTGTGTGTGTGTGTGTGTGGTGTAACACAGCTGCCACACTGCCTCCCAAACATCAAGAAGAGCAAGAATGTAAGAAACTCCTGCCAACATGTCCCTCCCAAGGTCCCTTGTCTGGTCAGAAAAAGCTTGAGAGGAAAGAGTCTCACAAAGGAAAGAATTTGGACGCAACTTTCCAAGAGAGACCTTTCTGAATAGGCAACAGAGGACAGTGGTTAAGGTCAAAAATTCAGGAGGCAAACTGCTGAGACTCGAATAGTGATCCTATACATAATAGCTGTGGGACCTTAGGCAAGTTACCCAGCCTCTGCGTAACTTGTATAACTCTACCATCTGTAACACTGAAAACAGTCAAAACCCCTTCACAGTGTTGCTCTCAGGTTTAAGTAAGTCAATATTAACAAAGGTATTTAGAACAATGCCTAGCCCATGGTAAACACTATACAAGTTTCTGTAAAAGAAATGAGGCTAAAGCTGATCACGTAATTGGAATAAAACACTCCTCAGCAAATGCAAAAGAACTGGTCATAACAGTCTCTCAGACAACAGCGCAATCAAATTAGAACTCAAGATTAAGAAATTCACTCAAAACCACAAAACTACATGGAAATTCAACAACCTGCTCCTGAATGACTCTTGGTAAATAATGAAATTAAGGCAGAAATCAAGTTCTTGAAACTAATGAGAACAAAGAGACAACATACCAGAATCTCTGGGATGCAGCTACAGCAGTGTTGATGGAAATTCGTAGCACTAAATGCCCACATCAAAAAGCTAGAAAGATCTCAAGTTAATAACCTACCATCACAACTAAAAGAACTAGAGAACCATGAGCAAAAATACCCGAAAGCTAGCAGAAGACAAGAAATAACCAAGATCAGAGCTCAATTGAAGGAGATAGAGACACAAAAAAACCCTTAAAAAAAAATCAACCAATCCAGGAGCTGGTTTGTTGAAAAAGTTAATAAAATGGATAGACTGCTAGCTAGACTAATAAAGAAGAAAATCTAGAGAAGAATCAAATAAGCACAATCAGAAATAATAAGGCGATTATCACAACAGACCCCACAAAATACAACCATTAGAGAATACTATAAACACTTCCATGCACATGAAATAGAAAAATCTAGAAAATATGGATAAATTCCTGGACACATACACCCTCCCAAGACTGAACCAGAAAGAAACTGAATCCCTGAACAGACCAATAATGAATTCTGAAGTTGAGGCAGTAATAAATAGCCTACCAACCAAAAAAGGCCCAGGACCAGAGATTCACAGCTGAATTCTATCAGAGGTACAAAGAAGAGCTGGTACCATTTCCACTGAAACTATTCCAAAAAACTGAAAAGGAGGGACTCCTCCCTAACTCATTCTACGAGGCCAGCATCATCCTGATACCAAAACTTGGCAGAAATACAAAAAAAGAGAAAACTTCAGGCCAGTATCCTTGATGAAGAGTGATGCAAAAACCCTCAATAAAATACTGGCAAACTGAATCCAGAAGCACATCAAAAAGCTTATCCACCAGGATCAAGGTGGCTTCAAGGTATGCTTCATCCCCAGGGTGCAAGGTTGGTTCAATACACACAAAACAGTAAATGTGCTTCACTACATAAACTGCACTAAAGACAAAAAACACATGATTATCTCAATACACGCAGAAAAGGCCTTCAATAAAATTCAACATCCCTTCATGTTAAAAAATCTCAATAAACTAGGTATTGAAGGAACATACCTCAAAATAATAAGAGCCATATATGACAAACTCACAGCCAGTATCATACTGGAAGCATTTCCCTTGAAAACCGGCATAAGACAAGGATCCCCTCTCTCAACATTTCTATTATGCATAGTACTGGAAGTTCTGGCCAGGGCAATCAGTCAAGAGAAAGAAATAAAGGGTATTCAAATAGGAAGAAAGGAAGTCAAATTGTCTTTGTTTGAAGACAGCATGATCCAGCATCTAGAAAACCCCATAGTCTCAGCCCGAAAGCTTCCTAAACTGATAAGCAACTTCAGCAAAGTCTCAGGATACATCAATGTGCAAAAATCACTAGCATTCCTATACACCAAAGACAGGCAAGCAGAAAGCCAAATCATGAATGAACTCCCATTCGCAATTGCTACAAAGAGAATAAAATACCTAGGAATACAGCTAACAAGGGAAGTGAAGGACATCTTCAAGAAGAACTACAAACCACTGCTCAACGAAATCACAGAGGAGACAAACAAATGGAAAAACATCCCATGCTCATGGATAGGAAAATTCAATATTATGAAAATGGCCATACTGCCCAAAGTAATTTATAGATTCAATGATATTCCCATTAAACTACCATTGGCATTCTTCACAGAATTAGAAAAAAAAATAACTTTTAAAATTCATATGGAACCAAAAAAGAGCCCAAATAGCTAAGACAATCCTAAGCAAAAAGAACAAAGCTGGAGGCATCACACTACCCGACTTCAAGCTATACTACAAGGCTACAGTAACCAAAACAGCATGGTACTGGTATAAAAACAGACACACAGACCAATGGAACAGAATAGAGAACTCAGTAATATAACTGTTGCACACCTACAACCATCTGATCTTCAACAAACCTGACAAAAACATGCAATGGGGAAAAGATTCCCCGTTTAATAAATGGTGCTGGGAGAACTGGCTAGCCATATGCAAAAAACTGAAAGTGGACCCCTTCCTTACACCTTATACAAAAATTAACTCAGGATGGATTAAAGACTTAAATGTAAAATGCAAAACTATAAAAACCCTAGAAGAATATCTAGGCAATACCATTCAGGACATAAGCATGGGCAAAGATTTCATGATGAAAATGCCAAAAGCAATTGCAACAAAAGCAAAAATTGACAAATGGGATCTAATTAAACTAAAAAGCTTCTGCACAGAAAAAGAAACTATCATCAGAGTAAACAGACAACCTACAGAATGGGAGAAACATTTGGTAATCTATCTTTCTGACAGTGGTCTGATATCCAGAGTCTACATGGAACTTAAACAAATTTATAAGAAAAAACCAAACAACTCCACTAAAAAGTGGACAAAGGACATGTACGAGCACTTCTTAAAAGAAGATATACATGCAGCCAACAAACATATGAAAAAAAGCTCAACATCACTGATCCTTAGAGAAATGCAAATCAAAACCACAAGGAGACAGATACCATCTCACGCCAGTCAGAATGGCGATTATTAAAAAGTCAAAAACAGCAAATGCTAGCGAGGTTGCAGAGAAAAAGATATGCTTTTACACTACCGGTGGGAGTGTAAATTAGTTCAACCATTGTGGAAGACAGTGTAGCGACTTCTCAAAGACCTAGAGTCAGAAATACCATTTGACCCAGCAATCCCACTATTGGGTATACACCCAAAGGAATATAAATCATTCTATTATAAAGATACATGTATGCATATGTTCACTGCAGCACTATTCACAATAGCAAAGACATGGAATCAACATGATAGACTGGATAAAGAAAATATGGTACATATAAACCACGGAATACTATGCAGCCATAAAAAGGAACAAGATCATATCCTTTGCAGGGACATGAATGGACATGAAGTTACTATCCTCAGCAAACTAACACAGGAACAGAAAAACAAACACCGCATGTTTTTACTTGTAAGTGGGAGTTGAATGATAAGAACACATGGACACATGGTAGGGAACAACACACACTGGGGCCTGTTGGGGGTAGCAGGGAGCATCAGGAAAAATAGCTAATGAATGCTGACCTTAATACGTAGGTGATGGGATGATCTGTGTGGCAAACTACCACGGCAGATGTTTACCTATGTAACAAAACTGTACATCCTGCATGTGTACCCCTGAACTTAAAAAGTTGAAAAAAAAAAAAAAAGAAACAAATAGGCTGGGCATGGTGGCTCAATGCCTGTAATCCCAGCACTTTGGGAGGCCAAGGTGGGAGGATTGCTTGAGGTCAGGAGTTCAAGACCTGATATAGTGAGACCCTATCTCTAGAAACACTTTGAAAATTAGCCAGGCATGGTAGCACATGCCAGCACATGCCTGTAGTCACAGCTACTTGGGAGGTGGGAGGATCGCTTAAGCCCAGGAGTTTGAGGTTAGGATAAGCTATGACTGTGCCACAGCACTCCAGCCCAGGTGACAGAGCAAGACCCTGTCTCAAAACAAATTAAGTAAATAAAAATAAATCAGTAGTTAAAATTCTATGAAACTGGCCAACACTACAAGGGCAGTCAATGAAGTCTTGCTGCCTCAACCAATTTATAAATGTGTTAGTTCCTCAATATACACATACATAGCCACACAGTTTAATTGTCCATAACTAAAGTTGGTAAAACTGTCTTGCAATGATGCATGCCTGAGGGAAAAAAGCAACTTAATTGCTTTGTTAATCAGCAATGAATTTTGTTTTAACAAAGGTAACAAATATTACTCATGACTGCTCTTATTTAGTACTTAAAATATTACTGTCTTGTTTATACTCTTTTAATGAGTGAATTCTAAATTTTAGTGTAACAAAATATAACGGATAAGCTATATAATCTTCCATAATATTGGAAGATACAAAAGGAACAAAAGAAAGACCTTAGGATGAATTTTCCAATGCTCAAATGCATTCCATTTAATAATACATGTTCAAAACCATGTTGTCTACTCAATGTATTTTGTGCAAATGCCATATTCCATACAAAAACTTTTTCAATACACATCTCTTTTTATCTAAGACAACTTCTGAATATAACTAATTAAAAAGCTCTGAGGATTCTTTTCTCCTAAAAACAAACTTTTTAAACTTTTAAAAAATGCTGCTAGGATTTGATGTATTTTTAAAATTTGTTATCTGTACTACAGAACTCGATAATATACCTAATACTTCCATGAGCTGATATTACATGCGTAAGGAATTATTCAGCCAACCAACCACTTCTAAATTATTTATCTGTTTTGACAAATGAATGACATTAAAGTCCTCATAGTTTTAAAATTCAAAATATCTGGATTATTTAAATTAACCACAATAAGCAATCACTTTCAGCATCTTGAAAATTAAACAGGAAGCAAAACAAAACAATAAACCCTAAGGCAGTCCTTTGAGGCCTGTAGAAAATCAAAGCTTCTCTTACTAAGTGGCTTTCATAAGTCAACTTTGAAGTTTTCAGAAAATTCAAAAGAATTCTATAAATTATTACCCTCAAAATTTAAAACATAAAAATATTGCCTTTTGTTCCCTCTAATGTTTATACCAATGCAAATTAAATTACTTTTATGTTAAAATGCTTTTGGTTTAATACTGCATTAAATACTTCAGCTTCCTTCTCTGGTTCTACATCTACAAACACATTTTTCATTTGGTCATCCCAATACTAAGCTAACATACTTGCCACAGATTGTCACATGCTGAATTAATGCCAAGCAGAGACATTCTAGAATGCACTAGATATTGCAGGAGTGCCAGAATACACATTATAATATTACTACATTACCTTTTTTTTTTTTAAAAAGGACTTCTCCCTAGCCCAAACTTACACACTTTTCTTCTTTTGCAATTACACACACACACACACACACACACACACACACACACACACACACACATCCCTACATGGTTAGAAAATCTCTCCTGGAATTTTTTTTTTACCCAAGCTGCAAAATTTATGTAAGGTAGATTCCAAATATGCTGTTTAACACATACAAAATATAAATGATACCACTAGATAGAGTACATGAAGATAGTATTTCAGAAATAATAGCCTATAAGCCATTAACCATTAACTTATATTCTATTTCACTACAGGCACTAAACAGGAAAGATAAATATTTAGTATCCTCCTATGGTCAATAAATTTGAATTATTTCAACAGTCATTGCAAATACATTAGCAAGTGCCTAAAGTTGTAACTCCATAGGTTAGTAAAAAGTTTCAAGGGACAAAGTCAATAGTAGAACTGAAGTTTATTCGAAGCCTTGGATCAAATATCCCTTTAAAAACTTGCATTCTAATAAATGAAATCAGTGTAAAATTTCTACTTATGCCTTTTCAGGTTCTTAAGTTCCATTCTGTCATACATAATATCCTTCCTAGAAGGTCACAAAAAACTAAAATAATATATGAACCTTTCCACACCAGTACCATTTCAAAGTTGATCCAAAAAAATCAAATAATCAGTGATTATTTATAGCACTTTAAAATGGGTGACCAACTTGAAATTCTAAGAACAAAAGATCCCTACTTTCTCTTTCATTAAGGATCTAGTATCACTTGAAGCTTTCATTCTAATTCAGAGTTAAGGAAAAGTGAAGGCCGGACACAGTGGCTCATGCCTGTAATCCCAGCACTTTGGGAGGGAGGCCGAGGCGGGCAGATCACTTGAGGTCAGGAGAGTTCGAGACCAGCCTGGCCAACATGGTGAAACCCCATTTCTACTAAAAATACAAAAATTAGCCAGGCATGGTGGCGGGTGCCTGTAATCCCAGCTCAGGAGGCTGAGGCAGGAGAATCGCTTGAACCCGGGAGGCAGAGGTTGCAGTGAGCCAAGATCGTGCCACTGCACTCTAGCCTGGGTGATGAAGCAAGACCCCATCTCAAAAAAAAAAAAAAGTGAAAGAGAAGACAATTGAACATGAGTTCCATGGGAAAACATAATCTTTCTAGAAAAATGTGTTTCAAAAATCCATTTTAGGTTGACTGTTTAGAACCTGGGACACTCTTGTGAACAATGTCATAAATGATTATAAGGTTACCCCAGACCAGCAACAAAAGCCTTTTTAATCTATATATTCTAGGACCAGCAACAAAAGCCTTTTTAATCTATGTATTCTATGGCCAGCAACAAAAGCCTTTTAAACCCGTGTATTCTAACTGTATAGCACTACAGTATACTTACAGTTCTACAAGGACTAACTGGCATGAGCACAAACATTTCAGTGAGAAAACTCAGAATTCCAATTAGGGGGCATCAGGAATCCATCGACTCTCTACCTTGCTGCAGTGAGGCAGTGCCTCCCACTGAATGAGGTGGAGAGGTGGGAAAGGTTTGAGAATGGCTGAAGACCAGATGGGGACTGGAAGTTTGAGGGTAGGTACTAAGCTTGAGAGAAGATAGACATGGGTAAGGAACAGAGTGTGCGGGGCGGCAGCCCACAGAGCTATAACAGCAAGCAGTTCTCAGCCCAAGCCAGCCTTCTGCCTCTCTTTCAATTCACCTCATTTGCTACCTCTGCCCACCTCATCTGCTCCTCCTCTGGTCCGCTACAAAATAGAACACAGCCTCTCTTATGTCTCCATTAATAACAAACTCTCTAGATTTCTAAGGATTTTAGCTGCAAACAGCGGCAGTATTAAATGGGCCCTCTTATGCACTGATTAATGGTGAGCTGTTTCTGGAGGAAAATGAGACTCTATTCTGTGAAGTGGATGAAAGATAGATGGCTTCTCTGGACTAGGGCAGGGATAAAAGCAGGACTGGGGGGAGTAAAGTTCCATGAGCAGGAGAGAGAGTGCTCCAGCTACAGTAAATGTCTCACAACATCAGTCAGGATTATGTAAATCAAGGCCTGCTTATTAACAAAACTTCAAGCACTCAAAAGACAAGAGTTCTAAACTGTATTTTTAAAAAATAATAAACACTTAAGTGTCTCAAGAAGACAATTTATTTAATGTAAAATGTGCCTCAAGTGGTGTTCATGTTAACATACTCTCTTCAAGTGTTGACGCCCAAACTGCAGTTCTGTAGTAAATTACAATGGCCAAGATAATCTAAGAGTAATTTAATGTCCAAATTCCTCAATCACGCCTGGAAACATTTAAGCCTGTCATGCTATGTATGTTAATAGTTAGGAATGAGGGCCTGTATATTAACCACATCTGAAAAGTTAAATTATCCTTCATACAACTCCAAAGGATCACAAATAATGCAATATGGTTACTCCCCAGGGGTAAACAGGCAATGTGTGACATATGGGACTCTAGGGGTAAACAATCATGCCAAAGACATTCACAGGCAGTTTTCTCAAATAATTTGTAAACATATCATGCAGGATTCATAAAGTTTTTCTCTGCTCAGAGTTGTCTTCAAATTTAGAAATGTATTTTTTCAGCCAGATAAAAGTTCAAAGCATTTTCAGAGACATGTAATTTTTTCCCACAGGATTAACAGCACATCCACTCAACAACTGACCCAATATGTACTATCTTCTCTCTTCACAAGGGGTCTGAGGGATTACAAAAACAACAGCAGCAGTTAGTAATGAAACCTTGACTTTTAGAAGTACATATAATGCTTGGACCCATTCCAAGTACCTTGTAAAATCCTATTAAAATGATGAATCATTCATAATTTAGATTTGTTTTAGCCATAAAATCCTAAATGCTGCACAAGCACTAAATACTTCTCATCAACTTATTGTGCTTAGTATTTTTCTGCTACTGTTGCTCTGCAAATCACAGATTTTTTTTAATCGGACATGATCTGAAAGAGCATCTAGTCCAACACCCTCAAAAATGTTTAAGTAATTTAGGCAAAATGATGCCAAGTGATTTGCCTAAAATCAAATAATGCCCAAAGGATACAGGAAAACATGATTTAAGTTCAGGCGGTCAGCTAGCAGAAGCAGAGCTGAGGCTAGAAGGCAGCTAGAACCAGGGTCCCATGTCCAACAATCCTCCCAGCACACCAAACAGGAACTCCCACTCCAGCCCCAATACTTGCCTCCAAACACAATGAATGGTTGTGATTGTTGTAGTCTCACGAAATGACCTTTCCAGGCCTTGTCAGGGAGCTGTCTTTACTAAGTGGAATTAAAATCTATAGTATTGTATATAAAATATCCTAATCAAGAAATAATCAACTTGCTTGTGTTCACAAACAGTACTTGAATTTCTCAGGATGTTTTGAAGTGTACAGAAATCTACAGACAAAATCCTAACTCTAAGCATTTAATAAGAAAATGTTTTATCAAGAGTAGAATAATTTCACGTGTATCTCCTTCTTTGAAGCCACAAAGACAGTGCTCTTCTAGCCCTCGTCCTGGCCAAGCCACCGAACCTGCTATCCTGACCTATGCAATGGCTTTTAATAACTGTTTGCAGCCACTGGGTGTAAATATCAAACTGCTTGCTAAACATTTATTACTTCTCTTTTTCACAATATCCCTATTGACAGAGATAAGCAAAGGGATTCAGATTAAGGCCTGTAGCTGCACTGAGCTCAGTAATTTTTTTAGATAGCTGAAGCTTAAACTTTTCATTATTATTGAAATGACTATCAATCTGAACTTGAGTTGCCTGCCTTTTTCCTTTAAAAAGATAAACACTGTCATAAGAAACTATTTTACAAAACAAAGAACATCATTTATCACACATATCCAAAAGTGGAGTGGATGCTCAATGAGGCAGCTTCTGAGTGTACATTATTCGCCAATGCATTGCTGGTTCTCAGCCTAGTGCCTACCTCATATTACCGAAAATACCAGTGGAAGGGAGGCAGGGAGGAAAGAGTAGAAGTTAGAGAACCAAGATGTAGCTAACAAGTACTCAAGCTGTTAGGTTGCAGAGAAACCTAACTTTTGTAAATGACAGAATTACTGCTTAATGTAATTTCCATATGCATCTGTTCCCTGTATTCCTGAATCTTTTATTATGAGGACATTTCATCAGTTCAGTTTGCTGACAGGCTAATGGACAGGTTAATCATGACTTTTCAACTACAAAGGCATCATTTTAATAATTGACAATATCATCAATGTAAAATATAATGGCAGATTCACATTAAATTGGCCTATAACAGTTTTCTTTAATGTGAACAAAATTCAATCTCTTCTCTTTTAATCATCTTCATTCTATGGATTAAGGAACAAACTACGATAGTGGGATTTACTTCTTAAATTTATCCACGTTGAATTTACACACATGTACTTTTATCTTACTAGCCTGGGCAACGTGGCGAAACCCTGTCTTCACTAAAAATACAAAAAAATCGGCTGGGCACGGTGGCTCACACCTGTAATACTAGCACTTTGGGAGGCTGAAGCAGACAGATCACCTGAGATCAGGAGTTCGAGACCAGCCGGGCCAACGTGGTGAAACCCTGTCTCTACTAAAAATACAAAAATTAGCCAGGCTTGGTGGCGGGTGCCTATAATTCCAGCTACTCGAGAAACTGAGGCAGGAGACTCACTTGAACCCAGGGGGCGGAGGTTGCAGTGAGCCAAGATCGTGCCATTGCACTCTAGCCTGGACGACAGAGCAAGACTCCATCTTAAAAAAAAAAAGAAAAAAAAAATGAGCTGGGCATGGTGACATATGTCTGCGGTCCCAGCTACTTGGGAGGCTGAGGTAAGAGGATCACTTGAGCCTGGGAGGTCAAGGCTGCAATCAATGAGCCATGATTGCACCATTGCACTCCAGCTGGGTGACAAAGCGAGACCTTGTCTTAAAAAAATTTTTAGATATCCAGAACAAGTGTAGAGGTAGATATAACCTAGCCCCGCTACAGCACAATCAATCAATGCCTCAACTATAATGTCTCTGGTCTCACTTCAAGCAGAAACCTTATTATACTGTAAGATAGCACCTGTTAGAAAAGTAACACAAAACACTCCAAGAACAAGACTTGTACACATGCAGCTACATCTCTAAAATAGATAAATTTACTGGACTTCTGTATTGTTAATTTGCATTGGAGTAAACTTCTTAAGAAGAGAGTGTAGGAAATTTCACTGAAGGAAATAAAAAACAACTGTAATCATTTTAATTATTTTCAATCAATATTTCTTGTCCATGCTAATTTGCTAAAGCAATAAAAAGGAAAGAGCTGAGTAAAAAATAGTTCCTACCCCCCAGGGGCTTATAATCTGAAATATTAAGCAAGTAAACAATTGGCTACAATACAAAGTGAGGTAGGTGCCCTAAAAAGCATAAAGAAAAGTGTTTTGTGGGTCATAAAGCCTAGCAAAGAATCTAAGAGATTACCCTCGACAAGCTTCCTTTCAACAGGCAGAGATAAGGGAAATGGCATTCCCTGAAGAGCAAACAGCTGAGCAGAAACTTTAAAAAGTACAATAGAGATAAAACACTTATGCTAGAATACAGGTGCCAGTAAGGTAGTAAGGGAAAGACAAGCCAAGATGGGTATATTTGGGCATTATTATGGAAGACCTGGAAAAGCTAAAGAGTTTGTTCTTATTTTAGCAGCTATGAGAACTACGTAATTTGGGGCTAAAGAGTGGTACAAAATTACTGTGTTTAGCAAATTTAATCTCACCTCAGTGTAACAGATGAACTAGATTCAATCAGACAGGGAGGTGTTACAGTAGTCCAGGTACAAAGCAGTGAGGGTCTGAATAAAGGTGGTGGCTGAAGGGATGATAAGGGAGGTCATGTATACATATAGGGAGGTTGTAGCAGTAGAATGTACAGCTTTGCAGATGAGCACATGTAAGATAAGAGAGAAGAGTCTCAGAATGACTGACATTTTGAGCCTGGGTGAGTGGCAGTGCCAATTAATAGAAACCAGGAAATTTGGACAAAGAACTGGTTTGGGTGGAGGGAAGTAAGGAGTTTCACTTTGGTTGTGCTGCACTGAAGGTGGAAGCAAGGAGATACCCAGGGAGAAATGTCAAGCCAGCAGTTAAAGCTTAGAAGAAAGGTCAGGTTAAGGTTATAAATTTGGGAGCTATGTAAATAAGAGAAGGCAAAAGCTTGGATTGCATAAGATCACTAAATTAAAAGGGCATACTGGCATAGAAGAGAGGGAAAAAATTGAAAATGTGGGGGGCATGGCAGTGGGGGATGGGAGGGAAAAGGGGAAGGAAAGTTAGCAATGGACACAGAGAAGACTGGCCAGAAACAGAAGAATTAAAGTCAAGGTTATTCAGTTCACTGGAAGTTCACTGGAGCCTGTTACCTGTGAGTATTATATTTGAGGTAAAATGACGAGTAACAGTATAGTCCCTACTATTAAAATGTGACGTCAAGAAAATCAAGCAAAAACAAACAAAAACATACACACATGAAAAATGACATCATTACACCCATAGATACAGAGCTGTCACAATAAAAAAAAATTATGAACAACTTTATGCCAATATTTGAAAATTTATATATGGGTAATATTCTAGAGAAACAGACATTATCAAATTTACATATGGGTAATATTCTAAAGAAATGTATGTTACCAAAATTATCTCAAGTTAAATTTAAAAATCTATGAATTTTTACCTGAGATCCCCTAACAAATAAAAAAAGCAAAACTGTATAATCATGTCAATAGATGCAAACTAGAGAAGAAAAAAACTATTAGCAAACTCCGTATAGAAGGAAGCTTCTTCCTTCACCTGATAAAAAGTATTGATAACCCCACTATACATTTTGAGTGGTCTCCAGTCACAACCAACTATACTTCACTAGTTTTAACTCCTAAGCTTTCCATAAATCCTAGATTCTGTCTGACACTAAATGAAGATCTTCATGTCATTTTTTCAAATAGGAAAAAATATGTTCTAAATATCTCAGATTTTCTTTACTATTCTATTATGTATGTATCATCTGTGAATCTAATTTTCATAAAAAATTTGTTCAGTCTATATCCCATCTTATGGTACTAATTTCCACTAACTTACTCTCTAATATTATATAGATAATTAAGATATTTATCTTAAACTGACTTTTATAAAATTCCTAGAAGCACCCATACTCTGCCCACAATTCCAGCATGATGGAATTTGAGTAATTCATCCAAGGTCCCATTTTAGAACCTCAATTACATCTTCCTCCTCCACTTCCTCCTTAGTATTAAAAGCCCCAAGGAATAAATATTTATTAGTATACTGTTACGTAGCCAGACACTTCATTATTTTTATTTAACAGAACATATAGTATTTATCTTGGGTGTGTATAAGGTATGATTTTGAATAATGGCAAGATAACTTACTATTCCCATACTCTCAAAAAATGTCTAGCATACTGTGGATCTTCTTAGCACAGTATCCATAATCATCTATGATAGCTTATAGATTCTTTTCCTGACTTTAACTAAATTCAAGACTCCTCAGTTAATAATTATAATTCATGTGATTTTTTCCCCCAAATATACCACTGAAAACTATCTCACATGAGTTCACTCAGTTTTTTGCTCACTCATTATCTGCAGTTAGGTTTTTTTCCTGGGATATTTCACTATCCAAAAGAGCTAAAAATTGACTACATACACCTTCTTTTACACCATTTATTAAAATGTGAAATTAAATTGGCCCCAACTTGGGGACCCACATAATACACTTTTTCCTCTAAAGAGTGACAGTTCACAACTGATGTTTACTTACTAAATCAATGTGATTCCATGAATAAACATTTCTCCTCCATCCTATGGTAACACAAAAGATTTTATTCCTTTCAGATTAGAACCTTGAAAGATTTTGTAAAGTTTACATAAATTATTTTCACTGTTTCTCTTCAACATACTCCATAATCCCCTAAATAACTCCAGTATACCAATCATTCAGGTTTTTGGTTTACAAAACCAAATTCAATAATTTGTTTTATTCTAAACTCCTGAGTGTTAAAAATATAGCAAGACAAGCTGACCCATAGTTATCTGTAAGTCCTCTACAAACGTTCTTATAATGGGACATCGTCTTAGTCCATTTTGTGTTGCTATAACAAAATACCACAGACTCAGTAATTTATAAAGCAATTTGTTTTTCACAGTTCTGGAAGCAGGGAAGTCCAATATCAAGATGCTTGGCAACTGATGATGGCCTCTGTGCCATGGCAGCAGGTGGAAGGACAAGAGAGCATGAGAGAGCAAGAGACAGCTAAACTCACTTTTGTAAGTACCCATTGTTGCAATAACAAACCCACTCCCACAATAATGACATTAATCCAGTCATGAGAGCAGAGCCCTCACGGCTTAATCACCTCTTCATGATCCCTCTTAATACTGTCACAATGGCAATTAAATTTCAACCTGAGTTTTAGAGAGGGCATTGAAACCACGGTAAACATATACCGACAACCTACCTTTATATGAACATGATTGATATGAAGAGTAATAGGTTATACATTTTAGCCAACAGCTCCATAACTCTACCTATTAATTCTCTGAAAACTCTTGAGTGAACACCATTTTATCAACTGATTGTACTTGTTTGCTAATTAAACCCAGGATATTCTATTCTTTAAAGTTTTGTCTGCTTCTAATTCTAAAAGAAAATTTCTATAAAGATTCCATCTAAACATATCCCTATTTTTTCATCCCTGAGTATATAATTTACACATGAATATCAACCAATTTCAATAATTACTAATGAATCTTTATCTAGGTTTCTTGACTTGAGAGCATTTATTTGGGTTCACCTTTTCTTTTTTTCCTTTTTTTTTTTTTTTTAAAGTCTTGCTCTGTCACCCAGGCTGAAGTACAAGCAAGATCGTAGCTCACTGCAAGCTCAAACTCCTAGGCTCCAGCAATCCCCCTACCTCAGCCTCCAGAGTAGCTAGGACTATAGGCACACACCACCACCCCGGCTAATTTTTTTTTTTTTTTTTTTTTTAAGTAGAGATAAAGTCTCACTATTTTGTCCAGGCTGTTCTCAAACTCCTGGCTCAAGCCTCATCCTCCCAAAGTGCTAGGACTACAGGTGTGAGCCACCACACCCAGTGTGAGTTCACTTTTAATCTTTACAAGCAACTAACTCTGGTTTTGGCTCATTTAATTTCTAGTTTACATCTTGCATATTATGCTAACTGGGCAATTTTTTTTTTAAAAAAGGAAGCAATCTTTTACAATTATGCTTTTTTTCAATTTTTCAAAAGGTCACAAGGAATTTCTACCCATGCATGTGATTTAATTACTCTTACACTTCATACTTTTTCCTGGATACTCAAAACAGTGTTTTAAAATATATACTAGTATTCAATTATGTTTCATACCCTTTTAATTAACTGTTTATTAAGCATCTACTATGTTCCAGGCAAAGTATTAGATGTTTAGAATTGATCCCTCTCTTAATCGTTAGGTAAGTGCTATTATGTCGTCTTTTTTAAATGAGGAATTTGAAGCTCAGAGTGCTGAAAAAAATTGCCCAATGTCCAGAAGTTTATATGGGTCAAGAGACAAAATTGGAACGCAGTTCTTTCTGACTCTAAAAATCAGGCTCTTCCATCATGCACACTGATATAAAGCTAAGTCCCCACAGACCCAAGAAGGTCACAGGCATATAACAAGATAATTCCAGCACAACAGTTAAAGTTCTACCAATTTTCCTAATGCCATTTTGTGTTAGAAAACTTTTCTGAAATTACTTGTGCAATTTTTTCCTATATAAGTTTAAATTAAATTTAGTGCAGTTGAACATTCATTGACTGCCTATTATCTTGAATGTTCTATGAGCTGTGCTAAGTGCTCATAGTAAACACCATGTAGTTAAGAAATACATTTCACACCATGAACCAATACATACAACAACTGCAACAAACAAGTAATTACCGTTACTGCATGTAACATACTGTCATCTTTTCTATTCTCTTCTATTACAGTTTTCTTAACACTGGTCGTGATCCACTAAATTAATTTTACAACCCACTTACAGGTCACACTCTCCAATTTGCCAAACATTGTCCTAAATAAAACAGGTTGACCAGCTGAAATCTTGACTTTGTTTCTGATTCAATCTGGCCATCCTGGCAGCAGATAACACCCATAAGAGCTTATTTTGCTACTACCTTAGTAGTAGCATAACATACAGTGCCTCAATCCACCCTATGCTTTAGTACATTCTCATATTTAATGCTGAATTACTTGTGAGAGCTTCAAATTTTTCCTAATTTGAAAATATTAGGTTGTTAGAGCCAAACTATTAATGCAAACTCAAGTTTTACTTTAAAAACATTTCTTTTTAAAAAAGTAACTACTGCAATCTAGCTTAAAGTCATAGCACAGTGACAGTCTATCACCATTAAAGAAACCTCTTTAGGAAAACCAACCACCTTAAGATATTTGAAGAAACCTAAACCATCCGTAAACATGTGTTTGTTTTTGTTTTTTTGAGACAAGGCCTCCCTCTGTCACCCAGGCTGAAGTGCAGTGGCACAATCACAGCTCAATGAAGGCTCAACTTCCCAGGCTCAAATGATCTTCCCACCTCAGCCTCCCAAAGTGTTGGGATTAAAGGGGGGTGCCACCATGCCTGGCCAAACATTATGTTTATAAGCCAACTTTTTCTCCAAAAAAAAGTTTTTATCTGGTAAATCTTTTTTAGCATACTAGATGGAAAGACAGAAGAGACCTTAGAAATCAAAATGATCATATAAACTCATTTCAAAAATGAAAAAAACTAAAGGTTTAGAAAGTTAAGTGATTTGGCCAAAGTCATACACATCTTTAATGGTAAAACTTGGACTAGAACCTTGTTACTTATCTGTCAGCAGTTCAGTCTCTTTCCACTATGTGACACATTGTCCATACCTTCCAAATATCAATACCAATAACAATGGCCAACCCTGATAATCTCCCATATCTAAGTTCTAAGGTAATTATGGTTTGGCCTATACGATTTAAGTACGCTTGATTATGTAAGCTTGCGCAGTGTCCTAGAATTGTTTGCTGGATATACATTTTAACTCCCCATTAAGACCTTTAGATATGTCTTATAAATACACTGACCCTTATAAATGGTTAAATATGGTAATATAATTTACCCAATAAAACTACTTGAAAATCAGTTCCATTTTTAATCTCCCTAATTGCATGCAATGAATGCCAAAACCTTAGCTCTGGAATCCATCAGAGTTGTAACTATCAAATGAAACCATTTCTCCTTTAAAAAAAGGAACTACTCTCTTTATTTGCACAATCTACCTTCTCCCAAGGGTATGACCAAGAAGGTTTCAGTTGTAATTCCAAACCCATTACAGAGCATCACCAATAATATGAAAATGTATGTCATTCTTATCTTTTCTTATATCGTTAGGGCATTGTTTGAACTGTTTTTATAAAAGTGATTTAAACAGTTATTTTTAAAAATCACCACTATGTAACCATGTGATCTTTTGAAATACCAAATCATAAATCTGACTGAACTTTATAACGATTTATTTTGATGTTTTGTTGATGTGGCTTAAGTTATCTCAGAGGAAAAATTCATACTCAACTACAAATCAATGAAAAGTCTGCACCTTCTCACATGATTCCCCCGAAGATAGTTCTAAGGTAGATTTCAGGAGTATGCACTCTTCTACTTTAAGGCAGTAGCAAACATTCTCTAGAAAACATATGCTTTGAAAATGTGCTTTCTTAACACAGAATAACTATTCTACAGTCTGAAACTCATACAAAAATTTGAAACATAGGCCTAACCCAATGGGCCAGGGACTAGAGAAACCTGGCCCTTCATCTCTGAAGAAATTTAACAATATGTTTCTAATCTCCAAGTCTCTTGACAATGGTATCTACTAGGAAAATACTCGTATCTCTTAGATGAACTAATATTAAGAGTTTAATATTAATGATACTTAAGCTCTACTTAATGCTAAGGAATTCTATGAAAAATATGTTTGCATAATAACAATCTTGAAAAAATGGCAGAACTTCACTTAAGCAAGACTGGGAAAAGACATTTATTCTTATATGGCATAAACTGTGAAAAAGCTGATAGTTTATTATTCTCTGAGATGTGAACAGTACCAATATAATGAATTTATTTATGGGAAAAATTAAGATGATCAAAGCCTACAGTAATTAAAGGTGTTTTGGCACAGATGTTGGTCCTCGAATGTTTGCTTTGTCAGCTGTCTAATCCATTTTGACACTGCAGTAATTAGCACACTCTGTATAATATTTTAAACGCAAATTCAACCAAACCAAGCTATTATATATGGCGAAATGAATGCTGATCAAGTTATCAATTGTACTTCTATCTCTATTACTATGTTGACCATATGTGTGGCACATGGCCAGATCAGCCATGCTCAGTATGAAGAACACAGAAGAACATTCAAAACCAGAAGACAGTGCTGACCTAAGTTAATAAAAACACACAAACATCCACCTGAAGGGGAACAGATTCTGACTCTGAAACAAAGGAAGCACAGTTACGAGTCCTTCAAGCCAGAATATCTCGCAAACACCTTCTAAGACAGATTTCCACTCTTTACTTTGATATTGAGCCTACATGTGCCAGACACTATTCTAGGCACTGAAGATACAGTGTGATCAATAAAATGAGGGGGTGAGAACTATCCTCAGGGAACCTGTATTCTCTTAGACAAGCTTGTCCAATCCATGGCCCAGGATGGCTCTGAATGTAGCCCAACACAAACTCATAAACTTTTTTCAAATGTCATGAGATTTTTTTGTTTTTTTCTTTTTTTTTTTCTCTCATCGGCTATCGTGTTAGCATAGTTTATGTGTGGCCCAAGACAATTCTTCTTTCAATGTGGGGGAAGCCAAAAGATTGGACACCCCTGCTCTAAGAAATGCAAATAGTTTCCTGTTACCTACACACTCCAAAATACTGCCTGAAGCCCTAGGCTAAGAAAGCTTTTAAGGCCATGTGCAAATTTCAAAACAAAAGTTGTAATTCATTAGTATATCTGTTATGGACATGCTGAACAGCTAAAGACAGAATGGGAACTTAAATTTGCCATCCTCATTCTAGGAAATCATTTTCTCATACTTCTACTTATATATTACATAAAACTTAATCTAATAATATAAAGTTTTATGCTAATCTCTCTCATGATTCTGAATGGGACTAAATGGTTATCTCCAGTAGAAGTAGAGGGATACTACATTTAAATGGAACTACTGTCTACCCAAGGGCTACACAAGTATTTTCATACTTCTCAGACTAAACATATGATTATAATAATAATTTTTACCTGCCATCTTAGAATTTAGAAGGACTATGGGGAGATAATTTTATAATCCATGTCTCCCTTATAAAAAGTTGATCACAGCCAGGCTCAGTGGTTCATGCCTATAATCCCAACACTGGGAAGCTGAGGTAGGCATATGGCCTGAGTCCAGGAGTTCAAGACCAGCCTGGGCAACATAGTAAGACCCAATGTCTGTAAATGATACCAAAAAGAAAAAGAAAAAGAGAAAGAGTTGATTGCTTTTTTTCTTCCCAATAAGTATCCCTGCAGCAAAAACAAGTAAAATCACTCCACTAGTCATTCTACAGCAGCATAGGCACATAGCTCTAATAGCTGTATTCCTAAGGAACCATGAATTATGACAAATTGTTACAGAAACTACTGAACCAATGATTTTTAAAAAGGACAAGTGGAGAATAAAGGCTAGAAAGTTTCAAATACTACATATTTTAATTCTAACGGTGTGTTTAATAGTTATAAATAAATATCCTTTTTCCTAAAAAACAAGCAGATCACAAATTCCTGATTAACCCTTTAAAACTACTGAACATCCCTAAAAGCAGAACGCTTTTCCTATTAGTTGACTGCTACCCAGACTGATGACGTAAAAACCACAGCAGAGGAGAAATAACTTCACCTTACAATACTGCCATAATGCTTTGACAGTATGTATACTACCATAATGCTTTTACCTCAAAAGGTATTTTCACATTCATTCTGTCATTTAGCTACCAAAATATTTGATGGCATGACTAAAAAGACTACTTGTTTTTACATAACAGGGAACATCATTAATCTAGATTAAAGTCATCTTTTCTTGGCCTTCTCCCTGCATTTCATGTCTCATAGTCTGTTTCCTGTTAGAGTTATTATATATGGTTATTTTCCCTAACATAGTTCTTTGAGGGTAGCTTCTACATTTTATAAATCTTTGTTTCCTCCACTACCTATACATGAAGGTGGCAGTTTAACAAATGCTTGCTTAATGAGTTCCGCCTGCTTCAAACATACTCCTCCCACATTATTTTAGCTATCAAATTCTAATCTTCAAAATTTATTTGAAATGCCCTCCTCTACCAGGGTGCAAAATCAACACACAAAAACCAGTTGTGTCTCTATATGCCAGCAATGAACAATCCAAAAAAAATTAAGAAAATTCCATTTACCATAGCATCCAAAAGAATAATATACCTAGCTGAAGAGGCAAAAAAAAATTTTTTTTTTTTTTACACTGAAAACTACAAAACACGGCTGGCCAGAGTGCAGTGGTGTTTACAACTAACTGATCACAACCATTTACAGATTTATTTGTTTCTTCTCCACTCTCACTGCTTTACTTGACTAGCCTTAAAAAGGGAAAAAGGCCAGGTGCGGTGGCTCACGCCTGTAATCCCAGCACTTTGGGAGGCCGAGGTCGGCAGATCACGAGGTCAGGAGATCGAGACCATCCTGGCTAACACGGTGAAACCCCATCTCTACTAAAAATACAAAAAATTCGCCAGGCGTTGTGGTGGGCACCTGTAGTCCCAGCTACTAGTGAGGCTGAGGCAGGAGAATGGCGTGAACCTGGGAGGCGGAGCTTGCAGTGAACCTAGATCGTGCGCCACTGCACTGTAGCCTGGGCGACAGAGCAAGACTCCATCTCAAAAAAAAAGCGCGGTGGGGGGAAGATGCCGAGCACAGTGGCTCACACCTGTAATGTGAGCACTTTGGGAGGCCAAGGCGAGTGGATCACCCGAAGTCAGGAGTTCAATACCAGCCTGGGCAACATGGTGAAATCCCATCTCTACTAAAAATACAAAAATTAGCTGGGCTTGGTGGTGTCCACCAGTGATCCCAGCTACTTGGGAGGCTGAGGCAGGAGAATCACTTGAACCTGGGAGGCGGAGGATGCAGTGAGCCGAGATCATGCCATTGCACTCCAGCCTGGGTGACAAAGCGAGACTCAGTCGCAAAAAAAACAAAACAGAACAACAACAAAAAAAACCCTACAAAACACTCCTAAAGGAATTAAAGACTTAAATAAATGGGAAATTATCCTCTGTTCATGCATTAGGAGACTTAATACTGTTAAAATGGTAATAATACCCAAAGTGATCTAAAGATTAAATGCAATTCCTATCAAAATTCCAATGGCCTTTTTAATAGAAATGAGAGCCAACCAATCCTCAAATTCATATGAAAATATAAGAGGCCCTGAATAGTCAAAACAATATTGAAAAAGAAGAACAAAGTTGAAGAACTCATATTTCTTGCTTTCAAAATCTACTACAAAGCTATCATAATCAAAACAGTGTGGTACCAGCATAAAGACCCATATAAAAATCAGCGGAATTTAATGCAGAGTCCAGAAATACATTATCTATGGCAAACTAATTTTCAACAATGATGTCAAGAGTATTCAGTGGGGCAAGAATGGTCTATTCAACATGTGATGCTGGAACAACAGCATATCCACATACAAAAAAATGAAATTGAACCCCCACCTCATTCTATATATAAAAAATTAATTCAAAATAGATCAACCACCAAAATGTAAAAACTAAAACCATAAAATTCTCAGAAGAAAACACAGCAGGCCAAATCTTTACAACCTTGACTTGGCACTAAAAGCAAAAGCAAAGAAAAATGGATAAATCAAACTTTATCAAAATTTAAAGTGTGTGTGCATCTAGGGACATTATGAAGAAAACTAAAAGACAACATACAGCATTGGTGAAAACTATATGTATATCATAGTTGATAAGGGTCTAGTATCTAAAATAAAGAACTACTGCAACTCAGCAACATAAAGAGAAACCGATTAAAAAATGAGCAAAGGACCTGAACAGACATTTCTCCAGAGGATATACAAATGGCCAATAAGCACATGAAAGATGTCAACATCATTGGTCACTAGGGAAATTTAAATAAAAACTGCAATGAGATAACCACTTTACACTCCCTAGGATGGCTATATTACAATTTTTGAAAAAAATTGCTAATAACAAGTGTTGGTGAGGATGTAGCGAAATTAGAAACCTCATACATTGCTGAATATAAAATGGTGCAGCTGCTGTGGAAAACAGTGTGGCATTTCCTCAAGAAGTTAAACACAGAATTACCATATAACCCAGCAATTCCACTCCTGGGTATATACCTGAAAGTGTAGACAGATAGTCAAACAAATACATGTACACATATTGACAGCTATTCAAAATAGCCAAAAGGTAGCAACAGCCAAAATGTCGATCAATGAATGAACAGGTAAGTAAACTGTGGTATATCCATACAATGGAATATTATTCAGACATAGAAAGGAATAAAGAATTGATATATGCTACAACATAAATGCACCTAGAAAATTTGTGCTAAGAAAAAGAAACAAGGTACAATAGAATATGATACTATTTATATGAAATATCCAGAATAGGTAAATTCATAGAGACAACATGCAGATTAGTGGTTGCCAGCCACTCTTGAAGGGGAAGTTACAAGGAAAAACTGTTTAATGGATACTGAGTTTCCATTTGCCATAATAAAATGTTTAGGAACTAGAGAGAGGTGGTGGTTACAAAATATTATGCATGTACCAAATTCCAATGAATTGTTTGCTTTAAAAAGGTTAAGTCTATATTATTAACTCAACTTCACCTCAATTTTTTTAATATCTTCTTTGTCTTAGACTCCTTAACAGAGATTTATACCCTCCTGTGCTGGCCTGCAAAAGGACAAATTCTTCTAATAAACACTGAGGTAATCACTCTACATTTTATTTGCATTTCAAATATACATACCCTGCCCTAAAATTTTACTTTGAATGTGGATCATTTCATCTTGCTTAATTCTGCAGTGTCTATCTCTCCCAGTTCCATCTTTGATATTTCTCTTTCTCTTCCTAGGCTCTAAGTTTTGCTGCAATCCCTTAGGAAAGAGAAACAGATACAAAAACTTTGACACAAATATTTTGAGGTTATCCCTACTCTGAATTAACTATAACAAATGCAGTATTTTTTATTTATAGAAGCCCACACTAATTAAGCTAATTTATAAGTAATCAGGTAAATTTTAGTACATTTTAAATGCCTCCAAAATCAAATCAGGATCAATGAGCAAATGAAAGAGCCTAACATAAAACTGTAGCATACAGCAAGAAAACCGTTGATTTGTCCCTTTTAGCCATATGTTTAGTTTTCAGACAAGCTAGTCATTATCTGAGAATTTAGCACATATTTTTCTGGTACATTTTAATGAAAATTCACTATTTATACCTTCATCACCTTTCAAGTTAGTGAAGTCCCAAGACAAAACAACACATAAATTAAATGCTATTCTACAAGTCTTAACTATGAATTTAATTAGCAGTACAAACAGAACCCTTATATTTAAAGGGTAGTTAATTACAGCACAGGAGATTTTAAAAGAGGTCATTGGAAGATTTTATGTTCATGGTTATTTCATCCCACCAAGAGAGTTTCTTGCAATACACCTGTTTAAAAGCCAGAGTTTTCACAAAACCATTCATTTCCACATAAACAGAAGACTGCAATATAATCTGTCATTTAAAATGTTATTTGTAGGCCGGGTGCGGTGGCTCATGATTGTAATCCCAGCACTTTGGGAGGCTGAGGTGGGCAGATCACCTGAGGTCAGCAGTTAGAGACCAGCCTGGCCAACATGGTGAAACCACATCTCTACTAAAAATACAAAAATGAGCCAGGCGTGGTAGCCCATGCCTGTAATTCCAGCTACCAGGGAGGCTGAGGCAGAAGAATTGCTTGAACCTGGGAGAAGGAGATTACAGTGAGCCAAGATCACACCACTGCACTCCAGCCTGGGTGACAGAGTGAGTGGAGATTCCAGCTCAAAAAAAAAAAAAAAAAAAAGTTACTTGTAAAATACTGATCTCATTGTGGCCTCTGGCCAAACACACTGCTTAATGGCAAAAGCTGTTTTTCTAAAAGGCCAAATTAAATTAAAAAATTAAGATAAAATTCTATGCCTAAATCCACCATTGCTAATAACTTTGCATTGTTAAATAAAATGACCCTGATCTTAATCTGTTATCATTTTATAATACTAGCTTCTTCAAAACAAAACTGTCTCTACAGAGCAAACATTTACAATGAAAATTCTAGCTTTATGAAAATGATTGAGGGCCCAGCGCAGTGACTCATGCCTGTAATCCCAGCACTTTGGGTGGCCAAGGTGAGCAGATCAACAGCCTGACCAACATGGTGAAACCCTGTCTCTATTAAAAATACAAAAAAATTAGCCAGGCGTGATTGTGGGTGCCTGTAATCCCAGCTACCCAGTAGGCTAGGCAGGAGAATCACTTGAACCCAGGAGGCTCACTGCACTCCAGTCTGAGCAACAAGAACAAAACTCCGTCTCAAAAAAGAAAAAAAAAGAAAGAAAGAAGAAAAACATGATTGAATAGAAAAAAATAACATGTATGAAATCTTAATTCATTTTAGATGTTTACATATTCTAACTCTTTAATATGCATAAAAATGAGGACATTTTGACATATATTATCTCCTACCATTATTCAAAAGAATATGTTGTCTTCAGCTTTCCCTAAAAATCTACTTTTACAGAACGTAGAACCAACCTGTTCCATTAATAGAGAAATCTGAAATAATCCAATTATATGTAAATACATTTCTAAATGTCCAAAATGGAATGCCAATACTTACGACGCTCAATCATTTATCTAAATGGGCTAAATATTTTAAGTCTATTCAGAGACAGTTTAACAGTGAAGTAGGAGTTAACTGTAATCAGAAACCTAGTACTCCTTAAGAAGGATCAAGAGAAAATGGTAACTTTTGGAAAATCCCAAATATTTTAAACACAGGAACATATCTAGTTTTGACAAGCCGTATGGCCGCAGTATAAATGCTTCCATCTTCAGTAGCTGTTAAAACAAGCAGTCCTTTACAATTTTGACAGAGAACAGAATTCATTTCCTCCATACAGCTGCATTCTTTCAAAGTCCGTTAAACATTGGTGTGACAGGATTGATTTTTTTGGAGCACAGATATTTACTGTATTGCCCTAAAGGACCTAATTTTAAAATAAATAAGGAAAATATGTGTTTATGTGAGCAAAGGGGAGAATATAGAAAGGCCAAGTCAAACAATAGAGGGAAAACAAGAAAAAAGGATAATCAAAACCATACGTCTACGTTAATGCACATAGACATATTTAGATGGACTTTTTAAAACCTTTTTTCATATAGTATAAAATCAATGCTCAAAACAATCCATCAAAGAATAATTGATAAATGAAAAGACAAGCCAAAAACTGGGAGAAAATAACTCACAAGTCGCATATCTGATAAAAGACTTCTGATCAGCAAATATAAGGAATTCTCAAAACTCAATTAAAAAAAGGTTTTTTTAACGTGCAAAAGATTTTAGCAGACTCTTCACCAAAAAAAGATATACAGATGGCAGATAAGCTCACAAAAGCATGCTGAATATCATTTGTCATCCAAGAAAATGAAAACTCAATTACATATCCCACTATACACCTATCCGAATGGTTAAAAGAAGAAAAAACCTGGCAATACCAAGTGCTGGTGAGGTTCAGAGCAACTGAAAACCTTATATACTGCTGGTGGGAATGCACAATGGCATAGCTACTTTGAAAACTATTTGGCAGTTTCTTATAAAGTTTATGTTTAACAAGTTAAGTTTACAAGTAAATAAGCTTGCTGAATACAGTGGCTCACACCTGAAATCCCAGCACCTTGGGAGGCCAAGGTGGGAGGACTGTTTAAGCCCAGGAGTTTGAGACCAGCCTGGGCAACATGGCAAAACCCCGTCTCTACAAAAAACACAAAAATTAGTCAGGTGTAGTGATGCATGCTTATAGTCCCAGCTACTTGAGAGGCTGAGGTGGGAGGATCACCTGAGCCCGGAGAGGTCGAGGCTACAGTGAGCTGTGATCCTGCCACTGCATTCCAGCTGGTTGACAGAGTTAAGACTCTGTCTTTAAAAAAAAAAAAAAAAAAAAAAGGCCTGGCACGGTGGCTCACACCTGTAATCCCAGCACTTTGGGACGCCAAGGTGGGTGGATCACGAGGTCAGGAGATCGAGACCATCCTGGCTAACACAGTGAAACCCCGTCTCTACTAAAAATACATAAAATTAGCCGGACGTGGTGGCGGGCGCCTGTAGTCCCAGCTACTCGGGAGGCTGAGGCAAAAGAATGGTGTGAACCCAGGAGGCAGAGCTTGCAGTAAGCAGAGATCACGCCACTGCATTCCAGCCTGGGTGACAGAGCTAGACACCATCTCAAAAAAAAAAAAAAGTAAACAAGTTTAAACTTACCACACAACCTAGTAAGCCCACTCCTAGATATTTACCTATGTGAAATAAAAATTTATGTTCCTAAATTTGTAGGCAAAAGTTTATAGCAACTTTATTCATAATTGCTAGAAACTGGAAACAACCCAAATGTCTTTTATATGTGAATAGATAAAACTCTGATACAACCATACTATGAAATACTATCAGCAATAAAAAGGAATAAACTACTCATACACCCAACAGCCAGACTCAAAAGACTGTAGGATTGTTATTTCATGACATTTTAGAAAAGGCAAAACTACAGAAAGAGAAAAACAGATCAGTGGTTGCCAGGAACTGAGGGTAGGGTTGGCACTGACCAAAAAGAAGCAGAGTAAAATTTCTGACTACATACACTTGTCTACATACATCAGCCAAAACTTGCAGAATTACACATTTAAAGAGATGGATCTTACTGTATATAAACTGATTTTTTTTTAAAGCCCTCAATTCAAGGTCAAGAAGATGCCGGCCATCCTCAGGAGTGTATGGGAAACAAAACCCCTCTTTATGCTATTATAAAACTGCTATTCCCACAACTTGAATGCTATATGCAGTACAGGTGGGATACAACAATGAAAAAAAAAACCCACAAATAAAGACTCAAAGAATGGAAAAAAAAAATGCTGAAGAGAAAGACTGCTGCGTTATGGGACACAGTCTCCAGTTAGAAAGACAAGAACTGAAAGCAGATGTGACTAACGTCTCTACAACCAGGAAGAATATGGAGAGGAAGCATTACCTTAGCTGTTAATCCCAACACCAAATAAAGGGGCTATGGCTTAAAACTTTTGAGTTTTACATTTAGGACTGAAAAAAAAAAGGAAATGTCATATCTGAAAGCAAAGCCACAAAACTCATTCTTCAAATACAGTATGTGGAAAGTGGAGAAAAGGAAGAAAAGGTGTATGCAAAAAGCATTAAAAAAATTACTTGGGAAAAATGTTTAGTCAACTGTTTAATTTGATGGTAACACCAGCTCTGACTTTTTCAGAAAAATGCAATGTTTTTGAAGACAAAATGTGGCAAACTGAAAACAGCAAGAAACAGCGTCGAGGAACCTTGCAGAACTAAATCAGATGATGCGTAATGAAGTCTATTAATGGTGAAGTGTAAAAATGCTAATAACTGCTATTAGTTTAGTGTACTCTGAGCTATGAAAGATGAACATGAGAATTCTTAAGCTAGCATGCTAATCCCACAGATGATTATGGTCACAGGGCATAAATGGAAGAGATAAGACTCAAAACCAAATGCATCTGACACAGTCTCTCTTGACCACTACATTATTCCATCTCCCAATACTTAAAAAAAAAAAAAAAAACTAGCAAATTTCAGGAGCAAAGTAATATATTCAATAACTACCAGACCAGTTCTATAAAGTAAAAAGGTTTGTTTTTTTTTTTTTTTCCCCCAGTCTGTGCACATCAGCATAGAGATTCTGTGGTAGAGATTACCATTTCTGTTCATCTACTCTGATGTGGTTCCAAGTGTTTCTGCAAGTCTAGGAGGGTCTTATTACAATGGCCGAGTGATGTGGTTAAGAAATTTGGAAAAAATATATTCACTTCAATCCAATGAATTCTTATGAAGTGCCAACTCTTTAGAACATATGTGTCTGGGCTCAGTAGCTCATGTGTGTAATCCCAATATTTTGGGAGGCCAAGGAGGGTGCATCACTTGAATTCAGGTGTTTGAGACCAGCCTGGGCAAAATGACGAAACCCCATCTCTACAAAAAAATACAAAAATTAGTTGGGCATGGTAGCACACCTGTAGTCTCAGCTACGAGGGAGGCTGAGGTGGGAAAACAGATTGAGCCTGCGAGGTCGAGGCTGCAGTGAGCCACGATCGCACCACTGCACTCCAGCCTAGGCGACAGAGCGAGACTCCGTCTCAAAAAACAAACAAACAAAAAAAATCCAAACAAACAAACAAAAAAAACAGGTATGACAACCATAAATAATATGCCCAGAGAAAGAAGTCCTATTCTAGTTAAAAACAAGGAATCTACATATAGCCAAATTTTTCTTCCTTCTCTGATTATCTATGTAGTCTCTAAATCATCTAATTCTGAACCAAATTATACAGCATCCTACTCTTTTTCAGCCTAAGCTTCAAATAGACCATAGGTATTCTTTCAGGAGAAAATACTCCCATCTTATAAACTTCTAGAAAGTTAATGATTAAAGCTCATATTTTCCTATGGTGCCCTTTTCCAATTACAGACGTAAATGTTTTTAAAATGCCTTATAAGTGTTCCACACTAGAGACACCAATGTTCTTTCTGCCTATAAAAGCCATTGCCGGTGGCAGAAGAACAGAAAACACTGCTCTAAGTTCTCCTTCACAATGAAAAGGGAGAAAAAAGAGAAAGAAATGAGTAAATATGACAATGAAAGAAGAGGATAAATTTTAAAACGGAGAAAGAAGATTATCACCCAGCAAAACCACAGGTGCAAGAGAGCCAGGCCCTTAACAATCACCAGCCCAACAAACACCTTCATTTTAATGACAGAAGGAAGAGACAGTGAGGGAAAATAATGAAATAAGCAAGAGATGAACATAATTATTAAATCTGCACCTCATGCAACTCAGGGAAAAGAGCTTTAAACAAAAGCTAACAAAGCCATGAGCATGTGCTTCTCTTACCAGCATTAAACACTGTTCATTCACTGCCTGGCCTCAAAAGCCACAAGACCAATTTCGGGCACCCAAGCCTGAATCTAGGCCAATTCCAAAGATCCCACGAGAGCCCTCCTATGACCACAAGGCTCTTGTGACCACATTCTAGGGGGAAAAATAGCATCCCAAAAGTGAAGTATGTGGATTTGAGAAAAGGACACAGACTGATGAAAGTATGTTCTCAACTGTTAAAAGAGGGGGGAAATACACAGAGCACAGGTTCACAAAGCTTCTCTAGCAGGCTCTGTACAGTATCTAATACAAATTATAAATCTAGGAAATAGTAATATAAAGGTTATTAAATGTTTCCATGTGAACTGGCTTTAATATGCCTTAGTCACGACTTGGTAAGACCAAAATATTTAATACTCAGGGGCTTTCGGGGGGAGAAGAGTTCATATATATATATATTTAATATGTATATATTAATGTTATTTTTTAAATCTAAACCTCAAATTTACAAATTATATTTTTTGATATAAAAGGTTTTCTTTACTACTTTGGCTTTTTCCCTAAGAATCTGATTGAGAATTATATATCCATTGCCGGCATAAGTTATTTATCTACAACATTCAGAAAACAAGCAAGAAAACCATTGTATAAAATTAAGCAGCCATTGGCTTTAAAAAAAAAAAAAAAAGGTTACTTGGAAGCTTGGAGTGCTTATTGAATGCTTACTGTTCTAGAATTCTGATTTTAGGCAAAGATGGGATCTCAGAACTCCAGTAGCCACAATTCACACACTTTGGCAGCATATCATCCAAACTCTGACCTCGTAGCTCTGAAATAAAACACGCCTTTTACCCCTAGATGTGCTAAAGGTTCATAAAAGCAGAAGATTCATACAGAATAATAGTGGCCAATGAGGATACTCTCATCATCCACAGCAACCTGTTCCTGACACTGCACAGCAGAAATCTTCTACAGTTCTCCTAAAGGACAATAATAGCAACCCGATCATGTCTGACTTTACATACAACCTTCAAAACACCCTACCAGGCCTTGGGGGAGGAAAAATTATTGTTTTAGAAATAAACACAAGTTACTAGTAGCCCAGATTTTCCTTTCAACCATAGCTATCTCCTTTAATACAAACTCCTAAGACTGTTCTCATTTCCTTCTATAATGCTGACCTTGTTTAAGTTTGCATTTCATGAAAAGACACTGAATACTGTTTTGAAATTAAATAAATTCAAAATAACAGCATTTGTGAGATTAACATGAAAACTTTTGTGCCAATTTCTGAAGCTCTGTGGGAATAATAGTATTAAGTACTACTATTTTTTTCCTTTTTTCCTCAGGAGGTGGACTGCATTTCCAGATACAGTGAAAAGACTACCAACAGAGTAATAGTTACACCAATAACATATATAAATAGGACTGCTGAGAGTATAACATAGATTTTGGAGTTACTGCACAGAGGGACCAATAATCACAGTACTCCAGCTTTTAGTAAAAACCAGTTCACAGGTCCAAACAGTTTCAATTTAAATGTTTGATCATCAGTTTCCGTGTATTAAGTAGAACTATTCAAAGTGTTTGAAAATTATCTTAGTAAAATAATTACATATCCAAGTGCTAAGGATTTTTAAAGCTATTTCTTCAGAAAGAATCAAAGTGAAAACCACCACAAAGACCCTACTAAAATAAAAATAACAGATAACACTTCTCCAAGCCATACCATGATTTCAAGATACTATTAATCAAAATCAACATTTCTATGACTCAGTATTCTCAACTATAAATGACAACCTTTTACAAATTATTTCTAGCCCTAAAATTCTATGACTTAATTCTGTGTCTTTTTTAGGGTTTCAATATGTGTAAAATACTGTTACATAGAAGTAGACACTGTAGGAATGAATTCAACATAGACTCAGAAGTATAAGATGCAGGCCTCTGCTCTCAGTAAATTTCCAAATGAAGACTAGGAAATGAGAGAAATAACTTAAGAGTTTAGAAATCTTAGAAGACAATGCAAAGTATAACAGCTTTTATACTCAAAGCTGCAACAATTTCAAAACCTGACATACAAGTGTGCTGGCTTGGTCTGGAAAGTTAAATGTGGCTTATTCTTCTATGCTGTAAAGCATATATAGGACGTGGACAGAAAGAAAGACAAAGAGAGTGTCACAAGTGCTGGCTAGAGACATCTGGCTGAAGTGCAAGGCCGCATAGGGAAATACTTGGAGATGGGGCTGTAAAATACACTAGGCTGGGACTTTAACCAAGAGGCAATTTATAAGACATGGAAAAGTTGAGGGAGGAATGAAAGCAGAGTTTTAGAAAACTTAATCTCAAAGGGGAGTAATGGATGGATTATAGATAAAAGACCAAAAAAGCAAAATGGTGCACAATTAAATGAGGCAGAGAAATACAGCCATTATTTAGTTTTTCAAGTCAAAATCTGCTACTGAGACCAAAGTAACTCGTTATCTATATCAATGAAATTCACCAACTCTTCACTTTATTTTTCTTATAAAACAGCTTAAGTATAGTTTAGACTGTTTATTAAAACCTTTCACTGTATTTCTTAAGTGTCACATAACAAACTGTATTTATATAAAAATTCACTTTAATTTAGAAAATAAGGACAGTATTATTGGTCCTAAGCCTTTCAAAAGGAAATTAATGCTGCTGCACAGTTTCATTAATTCTGTTGGGCCGTAAGGGTGCCCTTTGGGTACTGACAGAAATCATTTATTGGTCAATGTAACCCCTCCCAAAACTGCACAACTTATTCTGTCACTCCCTGTGGGAAAGTCTGGCTGCTTATGTACTCTGTAAATCTATTCTACAAAAACAAAAGTAGCATCTCTGATATAATGGCTACTAAAATATTAAGAGTTATTAAATGTTTTCCAAAAATAACAGTAAAGTCTCAAAAAAAAGGAAAAAAAAGGGATAATTCCATTTCTGTCCCATTAACTACTTCATTATACATTTACCCATTTCTTTAGAGTTAACAGTATGCCTAAAATAATAAACTTGAGCAACATTTTAAATGCTATGTGATTTTCTATCCATTATCAAAATGAATAGACTTCACTTGAAACTCAGTTCATTTTACACACTGACGTAGTCTAAAAAATTCCACACAAATTCAATTTTGGTAACTCAAATAGTTTAAACATACGAAACATTTGGAAGATGTCCATTTAAGGAAGGCTGTAGTACAATTGGTTCTTTTATAAAATTGAGAGACACCAATGTAAAGTGAATAAATATCCCTGATTAATCTGGCTTTCTAAGTTTGGATTTTAGATTTTCTTAAAGTGTATATTCTTTTTAGATGGTGCTATAAAAACTCACTTATAATGAAATTACTCCCATCATAATAGAACAGAGAAATGTAATATATTGCAACTCAGTTTTCTGATTAGTGAGGCATGGACCCAATTATCCACAATGAGTTTCACTGTGTCTTGCTCCCTGGCAGCATGAGGCAGCTTTAAAGATAGAGCAGAAGGCACACAATCTTTATCATCATCCTTCGATTTAGATCCTACTTCTGCCAATGATTAATTTGAGATATCACCAAGCAATCCAAACAGTCAATGTATGTGTTTTGGGGGGCTGACAGGGGATGCTATTACCTACTTCCTAGTAATACTGTCAGGTTTTCACAAGACAACCTGAGTCAAGCTCTGGGCACATAGTAGATTTTTCTGTCCCAGGCACATTATACCTTCTGTGCTTGCCTAAGGAGTAAGACAAGAAGCTACAAAGTACTAAAGGCAGAATAGTGCCTCATTAATCTTTTTTTTTTTTCAGGATTATAAACTGAGTATTTTATTTTTTGAGACAGGGTTTCATTCTGTCGCCCAGGCTGGAGTGCAGTGGTGCAGCCTTAACCTTCTAGGCTCATGCAATCCTCCAACCTTAGCCTCCAGAGGAGCTGAGACCACAGGGGTGTGCCACCACAAAGGGCTACTTTTTTATTTTTTTGTATGGGCAAGGTCTCGCCATCTTGCCCAGCTGGTCTCAAACTCCTGGGCTCAAGCAATCCACCTGCCTCAGTCACCCAAAGAGCTGGGATTACAGCTGTGAACCACCGTGCCCAGCCTTTAAACTAAATATTTAAAAACACGCAAAGAAAAGGCGAGAGCAATTAAGAGAAAACACACAAATGAAGAATATTATGTCCAAAAAATGTCAGGCTTCCTTTCATGGAGCTCTCTAGAAATTATTTCCCACCTATATGAGAAAAGTATATTTTAAATAGTAACAATCATGAAATAAAAACTTTTACTGTACTTCCATAAATACAAATCCTATGTCAAAAAAACTTACTTTTTCTTGACATATTTATTTCCTTTCCATCATGGGTTTGTGGCAGCTAAAAGGACTCAGGCAGTAGGAAAATCAGCACACTGGGTCTTATTTATTTATTCCACGTTCTTCCTAATGCCATCATTTAACTATGACTGTGTCTCAGCCATGACTGCTTCACCTGGATATGTTCTAAGAATACTTCATATGCCATAAGATCAACTCTTCTGGAAAAAAAAATCTAAACCTATGTAAGAAAAATAATGAATTTAAGATGAACACATCTGTTTCCTCCACGTACGTTATTTATTCCTTATTTCAAAAAAAAAATACTTTTGTGAACAGGTGAGAAAAGGAAAAAAAAGAGAAGGAAGGGAATATCCTAAGGAATAGAGGCCACAATTAGAAGAATGATAGAAAGAATATGCAGGTTACTAGTCAAACAATTAGAGAATATTTACCAGGAATAAATGGTGTGTGAATCAACTTCTTAGAATTCTAGACTAGTGATATTAAATTAAAGAAAACTCTAAGTAAACCCACATATCCTTTGTTGTGCTGGGCAATAATGATACGTGTGTTTAAATTAAGCCACCTTAAAAAATAAAGGTAACCGGCCGGGCACGGTGGCTCACGCCTGTAATCCCAGCACTTTGGGAGGCCGAGTCGGGCGGATCACGAGGTCAGGAGATCAAGACCATCCTGGCTAACACAGTGAAACCCCCGTCTCTACTAAAAATACAAAAAAATCAGCCGGGCGTGGTGGCAGGCGCCTATAGTCCCAGCTACTCGGGAGGCTGAGGCAGGAGAATGGCATAAACCCAGGAGGTGGAGCTTGCAGTGAGCTGAGATTGCACCACTGCACTCCAGCCTGGGTGACAGAGTGAGACTCAGTCTCAAATAAATAAATAAATAAATAAAAATAAAGGTAACCACAACAATGTAAACGTACACCTGAAAATGGTTAAGATAGTAAATTCTGAAATGTCTTTTTCTACCACAATAAAAAAATACAAAATAAAATAAAATAAAGGTAAGAATAGCACAGAATAATCTAGAATTCTTATACTTAACACAGAGACATCAAATTTTTAAGATTTCTTATTTAACATATATATAGCCTGATTTTATGGAAAAAAAGGACAAGCAATTTCACTTACAAAGATACTAAAAAGTTTTAAGTGATTTATAGATATTCCTAATATTCTGATACAGGATATTTTACTATTGGCTAGCAATGAAAACTTTGATCTTATGAACATGAATCTACAGTTCTGTTGTTGTTGTTGTTGTTTAACCACATAAACACAAATGTACTACACGTGGGCAAACAGTTCAGTCCCAAGAGGACATAAGAACACTACTGCAGCTTTTAAAATACACTTACAGCAACAGTTTCCTCAAAACTCTAAGAAAATTTCTTATCACTTCTAGCCTGCATCACAGGGATCTCTTAAGAGAGCTATTTTAAAAACTGTAAGTTTTTAAAAGTGCATTATTAGATAATATAACAAAGTACGTTCATCTGATGTCTAATAAGTAAAACTCATTAGTTTAAAAACTAACAAATATTCACAAATCTACACTGTGTATCTTTATAATTTTTTTACCTCTAAAGTATTAGGGAAAAAATGTTATTAGGCTAAAAATCATATTAACCATACATGGATTTGGGCAAGGAAAAGTGGAAAAGTTAGTGAGCTGGATACCGAGTTAATGAAGAAAGAAACCCAGAATAAAACACAAAAAGCCCAGACATAAAATACATTTATTTTGAAACCCTACAGACAAAAACCAAAAATTCCAAGCAGGTTTTAAAACATTATTTCTGGAAACCAGATTCTGTTCTAAAATTCTAAAAAAGCTCAAAGGTCATCCACTCATACAAAAATCACTACTAAAGCTCTCTTAGTTACTGGAGAAGAGGGAAAAGGAATATAACTCTTAGTACAGAAATTAGAATTTAATGCTTTAACATGTTCAGAAGTGCTGAGATTAGTTGGGGGTTATGCAAACTGAGCACGCATAGCCAGCTTCCAAAGAAGCAATTAACAAGTACAAACCAACCCCACCAACCCAAAATCCTACTCTTTTCAGAGAATTGCCACAAATGCTCATTTTAAATTATTTTATGATTCAGCCTAGGTCATATTGTGTGGCTAGGAAGTAGGGGAACAGCAGAATTCATACACTTCTCAAAGGCACCCTTCCATCATTTAAATAAAGCATAGCTATACCAAAACTTATTTTTCATGAAATATACTGATGTGTATAAATGTGTAAGTCTGGTATGTTTTAACACACAGGTAACAAATGCATACTATTACCACAATATGATGAACATTTCTACCATTCCAAAAAGTGCCCTCATCACCCTTTACAGTTAATTCCCCACCACATCCCAAGCAACCATTTGCCTGATTTCTACCACTACAGCTTACTTTGTCCCTGTTCTTAAGATTCATATGAAAGGAAATATACAATATATGTCTGGCTTCTTTATTTAGCATAATATTTTTGAGACTCATCCATATGGTGTTAGTTTATCACTAGTTTGTTCTTTTTTATTGCTAAATAGTATCCCATTGTATGAATAATACACTGTATTCAACCATTTACTCTACCCATGGACATTTGAGGTTTTATCCAGTTTGAGAATATTATCAATAAAGCTACTAGGAACATTCATGTAAAAAGTCTTTGTGGACATGTGCTTACATTCCTATAAGATTAATGCTTAGGAATATGGTATGTATACTTTAAACTTTACAAGACACTTTCTAAAAAACTGCGAACCTGTTTTCCAAAGAACACCTCAACCAGCAAAGAATGAGATCTAATTTGCTTCATAGTCTCCCCTGCACTTGGTATTCTCACATTTTTCTTAAAGTTTAGCTACTCCATCTTATTGTGGTTTTAATTTGCATTTCCCTGATGGTTTATGGTGTTGAATATCTTTTCCTGTACTTTCAATTTTTTGTGAAGCATCTGTCCAAGTCTTTTGAACATTTTAAAAATCGGGTTGATTTAAGTTATAAGAGTTCTTTACATATTCTAGATAAAAGACTTTTGTGTTACAAATATTTTCTCCCAATATGTGGCTTACCTTTTCATTTTCTTAACAGCTTCTTTAGAACAGCAGACAGCTTTATTTTTTATAAAATCTAATTTATCATTTTTTCTTTTACACTTAGTACTTTTTTGTGTTCTAAGAAATCCTTGCCTAACCAAAGTTGATATTATCTTGTGCTAAGTTTACTTTTAAAACTTTCATAGTTTTAGCTTTTCTATTTAGGCCTATGAGCCACTTCAAATTAGTTTTTATGTATTTTATGAGGGAAAGGTCAAGTAGACAAGGTTCATTTTTTCCCATACCAATATCCAGTTGTTTTAACATCATTTGTTGACTAAAAAACAATTGACCGTATAACGTGGGTCTATTTGAGGGCTATATTCTGCTCCATTGATCTATATGTTTATTATTATGGTAAGACCACAATACTTTCATTCTTGAAGATTTTATAATAAATCTTGAAATTAGAGAGTGTAAAAGTTCCAACCTTATTCTTCATTTTCAAAACAAATTCTGGGTATCCTAAGTCTTTGCACTTCCATATGAATTTTAGTTCCAGCCTGTCAATTTCTATAATTTTTCACTCACTGCTGAATGGGGGAAAAAAGTAGTATGGAAAACAACACTGAAAATATAATCCCCTTGTCAAAATAGCATGAATTTAAAAATATATAAATAAAATCCCATTTTCATTAAATCAAGCCTATATTGAAAGGGACATGCACTGGTCGGGTGTGGTGGCTCACGCCTATAATCCCACCACTTTAGAAGGCTGAGGTGGGCGGATCACCTGAGTTCAGGAGTTCGAGACCAGCCTGGCCAACATGGTGAAATCCTGTCTCTACTAAAAATACATAAATTAGCCAGGCATGGTGGCACATGCCTGTAATCTCAGCTACTAGGGAGGCTGAGACAGGAGAATTGCTTGAAGCCAGGTGGCAGAGGTTACAATGAGCTAAGATCACGCCACAGCATTCCAGCCTGGGCAACAAAGCTAGACTCTGTCTCAAAAAAAAAAAAAAAGAAAAAAGAAATGGACACACATAAAAGAAAGTGAGGCCAGGTGCTGTGGCTCACACCTGTTATCCCAACAACTTGGGAGGCCAAGGCAGGAGGATCACTTGAGCCCTTAAGTTCAAGAGCAGCCTGGGAAACAAATCCAGACCCCATCTCTACGAAAAATTTAAAAATTAGCTGGGGCAATGGTGTGCACCTATACTCCCAGCTATTCGGGAGGCTGAGGTGGGAAGATCGCTTGAGCACAGGAGGTTAAGGCTGCAGTGAGCTATGATCATGCTACTGCACTCTAGACAGAGAAAGATGCTGTCTCTTTAAAAAAAAAAAAAAAGAAAGAAAAGTGAAAGCATATATGCCGATACGTTAAAAAAAAGTCTTTCTAAAAGATGAGATTACAGAAAATTAAGTTTTCCTTTTTACTTATCTATATTTTCCAATGTTTCCTTAATAAACAATTTCATAAGGAAAACAATTATATATAATAAATCTACAGAATAACTTAAGTAGAAAAAAAGTTCAGTCACCCTACGTCTGCATTTTTAACATCGCATATCATCCTGGTAAATGAAAAAAAAAGATATCAATAAACTGCAAACTATTAACTCTCATCGGGGGAGAGTGATTATTCCAAGAAGAATGAAGACTCACTTTTTATTTTATATACATCTATTAATGTTTGGTTGTTTTATTATAATGACCGTATTTCAGGTATTTAAGAAAAGCTAAATATTCATCAATAAAAATAAAGTACTTGTGCATATGCGTGTTTGTGTGCTATTAGTTAAACTGATGCAATAATGAAAAGATCATCCCAGAGGAAGGCTACCCAACTCCGTATGCCAAAAATGCCAACTGTCTGTCACTTGAATTCTAAGATGAAGAAAAGCCTTTGCTTGGCTAGAAATTTGCAGTGGCATCAGGTGAGATGGCTGTTTCAGGAAACTCAAAAAGGATTCATCATGTGTCCTTGGGAATCAGAAGGAAACAGAATATGCTATTTCAGTAACCCCTAAACATAGATAGAAATTAAAATTGAGGGCAAAAATAATGAGACTTAAAAGAAAAAGGCTGTATTTCAACACATTTGTAATAAAATTGTTAAATATACACATCTCAGGTCACTGTAATGTTGCTACTGGTGCTCAGTCCACATTTGTGATACTGATTCTAACTTCAATTGCTGATCAGAAAATCGAGGTGAACCTGGTTAGAGTTCCACAACCAGGGTCATTTTCAGACTTGCTCAAATATCAGACTACCTTACCGAACAGCATGAAATGTCAATATCTCTAATTCCACCCTATGAACAAGAAACCTTTTAATAGCAGAAAATAAGACCATATTATATACATGAAGCATACAATTTTTTATGTTTATGAAAAAGATAGCACTGCTGAATTAAGCATGACTTTTCCTACTAATACCCATTTGCTCTTTTCACTTTAATTTTATCCCCTGACAATAAGAGTCACCGAAGACTTATGGAAAACTTATGAGAGAAGAACTATAATTTTATTCATTATTATTTTCTAAGATTTGGAAAAATACTCTTCCATTCAACTTTAGTAGTAAAATACCTCAGTCCATAGGAACACTGTCTGAGAGTCGTTATTCCGTAATACACCAGTAGTAAAGAAGACATACATAAAAGTAGAAACAGGGCAGGAGGAGGATAAGTATTTCCAAATACAAAATGCAGTGGCAATTTTACAATACTCACCAGAAGGCACATTATCACTTCCTATTTTAGGAATAAGTGTCCTCAAAATTTGAATAGGTCATTAGTCAGTCTCCTTCGGGGAGAGTAACTGATATTATCATATCTAACTTTCTTGAGTGCAACCATAGTAAAAAATACATTTTACACAGTGGCCCAGTACACACACACGCACACACACACACACACACACAAACGTGTGTATGCACCTACCTTCATACTTGCCTAAACTCTGTGCAATACAGTCTGGATTTTTCTATTATATTCTCTAGTTTTGTTTTGTTTTTAAGCTGGTTATAATCCACTAAAGTGATTCAGGACACACTAGTTGATTGTGACCTTCAGTTTGAAAAATTCTATTACAGAATCAAGAGACCAGGGTGTGAATAGATTTAACATCTTAGAATTCTGTTAGATAAATAAGTGCAAATGCAACATTATTTTAAAGATCTATGGTTGAATGGTTTACTTTATTCTAAAATTTCCATAAAAATAGACCAACAAAATTCAATTTTCATAGACAGGCAAAATCTACTGGGCTTAGCCAAAGGTAGCAGTGTTATAGATACAGACCAACACAACACTTATTTATTACTATTTCCTGTCAAAATCTTACTCAGGTGTATCTTTCATCTTCAGCCAGGGCGCTCAGGGCCGGCGCTAGGTAAGCTGCCTGAGAAAGTCAATCTCATAGTCACTGATGATGCCAGAGCTCCGCTGGCCTGTACTTGACCCCTGGAGCAGCCCCCAAGCTTTAGCTAACACTGCTAACACATGATCATCAATCTAAATTTTGAAAAATATATATTGATTTTCCACAGATGACGATGATGGCTTTTTCTGTAGTAAATGTGCTTATACGTTGTGTTTTTTTTTTTCTATACACTAAGACTATGATCAACACAGGAAAACAAAAGTGCTTTATGTATTTATTTGTAGGACCTATTAATCAAAGCTCCCTTAATGAGTCAAAAACCAAAATGAAAAAAATGAATGAAATATCTCTACTAATTCTTATATCATGGATCATATATACTCCTAAAATCCTGATTACATGGAAACTTTTTTTAAAAACTTATATTTCCTATCCATTAGAAATCTCCGTGTCAACTTGACAAGAAAAAAAAAACTCTTAACAATTCTAACACATTTATATTTCCTCAAAATAATTAGAAAAGGAATAGTACCTTATAAATTTAATAAATAAAAATTTAGTATTTAGTACATTACATTTTTTAGTATCCAAAGTATGTTACAAAGGATTAAATCATTTAACATTCTATCTTTAATCAGTTTGGCAATTCTGAGCCATCTTTCTAAGCAAAATAGGTTGAACAGCTTTAAAAAAAATCCTTTATCACATCAAACTGTGATTTGAAATCACATTTTTCAAATCAAACTGTCTTTTATGCTACTGCCTGATGATCTGGAATTTTTAGTCTAGAATTCCAGGCATTGAATTAAAAAGAATGTTTCCCATTTCCATAGTACTGAAAATGGAAATATGTAAATTAGTTCATGGGCAGAATCATTAATTTAGATAAAAAGTAAAAACACATTAATTGAGCACCAAAAATGTGACAGTTCTTGCACAAAATCTAAAATAAGACAGCTGCTACCACTGGAGCTTATAAATCTAAATTAAATGGGCAAAAAAGCACAGGATTTTAATTATTTTTGTTTCCCAAGGAAATGACAAGTCTGATAGTCAGTACTCCAGTCTTTAACAATGATAACTCTGACTCTGATTTCCATAGACTGATACTGGCCTAATTATCAGTGCCAAAATCAGTTTGGGTTTGAGAAGGAAGCAGAAAATTTCACCCAAGTTGGAACCATGAGACTGCAAGTAAAATGGACCAATTCCCTCCAGTTACTTATTTCCTGGAAGATTAAGGTCAGTAACATAGGCTTAAGAGATACCGCTTACACAGCATATAAACCACCTTGAATAAAATAGCCACAAACTGACCTGGAGCAGTGGCTCACACCTAGAATTCTTTGGGAGGCCCCAGGTGGGAGGACTGCATGAAGCCAGGAGTCTGAGACCAGCCTGGCAACATAGTGAGACCCCATCGCCATAAAAATAATTTTAAAATAAAAAAGAAAATATTATTTTAAATCTTTTATATACTACAAAAAATATTTTTGAATGTTGAAAATCTGACAGATGCTTGGCTCTAAATTGAGGGAAGTAGAGTCATAGGTAGAAATGGGAAGGAACACCTAACCCAACGCCATTATAAAGTAGGAGATCCCCACATGTTTCTTCACAGATGGCTGAAGTATGCAAAATGCAGGGAAGGGGTCCATTTCTTCAAGGGAGATGGTTTGTAGCTTTGGTAGATTTTCGAACGGGTCTAGCAACTCCAAATATAGTTTCATTGATTTCTTACCACAATCTTATGGTGTATTAATTCAAAAATGAGAAAACTGAAGCTCAATGTATTTGAAAAGCTTTCCCAAGGCCAATAATTTGTAAAATAACAGCAAATGAGAATGCAAGTTATTCGAGTTCCAAAGTCCCTGCACTTGTAGGCTATGCTAAAAAAAAAAAAAAAAAAAACATAAAATGAAGAAATGTTATTCAATCAACTCTGCTAAAAGCAGCCTGATGATGCTGACTAGTAATTGTGAACACATATACAACTTTAACTATGTACCAGGCACTGTTGTCAGTGCCTCATTTAATCCTCACAGCAACAGAACCAAATCGCAGACACCATGATGATGATTTCCACATAGCTCCTAAGGGGCATGGCTGGGTTTCAAACCCAGGCAGCCTGGCTCCTCAGCCATACCCTTAATCTCTATGCTTGATGCCTTCCTCTCCTGAAGACAAGCAGTTAAAGGATAAGGGTAGAAAATGTGGGAAGAAGTCTATCCCAAGATAAATCTCTTAATGTTTTAAGTAGCATTTTACAAAATAAATATTATATGGTAATTTTTCCTTATTTTAGCTAAAATTTAACACCATGTAAGCCTAAATTATCAAAAATACTTACAATGATTTTCTGGTTTCTAAAAGATTTGGGTAAACTCAAAGCATTATACCCACCCTCCAATCTAGGAAAGCTTCTATTGTCCTTCCACTTCAATTCATTTATTTTGATAAGGACGGGACAAACCCTATGTTTTAGAAATATTTGTTAAACATACATAGCACATGACGGGGAGAATCAAACCTTTCAAGATCCCTAATAAAGATTTAATATCATGTGGTTTCATACAATCTTTTCAGTTCCCTAGCAGACTTCTGCCTTTTCCACGAATTGGTCCAGACAAATGCACTGCTGTGTGATGGAGGCATCGGACTGCCTGTCTTCCACATATCAGCAGTTCATGTTGTCACTGACATTTTATCTCTTTCTGCCACCATTTTATTTTATCAAAGACAGTATCTGGGAAAAATGAACTGCATTTACTGCTTATACAAAGCACACCCGAAGAGAAAAAAGTCATCTTTTTGCCCATTCAAAATTTTAATATATTACATATTAAGATAAGTAGCTATAGAAGAAGCAGGATTGAGATTTTTTTAAAAATTTAAAAAATATATATTAGTAGCAAAAACAGAGTCTTGTCCTTATCCTATACATAAAATTTAGAGCAACTAAACTTCTGATTCTATCGTTTCTGTATCATGCTTTAACTACCAGTTTGCATCAACTAAAACTCATACAAAAATGACGCATGGCTGATTATAAACTGAAATGCTGTTTTCTCACATTAAATTTCCCACTGAAGGATATAAAGGTGTCAATGAGTATGAACTTTATAAATAACTTAATGAGGCTCAAAAAAAAGGCAGTCGGATTAGTTCTAAGTGCTCTGAATATGCAAACATGAGTAATTAACATACAGCTTAAGCCTTCTATAAATAAGACAGGAAACAAGTGTCAAGCAGGTTCTTAATGTAAAAGGAAAGAAAGAAAATAAATATCAGTAATGCCATAAGTCAACTTCAGCCTAAAGAATGAATAATTAATTATATGTACAAGTTCTAAAATTACATTTCATTCTGTTTCATTTAGTAGAGCTGCATGAATTACTTTCCATTTACCTATGCACTTCATAATACTTTTGTAAGATGAGATCCTACTAGGTTTCAGAACTCAGTTTTAGGGCAAACCTAAATTCTCTGTCAAGGCAAATTCTTAATTCATACTCCTCACTCGCACAGTGCCACACTCACTCACTCACACACACACATACTTTAAATCCCAAATGACACTGAACACAAATAACAAGACTCATGTTCCCAAGAATTCCACTTTCTACTAATTTTTTTCATTCACTCAACAAACTGCTTAGCATTTACGTTGTTTCAGACACTGTGCAAGGCAAAAAAGATTTCTGCTGTCACAGAGCTTAGAACTGTGTGTGTTTATTAATGTTTCTCTCCCCTAGACTATATGCCTGTTACTGGTATTCATTCTGTACAGCCCTCATTCTCCAAGCCTAATTGCACTATTATTACGCTACCACGGAACAAAAATTTTCAAGGACTATACAGCCCAAAATTTTGTTCGAGTGAGCATTTGTTAATTCATATATACCACACGAAATTTTCTTCTTTAAAAAAGAAAAAAAAAGGCCTGTGGCCGTGGCTCCCGTCTGTAATCCCAGCACTTTCGGAGGCCAAGTTAGGCAGATGACTTGAGTTCAGGAGTTCAAGATCAGCTTGGGCAACATGGCAAAAACCCACCTCTACAAAAAATATAAAAAATTAACCAGGTGTGGTGGTGCCCGCCTGTGGTCCCGACTACTTGGGATGAGGTAGGAGGATCACCTGAGTCCAGGAGGTTGAGTTGCAGTGAGTGGAGATGGCACAACTGCACTCCACCCTGGGCAACTGAGCAAGACACTGTCTCAAAAAAAAAAAAAAATGCCTATAGGATGAAAAGATGTATCTGGGACTTGCCTCAAAACAGATGGGGGAGTAATAGATAAAGGTATAGATGACCGGTTCATGGGCGTTCATTACATTATTATTATTAAACTTTTCCATAGTAATTTTTTGTAACCATTTGTAAAGGGATATTTTGCCAATACCAAAAACTTTAACTTTTAGGAATTTCAGGAAGCCGCACAGAAAAACAGCGTAATAACAACAGAATATTAAAATGTAACTTCTATTTAATACACAATGGGATCCTAAATCCTAATCTTAACTCGATTATAAATATCAAGTTTCCATTGTTTCAAATGGCTCGTTTGTTAAAGTGAAGGCAGTAGTGCTAATCTCTCTCAATGAAAAATGTATTAGGACTCTGTGATAAAAGTTATTACAGGGAACCCTACGAAGGTATAATACTAATGCTACATAAGCACTAATATTAATCATGGAAAAGTATGTTTCTTTTCCAGCCTAGCAGGTGAATTGGGATTGTTGTAGTGACACCATATAATTACCAAATGTAAAATAATAATATTTCTTTTGTTATTCAAGCTTATATAGAGATGATAACAGAAATACAAGACTAAACCTGAGATAATGAAGTATGCAGCAGAGGGAACAAAGCTAATAGGTTTTGAAAATATAACACATTTTACTTGACATTTCCCAAGAACCTCTGAAGCTCTCATGTAAAATCTGATCCAGGTACTGGGTGGCTTACCCATGTGCTCACAACCACAATAAATAATATCCGTAATGGCATTTTATAGGTAAAAAGCATTTAATCTATATAGATTATAAAATGCACAAAATCCTGTGAGTCAGGTATTATTACATGAGACTACTTTTAAAGAATATGTTTTAGAATTTGCCTGTGCTTCCAACTCAGGGATAGAGGAGCGAGACTGATACCAAATCATCCTCTAAATCCAAATTCTTTTCACTTTCCACTATCCCAGGCTGCTGCTGCCACTGAAGGAGTTTATCATTTTGTTAGCAGCATAAAACCTAAATACATACAGAAAAAGCCAGAATATAAAATAAGCTATCGTAAGGTTAACAGCCAACATATGGTCTGGGAAATAAGCACCAGTTAGGATCAGGAGAGGAGAGTGCTGAGGGCCGAAGCTGCTAAAAAAGGCTTCTTCTAAGAAAAGTCAGTGCCCCGAGGCCAGGAGGAGGCCCACCTGACACAAGCAGGCAGACGGCTTTTTGACTTCGAAGATCACTTTTCCCAATAAAGAAACTGGCAATAATAAATAAACTGGCTAGAATAAAGGGTTGTTTAGCATAGTGTAAGGCTTACATTTAAAATGTCGTTTCCACAAGGAAGAAAGAGAACAAAGAAATCTTGGCCCCAATGTGATAAAGTCAGGAAAGACTAATATTCCATGTTGGGAAAGTTTGAATATCTGTTGCACCAGGTCCACCAACAGTTTTATCTAGATACAAACAGCAGCTATTAGGCATTGTTGTTCAGGAATTCCAGAAGAACCAGGGAGGGAAGCTAGTAGATATCTATTTTGAATGAAAATTATAATTTGTAAAAATGAATCTGATCCAAGTCAGAACATGGAGGCATTTCTTTCTTGACATAACCAAGATGATCAATTGGTGGGTACCAATTGGTAAAATTACCAAATGCTTGCACGCGTTCCAGAAGGGTTAATACAACCGATATGGAAAAGCAGTCTGTACCACAGAGATTCTTTCCTCACCCTGATTCACTGTAGGATCAGCCGTGTTAATAATAATACTTCGCAATTTTATGTCACTTTTCCTGCTAAAAGCTCAAATATGAGTTGATATGGCACATCACAAACTACACAGATGGTACTCTGCAGTTTCCACAGCTCTGAGTGAATAGCTCATTTGACTTACTAATAAATGTTCCTATTTCAAGATTAAAAACAAATACGAAAAATTACAGAAAATGGTAGAAAGTCAATTTTCATACCCACTGCAGAGGCATCTACCTGAAAGGGTGAACTCTGGACAGAGCGCCCAGAGCACACCTTTCCTTCAGATGTTCGTGCACACAGGTACGCGCTTCCAGAGAAGTCCTATCAAGACACCAAGAAGCTGGGATATGAAGGCCAGGGCTAGATAGTGGATGGGGCTGTGTTATCGCCTGTGTGAATGTACAGCAACCAGATCTAAGAGGAAAACACCTCACCAAGGAGGAGCTGGACCAGGAATTACCTCCTTTTGTTTAATCCCTTGACCTATAATTACTCATTTAAGACAGACACACTGTCAGAAGTTTTACTAGAAGTTATTGGTCTAACCTATGCAGTGTTACTGAGATTTATAAATCATGTTTAAATTGGAATACTTGAAATCCAACATTTTAAATGGTTATGTTCTTACAGAAGAGGGACACTAAAATCATCCTAGTTTTTTTTGTTTTTGTTTTTGTTTTTCTGAGACAGAGTTTCGCTCTTGCTGCCCAGGCTGGAGTGCAATGGCATGATCTCAGCTCACTGCAACCTCTGCCTCCTGGGTTCAAGCGATTCTCCTGCCTCAGCCTCCCGAGTAGCTGGGATTACAGGCATACACCACCACACCTGGCTAATTTTGTATTTTTAGTAGAGACAGGGTTTCTCCATGTTGGTCAAGCTGGTCTCAAACTCCTGACCTCAGGTGATCCGCCCACCTCGGCCTCCCAAAGTGTTGAGATTACAGGCGTGAGCCACCGTGCCTGGCCTAGAAATTTTCTTTATTGCTATTTGAATGCTCTACTCATACTTCTAAGAAAAAAAAAGTTTATTCCTTTGAACTTCATAAACAGAGCTTATAAATAGTCTTCTCTGGTAACTGTATCTAAATATCTCACCTTTCCCTGTGGATCTGGAAATTTTCCATCAGGGAATTTAGCTATACCAAGTTTTCCATCACCTCTGAGAACATCAGTGTACTCCATTTGTGTATAACCATGGGCAAACCTCTGTAAAATGTGAATTTATCTTTGAAACAGGCCAAATCTTGAAAAACCCAAAGAACCAACTTATCCCTATGGAAAAGAGAACTATTACTGATGATTAGATTTAATTAAACTGTACGGCAAAGGCTGCTTAGATGGAGAATAACTAAAGAGATTTGCTTTCCATGGTGATTCAAGTGGTTTTGAAGCATCTACTTACAGGATTATATTCAAACTCCAAAAAAAAAAAACACACACACAAATACTTGATTTTGGTGAAATATGCCCAACCATTCTTCGCAAGAGCTTCATTTTTCTGAGAAAATTATTGTATATTAAGCCACAGTCTGAACTAGTCAAAAATAACACTTAAGTCTTATGCAGGAATTTTCTCAAAAGGGGTTTTATTTTAAATTATAATTAAATTAACCAAATGGTTCCAACATTGAGTTTAATCATTACACACTTCTCTGAGAAATCTAAATATAATCTCTTTGTCGAGAATATAATACTGTCCACTTCTAAGTCCAACACTTAGATACATCAAACAATCAGTCAATTTTCCAGGTTAATGAAATGTGAATTTTATATACTATATTTCTTGGATTATTTTCCATATGATAATTACAATACTCTATCACCTCTGAGTAGTTTTTAAAATAACCCCCAAATTTTTTCCAAAACATAAAGAGCTTTAACTCTATTGACTTAAAACACCTTCCCTTCAATCTTCTCTGTAAAACAGCACTGTCAGGTTCACCTTCAACCACCATGAAACCACAGGAATGTAACAGGGACAGGAATGTTGGTAAGCCAAATGATACATCAGATCATCTTTGTCCTTCCCCACTCCCATCCATTGAGAACCATTGAATCAGACCTACCAAGTGCTAAAATGTTAAGGGATTGTAATAATAATCATTCTGTAAACAAACAAAGTAGAAACACAGTTACTCTAAACAGTGAATAATTAGAAAATAATTCATAATGTATCCTTATGGACTACAGAGTGCTGCATCACCCATTGCATTTCTGTTACACCCTTCAATTGATAAAGAAGGACCATAAAAACCTGACCATAAATAATCCTGAATGCACAGGTGGGTCTTGTCTTCAAGACTAACTTTTTTCATAGTTCTTCTAAACATCCTCTATTTGAATTTAAAATAATCTACTCTGAATTATAATACCAAATAACTAACCAAGATTTATTGAACACCAACTGTATGTCAAATACCTATCACTGCAGGTGATTCAAAGTGACAATAACAACAGCGAACATTTACAAAAATTGGGGCGCAAGGTCACACTTGTTTAAGTGATGGAGTTGGATGGCAATCCAGACAGTGCTACACCAAACTGCCTTCACAGAACTGAAAAACAAATACTCTTGTATTCAAGAAACTCCAATTTTATTTTATTTTTTGAAACAGAGTCTCCCTCTGTCACCCAGCCTAGAGTGCAGTGGTGTCATCATAGCTCACTGCAGCCACAACTCCTGGCTCAAGCACTCTTCCCACCTCAGCCTCCTGAGTAGCTAGAACTACAGGTGCCCGCCACCTCACCCAGCTAATTTTGTTAATTTCTTGTAGAAATGGGGTCTCACTATGTTGGGCAGGCTGGTTTCAACTCCTGGCCTCATGTGACCCTTCCACCTTGGCCTTCCAAAATGCTGGGATTACAGGCATGAGCCACTGCACCCAGCCAAGACCTCCAAATTTTGCAGGTACTTAACATATTCCAATAGAATGTTCCACAAATTTTACAATTTTTCTGCCTTTTAGGCATCACCTTGTAAGAGTGATGAGGAAAAAAAAAACTAATCATAGTATCTTGAAATATTTTACTTTCATTTTATCCTTAGAATTGAAATGCCTTTTCTGAGGCATTTGTGTGTAACTTGTGGTACACAAAACACACATTAGTTACTTTAGTGCACGGTTTTCTTCTCTTTCTGCTATTGAGAAATTTCTTAATACGCAAGAGTGAGCCCAAACAGTACGTGCAGACTGATGGACAGTCTTGCCAGTAATCTCCACACTTCTCAGGTTACCAGGATTCCTTATGGGAAAGAGGATTCCATGACCCTCTGTGCTTAGGACCAGACAAAGGGATCTTCAAGTACTGTTCCCCACTATATCTATCAAAAGTCACTTGAAAACTCTCTTTAAAATTACAAACAGATTTCTAGATGCATCCATACTTTTATAAATCTCAGTGAATGAGATCTTGGAACTACCACTTTGATAAGCAAAGTAGATAATTTATATACTCTAAAATAAATGTATAGACTCTTGGATGAGAGACTTGTTCTATCATCCATGCTCTCACCATGTAAAAAGCCCTGCATCTTTTTACAAAAGGCTGCCTTAATCTACAAAATGGATCATCTGGGGAAGCAGCATCATTCTAGTGCTTTCAGGGAGAACTGTGTTCATTATTACTTATAAGTGGCTTTCAGGGCTAACTCCCTGGAAACGCTTGTGGTAAAATAAACAGTCCAAAAAATACATGTCATCGTCATTTAATCAAGAGTTCTACACACTGTATATGAGAAGAAACAATAGAGAGGGGCCATACTTTTTCTTTATTAAAAAAGATAATTCTAGAATGTAAAGAAAAATTTTTAAAAAATTAACTAATGCCGTTCAATCTTCCTTAGTGATAACCAGAGAATCCAATCCCAGAAGACTTCTTTAAAATCATCTAATTCATTCTGGCTTCATGAATAACAAAAATCTTCTATTTGATGCTCAGCAGCAACTCAAGTGTTATTATCCCCATCCAACAAAAAGGAAATTTGGGACTCAGAAATAAAGCACTTGTCCAATGCAACAGGTCCATCCAGAGGCAGTATACTTAACCATTATTAAACTTCCTTTTTTAATATTTTTAGTTTTTTTTTAAGAGATGGGAGTCTGACTCTGTCGCCCAGGCTAGAGTGCAGTGGCATGATCATGGCTTACTGCAAGCTCAAACTCCTGGACTCATGCAATTCTCCCACCTCAGCCTCCCAAGTAGCTGGGTTAATTTTTCTTTTATTTTTGGTAGAGATGGGGTCTCGCTTTAACGCCCGGTCTGGTAAACTTTCTTTTAAATCATACAAATGTCCTCTAGTCAAGAAAAAAGCCTATAAACTTTTTGAAAAATTATTTACCTACTGTAGACAGAGTCTTGCTATGTTGTCAGGCTGCAGTACAGTGGCTATTCATATAACACACTGTAGCCTCAAACTCCTGGGCTCAAGCAGTCCTCCTGACTCAGCCTCCTGAGTAGCTGGGGCTTTGGGTATGCACCACCCTGCCATGTTGGCAATATCAGAAAGTTCTTCTAAATGTCTGTCTAAAATCCCTTTAGATATAGTTTAAGAATGCTCTCTTTTGTAAACTAAAGAACATCTGGTCATTATATCTCATATTGAATCACTTCATACGTCTCAGAAATAATAAATCCTCTTTCCTCTCTTATTTTAAAGGAAAGGACAGTAACGCTTCAACTTTCTACAAATTAGCCTGTGACAGACAGATGGTGGCTCCCAACACGACTGCAATCTCTTATCCCACATGCTCCTCTTATAATGTGTCTTCCAAGTACAGCTGGAATCAATGCTTCCTCCCTGCTGAATTCCTCTGAAGTACAGCTGGAATCAAGGCTTCCTCTCTGATGAATCTGGATGGGGGATAGAGGGGGAGGGCGGGGGGGCAGCTTGGGACTAAGGGCATATGTGATCCTATGTAACTTTTGAGGTTAAGTCATAAAGGGAACACAGCTTCCTTGGAATTTTCATCCACTGAACTTCTGCCGCCATGCTGTGAGGAAGTCCAAGCAGGTACAAGGAGAGTCCAATTTGTAGATATTCTAGCCTGCAACCTAGCCTACATCCCAGCCAACAGCCAGTAGGAAAGGCCAGGCATGCAGGTGAGCAAGGCTTCAGCTGATTCCAGCTCCCCAGTCATAGACTCAGCCCTGGCTTTGCGTCTTCCTAGCTGAGGTGCCAGACATCATGGGGCAGATAAGCTGTGTCAATCATACCTTTTATGATTCTGAGCCACAACATTTGTGAGCATAACGCCACCAAGTTTGGGATGGTATATAATGCAGCAATAGTAAATAGAACTCCCTGATTCAGAACTCAAGGAAAAAACTGAAAAGGAAGCAAAGAATTTAAGGCTGCTTTCCCTATATTCAAAATAAATATTCCACATTCTGTGCACTAAAGATCACTAGCTTTATTGATAAGTCTCTCAAATTATCATGCAGCTCTTATTAAAGGTATATGTAAAATGAGGAAAAATAGAAACATACTATAATATTTTCTGTCTTCATCCTATGCATAGGCCTCTTTAGGATTCCTTTTCCCTGATGAAATCTCATCTAGGCCGGTCTTTAAGGCTCAAATCAAACACTACAGCAGCTCTGAGGCCTTCCTTCACCTTGCAAAATGCAGTTTGCTCACGTAACATATCTGTATAGCCCTCCACTCTAATACAATTTTTTATTCTAATGTATATATTATACAATAATTATTTGTCTACATGGCTTTTGCCTTCCCTAAGCGTAAGGTCTTCGAGGATAGGAACATTTCTTTTTTAATCTTTGTATACTAGTGTCTGCAATATACGAGTCACTCATTAAATTTTTGCTGAATAAACAAACAAACCTGGTTATCTGATTTCCAAATCCACAGCAGATAAAACACAGAATATTAGAAAAGAGGAAATGAACTGTTCTTTTTAAAAAGCACACACGCACACACACACACGCAGACAGAAAGAGGTCTCAGGGAACAAAGATGAAACTAAGTAAAAGCCTAGAATTCTTTAGTGTAGGGTCTACAGTTTACAATTACTTAGTGGAGAGAGACAGGTCAGTATCTTAAAAGATCTCATAGATCTCAGTGAATTTTTGCACATTTCAAGTAAGTTTAGTAAAGAGGGAAATACTACTCATTTTATAAGTATTTCTCCTAAGTGACTACTTTTAAAATTGGAGGTGCCTTTTAAAGGAATAAAAAACAGAACCAAGCAAGAGATCTCATTTTCTGGGGGTTTTATATAGTTACTGTTTTACAATAATATCACTGTCTTTATACTATTTTTGTTGTTCCCCCTTGTTTTTAATGTCCCTGTTTTCGTTACACTTCAGACTATTTAAGTATTTTCCTCCCAACTGACCCAAGCTACTATCACATCTGTTTGGGTTGTAGCAGAGCCACTCAGTGTGCAACTCCAATATTTTGGCAAACTCCCTCCAACAGGCCAAATTTTTTTTTTTTTTGAGACGCAGTTTCGCTCTTATTGCCCAGACTGGAGTGCAATGGCACCATCTCAGCTCACCGCAACCTCCGCCTCTGGGGTTCAAGCGATTCTCCTGCCTCAGCCTCCGGAGTAGCTGGGATTACAGGCATGCGCCACCACACCTGGCTAATTTTGAATCTTTAGTAGAGATGAGGGTTCTCCATGTTGGTCAGGCTGGTCTCGAACTCCCGACCTCAGGTGATCTGCCCGCCCCAGCCTCCCAAAGTGCTGGGATTACAGGCATGAGCCACCATGCCTGGCCAACGCCAACATTTTTTTAAAAGCAGCACAATACATACAGAATGACAAGAACAAGGAGAATGTCATCAAGTATGTCTGTAAGACATTTCAGGAAAACTTTTTTTTAGACGGCGGAGTTTTGCTCTTGTTGCCCAGGCTGGAGTGCAATGGTGCAATCTCAGCTCACTGCAACCTCTGCCTCCCAGGTTCATGCGATTCTCCTGCCTCAGCCTCCCGAGTAGCTGGGATTACAGGTGCCCACCGCACCCAGCTCATTTTTGTATTTTCAGTAGAGATGGGGTTTCACCATGTTGGGTGGGCTGGTCTCGAACTCCTGACCTCAGGTGATCTGCCCACCTCGGCCTCCCAAAGTGCTGGGATTACAGCCATGAGCCACCATATCCGGCCATTTCAGGAAAATGTTTACAAAAAATAAAAATAAAAATCCGAGTCACATATTATTTCAAGTTCATAGTCACCTTAAAATTGCCCAGATTTGTTAAACAAAAAAGGTCTATGACCAGTGTCACTTTTCTTTCCATTCTTTTTTCTATCTTCTAAGTATATGACTTCCCAGTTTTAAATATTAATTCCACAAAATAATATCTGCATTATTTTTAAGCAGCATTTTCTATCCTGGGGTTGGGAGATGTTGTCTAGGTCTCTATGTCCCATTCAGAAAAGTGCAGGGCCTGATTCAAGGCCATTAGCCTAACAATGACTCTAAGAGGACTTACTTTGAGTCAGAGGAGATAACTTCATTGTGTTTTGCTTTTTCCAAAGCTTAAAAGTTTCAAGCCAAGTGTTTTTCTGGAGTTATTCAAATGCTTGTGATAATTCTTATTGTTTTCTTGGGTGACAAAATCTTTCCTGCCCACTACTCTTACACCAAGGTTTTTCTATCTACAATTAAGAATATAATTATGAGGCCAGGCACAGTGCCTCACACCTATAATCCCAGCATTTTGGGAGGCCAAGGCACAAGGATCACTTGAGCCCAGTCCAAGACCAGCCTGGGCAACATAGCAAGCCCTATCTCTATAGAGAAAAAAAAAAAAAATTAGTCGGACATAGTGGCGCACACCTGTGGTCCCAGCTACTCAGGAGGCAGAGGTGAGAGGATCACTTGAGCCCAGGAGTTTGAGGCTGCAGTGAGCTATGATCCGTGCCACTGTACCCCAGCCTGGGCTACAGAGCAAGACCCTGTCTCTAAAACAACAATAATAAATAAATACATACATACATACATACACACACACATACATATGAAGAATATTACTACTACTACTTCTCCACTGGATTAGGTGAGTGAGACTGACCAGGTACCTCTCTCTGGTGTCTACTACATACCTATGAATGATTTTTACATTTATGGTCTATTTCTCAAAGTGAGAATGAACCCCTATGCACACTGTGATCCAAGAGGGAAGAGAGGGCTCTACCACACTTCTAATAAGATCCTAAAGTAGGAAAGAGAAAAGGTAAGGTTAGGTATAAAGTAAAGAAGATGGAAATAATTATAGGACAGGAAAAGTCAACAGGGAGAACAGATGAAGACATTGCAAAGAAAAACAGAAGAGAGAAACAGAAACTTCCAAATTCAAAGTTATGAAGTAGTCAAGTATTCAAGAAACTGAAGTTACTATTGCTCCGAAAAGCTCCAGGAAATTTTCGTCTCCATAATGTTACTCCAAATAAGTGTTTGAATAAAAGCTTTCTATTTAGCCAAGGGGGCTGTAAAATTAAGTGTCTCAATTTCTATCCCCCTCCTTAATCTGAGCCTAAAACAGAAATCTACTTCCCAGGAGGGAAAAAATATCTCAAGTTGTTAGACGGTAAATGTCTCATGGTCAGATACTACCTCTTCATTTGCATCTCCTTATGATCTGCCAGTAGAAAGTTTGTCTAGGCCCAGACCTAGAGACTTCAGAAGGAACATGCCATGAAAAGGTCCAAGGATGCCATCATTTCAAGCAATAAGCTCTCAAAGGTTGGCTGTGCTTCTTCAGCCCTGATCAAACTCAGTAACACATTAACAACTTAATTTCCTAACAGTTCTGGAGAAACTGAAGTCTGACACCCCAAAATTGATAGAACAATTGCATCCTCTTCAGGACAACTGGCTTAGACTCTAAAAAGTCTAAACAAACAAAACAAACCACGGGAACTGGTCCACCTTAAAAGAGATGAAAGGGAGAGAACAAAATGCAATGAGTAAACTTGATTAGATCCTCGTTTGAAAAACAAAGCTGTAACAGCCATTTTGGGGACAGCTTGAAAAACTGAAATAGAGCTGATATTAGATGATATTAGTTCTCTTAGGTTTAATAATGGTACTGTGTGTGTGGTTACCTAAGATAATGCCTTGATTTTAAGACAATGCACTTTATGGATGAAGAATCATATCTGTAATTTACTTTGAAATGGTTTATCCAATATACATACTCACAACCACACCGTGGAGAGGGTAGGAGGAGAAATTAAAAACATTTATAGCAAAATTTATACAGGGATTCACTGTACTATTTTTCAACCTGTGTGTAGGAAATTTTTCATAAAGAAAGTTGGGACCAAAGAAATCCTTAGTCCTCCCTAAACCCCAATACTTTTCTAGCAGGTTTTTTTGTCAGGAACTGAAAACAAGAACACACTGAAATAACAGTATTTAGCCTCTCATTCTACCACATTATTAAAGGATCAGGGGAGCTAGGAGGGCAACAGGACACTGCACAAAGCGCCGCCCACTTTTCCATCTGAGTCGCACAGTGTTTCTACGATTTAACGTTCATTGGTTGGTGGCAGAAAATGAATAAATGACAGACAGATGGATAGCCTTCTGACTTATTCTGCAAATAAAAACATCCCACAAAATAAGAAATTATTATTAAAAGGAGAAATTTGGGAAGAACGTTGAGAACATTTTTACAAGTGTTGCCACAAGTATATATTAATGTGTGAACTGGAAGGTCTTTGCTCCTTGGATAGTTGTAGAATTTCATTATTTATCTATTAAGACATCAGCCCTTAAGTGATGCCTTCATTCTCTTTTTTTATCACTTCTTCAATGGAAATAGTTAAGTGCCAACCCTGGTATACTTTCTTTGTATTTGGTTTTGTTTTATTACCTTTTCAGAACTACTGAATTTCCCCAAGGTTTTCTTTACCTTTTCCTCCTCTATCCACTAAAAACTGATACTATTAATCCCTCTTCTCACTCCAGTGGCAAAATATTCTGCAGGGGAAAATTTAATAAGTCCAGGTGTGAAAAATGTCCAATTTTACTGAAGTGACAAAGCCAAAAATTTAATTCTTTATTGTTTCTGATTTGAAGGTTAGAGGACTGCCTTAAAGGAGTAAACATCTATGAAAACCTGTGGTAGTCCCAGAAAATGTGGGATTAAGCTCCCAGGGATACCTGAACCTCAAAAGGAAATAGGAAGGAGATGGGAAAGGGAAAACTCTCTTTACCCCTCGGTGGGAAGACATTGCCTCCCCTCACTCCTTCCAAGGGCCCTAGAGGTACACAAGCCCAGTGAAGACAGGGAACTCAGCCTCTGAAAACCACAAGCCCCAGAAAGCCTTCCCTTGCCTTAGGACTACCTACTCTTTATCTGATCTTGGGTGCAGATCCAAGATCACTTCTGTCCTAAGAAGGGGAAAACAATCCCCCAAATGCTCAGTCTGGTAACACAGAGGATGAGGGCAGAAGAGCTTTGGGGCTTAGTGGTGCTTGAAGGGCACAGGCCATCAGCATTGCCATTCTGTTCCACAATTAAGGATTCGGATTAAACGGCTCTCTCTATACATGAGCTCCTGGTGGGATATCCTGAATTGTACAATTGTAGTGCAAGTGAGCATCTAGGGCCTCCACCTGCTGAGACTTGTCCCATCCTCTATCTACCTACCAAAGGCTCCCTCTTTTCCTCTCTTCTTCCCTCCCCACCAAAGGTCAGCAGCTGGCCCCCAACATCCTCCACCCCCACCCATACACACAGTGAGAGGAGGCAGGGAACAGCTGAGGCCTCTCCTAGTGACTCCCAGTTCATGACGCCTGCAAGAGTCTCAGATCACCCTGAAACCCACATGTAGGGCCAGGCCAGGTGTGCCCAGGCCCAGTTCCTTCCTGCCCAAGCCTTTGCTTCCCTGGAGCCTAAAATCTGGGCTCCCCTTGTCTCCTGGTTCTCTTCTCCGCTAAATGTGTTTTCTTAAAGTGAAAATACTTAATACTAGAAATGAGATAATAAACGATCGTGAGAATGCTGCTATTGATTGCATGAGTGTCCTTTAACCAGGAAATAATGCTCCAGTTTTGTTTTCCAATGCCCTTCAACGTCCAGGCATTTTGTTGACTTCTATTGTTGTTGTTCACTGTCAGTAAGTTCAGTCAGCGAATATGTCATTTTTTGGTATTACATGTAATAGCTTAGAATATTCCATTCTATTAGGATCGTTAATTGATTGTACAACCCTTTGCTTAAAATAAAAAGTAGCACAGTATAAGGAAAAGATAGTCATGTGGTTTCCCATTTCCTTCACTAGGTTTCATGACGTACTGCCTATTTAGAAAAGAGTACAGTGGTGCTCAAATATAATAAAATAACATGTTTTTGTTTCTGAGACAGAGTTTCACTCTTGTTGCCCAGGCTGGAGTGCGATGGCGCAATCTTGGCTCACCACAACCTCCGCCTCCTGGGTTCAAGCAATTCTCCTGCCTCAGCCTCCCAAGCAGCTGGGATTACAGGTGCCCGCCACCATGCCCGGCTAATTTTGTATTTTTAACTGAGATGGGGTTTCTCCATGTTGGTCAGGCTGGTCTCCAACTCCTGACCTCAGGTGATCCGCCCACCTCGGCCTCCCAAAGTGCTGGGATTACACGCGTGAGTCACCGCGCCTGGCCAAAATAACATGTTGAAATGAAATAAATATTTTTACATCACACTTGTATGAAAAAGCTTTAAGGAATCAAAACATTAATATTACTTAAAACAGTAACAAGAACACCACACAAAATAAGTCTCAAAATAGAATTACGGAAGTTGAAAATATATTGAGAAACTCCAAAGAGGCAGGCATTCTTCAAGTTTTAGCAATTTGACTACAGTTTTCACCAATCTTAAATTGTCTTAATATTTTCAGCTAACACCATTTTGATGGCTTTAATCACCATTTTCATGACATCTAACACTGTAGGGTTTATAACAATATCCTTAAACAGGGAAAAAATAAAATACAGATATAAAAGCTAAGGAATGTAATACTCGATCCTACTACAATAGAAGCTCAGCCCCAGTCTTCTGAACCACAATGTTGTCCAGCAACTAACTCCAACAACAAATCAGCCAATACCTCACCACTCTTGGGTTAAGCGATCTTAACACAGGCACAACATAACTGCTTTCTTAACAAACAGCTGACTTCTTCACTAAGTGTTTTTGGCAGAGTAAATCTGTTTGGTAAAGGGGAAACTGTAGATCATGATCAGACATGATCTACATACATGAAATCCTTAATGATAGTAACAGACTTCCCCCGTAATCTTGATTGTATTCTTTTCACTACCACTTATATTTAATCTTCAACTTGAAGAAAAAATTAAAGTCAGGGAAGAAGAAAGATAAAAGGAGGTAGAGGAGAAAGATGTGCAAAGGTTCATACCCAAAGTGAAGTGGTCAGAAGTTTGAATCATTATTTATCATTCCACCCTGATGTCAAAGCACTGCGTAGTAAGTGGTCAGCTACTGGAGTCTGGTCTTAATGCCAGGCACACCCTATGCTACATCCAGAACAGGCTGCTGGCACAAGATGGCAGATGCAGGACAGCAGAACCGCCTCAAGCACCGGCAAGCCCCCAATGCCTGTCTCCATAACTACAACCTGCTTCTGTAATTTCCAGAAATGCTGTAATATTAGGTTAAATTTGTAGAAATTCATATACTCCCGACATTCAATTCTACTACGGAATTTCCGTATTCCTTATTTAGGAATCTAAAAACATTTCGACAATAACTGAAAGCTTTTCCTTTTTAAGCATATTAACAGTACAATTAGAAATTTTAAGATAAGTTAATATTAAATATTCTGACAAATGCTACTACAATACCAAAGACAAGGGAAATTGTTTCATATTTAAATCATGTACTGATTTTATAAGCAGGAATGATCTGCTAGTAAAGACAATCCTCATTTAGACGGGGACTTCAATGGGCAGAGATCAGTCAGCACCAACAGGAACTACCAGAACTAACACTCTCCAAGTTAAGCCTTGAAAGGTTTTGGGTCATATTTCATATGGACACACTAAATGAATAATAGAAAATACCGTGCATTATATTCTCGTCGATGACAACAGGTCTTCAGTCTCAGCAGCTGGAACACTGTAAGCAATGCATGCTGATCCTATATGTGCAGGTGAAAGAGTTCCCTGAAAGCTCTCCGCGCTCCGTGCAAACAATTGAGCAGACAGAAGAATTCCACAAATAGCAGAGCAGAAGTCAGATGACTGAATATATTATCAGCCTTCTTTTTGGGACTACAATACCTCAACACCTAGTCATCCATGCTACATGATTACAAAACATCTGCAAAACATGCATCACACAATCTGCGCACAACAGTTAAACAATACTAGAATTAAATGTTTTAAGGGCATAAGAAGCCAAATACCTGTATCAGCATTCTATCCTTTCTAAGCCTATATCCTCTATAGTGCTCTGTCAATCTATGTTCTACCTATCCCCCACAATCAAGTTTTCTTGAGCTTTATTTTCTGAGCTTTTTATTGTGAGAACAACAGGCAACCTGAATATGCTCTTGCAAAATACACTCCCTACTCTTTTCCTTTTCACTAGCAGAGAATTACTGATCTATGTTACTTCAATAAAGCACTGGGTAAGAGAGCTAACAAGAACAGGGTTCTACCTCTCAATGCTACAGTAAGAAACATACAAGAGTACTGTACGGTCATCTTTGCCCTGCACTTGGTTTTCAGTAAGCACTCAATAAATGTTAACTATTTTACTTCACCCATATAATTCTTATTTCCTGAAAATTAAAAGAAAAAATCTATAATTTCAAGAATAGTTAAAAACTGAGCTGATGACTAAAAAAGCTAGAGACTATTCATGGGTCTTAAAATAAATAACCTCTGTGCAGGTATAAGCCCTCCTTAAGGCAACAGTCTGGAAGATGCCTCCTGATACAATTTGCAGGACTGGAACTATTCAAATCTATTCATCCTTCTTACGGACTTAACAAGTAGACTGAGCCTTATAATGTCCCACAAACATTTGCTTTATCAGATTCCTAAAAGAAAGACTTTTTCAGATTCAACCATTCCCTCTGATGTTTATTATTTATTTCCCCCACTTAGTGGCAAAGTTAATTTTTCCTCGCCAAAGTTTTGCTCACAGGCACAGGACTTAAACTCACTTTAAGCTTCAGCCTCCTTCTGGAAAATGGAGGTAACCTCTATTTTATAGGGTTGTGGCAAGAATTAAAGAATGAAGCACACATCAAAAAAGCCTGTATCAGGTTCCTGGCACTCAATGATAGCTGCTATTATCATTTATGTTATCATTGTTACTCTTCTAATACAGACCTTTTAGTCAAGAGCAAGAATGGGCCAGGTGCAATAGCTCATGCCTGTAATCTTAGCACTCTGTGAGGCTGAGGCAGGCAGGAGGTCAGGAGTTCAGGACCAGCCTGGCCAACATGGTGAAACCTCATCTCTACCAAAAAATACAAAAATTATCTGGGAGTGGTGACATGTGACGGCAGTCCCAACTACTCAGGAGGCTTAGGTGAGAGAATCGCTTGAACCCGGGAGGCAGAGGTTGCAGTGAGCTGAGATCACACCACTGCACTCCAACCTGGGTAACAGAGTGAGACCCTGTCTCAAAAAAAGGAAAAAAAAAAAAAAAAAGAGCAAGAACAAGCTACATCTAGAAAAACTGACAACCATAGCAGAATACTTGCACAAGGCTGCACTCAGGAGCATTCCATCCTTTAGAAACCTAGGTAGTTAAGGCCCAAAATGAGTAGTCCTAAAGCAGCAACAATACACAGGCAACGCCTATCACCTTCGCCCAACTAAAGAGTGCCATCCTTACCATACACCACACAGGACTCAAGGACAGAGAGCACAAAACATGATTCCAGAGGAAATAAAACAAAAAGAATTATAAATATTCATACCTTCATTACATGAAATCTATTCGGTTGTAAGCTAATCAGTTAAGGGGACATTTTACAATATTTTTTATTATAAACATTTCAACCCCATTTTCAGGGAAAAGACAACCCAAACCCAAATCAAAGCACAATGTGCTGACATTATATAATTAAAATTACATACACACAAAAAGAACAGATCTTTAGTACTAAAGCAAATTGAAATTAAGGCATATATGTCCCCTCCCACCTCCCCAACCAAAAAAAGTGATCACCCACTCTATGTTCCCCCTTTAATTACTGGCTCTGTAATGGATGGTTTATACTATCAAAGTACACTGAAAAGGCCAGGACACAGTACTCATCAAACGACTAAACGATAAAATGAATGAAGCAATAGTAAAGTCAGACAAGAAGGCAAACACAAGGTCCAAAAAGCCCAAAATGATGGCCAGGTACGGTGGCTAATGCTTTTAATCCCAGCACTTTGGGAAGCCAAGGGGAGAGGATCGCCTGAGCCCAGGAGTTTAAGTCCAGCCTGGGGCAACATCGCAAGCCTCATCTCTACAAAAAATATCAAAAATTAGCTAGGCGTGGAGACACACACCTGTAGTCCCAACTACTTGGGAGGCTGGGTCAGGAGGATCACTTGAGCCTAGGAGGTCAAGGCTATACAGTGAGCTGTGATCATGTCACTGCACTCCAGCCTGGATGACAGAGCGAGACCATATCTCAAAATAATAATAATAATAACAACAACAGCAAGACCAAAGTAAGATTTAAGTTGGCCAGGGGAACTCAAACAATTCGGAACTGGCTGCCTACAAAGCATAAATTCTGCCAGAATTAACAGGCTAATTTCAATTCTCCACGTTATCTGTCAGCTGACGCCTAGTCAAAGTAAAGATGTTTTCTTTTTCCTTTAGAACATTTAACCAGTTGCGAGTAACTTCTACCTATATGATTCTGTGTCCAAAGCCTCAAAAACAGCTATGTAAAACACCACCATAGGTTCCCTTGTCATTTAATTCTTCTCTAGAAATTTCCAACCAGAGAACCAACTGAAAATTATCCTGGAATCAACATTTCCACAATTGCATTATGTCATCACAGCCATGGGGACCCAGAAATGTGGTCATTGATCAACATTTCATAGAGTAAACACATAAAATCTTTGCCCTAAAAGCTAACAGTATTAGGATCTACCTACAGACCACCTAGTCTTTTAATTTCAGTTGCCTTCATAGTTTATCCTTAAGATTTCCACTCCTTTTCATAATGTTTTACCACAGCTAAGAGAACTACACCAGCTTCTAAAATACCCACAAAAGTCACATTCGTGATCACCTCTATCTAGAAATTAGCATCTAGAATCCATAAAGATGTGTTTTCTTTATGATGTCTGAATTGAAGGTCTGCAACATTAAAATTGTATTTCATAGCTTTTCCAGCCATTACTTGTAATAGACTTTAGAGAGTAATATGACATATTCTTTTTACAGCTTGCAATTCATAAAGCCCTACTAGAAGCCTTTAAAAACAAAAAAGGAAAAACACAAACACCTAGAACACAAACACTTAGAACCTTTTTTGTTTGTTTAGAAAAGTAAGGCATAGAGAGGTAAAATTAGCCTTAAATATGAAAGGGTACAAAAAAACTGAAGGTTTTGTTCCATTTTCCCTTAAATGGCTTTCATTTTTGGTATGAACTATAGTCTTATTCTTATACTATGGAAAAAGATCCTGATTTGTTGCTGATTTTATGATTTGCTGCAATAAAAGACCAATACCTTAAAGCAGTGACTTATTTTCTCCCTCCTATTCTCTTAATCTAAAATCAATAAAGCATGTAATAACATACATTACTAAACAAAACTACATACGCAAAATACTAAAGTTAGTAATTTCTTAAATAGCAGTTTTTTCATAACAATAAATAAGCATTAACTTGGCTTTTAAATATAACTTCGATCATGACACAATAATGGCCAAAATATCAAATGAGGGCACATGCTGTGCATTTCAGAAAAATTGTTTAAAGAGACCATCCCCTTTTGTATTTTCCTTTACTATCCAATATCCTAAAGAGTGCTTAAAGAATTGCTTTTCAACTCAATACAACACAAACAATTTTTCCTAAGAAATCCAAGCTGTCAACTTATGGGTCACATTTCAACCTTATGTAATTTGAAACAGCTACGGTACTGAATCCTTAAATACAGGGCATATAATGGAAGGACTGCTCACAGATCCTTGATGTTACTGAAGCTTGGAAAGCTTTAATAAGATACAACTATAAATAAAGACAACTAAGGAGCATTACCCCTTTATCCACAGCCCAAATCCCCCTCCAAGCCTTACATTTTATATTTCCAATAAAATGCTCTTCTAACACTAAGCCACTCATCTAAATTATATTTAACCAATGAAGGGTTAAAATCCAAAACATATTAACTACTCAAAACATAATAAATCCGTAATTGGTGAGCTCCTTTTCTACCCTCCTGCTTCAGTATACTGACATCTAAAAGTCAAAGAACTCCTCTGTTTAAGACTGAAATTCCCAGGAGGAAGGAAGCTCAGATCCAGTCTGAGAGCACACAATGGAATCACAGCTGACGATGCACATCTTTTTCTAGATGTCTCCATATGCTTGAGAGGTTTTTTTCCCCCCAAGCCAGCCATTAGGAGACTTGGTTCTCTCTGCCACCAAGAATCTTACCACATTTTCAAGGATTGTTGCAAAGAATTAAGTAAAATAATGTGTTGCTCTTCAGCATACAAAAGAGAGAAGGGCATATGTCAGAGTGCCCATAAGTAACTAAATTAACAAATGGTGGGGGGTTTTGAATGTTGTCAAATTTTGAATGTTGTTTTTAATACTCCTTACCTCTCTGTCAGTCTAAGTGTTTGGTTTACCTTCTCTGTTTTTACTATTTTATTACAAAAAACATCTCAAGAGCCACAGCAAAATGCAATTAATTCTTGTCTACATGCACCCAAAATGATCCTGAATTGGGAATTCTCATGGTAAATTTGAAAACACTATATTACAACAGAACACATTTGTAAGATTTGGCAAATACTGTTCCCTAGAACTGCAGTCCCCTTCGATTCTTTCTTAGCAACCCAAGATTAATAAAAGCTTGACTTATAGAAAAGATACACATTTTCCACATAAGATACCTAAAAGAAAACACTCCCAAAATTAAATTCATGGGATACTTATGACAAAAATCAATGAATTCATTCTTAATCTAACACTTTTCATTCTTTGAGCTCCCAAAGATTCTACAAATTCCAGGTGAGAAAGGGAGCATTACTTCTGTCAGTGTGCCTAACCTCACCAACAAAGAACAGGAACACACACACACATACACACACACACACGCGCACACACACATGCTTTGTAGCAGCTGCTTTCTTTTTAAAAGACTGCTATTCCTGCAGAGCAACCTGTGATCTTTACAGAGAATCAAAGACCTCTGTTCCTAAAAGTCAAGAGTTGAGAAAGTCACTTGACTGAACGCGCAATAAACAGTTAAAACCAAAGATGTCTCCAAACCTTGTATAAACCAGAAAAGTACCCACACACTGTACAATTCAGCAGTGTTTAAGAAAATTAAAATTATTTTTAAGAATCTTTTGTGTGGGAGTAATCTGGCAAACTACATTTTACTCAGACTTTTTCCTGTAGACAAATATTCTTTGATTAGCTTTGCTCCTTAAATACCCACACTTAATGTTTCAATCAGTGATGCTTTAGTTCCCAACTTCATTTTGTTTGCAAAAAGAAAAAAAAATGCATACCATAAACCACAACTTTTTTTTTTAATGACATCCCCAATGCCGAAGTTTCAAGTACACTTTGGGAACTGGAGCTCTAATTAAACAAGAAACCAGTGAAGCCATTATGAACAATGATGCTTTCTACTACCAATAATCAGTTGACGTGATACTGCTCCCATGCCTTCATTCTCAGGGTTCCCTTTCAAATTTCATTGTCCCCATTCTGGCATAGCTGAGTGAAACCGAGATAAGAGGTAAACGGGTAACTTCTGTCTTCTGTGACCCTTAGCATGTAAACCGGACGCTGAGGTCCAGGACATGATCACTACAGCATATGCCATTTTAGAAACCGGCCTCGGTGAGTTACTGCCACATCCTAAAGTGGCTTTAGACTTCGTCGTGTCTAAGACAACGTCTATTTCGGTACGAAAGACATACAGGACCTCGAGTGCCTCGGCAGCCTCTGCGGGTCGGAGCCCCTATAAGTGACACAACCCCAGAAATCAAGGAGCGGGTGACTCGGGGATGGACAAGAGTAGCTGGCTCTCAGCGTCTCCATGACTCCCCCGCCCCGCATGCAACTCTGCTCTAACTGGTCAGGAGAAACCCCGCCCCCTTCCTTCCTCCGGTCCGCACGATTGGCTCACCGACACCCGGCAGGTCAGCTCCCTGCCTTCGATTGGCTCACTGCCCCATCAGTCAGACGCACCGAGATTCGGGTCGGTGGGAGGGGAAGGCGTCGGAGGAGGTGGAGAGGGAGTGGGATTAGAGGACGAGGTGGCGGAGGAAGGTGTTCAGGCTCGGTCTCTGGTTTGGGAAAGTTTCCCCTACCAGTGACGGACCCAGAACGCGGGAGGCCCAGTCCAGCTCCGGGCCAGCGGAAGGGGGCTCCAGTCCCCGATTCCCGCCCCTCGGTCCCGCAGGCCCCGGAAACCACTAGAGGGAGGGGAAGAGGGAGGGGCCATCTAACCAGGGACCGACCCACCCCCGGTCTCGGAAGAGGCGCCTCTGGGACTCCCCCGAGGGGAGGAGGCGGGGAGCGCAGCCGGCAGCGACGACCCCGGCCCCCTCCCCCAGCACCCCCCAGGGGCCCGAGAGGGCCGGGTCCCCGTGCCCGGGGCGTGACCGTCGCGAGGCGGCCACAGGGCCCCTCCCGCTTCCCGCCTGGGGCCCCGAGGGCCTGTCCCTTCAGGGGCGGAGAGAAGGGGGCGAGAAAAGGGGGCGCTGGCGAGCCAACCCGGAACCTCCCGGTCCGCCTCCCGCCCCCGGCCCCGGCCCCAGCGCGCCTCCTGCATACACGCCCGCACCCAGAAAGTTCAGTCAGGGGCGAGCCCGGCTCGGCGCCGCCGGGGCCCGGCCCCCGGCTCCCCGCCCCCACCACGGCCCGGCCTGCTCGGCCCCAGCGCGCCGCCCGCCCCGCCCGCCGCAGCTCCTTCCCGTCCGCCCGCGGTGCTCGGCGCCCCTCGCCCCCCACCCCCGGGGCTGACACGGGCCCGGGCCACCCGCCGGGCCGCGGCTCCCCTTCCCCGCCCCGCGCTGCAGCTCGCCGGCCGCCCCGACACCCCGCTTCACCTTCACACACCCCCAGCACTTCCCGAGTCCTGCCTCCCCTCGCCCGGCTCCCACTCTCCGCTGCAGCCGCTCCGCGCTTCCATTAAAGAATGCACCTTCCCAGGATTCACCTTCTCGGCTCTGCCGCGCTGCCCCCGAGGGGTTAGAGCCTCGGTCTCCGCCGACCCCGCACCGGGCTGGGCAATGGGCACTCGCTCCTCGGGGCGGGGGCCGCGCCCGCACCCCCGGCCGCGCCTCGGCGCTCACCTCTCGCCCGCGCCGCGGGCTGCAGCCTCCGCCCGCCTCGCGCTCCGGGACTCGTCTCCTGAGCTCTCGCAAGGCGCTGGAGCGCCTCCTTTCTCTCCCGGGGACTCCGCGTCTCCCCGTCGCTTCCCGCCCTCCCCACCCCCAAGCCCCAACTCCCCAGCGTCGCTGCGCCTCCGGGATGCAACTCCCGTTTTCCGCGCACTCCGGCGGCGGTCCCCGCACACAAAAACAGCCTCTCGGAGGCGCACGGCTCTGTCGGAGCTCGGCGCAGGAAGGGCAGTCGCGGCCGGGGGTGGGGACGCGGCGCCCCCCGCCTGCCGCCCGCCCCCCGCCCGCCCTCGCGGCCCCGGGGGAAGGCGCGGTTACCGGCTCGGGTCGGTCACGCCGTCAGGTGCCGGCTGCCGTCGGCGCTGACCTTCGCCGCCGAAGCTGTAGCCGAGGCTGCGGCCGCCATGTTCCCGTGTTAATAACTGCTGCCTGGTTGTTTATTTCAATGGAGATCCTCCCCCAACTCCCTCCTCCTCCTCCTCCTCCTCCTCCTCCTCCGCGTCTCCGCACTTGCGGAGAGACAGACAGCGCGAGCTCGCGAGCAGGGGAGGGGGCTCGGGAGCCAGGCCGTCCCTCCCTCTGCCTCCCCGGCAGTGGCCGCCGCCAAGTCCTGTCACCGGGAAAAGGACGGGGCGGAAACTTGCCTCTCGCGCCCCCGAGGAAGGGGCAAAGGTGGACGCAGGGTTGTCCGGGGAGCAGCCCCTGGCCGCGGGGTCCGCAGCATCTCCGTCGGCAGAGTCCTCTGAGAAGGCGGCCCGGGGAGAGGTGAAGAAGAGTAAGGGGACAGGGGACAAAATGGGTGACTGTGGTAGAGGGAGGGTGACCTAGAGGTGACTGGAACTGAAGAGAGAGTCAACAGAGGACTGCATGGGAGGGCAAAGGGCAATGCCAAAAAGAAAACTAGCGACTGGGACGGGCCTGGGCCGCTGAGTTAGAGGCAGTGGGGCCTGGGGGCTGCAGACGGCAGGGACGGTGCCCCAGGACGAAGATCGGGGAGAGCCGAGTTCCAGGGTCGCCAGCAGAGGACCCTCGCGCCCGTCCGGCCGGACCCTTCGGCCAGCACCCTGCACCCCCTCGGGCGCACCTCACCCTACCCAACTCCCGGTCCTGCCGCTGCTCCCCGGAGGCGCCCCGCATCCGTCAAGTCCCCTACGGCTCCAACAGGGAGAGGCTTCTCCCATTGCAGTCCTAGCTCCAGAGGGGATGGAGAGGCGCGACTGTGGGAGCTGGAAGGGGCACCACCCGGCAATTGCGGGATAAAGCAAATGCTGCACACAGAGTGTGAAACTTAACCTGGTTGAGAATTTTCGGCACATCATGAAATCATAAGTTTGTATTGGAAAGTCCATTCTCTAGACATCCGTGAACAAAGTACTGAGGGGACGTAGGAGATTGGCACTGAAAATGCGAGAACCCCCATTTAAGTGTTACTTAGACCAATCTGTTTTACGCTTTGGAAAAGCAAGTTTTTTTTCCAACTTATACGGTAATTAGTTGAAAAAAAAAACTTTTGTTTAATGGCAGTTATCAAACTATGAGAGGAACATATTCCCTGATTTTAATCTTATAATGAGAAAGGTCACTTGCGGTAGACAATAAGAGTGTTTATTGAACACTTACTGTGAATCTGACTGTGCTAGGTGATGTATATATGCTATAGGCCTTAATCCTCAAACCTTCCGAAGTCATTGCCGCTTTTCACTTCACACAAAAAATTGAAGCTTAAAGTAATTTGCCCAGGGTCACAGCCAGTAGTTGGAGAGGATGTGAGCCCAGTTCTGGTGAGCTCCAAAGCCCATGCTTTTAAACATGTCTTCATCCTAAAATTTGTGGGTGTACCGCCAATTTTATTTGGGAAAAGAATAAAAAAAATGTGTGGGGTGTGTGTGTCTGTGTTTGTTTGTGGATAGAAAATGCTTGGAAGCCTATAACAACAAATGTTAGCGCTGGGGAGTGTAAGAAGTGGGTGATGAGGCACTTCCACTTTTTATTTTGCACACCTATCTAATGTTTGAAATGTTTGCATTGACTATGTATTAATGTATATTTTTAAAGGTTTTTTTTTTTTTTTTTTTTTTTTTTTTTTAGCTAGCTGGAATAATAGAATTATGTTCCCAAAGCGTTGAGAGGAAATGGAGAGTTTGTTTATGGCCTATCTTCTGCTAATACCAGTCTGTAGCTTGTCTACAATGGGGTAGTAGTCACCTGAGGTTTGTCACAATTCTGAACTCCCGATTTGCTTTCCTGTCCTCACCCCCAACTGTGAGTTATCAGGAGTTGTGATAATAAATAAATAAATAAATAAAAATTTAAAAAAAAGATTCTCCTTCTTGCTTGCTATCCCTCCCATTTTGGCAGAAGTCCAGAGTCTATCAGTCCTCTGCAATCGTAGATTTCACACTTTTTAAAACTACCCATGATACCTCTGCAAACAAATGACTCCCCCCATTGCATTCCCGTATTACCCAATAAAACGTCTTACGACGGCTGAAGACTTTTTCTTACAAGAAATAAACAAAAACGTCTGACAGCATAGTAGATGAGTTCCATGCCCAAGTGCTACTCAATTGCCTGAGCTTGAATTGAATTGTGTGACTTAAACGCGCTCTGGTACAATCTCTGGGTGCCCTCTGAACTTCAGGCTCTTGCTGTAACAGTAGTCTGTCTTGCACTAGAGTTGTTTATATGTTTGTCTTTCTCTTTCACTAGATTGTAAGTGCAACAGAGCCCAAGACCTAGTCTTGTTCTTGTTTGTACATGCTATAGCACCTAACAAGGAATGTATGATGTTTGTTGTTTCATTGAATTTGTGAAATATAAATAATAGTATCTATTCCGATCCTCATGTCCTCTTCCCCACCTCATCTTCCAATCCCTTGCTCATAAAACATGTTTATAAAAAACATCTTCCATACTTAGAAAGAACTTTGATTCCCATGAGACCTCAGAACAATTGTTTATTAAAACTAGCCATAATTTTTAGTGAATCATCACTATGATAATGTAAAATGAAAAGGTAGAGGAGGCGGTAAATAAGTTGGCTCAATGACACAAATTAAGAAAGGAAGAAGAAGGAAAGAAAAAAGAAGGCAAAGATATAGGAACTAGGTATATTACCAAGAGAGAACAACAAGGAAAAAATATGTGGGTGCAGATCATAAAGGGGAAGGAAATTATTGAAATTTAGTGGAAGTAGAAATAACATACCGTGAATGGATGAGGCAAGGAAACACCAAAAATGTCAGCAGAATCATAAATGCAGCATGGAAAAGTAAAGAAAATGACAAATTATATATTTAACAATATAACCTAGGAATAATCAGAACAATATGACTGCTACAAGACAAGAATTTCTATTTTTGTCTGCCTTTTCTTCCACAGTTTTCAAAGTACTCACTTTTTTCATAAGTAAACTGCATAAAAGTGGGAGATTCTATACTATTTTTGAGTTAATACTACTAGCATACATCATGAGATTAGAGGTAACAGTATGGTAAAAAAGAGCTATAGAATATAAGCAAATAAATATGATGTGAAGTGGTCTCTGTAAGTTACTGTGTGACCTCAAACAAGTCACTAAATATCGCAATTTCCTCATCTGTGTAATTGTTGCAAGACTCAAAATGGTGTAAATAAATGTACTTTGTTAACTATCAAGCTCTTTATACAGATGTAAGGGAATATTATTATGTCAGCTAATATGTAGCACAGTTATCTCTGTTTTGGTGCATTCCTAAATTGCCAAAGCAAAAATCTATAGTTCATTCTATTAAAATGTAATCATAGGGTGGGGGCGTCAGTTAAAACATTTGTTTGTCAATTTGATTATTGAACGACTGTGATGAAATGTTTCATTCTTATTGTTTGCTCTCTTCTAAATCCCTTAAATAGTATAACTACAATAAACAAATGTCTAATATAAGTCAAGCATATTACATAAATTTTTTCCTTACTGAAGTAGTCATTGTATGTATATTATTCTCATTTTATGTACAATAAAGCTGAGCTTCAGAGACTTCAAGTAAATTAATGCAAAGTCATAGAACTGCCTTCGCTGCATATCTAAGATTGTGTTAGGATTCTACTCTTCATCACTTGTATTTCTACTACTCTGAGAAACACATTGGCTGGGCGCAGTGGCTCACGCCTGTAATCACAGCACTTTGGGAGGCCGAGGCAGGCAGATCACGAGGTTAAGAGATTGAGACCATCCTGGCCAACATGGTGAAACCCCGTCTGTACTAAAAATACAAAAAAAAAAAAAAATTAGCTGGGTGTGGTGGCGCGCTCCTGTAGTCCCAGCTACTTGGGAGGCTGAGGCAGGAGAATTGTTTGAACCGGGAGGCGGAGGTTGCAGTGAGCCAAGATCGCACCACTGCACTACAGCCTGGTGACAGAGCAAGACTCTGTCTCCTAGAACATAATGCATACTCAATAAATGATCATGAAAAGAATGAATAAATGAATGAATGGGCTCCCTTCAAGTCATACTGTACACTGTCACAGGATTGATCCCCTCAGTCTTATTTTGTTACTTTCCCACTTGAAAACACTTAATGATCCTTCATTAACTATGGAATACAATTCAAATCCTTCATCTTAGATTAAGAACCTCTTTGATATACCCCCTCTATTCATACCTCCCTTATTTCTCCCCCTCTATTCATACCTCCCTTATTTCTCAAGCAAAAACAAATATTAATACACCCACACTCATTCCAGGGTATTCTGAGTGAGATTGACATGAGTTTCAATCTTGGCTCTTACTAACTGGGTGAACTTGGGCAAGTTATTTGGCATCTCTGCAAATTTTATCAGTGCAATAAGACAAGAAAATGAATTGGAAGGAGGTGAAACCAAACTTATTCACTAATGATGATATAGTGTACGTACAAAATTCAAAAGAATCCATGAACTACTAAAATGAATGTAGGATCACAAGGTACAAGGTCAATTGTATTTCTTCTGTATGTTAGCATGAAACAACTGGAAAATGAAAATTTTAAAATGCCATTTACAAAAGCATTTTAAAAATCAAAATTCAGGAATAAATTTAATGAAAGATGTCACATGATCTCTACATTGAGAAAAAAATATTGCTAATAGAAATTCACAATGGCCTAAAAACAGAAATAGACTGGGCACAGTGGCACATGCTTGTAGTTCCAGCTACTTGGGAAGCTGAGGCGGGAAGATCACTTGAGCCTAGGAGTTGTAGACCAGCGTGGGCAACATAGCAATACTGTGTCTCTTAAAAAGTTAATTTTTGTGTGTGTGTGTGACATGACCTTACTCTGTCACTCAGGCTGGAGAGTGCAGTGGCACAATTACAGCTCACTGCAGCCCTGACCTCCCTAATAGTCAGGAATACAGGTGTGTGCCACCACACCCAGCTTTTTTTTTTTTTTTTGGATTTTTTTTTTTTTGTAGAGATGGGGTTTCACCGTCTTACCCAGGCTGATCTTGAACTGCTGGGGCTGAAGTGATCTGCCCACCTAAGCCTTCCAGAGTGTTAGGATTACGGCATAAGCCATCATGCCAGACCAAAACATTAAATTTTTAAAACAAGAGATGGGACCAGGTATAGTGGCTCATGCCTGTAATCCCTGCACTTTGGGAGGCTGAGGTGGGAGGATCACTTGAGGCAAAGAGTTTGAGACCATCCTGGGCAACAGAAATGGGCAAAAGGACTCCATTTCTGTTTTAAAAAACAGTATTAAGATGTCATCAGTATTAACATGTCAACACTTAGCAAATGGATCTATAGATTCAATGCAATCCCAATCAAAATCCCAGCAAGCTTTTTAAGTAAAAATTGAGGTCTAATTCTAAAAATTATATGCAAATACATATTACCTAGAATAGCCAAGACAAACTTGAGGAAGCATGAGTTGAATGACTTACACTGCCAGCTTCAATATTTACTATAAAGCTACACTAATTAAGACAGTGTGATATTGGTGTAAGAATAGACAAACAGATCAATGGAACAGAATAGAGAATTCAGAAATAGGCCCCCAAACTTATAGTCAATGAATTTTGTACAAAGTTGTCAAATAAATTCAATGGAAAAAGGAAAGTCTTGTCAATAAGTAGTGCTACAACTAGGTATCAGTTTGGAGAAAATAGTGACTTCTTACCATACACAAGAATGAATTCAAGATGGATCATAGACTTAAATGATAAAAACCAAACTATAAAGCTCCTAGAAGAAAACATCAGCCATCCTTGTATTCCAAGCACTTTGGGAGGCCAAGGCAGGAGAATGGCTTGAGCCCAGGAGTTCAAGACTAGCCTGGGCAACATGGTGAAACTCCATCTCTAAAATAAGTAAATAAAAAAGCCAGGTGTGGTGGCACACACCTGTAGTCCCAGCTGCTTGGGAGGCTGAGGCAGAAGGATCACTTAAACCTGCAAGGTTGAGGCTGCAGTGAGCCATGATCATGCCACTGCAATGAGCTGAGCTGGAGCCTGAGCAAGAGAGCAAGACCCTGTGTGAAAGAAAGAATAAAAGAGAGAGAGAGAGAGAAGAAAGAAAGAGAGAGCAGCCAGGTGCAGTGGCTCATGCCTGTAATCTCAGCACTTTGGGAGACCAAGACAGCCGGATCACCTGAGGTCAGCAGTTCGAGACCAGCCTGGCCAACATGATGAAATCCCGTCTCTACTAAAAATACAAAAATTAGCTGGGCATGGTGGAGCATACCTCTAATCCTAACTACTGGGGAGGCTGAGGCAGGAGAATCACTTGAACCCAGGAGGCAGAGGTTGCAGTGAGATGAGATTGTGCCAGTGCACTACAGCCTGAGTGACAGAGTGAGATTCTTGTCCAAAAAAAAACAAAAAACTGACAATATCAAATACTGGGGAGAATGTTGGGCAATTGGAACTCTTATTCTTTGCTGGCAGAATTGTACAAACACCTTGGAAAACAGAAACTTCCTCATGAAGTTAAGTATACACAATTCTACCCTACAGTTCTCCTAGGTATTTACCTGAGAGAAATGAGAACAGATGTTCACCAAAAGATTGTATAGAACATTAATAATATAGAATATAATAATAACCCAGCCTCCCAAGCAGCTGGGACTACAGGTGTGTGCCACCACACCTGGCTTTTTTATTTATTTATTTATTTTAGAGATGGAGTTTCACCATGTTGCCCAGGCTGGTCTTGAACTCCTGGGCTCAAGCCATTCTCCTTCCTTGGCCTCCCAAAGTGCTTGGAACACAAGCATGGCCGATGTTTTATTCATGATAGTGAAAACCTGGAAACTAATTTCCATCGTCAAGTTATGTGGAGGAACAAAGTGTGGTATATTCGTACAATGGAATAGTACTCAACAATACAAGGAACAAATTACTGAAATATGCAATAACATGAATGAATTTTAGAAGCATTTTGCTAAGCAAAAGTAGTCGTACGGGTGCATTCTGTACAATTGCATTTATGCTAGAATACTACAGGTGCAGGCAAAATGAATGTATAATGATGAAAGTTGATGCTAGGGTTGTGGGGGGTGCAGATTGACTGGAAAAAGGGAAGACAGAATTTTGGAGGGATGAAGAAATATTCTGGGGTGATTAATATTGATTTAGGTGATAGTTACATTTTGACAAACCATTGTCAAAAATGTATTGAGTTGTACCCTTAGGATTTGTGTATTTTGCTATTAACTTATGCAAATTATACCTAAACAAAGTACTATTAGCATTTTAAAAAACCGGGTAAGAGGGAAGTTCCCCAGTATAATGAAGTATATTTACAGAAAGCCTATAACAAACATTGTACTCAATATTGAAACATTTATAGCTTCCCCCTGAGATTGAGAAAGAGAATTGCAAATAGTATGCCCAGTATTACCATTTGTAACCAACATTGTACAGGCAGTTCTAGCCAATGTGATAAAAGGGGAAAAAATGGCATAAAGATTGCTAAGGGAGAAATAGAACTGTCATTATTTGCAGATGGCATGAATGTTTATGTGAAAAATGCAAAGGAATCTACAAACTATTAGAATTAAATTTAATAAGATCTCTAGAATGGGAGGTCAATATAGAAAAATTAATTGTGTTACTATATATTAGAAACAATTAGAAAATGAAAATTTGGCATGTAAATTGAAAACTGTTTGGCAATATCCATTAAAGCTGAGCATGTCTCCTGGGTGACCTAATAATTCTGTTCCTTAGTATGTATCCTATAGAGTCCTTCAACAGAAGACTGAATGAATTACAGCATTTTTGTTCAATGGAATACTATACTGAAATGAAAATGAACAAACTATAGCTTCACACAATAACATGTATAAATCATAGAGAAATAACCTTGAATAAAAGAAACTAGATACAAAAGAACACTACTATATGATGCTATTTACATAAAGGTCAGACAGGCAAACCTAATCTATGGTGATAGATACCAGGATAGTTGTTACCTTTTGCCAGGTAGGTGCGGCCTAGGAAGGCACATGAGAGAGATTTGGGGATTCTGAGAATATTCTGTTTCTAATCCGAGTGGAGGTTACATGGACATGTTGATTTTATGAAACATTTGTGCACAGTTTATTCATGGTATACAAATGACTTGTGTGCCTATGTATATTACACTTCAATTTTTTAAATGTTATTGTTGTTTGCATTTACTGAATCTCGCTCCCTAACTAGACTGTAAACTCCCTGAAGACAGGGATTATATTTTAGATTTCTTAGCATCCCTCACAGATTTTAGCACAGCTGCTTCATAAAATGTTACTTTACAGCCCAGGCGTGGTGGCTAGCAGCTGTAATTCCAGCTACTCAGGAGGAGTAGCTTGAGCCTAGGAGTTCAAGCAGCAGTGAGCTATGATCACACCACTGTACTCCAGCCTGGGCAATGAAGCAAGACCTTGTCTGTCTCTAAAAAGAATAAAAATAGAAAATAAAAGATTACTTTACAAAAATAAGTTGATATAGTTCCCAATAAAGTCTATTTGTTTAGTTTTAGTGTAAGTACAAATAATAGTAAAACAACATATTTTATATATATATATAAAATATATAAAGATATGTAAAATCAATTTAAGTATTGACATTTTGTCTAAAGATCTCCTTTCTCTTAGTTTATCTCTAGTAACTCCAAAAGAAAGCTCTAGATATATATTAAAAGTAGAATTTATACTCAGGAAGCTGAGACAGGAGAATTGCTTGAACCAAGGAGGCAGAGGTTGCAGTGAGCCAAGATAACACCACTGCACTCCAGCCTGGGCAACAGAGCACTACTTCGTCTCAAAAAAAAAAAAAAAAAAAAAAAACTAGAATCTAATAAATTAAGCCCAATGTGAGAATCACATCTCATTTGAGTATTGCTAGTATGTAAAAATTGGAATACAGATAGACATAACACCAGGTATTGGCTTCACCTGACTTAACACCACTTAACATAAAAGTTAATAGTGGGCCGGGTACAGTGGCTCATACCTATAATCCCAGCACTTTAGGAGGCCAAGGCAGGTAGATCACTGGAGGCCAAGAGTTCAAGACCTACCCGGCCAACATGGCGAAACCCTGTCTCTACTAAAAATATAAAAATTAGCCAGGTGTGGTGGTGCACACCTGTAATCCCAGCTACTTGGGAGGCTGAGGCATGAGAATCACTTGAACCCAGGAGGCAGTGGTTGCAGTGAGCTGTGATGGTGCCACTGTGCTCCAGCCTGGGCGACAGAGTGAGACTCCGTCTCAAAAAAAAAAAAAAAAAAAAGAATAGAGACATAGGTTCTAAAGGTTCTAAACCGGTATCTGAATGCATAATCAATGAGACTTGGGCATTTTGTGTGTGTGTCTTTCTTTACACACAACATTTGCCATCTTAGCTATTTTTAAGTTACAATTCAGTGGCATTAAATGCATTCACCTTGCTGTGCAACCCTCAACACTATCCATCTCTAGAATTTTTTCAAGCAAATCTTCTGGACATGCAATTAAATGCATCTAGGACTCAGTTTCCTACCTGAGTCCTACATTTTTAAGATTCCATGCAGCTCTGAAACACTACATCCGGGAACTAAAGAACATTCAAAGAAAAACAGACTCCTTTGGTTAAAATGCAAGTTTTATAAAACCCTAGATCCAGAAACCTATGTTAATGTTCAGTTACAGTTGGGATAGAATAATGCCTTTGCGAAACAGACTGCATCTAAATAATTGTTCTTTTGCCTCAGGAAAAGAACCATCTTCAGAAGAGTAATATACCCTTCACTTCTTTTGAAATAGGCTTTATAAACATGGACCACTTGACAGAGAGTCTTACCACTGAACACCCACTCCAGCAATAGTTTCTGAACTCTAAAATCAAAACTTTGTTTTTATTCAAAATATTTACAGAGTCAATCAATGTTATACTTTTATTAGTCCATTATTTATGAATGTCGTTTTTTAACATCTTTGATTAAATGCCTCGGCCCCTGGGTTGTTTGTTTTGTTTTGTTTTCAGTTTTCCCCCAAAATAATTATGAAGTTCCAGCCATGCGACTACCAGAGAGATTGCAGTTGGTCTCGTGCCCCACCCCCATGCCCTTTTAGATGATTAATGTCCAAGCTCTTAAACCGAGTGGTAGGTATGTGAATATTTATTATTCCTATATCTGTCACACATGTTATAAATATTTTCTGTGTATATATGATATTTAGTTTAAAAAATTTAAATTCCTTCTATAATAACTGTTTTACTTAATCACATTCTTTTCTTATAAAACAACAAAAGCTAACATTTAGACCCTGTTTTTCTTTAGACCAAGTTTTAAAATAAATTACTAATATTGGGTACTTTCTCATACACTTTGTCTCTGATTTACACATGGTCAACTAACCACCGTCTAAGACTAACAATGCTCTTCCATGTCTGAACTCCCTTCTCTTTCTGCCTCTGCCTGCCTCTTCCCTTATCCTCTTTCCTCTTCTCTCTCCTTACTGTGGGCTTTGCAGCTGTTTCTCTCCCTTTTTAATAGTGGTTTCATTGACAATATCACCATTGCCTCATATGTGAGTTCTACCTCCCTCTGGAGATGATTGTTTTCCTTCCTCTGGATCCCTTGTTGCCATCCCTAAGATAAAATCCCAAGCCCAGGTGACTTTGAGTATTCCCCGACAGAGCAACCACATTACCCCAAGGTGCCCCATCTTCATCTATACATGTTTAGCAGAGTCCCTATCCAAGTGCAGCATAGTTTTCCACAAAAATGCATATGATGGTTATGTTTTATTACCAGTACAGTACTATTATTGATGTCACAGGTTTTAGGAAGACAGCTCTGAGAATTTAGGCTCCTCGAAAATCTGGTTTCTATAGAAAAACATGCTTTACTTTACCACCAATAAATGAAAAAGTAAACTTTGGAAATAAGTGCATGAAGATTGTTTGTGCTTTCCATCTAAGACTTCAAAGCCCTTCATAAAACACAGTTTTTAAAAAAGCCTTTTGACACAACTAATAGCCATTCAAGGACTTGTTATATTCATAACTAAGATGCATTTATTAGCAACCTTTGACATGAAGCCCAGGAGATAATGCACAAAATGATAAAAAAAAAAGATAGGGTATGTTTCTTTCCATTTATTAATTCAGTGAAAATTTGTTCAGTTTCTACTCTAGTTCAAGTACTGGAGACTAGGCATGGTGGCTCATGCCTGTAATCCTAACACCTTTGGAGGCTGAGGTGGGAGGATTGCTTGAGCCCAGGAGTTTGAGGCTAGCCTGGGCAACATGGCAAGGCCCCCATCTCTACAAAAAACTTTCTTCAAAATTAACCTGAGTTTTTTATTTTTTTTTTTAATTAGCTAATGTTCACCTGTGTTCCCAGTTACTTGGAAGGCTGAGGTGTGAGGATCGCTTGAACCCAGGAGTTTGAGGCTTCAGTGAGCCATGTTCACACCACTGCACTCCAGCCCGGGTGACAGAGCAAGACTCTGTCCCAAACAAACAAACAAAAAGTACTAGAGACCCAGTACTAAACAAACTCCTCTATCTGAATGAAATTTACAGCAGATGCGGCCCATACTAGGCACTCAATAAATATTTGTGGAGTGAGTGATTGTGCCTAAGAAAACCCTTAGAATACGATAGATATTTTTGTTTCATAAAATTCAATGAAATCAATGAATGAAGGGGTTGCAGAATATAAATTAGGCAGGGGAATTTTACAGCAATCAAAGTTAAAATACTTCCTATTCCTACTGAAGTAATTGTGGGCGGGAATATTGGGTGACTGTGACCAGAAAGGCAACACCTCTACAGCCCATATGGCTCTTACTTTGCTGGGCACGGGTTAGGAGACAAGTGCCATCCCACCACTACCTCTATACCTTTTTGCTAATTTTAACTTTGAGACCTAAGTGTATTTTATCTACAAGTAGTTTAGATTTATCATCTTCACTTCAAGAACTCTGCACTCATTTACGGTAGCATTGTAACAGAAGACAGAATTTTACCAAATGTAACAAAGGCTTTAGACCATGATAATTAGTTGCATTTGAAATCCCATCTTCATAGATATTCATAATGTATTTCTTCTTTATGATATTACTACGATTGCAATCCTCCTAAAAAGCCAAACATTTTTGTATTAGAGTTCTCTAGAGAAATAGAAATTAGATATTTATATCTAATAAAGAGATTAATTTTAAGGATTTGGCTCATGCAATTGTGGGGACTTGAAAGTCCAAACTTTGCAGAGAAGGCCAGTAGGGTGGAAATTGAAGCAAGAGTTGATGTTGCAGTCTTCAGTCTGAAGGAAGTCTGGAAACAGAATTCCTTCCTTCTTGGGGGACCTCAGTTTTTTTGTTTTTTTTTTTTTTCTCTTAATGCGCTCAGCTGATTTAAATGTTCAATGAGCACTGCTGATTTCAGTGTTAATTACATCTAAAATACCTTCAGAGCAACATCTAGACTAGTGTTTGGCCAAACAACTGGGCACCACAGCCTAGACAAATTGACACATTAAATAAATCACCACAGACTACTATTTCTCAAGTTGGATCCATGCAGTCTTCTTAAGCCATACTTAATCTCCAAGTGAAGACAATAAAAAATTCATACTTCTGCCTAACATGATACAACTATCTTGTGTGTAACCAAAAATACACTAACACTTTCCCCAGAGAGGAAAGCAAAGTCCTTGAGTAATGTTCACTCTTCTTGATATCTTGTAACTTAAATTTTACTATGATATTGCCTTAGTACATTTAATGCTGCTATATCAGAATACTAGAGACTGGGTAATTTATAATGAAGAGAAATGTATTGACTCATGATTCTGGAAGTTGGAAAGTCCAAGACTGAGGGGCCAGATCTGGCAAGGGCTTTCATGCTTTATCATCCCATGGCAGAAGGGAAAAGAGAGAGTGAGAGAGTGAGAACAAAGGGTATCAAACTTGCCCTTTATAATGAACCACTCTTGCGGTAATAGCCTAATCACTTCTCATTAGGCTCATCTCCCAACACTATTGCCTTGGGGATTAAGTTTCTAACACATGCTTTTTGGGGGACACATTTAAACCACAGCAGATGTTAAGTTGATAATACTTAAATACTTGATGTAAAATCAATACATCTTATGTTATATGTTAAGGGGATATGGGAGGAAAGGAAAGAAAACAAGATATTTGCCCTATACACACATACATGCATTCAAATGAAATAAGGAAACAATTACAGCCTCATTTCTATAAATGGTCATGTGGTTGTAGCTAGTACTTAAAACTACCTTCTTGGTGCTGGGCATGGTGGCTCATGCTTATAATCCCAGAACTCTGGAAGGCTGAGACAGGAGGATCTCTTGAGGCCAGGAGCTTGAGATCAGCCTGGACAACATAGTGAGACCTCGTCTCTATTAAAAAAAAAAAAAAAAAAAAAGGCCAGGCGCAGGGGCTCATGCCTGTAATCCCAGCACTTTGGGAAGCCGAGGTGGGTGGATCACCTGAGGTCAGGAGTTTGAGACCAGCCTGGCCAACACAGTGAAACCCCATCTCTACTAAAAATACAAAAATTTGTCAGGCATGGTGGTGGGCGCCTGTAATCCCAGCTATTCGGGAAGCTGAGGCAGGAGAATTGCTTTAACCTGGGAGGCAGAGGTTGCAGTGAGCCAAGCTTGTGCCATTTCACTCCAGCCTGGGCAACAAGAGTGAGACTCTGTCTCAAAAAACAAACAAACAAACAAACAAACAAACAAACAAAACTACCTTCTTTCATTATCCATTCTGTATTCCCCTTGCCCTCAACAAGCATGTTACTCAGCTGATCGTGGTTTTTTACCCGGTCAGGTGACTCAAAACTTCATTCATGAAAGATCTAAGTAAGCCATTAGTAGTTGTGCCTGAATTGGGTTGTAGTTTTTCATTGATTTTACTCTAGGGTATAGAGGACTAAGAGACATCCTAATAGATCTTCTGCATTTCAGCCTTTTTCGTATCTCCATTGTGTAGTTGCTGACTAGTTTCCCCTGGCAATCAGAATAAATCATTCCAGCAGTACATTAACTCCCTTCTTTGTCTGCTAATTCAGAGGCACGAGAGAGCCAAAGTGGCCAGGTCGCAATCTTAACTTCCAGTTCATGGAGCCATTGTTATGTTTGTTAGTGGAAGAATTCCTCCCTTTGGAACTAAGACCTCTAGATTAGCAGCATATAAAATCTCAGGAATAGGAAGCAAAAATTTTGCTAGTGAATCAGTAGCATAGTAGCGATACTCCCTCCCATTTCTACTTCTTAATTCTCAGACCTGTGAATAGTGGGTATGGGAGAAAACAGCACCATTTATTGACACTTACTTAGAACACACACAGCCACCTGGAGAACCCTGTCCCAGTCCTGCAAGGTATTGTCACCTAGCTGACATTATAACTGAGTCTTCAAAAGGCCATTCCACTGTACTGTCAAGCCAGAGATGCTTCAGGATGGTGGGGAACATGGTAAGACAAGTGAATTTCATGACCCTGGGCCTACTGAACTTCATTTACCATAAAATGAGTTTCTTGATCAGAAGCAATGCTGTGTAGAATGCCATGATGGTGAATAGGAGGTCCCGTTCTGTGGATACCAGTCAGCCTCCTTCCAGAGACTCCTGTCATCATTCAGCAAACTCATAAACAAGGTGACTATGATGGCAATATGGACTTCCAATCAGTGGATGCCACTGCTAAATCCCCAGTCTGCCAGCAGCAGAGACCACACCGAGTCCCCCATATGGCACCATTCCCTAATCAGCTAGCTACCTAGTGGTAGGTCAATTACATTGGACTGCTTCTAACATGAAAGAAGCAGCATTTACTCTAGTTATAGATATGCCTTCCCTGCACAAAATGCTTCTGTGAAAACTACTATTATAGACCACTTTGCTCAGAAGCACCATCTCTTTGCAATATTTTTCAAAAGAATATACATAACACTGAAATAGTAGTTAAAACAATCTAACTCACTTTCTTTGGTGACCAAAAATCTAGTACTATATTTGCAATATATTCATTTTAGCAAACTTGCTCTAAAATGCAAAAAAACATATTTATAATTGACAATTGGTTATAAACATAATACCAGCAATGTGATGTATCTGTAGTAATAAAGTGAGTGCTCTATTCAGTATGCTTCCATCAGTGTGTATAATGGGTTGTCAGTGCCAAGCTGAGAAGATTTGGATCCCCATGGGCATAATTTCAAGATTTTTTATAGTATAGTGGAATTTTGTAGGATTTTATAAAAAAAAAAAAAAACTAGATATCCAGATTCTTTATTGAACAAACCCTCCCAGTGTATTTGGCTTGGTTTCACTGTTGGCTTTTTCTTGATTTTTGCTAGGTTTTTCATATGTTAAATTTTAAGTAGGGACATTGTTGCAATTCTTCAAGGAGTTTTTATCTTTAGTCTGCTCACTCCTAAAATGATGTTTTTTTAAATGAACCAAAAGGATATATTTTATATAGCATGTTTTAAATAAATAGTCAATGAAAATGTGTGTAATAGTATCTATTTTTAAGTACTATGCTATTATGCATAATCTGTTTTCTTTAAAATTTGAAATTCTTTCCTTCCCTTTAAATATATCATTAACTTGTGATAATCTTAACTACATTTTAACTCTATTCTAGAGTGATTATACTTTCTTTACGATGGGCTCTTTTACTTTTTTTGCCCCTTTTCTTGTCCCTACTTATTGTTTTTGCCCTTTTTCTTGTCCCTACTTATTGTTTCTTTTCTATTCTTGGTCTGTTTTAATGTCCCTTTCTCATATACTTTTATTGCTTACTTGCTTTTCATCTAACTCTTTAACTCTCCTTTCCTATAATCCTAAATGATTTGTGTCATCTACCAAACTGAGTTTTTACTATTTTTTTCACCAACTGTTAATCAGTTTTGTCATTTTAAGGCACCCTCAAATGTGACTTCAATTTCAAATAAACTTCCCATTTGCTATTGATATAACTATAATGTTTGTATACATTTCCCATGACTTCCAATTAACCATGAATGACGACAGTTTTTAAACTTGATTTAGGTATAATGCTATAGAAATACACTTTGTTAATATGCTTGAAATTAAATTTTAACATATTCCTTATTTTGGGAAAGCCTGTGCACATGCCTCTGGCAAGCGTATATGTCACTTTATCATATGTGCTGGAGTATTTTTCTCCTGCTATTAGACTGTAAGCCCCTTAAAAGCAAGAACCATATTTAAATCTCTAGTGTCTGGCACAGGGCAGGTTTTTAATGAATGGATAGTAAATAAATAAATGAATGGATGAGAACAAAGTTAGTTGTGTAATTTCCATGGTCTTGTTCAAAAAATACTTCCTCTGCCAGCTCCAAATGATACTAAATGAAATTTCTTTCACAAAGGCCAAGTCTTTTACTTTCCCAACTGGACTTATTTTACAACAAAAATACCGTTAGAAAAACACATTTATTTAAACCTATTTATCCAAGGCAGAAGTTCTTAATCTTGGCTGAAATTGGCTGAAAGTGAGAATCATGTCCCCATCCCAGTAAAAATAAATTAGAAACACCAGTCCCCCAACCCCAGGTGAGTCTAATGTGAAGGAAAGGCTGAGAACTACTATGCTAACTAAGAGAGAAGCAACCGATGGCATGTTCTAAGGGGCATGAAAATAAAGCGAGGTCTCTAATGATTGTGGCAAAGAAGTTCTTTGCTGTGGGAAGGGAGGTGGGGAGTTTAAAGAGTCCATTTCTCCCTTCAGGAGGCTGGGGGTGGCTGGAGACAGAAGTGTTCTTTGTTGTTGTTGTTTTTGTGTTTTGTTTTTGAGACCAAGTCTTGCTCTGTCGCCAGGCTGGAGTGCAGGCGCGATCTCTGCTCTCTGCAACCTCCACCTCCTGGTTTCAAGTGATTCTCCTGCCTCAGCCTCCCGAGTAGCTGGGACTACAAGCCTGCACCACCACGCCCAGCTAATTTTTGTATTTTTAGTAGAGACGGGGTTTCACCATGTTGGCCAGGATGGTCTCGATCTCTTGACCTCATGATCTGCCTGCGTTGGCCTCCCAAAGTGCTGGGATTACAGGCGTGAGCCACTGCACCCGGCCAGAAGTGTTTTTTAAGGTATCTGTTATCTTTAAAAACTTAAGGAGAAAGATTGTAAGTACTATCTAAAGAGGTAAACTTTGAAAAGGAAAAAATATTTAATTTTAAATTTTAAAATGAGGTCAGAGATTCTAACAAATGCTAATAAAAGGGCTCTTTGAATTTTTGGGGCTTTTACAAAAAATACTGTGTAGGCAGGCAAACACAGCAAGTGTATTAGGTATACAGACTAATACACTAAGAGGAAAGCCTAAAGAAGAATCAAAGTTGACATGACAGAACTTGAGAGGGGAAAAAAGAATTAGTATTAGAATACTAATTCTTTAAAATCTTGACACGGTGGCTCACGCCTGTAATCCCAGCACTTTGGGAGGCCAGGGTAGGAGAATCACTTGAAGCCAAGAGTTCAAGACTAGCCTGGGAAACATAGCGAGACCCCCATCTCTACAAGAAAAGAACACAAAACAATTAGCCAGGTGTGGTAGCATGCGCCTCTAGTCGTAGCTACTCAGGATGCGGAGGCAGGAGGATTGCTTGAACCCAGAAGTTCAAGACTGCAGTGAGCTATGATCGCACCACTACACTCAAGCCTGGGTAACAGAGTGAGATCCTGTCTCAAACAACAAAAAAGTATTTTTTAAATTAGTGTCTATACGATAATAATTCCGAAAACATAAAAACTATATGTGTCTGTGGATGAGGACTAGAAAAGAGATATTAAATGATTGGCATGTTTAGGTGTATTAAACTTGAAGCTTGAAGTTCTGGTTCCTACTTTGCTATTTAGATGCATACGTGTGGTGAGGTTTGGGCTTTTGGTAAAAAAAAAAAAGTAAATGTAGTAAAAATATAGTTAAAAAAGTAAAAATATATGCCAGGCGCAGTGGCTCATGCCTGTAATCCCAGCACTTTGGGAGGCTGAGGAGGGTGGATCACCTGAGGCCAGGAGTTCGAGACTAGCCTGGCCAACATGGTGAAACCCCATCTCTACTAAAAATACAAAAATTAGTCAGGTGTGGTGGAGTGTGCCTGTAATCCCAGCTACTTGGGAGGCTGAGGCAGGAGAATTGCTTGAACCAGGGAGGTGGAGGTTGCATTGAGCTGAGATTGCGCCATTACACTCCAGGCTGGGCAACCGAGCAAGACTCCGGTCTCGAAAAAAAAAAAGTAAAAATATAAACAAACCACCAAAAAAAAGAAAGAAAAGATGCTATGTGTCCTTAAGGAGGTCTCTTCATTTCTCTGGGGCCCAAATTTCTTTTCTGCAAAGTTAGGGAATTGAAAGCTTTAGTTAAACTAGTGCTTCTTGCAAGATTCCTCTAAGAGAGTAAAGAATGTAGCCTGTGGCTCAGAGCCAAGGCAACCTGAAGCACCCACTGCAAGTCCAAATTTTCTTGAAGTCTCGTGTTTTGCCTTAAAGGTGCATATCCTTGTATGTGAATTATTTCTCAAAATGCTGTGTTTTTTTTTTTTGTTGTCATTGTTTTTGTGTTGGGGTCTCACTCTGTTGCCCAGGTTGGAGTGAAGTCGTGCAATCTCAGCTCACTGCAACCTCTGCTTCCCAGGGTCGAGCGATCCTCCCACCTCAGCCTCCCAAGTAGCTAGGACTACAGGTGTGCACCACCACACCCAGCTAATTTTCGTGTTTTTGGTAGAGACGTGGTCTTACTATGTTGCCTAGGATGATCTTGAACTCCTGGGCTCAAGCAATCTTCCCACCTCCCAGTGTTGCGATTACAGGTGTGAGCCACTGAGCCTGGCCAAAATGCTGTTTTTAAAAAAAGTTCATGAGCTTTTTATTCCTTCCTATTCTTTTTGTGTTTTTTTTCTTTTAAATATACAGTTAATCCCATATTGTATATACAATTTTATATTCTGATTTTTCACTATCATATCTTTCATATTTTATGTATGTCATTAAAATGTTGTTACGTTTTCTTTTTATTTTTTCTTTTGAGATGAGGTCTTGCTATGTTTCCCAGGCTGGCCTCTAACTCCTAGGCTCAGCCTCCTGAGTGGCTGGGATTACAGGGGCCGCCACTGTGCCCCACTCATTATTTTTCTTTTAAGAGCTATATAATGTTCAGTCATATGGCTGTACTGTAATGTATTAACCTCCTGATTGGGATGTTCATGGTACAGCTCAGTGTGTTTTCATCTCCACTATACTCTTTCCCTCCACTTGGCTCAGTGTAAAGGCTGAGCCTTCTTTATACTTTCTTTTTTTCTTGTGGTTTTTTGTTTTGTTTTGTTTTGTTTTGAGACAGAGTTTTGTTCTTGTTGCTCAGGCTGTAGTGCAATGGCACGATCTTGGCTCACTGCAACCTCTGCCCCCCAGGTTCAAGTGATTCTCCTGCCTCAGCCTCCCAAGTAGCTGGGGTTACAGGCATGTACCACCATGCCTGGCTAATTTTGTATTTTTAGTAAAGACGGGATTTCACCATGTTGGTCAGGCTGGTCTGGAACTCCTGACCTCAGGTGATCTGCCCACCTTGGCCTCCCGGAGTGCTGGGATTGAGCCACCGCGCCTGGGCTTTCTTTATACTTTCTAATTGAATCCTCTGAAGTGCAGGAGATCATAAGATGAAAATTTTTCTCTCTCATTGCTGCAGTGTGTGAAATGGTCTCTTGGTGATATAAATTGTAATTTGTCCTTTTTGGAGGTCTCGCCCTAATGAGGGGGAAGGAAGAGAACATGACCGAAGGCTGACTCCACACAAGGCCTTCTGTAAAGGTTGTCACATGTCACCACCCAGTGAGGGAATCACTATCCCACTTCATGGAATAATAAGCGGAGACTCAAAGGAACGAGTAACTGGCTACAAAAGTGGGGTACCAGGGTAAAATTGGGTTCAATCCACCCCAGATCTGTGCCAAGTGGTCCTGGGCAGCACACTCTTGTCCCACAGCAGCAATAGAGCCAGCACAGGGTCCCCGACACTCTCCGCCAATCCAGTCTTCCCTCAGCTCCGATCTCGATCTCTTTTCTTGGCTGCACAATGGCCTCTCCTGTGATTAACATCTTATTTTTTGATGAGGATCCTTAGCATACAGCAGATAGTTTGTTTTCCAGAGGATATACAAATGAATGGTTATTTAATGTTTAGAGCAGGGAGCAGCAAACTTTCTCTTTTCCTTTTTCTTTTGGTATATAAACTATGTATTAGCAGACAAGGCCACAGACTTAGTGCTTCTTGGACACAGCCATAGTATGGCCACAGTGGCCAGTGGTCTTAATGTGCTGGCTTCAGACACGAAGACCCCAGAAGTGGTGCAGCCCTCTACAGGCTGGAATCTTCTTCAGTTGCTCCAGGTCTTCACGGAGCTTGTTATCCAGATCATTCGCCAGGACCTGGCTATAGTTTCCAGCCTTTCCATCCTTCTGCCTGTTCAAGAACCAGTTGGGGATCTTGAATGCATGGATTCTGCTTAGTGGCAATCATATGTTCCACCTCATCCTCAGAGAGTCCTGTGCTCTTGGTGAGGTTAGTGTCTGCTTTCTCAATACCACATGAGCATATCTTCGACCCACACCCTCAATGGCAGTGATGGCAAAGGCTATTTTCTGCCAACATGGATGTTGGTGTTGAGTACTCGCAAAATATGCTGGAATTTCTCAGGGATCACAAGAGATAAGGCAGCAGCACAAGCGGCGGTGTGCAGGCCTCCTGTGGAAGAGCAAACTTTTTCTGCAAAAAGCCAGATCGTGAATATTTTAGCCTTTGTGAAATACGTGATCCCCGTCCTAACTACTCAATTCTGTCTTTGTAGTAGGAAAGCAGCCACAGACAATGTGAAACAATGGGTGGTCTGTGTTGCAGTAAAACGTTATTTAAGCACGCAAATGTGAATTTCATGTAATATTCATTGCTTACAAAGTGTTACTCTTCTTTTGAGTTGTTTCCATCCACTTGAAGATGTACAAACCATCCCTAGCTCAAGGGCAGTTCAAAAGGCAGCGTGGATCATCATTTGCCAAGTGCCCCACCTCCCAAATGGGTGGAGTGTTCAAATGTCCAGGCTGCTGAAGTGAGGGCCACTCACTCCACTAGGACAGTTCTAAAGGACATACATAAACAGAGATCTCAGCCACTAAACTCCTACTTGTACATTAACATGTGCGGAAGGTAGGTGATAGGCGATGACAGAAATGCATCTTCTAGAAACTAGGCAATACTAAATACCCTCCCAAAGCTGGAATTCAGTTAGCACTCCTGTTTCTGGAAGGCATCCTTGCACTAAGCATGAGGTCTTGTTATTTCCATCTCCATTCCAACCATCTCTCTAAGAATCACTCACTCTGGGCTCTCAGTACCTGCAGTGCTCCCCTTTATTTTTTTTAATCTGCATTTTTAAAACATTTCAATAGTTTTTGGGGTACAGGTGGTTTTTGGTTTCATGGATGAGTTCTTTAGTGGTGACTCCTGAGAATTTAGTGGTGCCCTCCTTTAAAGACTGCCTGTCACCCCACCCAGCCCCTCCCTTCGGTGGCCACACTAGAATTTGAAGCTTAAACTAACTCCCCTCCCTGAACTCCTCACATCCTGTTCCCTGCCCCATTCCTCTACCTTCTTAGCCACTTTCACTCCATTCCTTTTACTGCCTCAATGGCAACAATTATTCCACCCATCAGATCCATGACCAATTGTTTCTATTACTTTTTCACCGTGCTTCACCCAAATCAAATCCTCACTTTCCTCCTTATCCAGCCTAAATTTCAACGTCAATCCTGATACTGTCTTCTTTGCTTGCACACTAAGTCTAGTTTTTAGCACCTGGGTGGTGTCTTTAATTCAGACAGAACGCAAGGGAGAAGATGTGGGAAGTAGAAAAGATGATGCAAACCCCATACCCTCCCCACTGGCTGCACTGCCCATGCCTGGTGATGCCTTTGGTGCTAGGGGCTTTGTGTGCCACTATGGCCCTAGGACTGCCTGCTCCCCAGCCTGAGTCTGGGTCCACGACTCATTTGCTCTTCCAAGCAACAGGCCTAAGGCACAATCAGAGGATGGAATGTGAATGGAACTGGATTTTCCAAAATTATCTGGATCACTGTCTTCATTTCCCTTAGCTCTTTCAGGTATATTATTCATGAAATAAATCTGAGCAGAGAATAAAAATTAGATGCTAAGTAAACAGCAAAACTCTTCTCTTCATAGTGGGGTAATTTATGCCTCTGGGCCAAAAGAGAGATGACCTAATACCTTCTACTGGGAAGTAACAAGTTTGGGAGGTAGACTAGTCATTCCATCCATTACAACTGATAATCTAAACTAATGCACTCTTAGAGATACTGAACATGTTTCAGAGCAAGCAAAATGTGTATATGATATGACACTATTTTTGTGACCGATAAAAACATTCATACTAAAATAAAACTAAGAAACAAAATAACTGCCTTTCAACAGATCAGTGTGATTAATAGATGATAAGGTATTACACTTTATATATTTAATTTTATAAATTATTCATATAGTTACATGAAATTGTACTGAAGAAATCAATTCAAATTGACATAATTATGGGCACTGGAATATAAACTAAGAACTGACTAAAAGACCAGCAGAAAACCTGTCATGCTTTAAGTTAAAGGCAGGCACTGTGAACTCTTTGATACCTGGCATGCTGTCAACTAGAAAGCTTTAGTGAGTGGTTCTTTGATCTACCCATTCAATATTATTTGATCCAAGTTCGTGGAGGGCAAGGTCTATGTCTTATGCATCTGTTTGTTTTAAAATTTCTTGCACCTTGTTCTGTGCCCGGCATGTAGTAAACTCAAAAAATAGAGCTGAAATGAATCAATGAGTGAATGAATGAATATGGTGGTGAGGATGAGACACTACAAAACTCTGAATTGGTTTTTGGTTTTGTGTTTTTAGAGACAGGGTCTTGCTGAGGCTGGAGTGCAGTGTCACTGTCATAGCTCACTGTAGCCTCAACCTTCCGGGCTCAAAGGATCCTCCTGCCTCAGCTTCCCAAGTAGCTGGTATTACAGGTGTGTGCCACCACACTCTACTAATTTTTAAATTTTTAAATTTATCCCTATGTTGCACAGTCTGGTTTTGAATTCCTGGGCTCAAGTGATCCTCCAACCTCAGCCTCCTGAAGTGCTGGGGTTACAGGTGTGAGCACAGTAATACTAGTATATCTGGCCTGGTTTTGTTTTTTTAAGCCAAGAAAGCCTAAATTATATTCAGTATGTATTATATTCTAACACTGTGCCAAATTGTAATTCTCAATTAAATTAATATTTTTAAAGTGGCCTTGAAGTTAGTAATAATTTGGTTTTCAGGAGGAAAAATGAGCATTTCATTAAAACAGAGAAACTAGTAAAATGAGAAATAAAATGAAAATTAACTATGAATCTTTAAATATAAAAGTTTTACTTTAAAAAGGAAGAGTAAGATATCATCAGGTAGAGAATTATATCTGAGCATAAGTAGGGATGTGTTCACACGAATGATCTACTAGAATCAGATATATAAAGTGTAACACCTTTTCATTTACTAATCTTACATCTCTATTTAAAAGCAGTTAAATTTCCTCAGATTATCTATTGGTCAGCGAAATAGTGTTATATCATTTAAATATTTTAGTACCAAAAAAAGCCCCAAGCAAATAGCTCGATAACCTGCTGCTTGAATATTCTAAAAGCCCTTACAAAGTGTCTTAATGTTATAAAAAGTTGAGTAGTGATTTCCCACAATTTGTACAAGTGGTACCCCTTCTCCCAGCCTCTGCCCCTGTTCAATTTCTCTCAACTTACTGGAGCAAACTATTTATGCTGAAAGTTGGCCGTAGGAGGAAGATGCCAGGAGAGGAGCTCTGTGGTCCCCAAATTTATGACATATGCCATGTGACACTCCGTCAACATGATTGCAAGCCAGTGGTTTACATTCACTTTCTAGGAAGTCAAACCAGGCAGGGTATAACTGTGATGTTGTGGCTTTTCCAGCTTCATAAATTCAGTATTTTAGTTACGTATGGATAAATGTCACAATTATATGCCACAAAAATCAGTTCACATAAACCTGTCCTTCTTGAGGTTTTTTTTAAGTGAAAAAGGAAAGTCTAAAATGTTTAAAATTTTGAATAAAATATACTTGAATCTCTGATTAAAATGACATACAAATAAGGAAAAAAAATTGAGAAAATTAACATGGTTCTCATGGCAGGATTGATAAAAATAGGCTATATTTCCCCTCGAAGGTTTTCTCAGAATACTTTTGCTGGTCAGGCATGGTGGTTCACACCTATAATCCCAGTGCTTTGAGAAGTTGAGGAGGGAGGACTGCTTGAGTTCAGGAGTTTGACACCAGCCAGGAAACATAGGGAGAACCTGTCTCTACAAAAAAAAAAAAATACAAAAATTAGCAGGGCATGATGGCATGCACCTATAATTTCAGCTACTCCAGAGGCTGAGGCGGGAGGATCCCTTGAGCCTGGGAGGTTGAGGCTGCAGTAAGCTATAATCATGCCACTTCACTTCATCCTGGGCAAGACCTGTCTTTCTCTATAAATATAAAAATAAAAATTAGTCAGCCATGGTTGTACATGCCTGTTGTCCCAGCTACTCAGGAGGCTGAGGCAGGAGGATTGCTGGAGCCCAGGAGGTCAAGGCTGCGGTGAGCTGGGATTGCGCCACTGCACTTTACCTGGGTGGCAGAGTGAGACCATATCTAAAAATAAAAATAAAAATAACTTGCTGTTATCTAAAAAAATTGTTTAAGGAAGAAATTATAATGTATCTTGCAATCTTTAATTTCCAGCTGTTCTACTGTCAATGATGACAGGAGACAGGAATTTAGCTTAGCAGTGTGCCCAAAGCAAGGCAGCATAGCAACTATTCTGTAGGGCAAATTGCTCAGCGAGCAATATGCCCTCTGTGTGGCAATCTAACATGTGCCCATGCCGAGCTAATTTGCTAAAAAAAAAAAAGTTTAGAACAAAAGCTATCACTTCATGTCAGCTACTTACTGTGGGAAACGACTATATATGTTTTTGTATGATTTTCAATCTCATATAAGAAGAAGGAAGATATATTGTGGCTGATGTCAATATTTAACTATTTTGGAGTCTCTGCATTTCAAAACCTTCACAAATTTCAAAATACCAATTTTTCATTATTCTGCCTCATGCCAAAACATATTTGTCTGGATCAAGCTGAGTACAGTGCACATCAGCTTACCTTCAGGAATTATAAATGCATAATTTTGAGATGTTTTGCAGCAATACTATAATAGGCCCCATTCTTTCATTTATGTTTGAAGCCTGGTAAAAATATGTGCATGGGTGCTGGGGCATGAGGGTGAGCACCAACCTTCAAGATTGCTCCTGCTAAATGAAGGCAATTTCTCTGCTCAGAGTTGTGGAGGCTGAAAGCATCCACAAGGTTGTTCCAGAGGTGACAAGCCTTTCAATTAAGTGGAGCTACTTAGGTATGCCTTTACAATAAAGCAGGAGTGCTGTAACTGTGTTGTAATTCCCCTTAATGTATGCATTTTTCTTTCTGCTTCCCTTCCTTCCTCCATTTCATCCTTTCTTGCTTGCTACTTTATTTGTAAATTTATGTTTCTTTCTAGATTAGAGTCACTTTGTACACATGTAGGGCAATTTCTCCCAGAGTTGTGATGGTTGTAAAGTCATCCCTAAGAATCTTGTTTGACATCTCACTGTCTTCTTATACAGGCAAAGAATAAGGGGAAATATGGAACAATCATAATTAACCATAAATGGAGAGTATAAAAGTAATACATATGAGGTTTTAAATCTCAATCGTCAATTTCAAGAACAGGATTAAAGACTAAAATCATAAAGATATCAGCAAAAGTGATTTGTACACTCAAAAAGAATGTAGGGCTTTAATACATGTTTTATTTTTATTTTTAGTTAAAGGACCTTTGCTTTTGTTTTTGTGTGTGTGGGGTTTTTGTTTTGTTTTCTTTTTTTGAGACAGGGTCGCCCTCCGTCAGCCCAGGCTGGAGTGCCATGGTGTGATCATGGCTGGGCTGAAGCGATCCCCCTGTCTCAGCCTTCCGAGCAGCAGGGATTACAGGAGTGTGCCACCACACCTGGCTAATTTTCTTATTTCGTGTAGAGATAGGGTCTCACTTTGTTGCTCAGGCTGATCTTGAACTCTTGGGCTCGAGTGATCCTCCCATCTCGGGTTCCCAAAGTGCTAGGATTACAGGCATGAGCCACTGAGCCCAACCTGTATTTTTTAATAATGGTGAAGTGCAACTATGAATTGTAATAGAAAGCAAGCTAAACAATATATGGAAAATTAGTCTTGCCTTAAGTAAGCTTTCCCAAAATTTTGAATTTACCTTACAGATAAAATGAGATAAAAAGGCAAAATCTCTTGCCCCTTTAAGGAAAATGGCATAACATCACAGACATTTGATAACTACTTTTACTTCAATAATTATCTTTACTTTTACAATAGCACTACATTTTTTACAGCTTTATAAAGGGATAATTGGCACACAATAAACAGCAGTTAATTACAGTGGGTAAATTTTGACATATGTATATATCCTTGAAACCGCCACCTTGATGGAGATAGCCAACATAGTCATCTCCAAATGTTTTCTTCTGCCTTGTGGCAGTTCCTCGCTCAGTTTCCTGCCCTCTACCCCCTTTCTTTGGCTCAACCACTGCCTCATTGGCTGTCATGATAGGTTAGTTCGGCATTACGTTTAATAATCTGTAAGGAAAACAAAAATGTTCCCTTTCACTCAATTAAAAAAAATGGTTGCTTCGTTTCTTAACTGGAAGGTAAAGTAATAGTGTTGGAGTGAGGAGGAAGACACACAGGTCATCAGAAGGAACTCTCACCTGAGTAATGATTTTGCCGATTATTTTTCATACTCCACAGCCTAATGCTAATTGGATTAAAGATTCAAGAATCCAGGAAATGAAGTAAAAAAGGTATGTTGAGTTTAATAAATAACGGGTTTTTTTCTACCTTATCTATCAACTTATTTCTAGTTAATAAATGGATTTACGAAATCTGGCCAAAAATGAAGGTCTCCACTGATAAATGCTCAAAACAAGCTGTATGTTGGAGTTTTATGTCAATAATAAGGCAAATTGTTGCAAATGACATTAAAACACTAAACTCTATCTTATGAAAGTGTGATTTTATTCCATTACAATATGTAAAAATTATATATGCAGATAAGTAAAGACTGGCTGAGAATCTCAAAAATGACAGTTCAATTTTGCTGGCTTGTGGAATTATGTGTATATATTTTAAATTAAATAAATATTTTATTATGTATAATAAATAATTTATTTCTACCCCTTTCCAATATACATTATTCTATTGAACTTGGAGGGTTCGCTTTTGCATTTTGAGAGTGTTTTTGTAAGATGTGATATCTAAAATAAGCTCAATACTTCATTTTATAAACAGCACATTTTTCATTCTCTTGACATTGCCAAAGGATAATGCTGTACATTGAAACATAAAACAAAAATAGACCCAACTCTGTTGGAAGCATAATATATGTAGCACTAATGCTACTTATTGATTACCACAAAGGTGTTTGCTTTTGCTTTTTGTAGCTCTTCCACTGTAGAGCAAGAAACCAGAAATACACTATTTGTGAAAGGTGGTTGTACTAAAATGTTTTCTTGTGGTGAATGCTTATTCCACACTCTCATAAAACAAATTAGTCTTTCATGATGAATGAAGTATTCGTTCTTTGGGCTATATGCATTTCAAACCTTGAATATGCTTAGATAAATTTAATAGCAGAAATCTGTGTAAAATACATAGCTTAACATATACTTTATACATGGGTTTGTATATGAATTTTAATTAAAATATGTTTCAAATAGTCTATTAGTTTCAATTACTGTTTACATAGTGTTGAAAGATATGGCAGTGACCAACCTAATTTGACAATTTACTAAAATATTTTTTATTCATATAGTTCTGATTTAAAAGATACAGACGTATTTTCAAATCAATTCATACACTTGAAAGACATGTTTTTGAGCACTCTGTATTTAGCACCAGACTAGGAATCAAAGTTTATTTGAACGGAATAGTAAATGGTAAAATCAGAGCGTGCTCTCAAGCACACAAAATTAGGGAGGACATAAAAGTAAACCAGTGGTTGATAACCATAGGTACAGATGATTATATGGATGAGTCCTAGATAGGTATTTACACTACTTGCTAATACTGATCATTGCAAAGATACTGCAAGTCCATCTTCATTACTGGTTTTGAATCTGTTAACAATTTCCCTGACAGTGAGGCTGAAGTAGACAGTTTTGAAATGAAACAGTTCTGTGGATCTGTGGATTTGATTTACAAATGAAATATTTCTATGATGTATCTGCTCTACAAAGATTTTAGATGAGAGGGTCTTCATTTCAGACTGGCAGTTGGCCAACCAAAATTGAACTCAGAAAATTCTGGGTTTTGGCTGGACACGGTGGCTCATGCCTGTAATCCCAGAATTTTGGGAGGCCAAGGTGAGAGGATTGCTTGAGGCCAGGGGTTTGAGATCAGCCTGGGCAACAAAGCAAGACTCTGTCTCTACAAAAATAAAAACAAATTAACCAGGCCTAGGGGCATGCACCTGTAGTCCCAGCTACTCGAAAGGCCGAGGCAGGAGGATTGCTTGAACCCAGGAGATGGAGGCTTCAGTGAGCTAGGATTGCACCACTGCACTCCAGCCTGGGCAATACAGTGACACCTTGTCTCAAAAAATAAATAAATAAAAATAAATAAAATAAAGTAAAATCCTAGGGTTCACTCACAAAAACAAATAAATGCTGAATTCCCAGGAAATAAAATTACAATAAAAATTCTTTTTAATGGTAATTTCATGCTTATATGTATTTTTATATTTCCTATAATAAGTTTAGATATAGCAAAGTTAAAAATCTATGTTTTGGTTAAAGCCCCAATATTTTAACAAAAAACAGCTGATTTTAATCTATTTCTTTCAGTGATTTATGTATTACTTGGGAATTCTATTGTTTATATATTGATTACAGGCTATAATTACATTAAATAAACTGAGAAAGCATGTCACAAACCAGTTTTAGCAATAACTATATTTTTACATATCTGTCTTTTGAAAAAGTGGACTGGATATTTATATTTTACTTGGTAATATCTCAATTTCCTCAATAAGTAAGTCAGTAAATTGAATTTATAGTTTATTTTGTCTGCCCTCCCATCAAATTATATGAATAAGAAATACTGTGGTCTCATAACATAATTCTATTTCCAAGAGAAAGAACATGCAAGTCTGTAGAATAATAGTCAATAGTGATTTTTGTCAAAATATATTTATTGAGCATCTATAGTACACAAGGCACTGTAGGGGTGATAGCAATATATTTTGTTTGATGTCTTTGCTTTTAAGAGAAGTACACTAAAAAAAAAAAAAGAGGAGTCCACTTTAGGTAGGAATTCACATTCAGGCAACAAATACAGGACATGTTTTCCATTCTATATGTCAAAGGTAGCTTTGGTGGATTCCCATATGCCAATTTAGGGCCTCTGATTCAGACATTTTCAAAGTGACCTTGTTAAAAATGAGTTACAAGCCTCAAAAATGTAGAGTGTGAGTGGTGATGGAATGGTATGCCCAATGAGGTCAGATCATATAGGGCCTACATTCTTTATGCAATGCCGCTACTGAAGAGTTTCAAAGCAGGGAACAGTTTTCTAGACAGAAGTGATAAGACTGTGAATTTAGTAATATATTTGACTAGAAAGGAGAGTAAAGATCTGAGAAATGTTAAGGAAGTACAGTTGTCAAGACTTGGTCACTCGCTGAATGTGACCGGTGACAAATGCTTCCAGGTTTCTGGCTTGGGTGATGAGATGGATGAAGTTGCCGCTTCTTAAAGGGGGCACCAGGAGGAGAAGCACACATGCAGAAAAAGGTCATTCCCTGTGGGATGTGTTAAGTTTTATGTAATTTGGGGGACTTGACAATGAAATGTCCACTAGGCAGTCTGGTCCTCTGGAACTTCAGGGAAAAAAATATTTGCTGGGATGAAAGATTTCAGATTCATTATATAAATGAGACTCATTAGCATGTGTGTTGTCATCGAAATCATGGAAGTGAATGAAATTGCACAGGGTCCTCAGTAAATGTTACTGGGTCTAATGAATAAATAAATAACCAGGGAAGATTAAAAGAGAGAACTCAGAGGTCAAGGAGGAGCTCCAAAATAATAGGGAAAGTGCCAGGCAGGATAAACAGAACCCACTCTGTAAGTTTCCTCAGGATTGTCTTCGGTCATCGGAACATATGTTCTGTAGCAGAATACCATAAAAACAAGCATACTATAAATAAAGTTTTAAGAAAACTTCAATAATTAATAACTTGGAGATAAAATTGATACGATAACATTACTTGGAGATAGCTAAATTAGCTATTTCAGAACTGACACATTCTAGCAGACTGAATCTACATCATTATGGAGCTAGCTCATGAATCCACATTATTAATGAAATGTGAACATCACCCCTTCAATTTGCTCTCTGAGAAAAGAAAAAACACAGCATGAAGCTTGAGAGGCATTATTAAATAGGAGTTATGAGCACAAACTTTAGCGTAGTGTTTCTCAATCTCATTTTCTTTCTTTCTTTCTTTTTTCTTTTTTTGGAAACAGGGTCTTGCTCTGTTGCCTAGGCTGGAGCTCAGTGATGGAATCATAGCTCCTTGCAGCCTTGACCTTCGGGGCTCACGTGATCTTCTTGCCTCAGCCTCCAAGTAGCTAGAACTACATGTGGGTGCCACCATGCCCAGATAATTTTTTTAAAATTTTCATAAAGATAGGGGTAATACTGTGTTGCTCAGCCTGGTCTTGAACTCCTGGGTTCAAGCCATCCTCCCACCTTGGTTTCTCAAAGTGCAATTTCATCCACTCCCATGATTTTGATGACAACACATATGCTAATGATCTCATTTATATAATGAATCTGAGATTACAGGTGTAACCACTGCCCTCAGCCTTCATTTTCATTGCACTCCTAAGGAGATATTTTAGACATATTTTTCTTAACCAATCTCTCCTTCCCCATGAGATTTTAATTCTATTTGTGTACTATGTGACTGTTTATGTATCTGTCCCTTGGGAGGGCCACAAACCTTGGTAATATCTAAGATTTTGTTTTTATCCCCTAAAAATCAATTTCTGCTCTCATTAAGAATACACACTCGGCCGGGCGCGGTGGCTCACGCCTGTAATCCCAGCACTTTGGGAGGCCGAGGCGGGCGGATCACGAGGTCAGGAGATCGAGACCATCCTGGCTAACACGGTGAAACCCCGTCTCTACTAAAAATACAAAAAATTAGCCGGGCGTGGTGGTGGGCGCCTGTAATCCCAGCTACTCGGGAGGCTGAGGCAGGAGAATGGCATGAACCCAAGAGGCGGAGCTTGCAGTGAGCCGGGATAGCGCCACTGCAGTCCAGCTTGGGCGAAAGAGTGAGACTCCGTCTCAAAAAAAAAAAAAAAAAAAAAAAAAAAAAGAATACACACTCTGGAGAGTCACACTGCCCCAACTGAGGTCCTAGCTCTACTGCTTTTTAGCTGTGTGACCTTGTACAAGCTACTTAATCTCTCTGTTCTCCAGTTTTCTCTTCTGTAAAATGGGGATAATAATAGTACTGTCCTCATAGGAGTGCTGTGAAGATTGAATAAATTCACACATGTAAAATACCTAGCAAGCCTAACACATAAACAGCAATTACTCCTTTTCTACTTATATATATATAAGTATAATACTTACACTTATATATATATATATATGATCTTCCTCTCTTTCTTTTCTTTATTTTAATTTTATCTTGTTACATTTATTTTTGTGAATGTTCACTTTGTGTTTAATAATTTTGCTGCTTATAATTTAGAAAACCTTTTTTAGAGACAAGGTCTTGCTATGTTGCCCAGGCTGACCTCTAACTCCTAGGCTTAAGCAATCCTCCTGCTTCAGCCTCCTGAGTAGCTAGGACTACAGGTGCGTGCCACGACGTCTGACATAGAAAACATTTTATTATTAGTTTTATCCATGATCGTTTTTCCTCTCCATGATGTGTAAGAATGAATTGACTTCATATAAGTTTTATTCAACTGTGTTTAATAAAGCCATATTTTTAAAGGAAAAAAAGTAATTCTTTCCCCAAAAACTAGATACCAAAACAAAAAACAAATAATAAAACTAGGTACTAGTTTTCAGAGGCATGCATTTTATTTCCATGTCTCATATTTTCTGTTTTAGCCTAATGCCCAGACGTTGATTATTTGTAAGCATTACCACAATTCTAGATAAAACCAGAGTTATTTGGTAGACTGTTCAACTAAAATTTTAAAATTTTTTCCAAATTTTTAGTATTATATAGCCAACGTTTATTACATGTGTGAAAGTTGGTCAGGTATAAAGTGAGCACCTGCCCTTGGAGGTCACCCACATCTCAGGATCACACAGCATTCCTAGGAACTTTCACAACATGGTAAAGGCCATTAGTTCTCGTGCAGCTGTGAAGTTGAATACTGAGCTACAAATGGTTTCGTGTTCCCATATCAGTAAGCCATGTACCCAGGTATGTCATATCTCCTCCAGTTTGCCTAGATGTAACAATATTTTGCCACACATTTCATAGTTTACCTGTGATTGTCAAAATCCTTTATCCACTCCATAGAACTACTAAAGGCTTTAACCAGCAGTTTTGATTATGAAAAAGCAGTGGCTCAAATTGCTGAACCAGAGTGCTGATTAAATTGAAGCTATTCAAAACATGGATTGATCACTTATTACATATGTGTGGAATACAAAGGTGAATAAACTCACAACCCTGACACTAAGCAGCACACATAACCACTATACAAGGCAGAAAGGGATAATGAGACGACACAGGTATGACCACCGTTATCTGAAGCATAGAGGAGGGGAACAACACATTTAGCTGAGGGGATTGGGAAATGCATTTTGGAGGAGGTGGCATTTGAGAACGGCCATATAGGATTTCAAAGGGCCTTTTAGGAAAAATATCTTGGGATATGATGAAATTCCATTCATTTACAAGGCCCTGCAAGGGGCGTGCTCTGTCACATACTTTCTCTCTGGAGCTTCACCTGAACATGTTCCTGTCCTTTCTCTGGTCTAGCCACATAGGCCCATCTTAGTTCCTGGTACCCTCTCTCCTGTCACATGATTTCTACATATGCTATTCCCTCTGGCTGGAACAACTTTGTACCACCTTTTTACCTATGTAACTCCTAATTATCCTTCAGACCCCAGCCCAAGTGCCACCTCCTCAGGGAAGCCTTGGAGATCAAATCCTCTCACACAGGCTCTCATGCCATTCATTTGTATGATCACTTGATTGAAGTCTGTGTGCCCCAGTGGATCATAAGCTCCACGGGGGCACCAACTGTGTGTATTACTTCACCTTTGTATTACCTGCATCTGGCAGAATGTCTGACACCTACCAGGTGCTTAATAATTGGTATTGAATGAATACATGAATTAATATGAGCCAAGGAAAGCACAGAGGTGTGTTTGGAAACTGATAAAAAATCTGGTTTGACCGAAGAAATAATCTTCAAGTTTATGTTCAGACACAATGATGACATACAAATTGTCCAAAAGTGTTTTTCTGGTAAAATTTAAAAATGGCTCCTGTTTCCCAGTGCATAAGACAATACATTCATGGATAGATTTCTCCACTTAAAGTTTTTCTCCTATATATTTTTTCTAAGCATTTGAAGACTTACAGTAGTCACAGTCTCTTTTTTTTGCCTGTAAGCATCAGTGAAGAACAAAATAAATGAATGTACAGCAAAAAATATTAGAAGAGAAAAGGTAATCATGATTAGTTTGACAACATAATCATTATAGACATTTGCTCATGGATATTGTATTATACATACATGTAACAGTTGTATTTTTCATGAGTTAAGTTTTTCCTAATTGATAGGATCCCCTTTCTACTGCAAAGAGGTAGAAAACATTGTTGGCCAGGATCAAACATTCATAGGAAAAATGTAAGTTCATTAAATCACCCACATAGCTTGAAATATTATAATTTTGCAACTGTGTAGACAAAACATCTGGATGATTAGATACATTTTTCATTTTCATCCGATTGTTTCAGAGTTACATACTCCTTCAATGGCCTAATATCTCCATGGTAACTTTATATCATATATGTACATTTTGCTTTTGCTACATATTAATTATCTGAAAACAATTTAGGATTTAAAAATCACAATTACAATAGTATGCACTAATTATTCAGAGAATTTCACTCTATTTTTGTGTTGTTTTCAGAGTTTCACAACTTTCCTATTTACTAATTCTAGGGTTTCTATTAAAAGTGTATTGTAATTCAAAACCCTAGCTTGTTCTAGGACTTTTTGGTCCATTATATTTTCCTAAAGTATTCATTTCATTCTTTTTTCTTCCTCTTTTTTATTTAATCATTAAATTATCTTATTTTACTTGGCTTTATACTAAAATAACCCAATATATTATACTGACCTCACCAAAGCTAGACATATGTACAGCATTTACTTAATTGAACTTTTCTGGCTTGTCTTGTTCTATATTTAAGCCTCCATTATGCAATGCTATTTACTTGATTTATTGGGTTTGGCTTACATGTTTTATAAATTGTGACTGTTGGGAAAATTTTAAAGAGATTGACTTGGCCTGATTGGAGAGTTTTATATTGAGGACTCGTTGCCATTGAATTTACATTTATTTTAAAAAATACATGCATTTTAATAAGGACCTTGATCTGGGAATAAATAACACTGGCTTCCAGTAGCTAGGACAAAAGGTTTCTTCCAATTTTAGATTATTTTTTCCAATTTTAGAATTTAGTTGAAGGCTCAAGTCTATGTGATACCAAACACCGAGGTGAGGGGGTGGAAATGTAGTCATTGGGATGTTTCAGGATATCTGAATAGAGGGCATTCTATAGGCCCTACATTCCAATGGTTTTCTGCATTGTCCTCTTTCTATCCAGAAATTTGGGCTTCTGCCTAAGTCCTTTTCTAAGGGCTTATACTCTTTTTCTAAGGTTATCCTTAGGGAAAATTGGTAAAGTAATAGTTACTCCATTAACCAAGTTTAACAGGGATTGCTGTGTATAGGTCCTATAATATCCTCTGATGACAGGGACTAATTCAATATAAAATACTGCCTTTTTTTCCTTTTATCTGTGGTTTAAATTCCTAAGTTTGTATGTCTCTTGCTATGCCCAGTTATATATGGAGTGCTACTATGTCCAAACACTGTGCTAAGTGCCAGGGAGTCAAAACTAAGTTAAACACAGTCCCTGCCCTGAAGGAACTCACAGAGACATAATGGAGTAGTGGCCGCATGGACAAAGTGTAGCGGTAGCATTCAAGAAGAGCAGTGCCCCACAGTACCTGGCCAGTGAGAAGGAGGAACAGGGAAAACCAGGGAAGAGGTGACCCTTGAGCTGAGTCTTCTAAGCGATTTGGGTCTGATCAGTCAGACAAGATGGGGAAGGCACTCGGGGGGAGGAAACAGCACAAATGAAGATGCAATACCTCATTCATTCAACCATTCAAAAAAATTTACTGAGCAAGTTCTATGTGCTATGAGTAGAACGCGTGGCTCTGCCTTAAGAAGTGTACTGTCAGATAGAGAAGGAAGATCTAATACGTGGATAAGGTGAACATAGTACTGTAAGAAAATAGCAGAGGCATTCCCAGGGTGGAACAGAGCTGAGGAAGGACTTCCAACCCAGATGCCCACCTGGCTCAGTTTACAATCTCAGCCCCGCGGAGGAGGCTTCTGCTGCTCTGTGCCAAGGTGGAGCCTTCTGGATCAAGCCTGCATGGACTCTATTCATCCCGTCGCTGTCCTTTCAGGGCTGCCCCTGTCAGAGGGCCTGCCGTGTGCTGGGCCTCTCGCCAACCCGTCTCCACCTATACCAATTTTCCCTTGGAGCCCAACATGCTCTGTGCTCAGTACCTCAAAATTAAGACAAGGTGTCAAGAGAGCAATCTTGCCAAAGACTCTGGGACCCGAAAAGGCCACTGAGAGACCCATTGGTAGCACAGCTCCTTGTTGTCTCCAAACCAGCAGCATCATCTCACTTGGAAGCTTGTTAGAAACGAGGATCGAGACCATCCTGGCTAACACTGTGAAGCCCCATCTCTACTAAAAATACAAAAATTAGCTGGGCATGGTGGCGCACACCTGTAGTCTCGGGAGGCTGAAGCAGGAGAATTGCTTGAATCCTGGAGGCAGTGGTTGCAGTGAGCCAAGATTGCACCACTGCACTCCAGCCTGGGCAACAGAGCGAGACTCCGTCTCCAAGAAAAAAAAAAGAAAGAAAGAAACAAATGAGTAATCTCAGCTAGCAGTGGTGGCTCACGCCTGGAATCCCAGCACCTGAGGTCAGGAGTTTGAGACTAGCCTGGCCAAAATGGTAAAACCCCGTCTCTAACAAAAAATACAAAAATTAGCCAGGTGTGGCGGCACACACCTGTAGTCCCAGCTACTCGGGAGGCTGAGGCACGAGAATTGCTTGAACCTGGGAGGCAGAGGTGGCAGTGGGCCGAGATGCGCCACTGCACTTCAGCCTGGGTGGCAGAGTGAGATAAGGGAGAGAGAGAGAGAGACTGAGACAAGGAAGGAAGGAAAGAAAGAAAGAGAGAGCGAGAGAAAGAAAGAAAGAAGAGAGAGAGAGAAAAGAAAGAGGGAGAGAGAGAAAGAAAGAAAGAGAGAAAGAGGAAAGAAAGAAAAGAAGAAAGAAAAAGAGGGAGAGAGAGAAAGAAAGAAAAGAAAGAGAGAAAGAGGAAAGAAAGGAAAGAAAGAAAAGAAGAAAGAAAAAGAAATAAAGACAAGAAAGGAAAGAGAGCAAGAAAGAAAGAGGAAAGAGAGAAAGAAAGAAAGGAAGAAAGAAAGACAGACTCTCAGGTCTTCAGGCCCCTGAGAGAATCTGCATTTAACAGGGTCGTGGTCACAGGTGGGAGAAAAGGAAGAAGAAAGAAAGAAAAGAAAAGAAAGGGAGAGAGAAAGAAAGAGGAAAGATAGAAAGGAAAGAAATTTAAAAAGGAAGGAAAGAAATGAAAGAAAGAGAAAGAAAAGAAAGAGAGAAAGAAAGAAGAAAGGAAAGAGAGAGGAAAGAAAAGAAAGAAGAGAGAGAAAGAAAGAAAGAGAAAGAAAGAAAGAAAGAAAAAAGAAAGACTCTCAGGTCTACAGGCCCCTGAGAGAATCTGCATTTAACAGGGTCATGGTCACATGTGGGAGAAAAGGAAGAAGAAAGAAAGAAAGAGGAAAGAGAAAGAAAGGGGAAAGAGAAAAAAGGAAAGAAATAAAAAAGGAAGAAAAGAAAGAAAAGAGAAAGAGGAAAGGAGAGAGAAAGAAAGAGGAAAGAAAGAGAAAAACAAAGAAAAGAAAGGAGAGAGAAAGAAAGAAGAAAGAGAAAGAAAGAAAAGAAGAGAGAAAGAAAACAAAGAGGGAGAAGAGAAAGAAAAAAGAAAAAAGAAAGAAAAGAAAGAGAGAGGGAGAACAAGCAAAGAAGGGAAAGAAAGAGAAAGAAAAGAAGAAAGAAAAAGAGAAGAAAGGAAAGAAAGAGAGAGAAAGAAAGAGGAAAGAGAGAAAGAAAGAGAAAGAAAAGAAAGAAAGAAGAGAGAGAGAAAGCAAGCAAGCAAGCCTCTCAGGTCTTCAGGCCCCTGAGAATCTGCATTTAACAGGGTCATGGTCACAGGTGGGAGAAAAGGAAGAAGAAAGAAAAGAAAAAGAAAGAAAGGAAAGAAAGAAGAGAGAAAGAAACAGGAAAGAGAGAAAGAAAGAGAGAGAAAGAAAAGAAAGAAGAGAAAGAAAGAAAGAAAGAAAGAAAGAAAGAAAGAAGAAAGAAGAAAGAAAGAAAGAAAGACAGAAAGACAGACAGACAAACTGACTCTCAGGTCTTCAGGCCCCTGAGAGAATCTGCATTTAACAGGGTCACAGTCACAGGTGGGAGAAGAAGAAGAAGAAAGAAAGAAAGGAAAGAAAGAGAGAGAAAGAAAGAGGAAAGAGAGAAAGAAAGGAAAGAAAGAAATAAAGGAAAGAAAGAAAGAGAAAAGAAAGAGAAAGAGAAGAAAGGAAAGAGAGAGAAAGAGGAAAGAAAGAAAAAGAGAAGAAAGAAAGAAGAAACAGAGAAAGAAAGAAGAAAGAAAGAAAGAAAGAAAGAAAGAAAGAAAGAAAGAAAGAAAGAGAAAGGCTGACTCTCAGGTCTTTAGGCCGATGAGAGAAGCTGCATTTAACAGGGTCACAGTCACAGGTAATGTTCCCATTAAAGTTGGCACGCGCTGGCCTAGCTCACACATGCATTTTAAGCCATTCTAGATGTATAGAAGTAAACTTTTAGGGCTGAAGAACATTTACCAACTTCCTCAGGTTATCTTAGTGTTTACTTGGATGTATTTACACATAAATCCCTCAAGCAACATATTTGAAACTTTATTTTCACCTTTGTTATCACTTCGGTGGAGACAAAAATAGTCACCATTCTTGTATATTAACCTTTCACATACTTTTGAAGTACTGGTTTTCTTAGCTCATAATTAGCTTGAAAAAACCTTCATTTGCATGAAAAGGGAAACTTCTTAAGTTAGAAAATTTTGCTAACTTAAATAGCACACGCCTAATTGTGAAACACAGGGTGAAATTCCTCTAAGCAGTATTTATTTTCTTGTAACAAGGCTTTGCCAACAGCTACTGACCTCTGATTTGCTTATGCAAAGGGTCTTACCTTTCAATAGAATGTTGCAGTCCCAACATACCAAGGCTTTTCCCTTTGTCTTGAAGTCTTTAATAACCACTCCCCAGGTCGCTTCTGCTGGAGGATGATTCTAGCTGTCCTGTGGTAGGAATGGCTCTTTTATACCTCTTCTGAGCCATTTTATACCTCTTCTGATCAGAGATAGGATTCCAATGTCTCACATTTCATTATCTTAGAATCCTCCAAATAAAAGCAGTGATATTGACTCAGAATTAGACACTTACGGGTAAGCATCCGTACGCAGTCCATTGCACAAAAAAGCTTAACAAGTCTTTTTCTAACAAAAACATAGTAAATGTAAAACTTTTAGGCTTCCTCGAAGACATAAAAATTTACTAAAATAATAGGCATAGCTGGGCATGGTGGCTCATGCCTGTAATCCCAGCACTTTGGGAGGCTGAGGTGATAGGCTCGCTTGAGGCCAGGGGTTTGAGATCGGCCTGAGCAATGAAGTGACACTCCATTTCTACAAAAAGTTTTTAAAAATTAGCTGGGTGGTGGGGGGCGCATGCCTGTGGTCCTAGCTACTCAGGAGGCTGAGGCAGGAGGATCACTTGAGCCCAGGAGGTTGAGGCTGCAGTGAGCCATGGTCTGATCATGACATTGCACTCCAACCTGGGTGACAGAGTGAGACCCTGTCGCAAAATAATAATAATAATACTAGGTATAATATATTTATTATTATGCCTATAACTTACAGGAATCACTATCTTTAGACAGCAGTGATTTTCTGCATATTTGTATATATTTTGAATATAATTGAATTGAAACAGAGCAATTGCCCCAATTCAGCATGCTGCAGGGTAGCTCTGTTCTATTTTTCTATCTGTCTGTAAAATTTTGTTTAGAGACAAAGTCTTACTCTGTGGCTCAGGCTGGAGTGCACTGGCATGATCAGACCATAGTTTACTGCAGCCTTGAACTTCTGGGTTCAAGGGATCCTCCCACCTTAGCCTCCTGAGTAGCTGGGACTACAGGCATATGCCACCATGCCTGGCTAATAAAAAAAACTTTTTTTTTGGTAGAGATGTGATCTTGCTATATTGCCCCCCAGGCTGATTTTGAACTCTCGGCCTCAAGTGATCCTCTCTTCTCTGCCTCCCAAAGTGCTGCAATTACCGGCTATAATATTATATTTTTATTGCTAAAAGAATAATACTATATATTCTGACTATGGTCATGGTCACATGAATCTTAGCATTAGATAAATTGTATAGAACTAAGCATGCACACACGCGTGCTTGCACACACACACACGCACACACACAGAGCAATTGTCCTAGGCATTTATTCCAGAGAAATAAAAACTTATGTTCACACACAAACATGTAAACAAATGTTTACAGCAGTTTTATTTGTAATAGTCCCAAAGTGGAAATAATCCAAATGTCCTTCAATGGGTGAATAGCTAAACAAATTGTGGTATATTCATATCATGGACTATTACTAAGCATTAATAGAGTCAAACTATTGATATACACAACAACTTGAATAGATCTCAAGGATATCTCAAAAGGCTATATATTGTACGATTCCATTTATATAACATCCTTGAAATGACAAAATTACAGAGATGGAAAACAGATTAGTAGTTGCCAGAGGTTAGGGAGTGGGGTAGGAAGGAGGTGGCTGTGGCTGTGGCTATAAAAGGGTAGCACGAGGGATCTTTATGATGAAACTATTACATATCTTCACTGGTGGTGGTTACATCAAACTATGCATGTGAAAATATCGCATAGAACTGAGTATATACACACACCCCTTCACACATACATATATGTAAATGAGTGCATATAAAACAGAATAAGATTGCTGGACTGCATCAGTGTGAATTTTCTGGTGGTGATATTGTACTATAATTATGCAAGACATTGTCATTGAGGGAAACTGGGCAAAGGGTATATGGGATCTCCCCACATTATTTCTTACAACTGTATGAAAATCTATAATTATCTCAAAATAAAAAGTTAGAAAATAATACAGCAATTTCTCTGAACCTGGGGCTGTTGTAAGAATTAATAAGACAAAATATAGAATGCAGATCTTTGAAAGCTTTCTTTGTGTGTATAAAACATTAATATTATTTTTAATTCTGAAGGGGCACCCCAGCATTAGGTTTTATAGTTCAAAATTACATGAAATTGATGGACCTCACCTTGATTCTATCTTTTAAATTTGGAGCTTAGAGTTTTATTAATTTCTTTCACTTATTAGGGTCCACTAGTTTTGCTAACAACTTCAGCAAATGTGTCTACTACTTAAGAGATTTTGTGTGAGACGTTGAATGCTGTATTCAATGGGTGCTCTCTATAAATACTGTTTAAAATTAGATGGCAAAGACTTTCAATTTACATTCTGCCAACTGTTTTACCACACTTTTTTTCTTGCCTGTTTGCCTGCCATGTTATCCTCTATAATGAGTGAGTTACAGTAATTGTAGCTGGAAAAATCATCATGCAAGGGGGGAAAAAAGCTCAAAACCTGCCTTATTTTTAAATCAGTAAAGCTTCTGTCATTTTTTGGCTGAGTTACAGCCTCACAGCAAAGTCAAAGAACCAATAGAGTAAATGCCACGTGGGGAAAGGCTTGGTTGAAGCATAAATTAACTGTATTTCATTTTCCCTTAATAAAGAATTTCAGTTTTTCCACAGTTAACTGTATAATCAATTTGCTCCCCTGCTGGTTTGCTAACTTGCTGTTGGCTTTACTTCAATAATATTGAGCCGAGCCTGTAACGAGAGAAAGAGGAGGAGCTGATCTCACTGAGAAAAAAATACACTGCTGTGATAGAACATACAGTTTCTCCTTCCTGGAATTTTTCTGGGCCTTTTATCCTTTAAAAGCCTAAACGTGTTGCCCCAAGACCCCCCACGCCTCTGGCCTCTCCACACTCATTATAATATCTGGTATATTCACAGAGCTACTGTAATCATGTTTTGTTGATGGGAGGATGTTCGAGTTTTAAATCCTTCTCCATGTTCTGCAGCCTGGGGCTTCCCAGCCTTGGAGTGCCACTGGAAGACTTTTGTGTTTGATTGATTGATTGATGTTTTATTTTCTTTTTAAAAATCATTTAACTATGCAAGAAGTAAGAAAGTTGCTTCCATGAATAGCGCAGAATAACTCAACATCAAACACTGCTGCGCAATCAGCACTTTAATTGTAAAATTATCCTACTGGAAGGGTCGGAGAGAGCACAGAAAAAATACATTCTATCATAACTGCTGATTTTGTTCTTCCTGCCCTTCCCATGCCTAGAAATTATACCCTATACTATGGGTTGGTTCACTAACTTACTTGTAATTCTACTTTTTTTTTTTCCAGCTTTCTGGATTACAAGACACAAGTTAAACATACAAGATAAACAAATATTATCTTTAGTCACAGAATCACCAGACAAAAAGCTCTTCAGAGCAAGCTGTCTCCACCCCTCCACATTGCTACTTCTGCTCCTCATGCCCAAAGCGGCACTTCAATTCGAGGACGGCTCACTCGGAGAACTGGGAGAAGCAGTAGGGCCCTGAAGTCAAACCACCACAACCCCTTTATCGGCTCCAGGGCTGGGTGCCCAAAATTTGGTTTTTGCCTCAGATAGCTTCGTAGTCACATTAACCCCTAAGGTGCCTTCCAGAGGACTGTGGAAGAATATAGGATTACAGAACTTCACAGATTCTTGGTGTAGACATTCACAAAAACCCTCCCATTCTCAGCGTTGATTCTTTCTTTTGTTTCCCTTAGCTCCTTTGCCAATGACTGTGGCACTTACTGTATAGTTTTGGACTATATCTCTCGTTGCCATAATTCCTGGGTCATCATTACATAATAGTTTGGAATGAGGTTTTGTTTTTGTTTTCATCCCTAATTTTATTGTAAATCCCTATTTTTTTCCCTCCCTGCCTTTCCCCCAGAGAGTCCCCAGGAAGTATTCTAATGAGCTGAGCTATTTTTCAATTTCGCTCAGTTTTTCCATCTGATGGGAGAGTCCATTTAAATTGATTTTTCTGAAAGAAATGGTTCTTTCTTTTTTTTTCCAACAAGTTATATGAGAAGGATTAAAAAGAAAGAGAAGGATAAGAAAATATGCCATTTAACACAACCTTTGTCCTTCTGGAAACTTCAAGATTTGATGTTCACCCCAAACTATGCACAAAATGCAACAAAGCCTTCACGATTTGTCCTGTCCTTGGAAGCTAAATCTGAGCCTGCTCAGCAATTCTAGGCTTCCTGAAATGTTTTCGCTAAAATCACCAAATCAAAATTTCAGTTTGTCTTGAAATCAAAGCAATATAGAAAATTCACACATACTACAGTGATAATAATCTGTTTTACAGAATCCACGAGAAAATGAGTAACAAAGATACATATGAATGAATTTCTCTTTGGCAATCACAGAGAATTATTTTTTGAGGAAAATATAATTAAGAATGGCATTTTATTTGAGGAAAACACTCTAACACATTGTCACTGAGTGGGCTAGAGCATTCCAAACTCTTTCCCTGTCGTTTCTCCTTAAGATGCAGACCAGACTTAGGAGCATAGCCCTCAGTCGCATCAGAGCACACAATAGCTGGATTGGGGCGAAAAAGCACATAGGAGACAGTTGTTTGGCTGCTTTGGGGCAAGCCATGACAAGCTCAGGCAATAATTTGAAAGAAACTTTTCCAAAAAGATCATGTAGCAAGCTCCCAATTTAGAAAGCAGTAGGGATCGTGTCCAGTCAAATAATGGCGGCCACACCCATTGTGTCCAGTCTGTTCGCCATCCAAGAGATGTGACTGACTCACTTAGAGTGACTGACTCACTTAGAATCCACCGAAAAGTTGTTCCACAGACTTTTTCTTTGAGACAAGTTTTTTTTTTCTCCTAATCCCTGGTTGATAGTTAATTTATACTTTCATTTTTCATTTCCACACTAGCTGAAATGGCCATCATTTCTTAGGTCTTTGTTTTCTTTTTTTTTTTTTTTTTTCTGAGACAGGGTCTCACTCTGTCACCCAGGCTGGAGTGCAGTGGCGCCACCATGGCTCACTGCAGCCTCGACCTCCCAGGCTCAGGTGATCCTCCCACCTCAGTCTCCTGAGTCGTTAGGACTACAGGAGCATGCCACTACACCTTGCTACTTTTTGTATTTTTCTTAGAGATGGGGTTTCTCCATATTGCCCAGGCTGGTCTCAAACTCCTGGGCTCAAGCCATCCTCCTGCTTTGGCCTCCCAAAGTGCTGGGATTACAGGCATGAACCACCATGCCTAGCCCCCGATCTGTTAATTCACCATTACTGATCTTTGACAATCTTTGATATTCTTATTCTAATCAAATTTCTTGACAAAGGGAATCTGCATAGGCATAGTTGTTATTTCTAACAGACTTTTTTTTTTTCTTGGAGCTTATAAAGTCTCCTGAACAAAGGGATAAAATGGAGGCTAATGCTAATTTTTTTTCCTTCTTGTCCTCAAGAAAATTAGAGGACTGAGGAAATCATTTATGAAAGCAAAAAGAAAGTTTTATTGATCTTTGTAGGGCAGGTAGCTATGGATATCTTGCTTCTGTGAGAAAGCAGGTAATATTTTTATAAGTATGCTGGAAGGTAAGAAATGCCTTTCTCTGTAGCATGGCCATGTTGAAAATATGTGTGTGTGCACAGACACACATACCACAAGCAAAACAAAACAAAAATATCAGAGTGAACAAAGAGAAGTCAAAACTGAAAGAGGTAAGACTAAAGTTAAAATTTAGTGTACTATACCCTAGGGCTTTTTCTGAACTACTGCCCTGTGATCAGAAGCACTCAGTGTGACAATTGGCAAAGGTAGAAATTGGCATCACGACTAAGAAAACAATTGCAAGAAAAAGTATGATGTTTTTGAAATAAGGAAAAAAACAACATTTTTCTTTTTTCCTTTGATACTGAGCAGACACACACACCACTTACATCGCATGATGTAGAAAAAAATGTTAAAATGTCCCTTGCTTCCAATCTTACATGTTTTTGCTTAGTGCACAGAAAAGAATATACTTAATTATTGTGGTGACAAAATAAGGCAGAATTATCATACAATGAGACTTGTTGCCTGGCTTTTTTTTTTTTTTTAAGAGACAGAGTCTTGCTCTGTCAACCAGGCTGGAATGCAGTGGTGCAATCGCAGCTCACTGCAGCCTTGATCTCCTGGACTCGAGAGACCCTCCCACCTTAGTCTCCTGAGCAGCTGAGACACAGGTGCCGCACCACCATGCTCAGCTGATTAAAAAAAATTTTTTTAGAGATGGGGTCTTACTGTGTTGTCCAGGCTGGTCTCAAACTCCTGGCCTTAAGCAATCCTCCCACCTCAGTCTCCCAAAGCCCTGAAATTACAGGCGTGAACCACAGCACCTGGCCTACCTTACACTTTAAATTAAAAATAGATTTCTCAAAATGAAGTCAACTTATACATTAAGTGTAAACTGAAAATTTACAAGTTTCATGTCCCTTATCAAAAATCTCTTCTCTAACCAGGTAATTGTCAAGGAAAACAAGATGAAATAGAAGCACCTGCTCTCATTTATGCATTTATTAATTATTCCACAAATACTTGTTAAGCACCTTCTAAAGTTTTGGGCACTATGAGCATTTATATCAGTTACAGTCCCAAGAGTAAACAGATGGCACATTCAAATTACAATAATCCAGAGGGAGTTTATTTACAAAAGGGATTAATTTCAAAGGTGTGGGTAAAGCAGGATTATGCAGGAACTCAAGGCTAGCACCAGCAAAACTGTCACCCCTTGTAGGTCCTGAAGGAGAGGGAGCGAGCAAAGGAACACGACCAGGGAGAGAGCTGGCAGGATCAGGGAACCTTACAGAAAAGGAGCCAGGTGAACCAACACCTTGATCTTACCCTTCTTCCCTCCTCCAATCTCTACCCAGGGATCCCCACTGACTGAACTCAGCCAGCATCTGCAGAGACCTGAGCCCACTGGCTGAGTCTGTGTGGGCAGCAGCCAGAGAGCAAAGGCAGAGAGCAGAGTGAACAGGAGGTCTGCAGGGGCAGATCCAAGACGTTCACATGGGACTAGACCAGAGAACAGGAAAGCACCTGTCCTCACAAAGTTGACTTATTTATTAGAAAGCATCGATGTCAACCTTTAGCAATAAAAGTGCTTTTAGGCAAGTACAAATTAAGGGCTAATTTCCGGTTGGGACAGTATGAAATGCAACGAAGTAGCAACAGAATTGAATCAATGTGCTCTGAATGGCTGCTGTGTTCTTCAAAAGCAGGAATGTAGAATAATATATACCTTTTTTTTATTTTTAGAAACCTTTCTCCTTGCTCTAATGGGGTGATAACGTAAGAGGTTGGAAAGAGAAGAACAAAACCATTGTGTGAAACACAGCCCTTATTTTTCGTTCCTTCTCTCAGCATAGGAGCATACAAGGGTGCTCTGCCCTTCTGGACTCCCTAGCACATGTCACACACATGAGCTAGAGCTCTCAGTAACTATTACATCCTGAACAAATTCATATGTTCAAAACTAACCCTCAATGTGATAGTATCAGAAGGTGGGGCATGTGGGAGGTGATTAGGTCATGATGGCTCCACCCATGTGAATGGGATTAGGGTCCTTATAAAGGAGACTCCTGAACACTAACTAGCCCCTTTTACCATGTGAAGATATAGCAAGAAGGTACCATCTCTGAATCAGGAAGTGGGCCCTCACCAGACACTGAATTTGCCGGTAACTTGATCTTGGACTTTCCAGCCTCCAGAACTGTGAGCAATAAATTTCTGTTGTTTATAAACTACCCAGTGTATGATACTTTTGTTAAAGCAACCTGAACAGATGCACTAACTCACTTCTTTTTATTCTTTTTTTTTTTTTTTTTTTTTGTGAGATGGAGTCTCAGTCTTGTTGCCCAGGCTGGAGTGCAATGGGGCAATCTTAGCTCACTGCAACCTCCACTTCCTGGGTTCAAGTGATTCCCCTGCCTCAGCCTCCTGAGTAGCTGGGATTACAGGGGTGCGCTACCACTCCTGGGTACTTTTTGTATTTTTAGTAGAGATGGGGGCCACGCTAGTCTCGAACTCTTGACCTCAGGTTACCCACCCGCCTTGGCCTCCCAAAGTGCTGGAATTACAGGCATGAGCCACCGTGCCTGGCCAACTCACTTCCTTTTCAAAACAAGAATTCTCTTAGTTTCAGTGCTATCTGTTCTTTAAGGTTAGAACTGGCTGGGCACAGTGGCTCATGCCTGTAATTCCAGCACTTTGGGAGCTGAGTAGGGCGGATCACTTGAGCCCAGGAGTTCAAGAACAGTCTGGGTAACATGGTGAAAGCCTGTCTCTACAAAAAATACAAAAATATTAGCCTGGCCTGGTGGCGGGCGCCTGTAGTCCCAGCTACTAGGGAGGCTGAGGCAGGAGAATGGTGTGAACCCGGGAGGCGGAGCTTGCAGTAAGCTGAGATCGCGCCACTGTGCTCCGGTCTGGGGGACAGAGCAAGACTCCGTCTCAAAAAAAAAAAAAAAAAAAAATATATATATATATATATAAATTAGCCAGGCATGGCAGCACGCACCTGTAGTCCCAGCTAGTCGGGAGGCTAAGGCAGGAGGGTCACTTTTGCCTGGGTGGCAGAGGCTGCAGTGAGCCATGATCACCCCACTGCACTCCAGCCTGGATGACAGAGTGAGACCAAAAAAAAAAAAAAAAAAAAAGGAGGAAACAAAAAGAAAAAGAGCTAGAATTTCTCTAAGTATCCTAACACTTATCTCTTCTTCTAAGCCACCGTAGTACACAAATCCTTTCATTTATAATGTGTGCGTTTCTTCTGTCCTTCAATCTTGACCTTAAAGTTGCTTAAGCACTCACAAATATTTTAAACTATTTTTTTTTAGATTCCTTTCCACAGCATATAGCACTGCAGCTAATGCAGAAAGGGTACTTGGTTCGATTGACTATGTTTGATTATTTAGATAGACTGTCCCATTAAAATTGAAATAACATTCATTCTTCAACCTGCTGGATCACGATCCTCCACAGGTAGGTTGATCATATGTCCTGTTTTGCTTGAAACTGTCTCAGTATGTCTGTATTCTCTGAGCAAGTATTAACAGTTCTCTCCCTTCACTTATAAATATCCTGAAGAAAATATTTGCAATTCATATACCAGGTTAAAGTGTCTGTAATAGATAAAGAACTCTTACAACTCAACAATAAAAAGATGACTCACTTTTAAAATGGGCATTTAAGGTGTTTGTTTGTTTGTTTGTTTGTTTGTTTGTTTTTGAGACAGGATCTCACTCTGTTGCCCAGGCTGGAATGCAGTGTCACCATCACAGCTCACTGCAACCTCTGTCTCCCAGGCTCAGGTGATCCTCCCACCTCAGCCTTCCAAGTATCTGGGACTATAGGCACATGCCACCATTCCAGGCTAATTTTTTGTAATTTTTGTAGACATGGGGTTTCACCATGTTGCCCAGGCTGGTCTCAAACTCCTGGGATGGAGTGATCTGCCCACCTTGGCCCCCAAAGTGCTGGGATTACAGGTGTGAGCCACTTCACCTGGACTGTTAAATAATTGTAATAGTCAGTTCTCCAAAGAAATAAAAAGTGGCCAATGAGCATGTTAAAAGATGTTTAACACCACTAATCATTACGGAATGCAAATCAAAACTACAAGATACCATGTCACACCCATGAGGATAACTATAATCAAAAAAAGAGAAAATAACAAGACTGGGCATAGTGGCTCCTGTTGTGTGATTCCATTTATGTGAAATGTCCAGAATGGGCAAATCCATACAAAACAAAAGTATCTCTGTGGTTTCGAGGGCCTGGGGGAAAAGAGAATGGGGAGTCACTGCTTAATGTGTGTGGGGTCTCCTTTAGGGATGATGAAAATGTTTTAGAGCTAGATAGAATTGAAGTTTGTAAAACACAAAATATACTAAAAACCAATTAATTGTACATTTTAGAATGGTGAATTTTATGTGAATTAAATATCAATTTTTAAAATTGCAAAAAGAAAAAAAAAAGCCAACACCAAAAATCTAAAAGACCCAAACAAAAACATAAAACTTCAATGTCTCCTGGTTTGAACAATTAATTATATGATCACTCTATTCATAGGGCAATTAGAAGGGAGTAAATGGAAGGAAGTAAAGATTACAAAGATTGCAAGGAACTGGGAGTTGAAGATTAGGATAAAAATCTTCTTTCAAGACCTAGTTCTTTAAGAGATAGAAAATTAGCAGTACAGGTGAAAGTGTTTGGTTTTGTATTTTCAGTCTAATGTAACCCAGGATCAAGGTCAGACTGAAATTCTAAAGATTCTCTTGAAGAGTAAGGGTTAATATTTATTAGTACAGAAGTGCCCCAACCTAACAAACTTTTAAGTAGAACCTTCAGATAGAGGAGCCTATTCGCCTAATGTTAATTCAGGAGAGGGCTTGGAGCTTGAGAATTTAAATGCTAAGCCTGGCCAAAGTGTTCCTGATGAAACTTTTGTGGCAAGACTTCCCTAGTCCTTGCTATCTACCTTCCCCTTACCCTGGCGTTGGCCCACATCGAAATGCGCCCAATGTCAGAGTCTGGGGCAGGTAGACAGCAAGGAGATCCTACAGTTGCTGAGTGGTCCCCTAGGCTCACGCAGAAATTACCACGGACAGGAGTTGCCTCCTTCTTCACACATGGAGTGGAGATGAAACTAATCCATTTTGCCCAAAGGTGGCTGATAGAATGTGTATTAACCTGATCCTAAAGCTTAAAAGATGAACTCACACTCCTGTATAGGGTAATGCATTTGGGAGCTAGACATTTATAAGCCTAGTCTGTTCATAAGTAGAAAGCTATGCTCAGTTTATTCCCCTTCTTTATTTTAAATCAAGTGTTGAATAAGAGGTTTCCTTATTAAATAAAATCCCCTGAAGTCTCAGTGAGGCCCTCTCGAAGGGCTATCTATTCTGCCTGAAATTGTCACACCATCTTCTCGCTCCTTCCTTTTCCTTTCTCCATCCTTTTCATTAAGGACTTACTGTGGATTCAGCACTGTGAAACACACACAGAAGTCAAACACTGGATATTTGCCCTCAAAGACTTTACAGTCAAGTTGAAGAGAGAAATAGAAATAGAAAATGCTAGATAATGTTATGCTTTAAACAACATATGAGCATTGTCACAAAGCAATATACTATTACATTCTATGTGGTGGTATGGGAATAAGCGCTATGAGTTTAGGAGGGTGAGATCCTTGTGAGATGAAAAAGATTGAGAATTGTTCATGTTTCATTTAAAGTAACTCTCATTTTGACAAACTCTTAAGGATTTTCTACTGAGAATTGAAATATGGTGCCCATTGACTAAGCCTTGAAAATAGTTTTGCTTTATATAATTGTAATCACATTTTATCTGTATTATAAGATTCTAATACTCCCTTCCTAACTCCAAATTGGATAGCCTCTTAGCATTTATGGTAACAGAATTTGACCTATAATACATTGTGTTTATATAATACTCTATATTTAGCATCAAATGGAAAAGTTTTCCAATAATGAGCTTTTGGAACACAGTCAATTCACAGGAATCAAGTCACGCTCATGACAGCTCGGCAGCTCTGAACTGTTCTTGAGAAAAGAGTGAATGACAGGATGCAAAACTAGCAATTGTGCAAAGAACGGAACTGCTCTATTCATCAAAACTTGACTGTAAACTTTCCTTCTAATTGACTGCTTGGCTATTTGACCTTTTTCGGAGGAAACTGTATTTAGAGTCCCTAACTCCTAAAAATCTTTTGTTTTATCTCAAAGGTAGTACAAGTAGACCATCAGCTAAATTACCTTGGAACACAAGCAGACTCCAATTTTTAGCTTGACAATTACTTCATTTAAACACCTTTTTTCATTTCTGAGAAGCCAAACCAATCCCAAACAAAACCAAATCAACAACATTTATCAAAACAGCACCATCACTGCCAATAACAAACACAAATTCGACAGTTACCATAAAAACCATTCCACGAGACAGGATACCCCTGTTGTCCTCATTCTGCAGTGATGTGAGGCACATTTTGTGAGCCCTCTGTACTGAGAAGTTTCAGACACAAACAAAGAAATGAAAAGATAAAAAGTTTTCCTGTTTCAGGTGTTTTTAGATACAGAATTTTCCATACTGGATTAGATCATTTCCCCATCAAAACCAATATCCTGCTTAGTCGACATGAAGTTAATGATGGTGAAATTGAAGTTAATGATGGCGAAATGCTTTGAAAATAGAAGTACTACATACATTCGAGCAATAATGGGCTTTCGTACTAGTAACTTTGTGGCTCCAAGCCCAGGCTCATGAAAGGATACTTTGAAAAGAACATTAAATCTATAGAAGAGATGAAATATTTACAGATTAACTTCTTACTTCTTTTCACATTTTATATGACTTGAGCAAATAAATACTTTTTTAAAAAACCAGGAAGTGTTAAGAGTTACGGATGTTTCCAGATCTAGCTAAGCACGTGTTTGCTACATTCTTTATAATGTGTAAGTGTTTCTTGGGTTGGCTCTGAAGAATTGAGTTAAGCAGGTTGCATGTAATTACAGGGCTCACTGCCTAGAAATGATTATTTTGTTCTTTCTTCCCTCCTATCGGAAAGGGAATGGGAAAACTGAAAGCTTTACCAAATAGTATTCTTAAGCTGCATAGCTTTAAATTTGCTTAGAAAGTGGGAGCCGTTTTCTTTTTCGGTTCTGTTTACCTGGTGTATTTCAGGATAGTCTATTTGTTCTTGAACTATGGGAAGAACCTTAAAATAAACTAAAGACAACAGTGTTTGCCTTTTTACTCTAAGTGTTGTTTATTGAACAGCTTTTTAAGATTAACAACCACTGAAGAGTGTATGGGATTCATCAGCCAATTATGGTCACTTTGGTCTCTACAAAGGCTGGAAAAAAAAAATCACCCAACGCGAGTCCTTCATTTTTTTTTTTTTTGTTACTGTTTGAAAAGGATCTCAGATGTTTCATTTCAAAAGTTTCCAGATAACTTTACCATTTGTTCTTTATTTAATTTGGAATTGTTTAGATCATCTGAAGAACACTTGCTTTCCTAACAATTTCAGAACAATTAAGGTCTTGATGCTTTTAGGAGCTGACATTTTTACTAAAATTCTATTTGAGATTCCATCTAGATCAGATCTAATTTTTCCAAGCATTACTGGATAGCAGAGTTTATAAAATGAAAAAGGTTGCCAAAATAATACTTAATATTTATATTTAGTTTCTATCTCAAAAATCCCAAAGCACTTTGCATGCAAATATTTATCCTACTTTATAGATGAAGACATTTGGGGACTAGAGTAACCATTGTAACATTGCGTAGCAAAAAAAAAAAAAAAATGCCCGCATCTGAAAACAGACCCTTTGTTCTAGTCTTGATTGTACCACCTTGAGCCTGGCATTTAACCTCTGTGGGCCTCAGTCTCTGCACCTATAAAAGGAGGGATTTGGGCGAGATATGCTGAGGACACTAACATTCTACACGTCTAAACTTCGAGGAACTTTTCTAAAGCAAGAAAAAGAATAAGGGCTAAATTTAATTCGTCAGAGTGGAAAGAGAACAAAGAGAGAGGACTGGGAGTGGGAGATTAAAAGGCTGTGGAAAGTGGTCTTGAGATAGATGTTATTGGGGACCAACCTTCTCAATGCACTGGTCAAGCGCCGGACGTTGTTGAGAACAGCACCTGGTGTTCTGGGCTTGTGTGTTTGTGCCAGCAGGTATATAGTGGGGTGTGTGCAAAATAAAGAGTTCCAGTCAGTTGAGTGAGGAAAAACCTGTTAGGCACGTTGTTTCAAGTCATGTGTGCGTAGCAGTCATTAGATCTCTGGAGCTTTTCTATCTTTGCTAATTTACTTTTCATTTGCTTTTCCCAAACCAGCATAACTTACTAGTAGGTTCATAGCTATAGTTAATTGTATGTATACAATGCCAAGCCATAAATTATACTCTTTCAGTTTCCAAATTAACTGATACCATCTAATCACACAATTAAAATGCTTTTATGGTTATGAAAGCAATACATGCTTTATTGAAGAATATTAGAAAAAGTAAAAAAAAAAAAACTACATGTAACATCAAGATTGACAATAATCCCACCACCCAGAGGATGAATGATCACTTTCAACATTTCAGTATGTTTCCTTCTGTGTTCTTTTCTATGAGCATATATACAATTTTTGTTTTCAAAGCTGGGATCACATTGTATATGCAGATTTAAACCTATTTTTTATATTAAGAGTATATTGTTAGCACTTTTACATGATAAATGTACTTATATAGTAAGGGAGTATTTAATTCTGATGCCAAACATCTGGATGAAAAGTAAAAAGTCAGTCAATTATCTAGATATTTTTCCAATACCCAGATGTTTGGCACCATGTCGACAAAACATTAAAATCCTTGACCAAGCTGTTCAGCTTTTGCACAGATGTCTGGCATTATGTAGGCAAACTCTCTCTGAACTGACGGACATTTTGGCAGGAGAAAGACAGAGCATTTATAGCATTTATTACATGCTCTGGGTCAAAAGTGTTTTAAAATTTAGCTTGTGTGCATGAGCAACCTTTTCATTGTTTCACAATGAGTCAGCAGCACGAAGAAAAAAATCTATATTTTAGGAACCCTTAATCCATTATGATGCAAGTCTGCTATCTATCTCTATTTTTGGTCACTTCTCAGTCTGTTGGACTGGTTGTTGACCTTGAAAGCTTAGCATAAAGTTGTTGTTTCTTTGAAGTCTTGGTCTTGAGAATTTGTACCCTAGTGATGGTTTTGTTTTGTCTTTTTTCTATAATTAAGAAAGTTCTTTCTGGCTGATAATTTTATTAACAGATTGCTCTGAATATTTAAAAGTCATGTTAATGTGCCAATATCCCTGACAACAGTCCTGCCTAAAATACATTTAAGACGTTTAAAAAAGATATTTTTATGTTTTTCTGACTATCTTGTTTCTTGGGTTATAATTCTTCGTCTAGCTCTGCATTAGTCAGTGTATATATTTTTCCATGTATACCCCTTTTTTTGATTCCTTAAAGACATAATTTATAAAAGTTTGATGAAGTGCAATGTTATCTACCATTGTATCACACCAAATTTTATGTACTTGATTACACATTTATAGTGACCTTAAAAAGTAACATCCTTAATATATTTGTCTTCTCCTTGACACTCTAAAAGTTGTTATCCTTCATTTTCCATCCTGTTTTTCTTTTCATTAGTGTTGCTTTGATTATGTATATTACATGTCTCTAACTGTAAAATGTTTCTAATTCTGTGGCTGAAACAGAATAAAAAGAAAATCTATCCAACTTATGCCAAAGGGAGCAATGTAGCTGAATGATTAAATACATGAGTCAATTAGTAACGTGGGACTAAGTTCACATCTTTCCTTTTATCGGCACAGAACTGTTCGGCTTGTCCCTCTGTGTTCTCCTGGCTCTGTCATTAACTTGCTCAATTGCCACTGGCAAGACATTAGCTTGGGCTATGCCTGAGCTTTTTCATCCTTCATCCATAAAAAATTACATACTCCCACACTGCTATGTTTTCTGGAATAATTTGTGAAGGTTCTTTCACATTATTAATATTAAGTGTTGTTATTGTTGAGTAACTTGATTTATATGAAGAAATTGCATGAGAAAAACCAGGTAGATGTAAGTTTTTGATTTTTAAAAAATATAAATAAACCACTGCACATTTGAGGACTGACTGCTTTGTTTCTTGCAAGACACTGTAATCTTGTTTTTGATCTTAGCATCTGGTTTTTTGTGTATTATTTGCTTTTATGAATATTTTCTTCAGATTTATTGAGTGTTTTATTATGCCTGGTGTTTTTGCCCAATTGCAATTTAATTATGCTTTTATATTCTGGGTGCTTTTCTGGGGTCTGTGCAGGTCTAAGTAAGGCAGTCATTAAGGAGGTGATGATATGCCATTGCTATTCTGGGATGATACTATCTTCACATGATTGCTGTGTTTATATATATTTTGTTTGTTTGTTTGTTTGTTTTTGAGATGGAGTCTTGCTTTGTCGCCCAGGCTGGAGTGCAGTGGTATGATCTTGGCTCACTGCAACCTCTGCCTCCTGGGTTCAAGCAACTCTCCTGCCTCAGCCTCCCGAGTAGCTGGGATTATAGGCGTGCGCCACCACACCCTACTAATTTTCGTATTTTTAGTAGAGACAGGGTTTCACCATGTTCGCCAGGCTGGTCTTGAACTCCTGACCTCAAGTGATCCACCTGCCTCAGCCTCCCAAAGTGCTGAGATTATGGGCATGAACCACCGTGCCCAGTCTGCTCTGTTTATATTTTTGGATAAAGATGAAAAGCTATAGCTACCCAGCTAAGTAGTCGGGAATAACTAAATAGTTACATACTTTTCATTTTCATCCAAAGTTCGACAGTGGTAGGCCCTAAAAACCAGTATCCATAGACTTCTGACCTAGTGTTCTTGAGATATAGATTTCTACTTGGCCACAAATGTTGTTGTCTAAGTCTGTTTGTGCTTGTGCTGCTATAACAAAATACCTTAGACTGGATAATTTATAAAAAAAAGGAAATTTATTTCTCACAGGTCTGGAGGCTGAGACGTCAAAGATCAAGGCACTGGCAGGTTCAGGGTCTGGTAATGGCTTGCTGTCTGTTTCCAAGATGGCACCTGTTGCTGTGTCTTCCAAAGGGGATGAACACTGTGTCCTCACATAGCAGAAGAGCGGAAGTGCAAAACAAGGAACTCTCTCTCTCCCTCAGGCCCTTGTATAAGGGTACTAATCCCAAGTCTGACGGCAGAGCCTCATAGCCTAATCACCTCCCAACAGCTTCTTCTCTTAATACTATCATCTTTGGGTTTAAGTTCCAATGTATGAATTTTCGACAGACACATACATTCAAACCATAGCAGTTGTATATGTAGATAGGCAAAAATATAAACATGTAGGCACGCAAGAAAGATTGTTGAAAGAAATGGTAGAATAAGTTTAAACATTTATTTCACAACTGATGATTGAATTCATTCACCAATTAGTTGCTTTACTGTTAAGTAGTTGTTTGACAAACTTCAAAGTTATCTTTCACCTTTGATATCTTTTTCACATTCCTATTTGTATAGAATATTCTGGTTGTACATATTTTCACGCAACTAAACTTTTTTTTTCTGTTTTGAGACAGGGTCTCACTCTATTGCCCAGGCTGGTCTTGGATTGCTGGGTTCAAGTATTTCCCCATCTCAGCCTCCCAAGTAGCTGGGATTGTAGGCACCTGGTCTTAAATTTTAGTGACTATTTTCTACTATCTCTCTTTCTCTCTCTCTCTCTCTTTTTTTTTTTTTTTTTTGAGATGGAGTCTTGCTCTGTTGCCCAGGCTAGAGTGCAGTGGTGCAATCTTGGCTCACTGCAGCCTCTGCCTTGTGGGTTCAAGCGATTCTCCTGCTTTAGCCTCCTGAGTAGCTGCAATTACAGGCACCTGCCACTAAGCCCAGCTAATTTTTGTATATTTTTAAAATTATACTTTAACTTCTAGGGTACATGTGCACAACGTGCTGGTTTGTTAAATAGGTATACATGTGTTTGCTGCACCCATCAACTCGTCATTTACATTAGTTATTTCTCCTAACGCTAACCCTCCCCCAGCCCCCGACCCCACAACAGGCCCTGGTGTGTGATGTTCCCCTCCCTGTGTCCATGTGTTCTCATTGTTCAACTCCCATTTATGAGTGAGAACATGTGGTGTTTGGTTTTCTGTCCTTGTGATATTTTGCTGAGAATGATGGTTTCCAACTTCATCCATGTCCCTGCAAAGGACAAGAACTCATCCTTTTTTATGGCTTCATAGTATTCCATAGTGTATATGTGCCACATTTTCTTTATCCAGTCTATTATTGATGGACATTTGGGTTGGTTCAAGTCTTTGCTATTGTGAATAGTGTTGCAATAAACATACGTGTGCATGTGTCTTTATAGTAGCATGATTTATAATCCTTTGGGTATATACCCAGTAATGGGATCACTGGGTCAAATGGTATTTCTAGTTCTAGATCCTTGAGGAATCACCACACTGTTTTACACAATGGTTGAACTAATTTACACTCCCACCGACAGTGTAAAAGGGTTCCTATTTCTCCACATCCTCTCCAGCATCTGTTGTTTCCTGACTTTTTAATGATTGCCATTGTAACTGGCATGGGATGGTATCTCATTGTGGTTTTGATTTGCGTTTATCTTATGACCAGTGATGATGAGTATTTTTTTATTTTTCTGTTGGCTGCATAAATGTCTTCTTTTGAGAAGTGTCTGTTCATATCCTTTGCCCACTTTTTGATGGTGTTGTTCTTTTCTTGTAAAGTTGTTTAAGTTCTTGTAGATTCTGGGTATTATCCCTTTGTCAGATGGATAGATTGCAAAAATTTTCTCCCATTCTGTAGGTTGCCTGTTCACTCTGACGCTACTTTCTTTTGCTGTGCAGAAGCTCTTTAGTTTAAGTAGAACCCATTTGTCTATTTTGGCTTTTGTTGCTGTTGCTTTTGGTGTTTTAGTCATGAAGTCTTTGCCCATGCCTATGTCCTGAATGGTATTGCCTAGGTTTTCTTCTAGGGTTTTTATGGGTTTAGGTCCTATATTTAAGTCTTTAATCCATCTTGAGTTAATTTTTGTGTAAGGTGTAAGGAAGGGATCCAGTTTCAGCTTTCTACTTATGGCTAGTCAGTTTTCCCAGCAACATTTATTAAATAGAGAATCCTTTCCCCATTTCTTGATTTTGTCAGGTTTGTCAAAGATCAGATGGTTGTAGATGTGTGGTGCTATTTCTGAGGTCTCTGTTCTGTTCCATTCATCTATATATCTGTTTTGATACTAGTACCACGCTGTTTTGGTTACTGTGGCCTGGTAGTATAGTTTGAAGTCAGGTAGCGTGATGTCTCCAGCTTTGTTCTTTTTGCTTAGCATTGGCTTGGCTGTGTGGGCTTTTTTTTAGTTCCACATGAAAAAAGTAGTTTTCTCCAATTCTGTGAAGAAAGTCATTGGTAGCTTGATGGCAATAGCATTGAATCTATAAATTACCTTGGGCAGTATGGCCATTTTCACAATATTGATTGTTCCTATCCATGAACATGGAATGTTCTTCCATTTGTTTGTGTCCTCTTTTATTTCGTTGAGCAGTGGTTTGTAGTTCTCCTTAAAGAGGTCCTTCACATTCCTTGGATGTTGGATTCCTAGGTATTTTATTCTCTTTGTAGTAGTTCTGAATGGGAGTTCACTCATGATTTGGCTCTCTGTTTGTTTGTTCTTGGTGTATAGAAATGCTTGTGATTTTTGCACATTGATTTTGTATCTTGAGACTTTGCTGAAGTTGCTTATCAGCTTAAGGAGACTTTGGGCTGAGACAATGGGGTTTTCTAAATATACAATAATGTCATCTGCAAACAGAGACAATTTGACTTCCTCTTTTCCTAATTGAATACCCTTTATTTCTTTCTCTTGCCTGATTGCCCTGGCCAGAACTTCCAATACTATGTTGAACAGGAGTGGTGAGAGAGGGCCTCCCTGTCTTGTGCCAGTTTTCACAGGGAATGCTTCCAGTTTTTGCCCATTCAGTATGATACTGGCTGTGGGTTTATCATAAATAGCTCTTATTATTTTGAGATAATGTTCCATCAATACCTAGTTTATTGAGCATGAAAGGCTGTTGAATTTTGTTGAAGGCCTTTCCTGCATCTATTGAGATAAACATGTGGTTTTTGTCATTGGTTCTGTTTATGGGATGGATTACATTTGTTAATTTGCGTTTGTTGAACCAGCCTTGCATCCCAGAGATGAAGCTGACTTGATCGTGGTGGATAAGCTTTTTGATGTGCTGCTGGATTCGGTTTGCCAGTATTTTATTGAGGATTTTCACATTGATGTTCATCAGGGATATTGGCTTAATATTCTCTTTTTTTGTTGTGTCTCTGCCAGGCTTTGGTATCAGGATTATGCTGGTCTCATAAAATGTGTAAGGGAGGATTCCCTCTTTTTCTATTGATTGGAATAGTTTCAGAAGGAATGGCACCAGCTCCTCTTTGTACCTCTGGTCGAATTCGGCTGTGAATCTGTCTAGTTCTGGACTTTTTTTTGTTGGTAGGCTATTAATTAGTTCCTCAATTTCAGAACCTTTATGATATCCCTTTATCATTTTTTATTGCATCTATTTGATTCTTCTCGCTTTTTTCTTTACTAGTCTTGCTAGCAGTCTATCAATTTTGTCGATCTTTCAGAAAACCAGCTCCTGGATTCATTGATTTTTTTGAAGGGTTTTTTGTGTCTCTATCTCCTTCAGTTCTGCTCTGATCTTAGTTATTTCTTGTCTTTTGCTAGCTTTTGAATTTGGTTGCCATTGGTTCTCTAGTTCTTTTAATTGTAATGTTAAGGTATCGATTTTAGAGCTTTCCTGCTTTCTCTTGTGGGCATTTAGTGCTATAAATTTCCCTCTACACGCTGCTTGAAATGTGTCCCAGAGACTCTGGTACATTGTATCTTTGTTCTCATTGGTTTCAAAGAACATCTTTATGTCTGCCTTCATTTCGTTATTTACCCAGTAGTCATTCAGGAGCAGGTTGTTCAGTTTCCATGTAGTTGTGCAGTTTTGAGTGAGTTTCTTAATCCTGAGTTCTAAATTGATTGCACTGTGGTCTGAGAGACAGTTTGTTGTGATTTCTGTTCTTTTACATTTGCTGAGGTGTGTTTTACTCCCAATTATGTGTTCAATTTTAGAATAAGTGCTGTGTGGTGGTGAGAAGAATGTATATTCTTGATTTGGGGTGGAGAGTTCTGTAGGTGTCTATTAGGTCCACTTGGTCCAGAGCTGAGTTCAATCCTGGATATCCTTGTTAATTTTCTGACTAATTGATCTGTCTAATATTGACAGTGGGGTGTTAAAGTCTCCCATTATTATTATGTGGGAATCTAAGTCTCTTCGTAGGTCTATGAGAACTTGCTTTATGAATCTGGGTGCTCCTGTATAGGATGCATATATATTTAGGATAGTTACCTCTTCTTGTTGAATTGATCCCTTTACCGTTATGTAATGGCCTTCTTTGTCTGTTTTGATCTTTGTCAGTTTAAAGTCTGTTTTATCAGAGACCAGGATTGGAACCCCTGCTGTTTTCTTGTTTTCCATTTGCTTGGTAGATCTTCCTCCATCCCTTTATTTTGAGCCTATGTGTGTCTTTGCATGTGAGATGGGTTTCCTGAATACACCACACCGATGGGTATTGACTCTTTATCCAATTTGCCAGTCTGTCTTTTAATTGGGGCATTTAGCCCATTTACATTTAAGGTTAATATTGCTATGCGTGAATATGATCCTGTCATTAAGATGCTAGCTGGTTGTTTCACCCGTTAATTGATGCAGTTTCTTCATAGCATCAATGGTCTTCACAGTTTGGCATGTTTTTGCAGTGGCTAGTACTGGTTGTTCTTTTCCATGTTTAGTGCTTCCTTCAGGAGCTCTTGTAGGGCAGGCCTGGTGGTGACAAAATCTCTCAACATTTGCTTGTCTGTAAAGGATTTTATTTCTCCTTCACTTATGAAGCTTAGTTTGGCTGGATATGAAATTCTGGTTTGAAAAATCTTTTCTTTAAGAATGTTGAATATTGGCCCCCACTGTCTTCTGGCTTGTAGGGTTTCCACTGAGATATCTGCTGTTAGTCTGATGGGCTTCCTTTTGTGGGTAACCCAACCTTTCTCTCTGGCTGCCCTTAACATTTTTTCCTTCATTTCAACCATGGTGAATCCGACAATTATATGTCTTGGGGTTGCTCTTCTCGAGGAGTACCTTTGTGGTGTTCTCTGTATTTCCTGAATTTGAATGTTGGCCTGTCTTGCTAGGTTGGGGAAGTTCTCCTGGATTATATCCTGAAGAGTGTTTTCTAACTTGGTTCCATTCTCCCCGTCACTTTCAGGTACACGAATCAAACATAGATTTGGTTTTTTCACACAGTCCCATATTTCTCGGAGGTTTTGTTCATTTCTTTTCACTCTTTTTTCTCTAATCTTGTCTTCTCACTTTATTTCATTAATTTGATCTTCAATCACTGATGTCCTTTCTTCCACTTGATCGAATCGGCTGTTGAAGCTTGTGTATGCGTCACAAAGTTCTCGTACTGTGGTTTTCAGCTCCATCAGGTCATTTAAGCTCTTCTCTACACTAGTTATTCTAGTGTAACATTCATCTAACATTTTTTCAAGGTTTTTAGCTTCCTTGTGATGGGTTAGAACGTGCTTCTTTGGCTTGGAGAAGTTTGTTATTACTGGCCTTCTGAAGCCTACTTCTATCAACTCATCAAACTCATTCTCTGTACAGTTTTGTTCCCTTGTTGGCAAGGAGTTGTTTTCCTTTGGAGGAGAAGAGGTGTTCAAGGTTTTTGGTATTTTCAGCCTTTCTACTCTGATTTCTCCCAATCTTTGTGGTTTTATCTACCTTTGGTCTTTGATGTTGGTGACCTATGGATGGTATTTTGGTGTGGATGTCCTTTTTGTTGATGTTGATGCTATTCCTTTCTGTTTGTTAGTTTTCCTTCTAACAGACAGGACCCTCAGCTGCAGGTCTGTTGGAGTTTGCTGGATGTCCACTCCAGACCCTGTTTGCCTGGGTACCACCAGTGGAGGCTGCAGAACAGCACCCACCTGTATGAAGTGTCTGTTGGCCCCTACTGGGAGGTGTCTCCCAGTCAGGCTACACGGCGGTCAGGGACCCACTTGAAGAGGCAGTCTGTCTGTTATCGGAGCTCAAATGCTGTGCTGGGAGAACCACTGCTCTCTTCAGAGCTGTCAGGCAGGGACGTTTAAGTCTGCCGAGGCTGTCTGCTGCCTTTTGTTCAGATATGCCCGGCCCCCAGAGATGGAATCTAGAGAGGCAGTAGGCCTGGCCGAGCTGTGGTGGGCTCCACCCAGTTCAAGCTTCCCTGCTGCTTTGTTTACACTGTGTGCATACAACTGCCTACTCAAGCCGCAGCAACGGCGGACACCTCTCCCTCCGCCAAGCTCCAGCATCCCAGGTCGATCTCAGACTGCTTCACTAGCAGTGAAGCAAGGCTCCTTGGGCATGGGACCCGCTAAGCCAGGCACAGGAGGGAATCTCCTGGTCTGCCGGTTGTGAAGACCATGGGAAAAGCACAGTATTTGGGCAGCAGTGTACTGTTCCTCCAGGTACAGTCACTCACAGCTTCCCTTGGCTAGGAAAGGGAAATTCCCTGACCCCTTGTGCTTCCCGGGTGAGGCAACGCCCTGCCCTGCTTCAACTTGCCCTCCGTGGGCTGCACCCACTGTCCAACCAGTCCCAATAAGATGAACCAGGTACCTCAGTTGGAAATGCAGAAATCACCCGTCTTCTGCGTTGATCTCGCTGGGAGCTGTAGACCAGAGCTCTTCCTATTCGGCAATCTTGGAAGCGACTCCGTCAAAATACTTTTCAGTTCCTCTTTTGATATCTTCTTTAAATGATCTCAAGATCCCACAATAGGCCAGCTGCAGGCTGAGGAGCAAGGAAAGCCAGCACAAGTTCCAAAACAGAAGAATTTGGAGTCCAATGTTTGAGGGCAGGAAGCAACCAGCACAGGAGAAAGATGTAGGCTGGGAGGCTAGGCCAGTCCCCATTTTTTGTATTTTTAATAGAGATGGGGTTTCACCATGTTGGCCAGGCTGGTCTTGAACTCCTGACCTTAGGTGATCTGCCTACCTCGACTTCCCAAAGTGCAGGGATTACAGGCGTGAGCCACTGTGCCCGGCCTTATATTTTTTATCTCTTGATGAGAAAGATCAGAGTCTTTTTTTTCTCTCAAATCCTTCAGCCAATCCATCAGCAAGAACCGCCAGCACTATATATTCTGAATCCAACCACTTTTCACCATTTCTATGATTTCCATGTTGGTGGAGGCTGTTGTCATCACTTGCCTGGACTATAGTTATAGCCTCTGACTGGCCTCCCTTCTTCCAATCTTGTCTTCCAAAGGATCTTTTCCCTACACAGATGCCAGAGTGATGTTTTAAAAATGTAGCCTGAATCATGTTATTTCTATACTCTGAAGCCTCCAAAAGCTTTCCAAAATATTCAGAAGACAATTCGAACTACAAGACCCTACATGAACTGGATCCCAACTACCACTCTCCCTGTCTCTCTCCTGAATCCAGCCATGCTGGGCATCTCGATATTCTTTATGTGTATGGTATGAAGCTAGCTTGTGTCTCAGGGCTATTCTACTACTCCATCCTCTACCTGGAAGCTTCTTGCCTTGTCGCATCATATGTCTCAGGTCTCTGTTCAATGTTGCCTCTTCAGAGGGACCTTCCCTTTCCATGTTTTATAAGTTAGGTCACCTGCCCCTTGTCATTCTCAGTATCCTTCATTTGCTGTATTTTTTTCACGGAACTTTTCACTACCTGAATTTATATCACAATACTTCTGTTTATAGTTTGTTATCTCTCTCAGCTACCAGCATGCTATCTTCATGACAGAAGGAATTTTTTGTTTGTCTTGTGCCTTGATGTGTCCCTAGCACCTAAATTGATTTGGCACATAATATGTGCTCAATAAATACCTTTTACTAAAAAAATGACTCAGTGTTTACTAATACAGGACTGTGGTTCTCTAGATTTGTATCATTCTCTCATATTGCTCTGGGATTGCAAAATTATCATAGTTGGCTGGGCGCAGTGGCTCATGCCTGTAATCCCAGCACTTTGGGAGGCAGAGGCAGGTTGATTGTTTGAGGTAAGGAGTTGGAGACTAGCCTGGCCAACATGGTGAAACTCCGTCTCTACTAAAAATGAAACAAAAAAAGTAGCCACATGTGGTGGCAGGAGCCTATAATCCCAGCTACTCTGGAGGCTGAGGCAGGAGAATTGCTTGAACCCGGGAGATGGAAGTTGCAGTGAGCCAAGATCATGCTACTGCATTTCAGTGTGAGTGACAGAGCAAGATTCTGTCTCAAAAAAAAAAATTATCATAGACACATGTACATTCCTGAAAGCACAATTAATCAGCATATAACATTTCCTGGACAATTTACCTAAAGAATAGTAGAATCTAAATAATATTAGAAGACAGTTGAATTAGATCCAGTCAATCAACTACCTGATTTGTCTTTTCAGCTGCGATGATAATTTCCGGCAGGTGACCCAGACATGGTAGGCCTGTTGGCTTGCAGCATGACTGTGGTTAGATGTGCCATCCTCATGTACCATGAAAGCAATCTGAGTGCACACCCACTGTCTGTGTTATTAGGATAAGTTTTCTTTTCCATCTTGATTCACCTCACAAATCACCAAATATTCTGTGTCGTGGTAATTTCCTGTGTTCTTAAAAGTATTTACCTCCCACATTACCGAAAAATTTAAAAGACCAGAGTTGACCAGAAAGGCCTAGCCACTTCACAAAAACTTCCCTTTTATGAATGCTTGTGGTTAGTCACATAAGAAATATGTTGAATTCTCTTCATGTGTCAAATTATGTGGGAGGCACTAAGAAAAAGCAAAAACACAATAGCCCTACATCGGGATCACACTCTCACCTCTCTCATTCATGGTATCTGCTCTGGAGAAGTTTATAATCTATTCAAAGCTAAAAAAAAAAACAAAAAACAAACAAACAAAAAAAACCCGGCCGGGCGCGGTGGCTCATGCCTGTAATCCCAGCACTTTGGGAGGCCAAGGCGGGCAGATCACGAGGTCAAGAGTTCGAGACCAGCCTGATCAACATGGTGAAACCCCGTCTCTACTAAAAATACAGAAATTAGCCAGGCATGATGGCAGGCGCCCATAATCCCAGCTACTCAGGAGGCGGAGGCAGGAGAATCACTTGAACCCAGGAGGTGGAGGTTGCAGTGAGCTGAGATTGTGCCATTGCACTCCAGCCTGGGCAACAAGAGCAAGACTCTGTCTAAAAAAATAAAAATAAATAATTAAATAAATAAATAAAGCAGAAACCACCTAAAATGGAGACTAACGTGAAAGTATATAGTTAAGAGCTACATTGATGGGTTGAAATATATATTATAGGAATTGAGGGCTGAGCAATCATTGACTGGATTGGACCTTTCAGAGAAGGTTCTAGAGAACGAAGGAAAGCTTCATAGAGAAGTGGACACAAGACCCAGTCTTAAAGGATGAGGGACGGTACTGCAGGCACAAGAAATTCACTCAACTGATGATGATTCAGCATCAGTTTGGTCACCATTATCGAAGCGTTTTGAATGTGTAGCTGCGACCTAAATAACTTCCCAGAGGTAAATGCATCCTGTAGGTTTACAACAAGCAGTATTATTAAAGTAGTCTATATAAAGAAGCTACTCCAGAAAGAAATTCAAACCCACACATGATTAAGCAAGAAGGATGAATCATACTCAAAATGGAGGAAATAACTATGCAAGACTTAAATAACTACTTGTGCTTAGTTTAAAAGCTGTTTTTTTAAAATCTCTCCCTTTAAAAGCTTTTCTTTACTCCCCAAATCCAATAAAATAATTCTATTTAACTTTATCAGTACAAAACTTACTGCCAAAGAAAATAATCACAATATTTATGTTGCTGTATTAGTTATTGCAAAATTGATAAAAGAAGATGGAACAGATAATGTGCTCTTATTAATACACATGGAATCACTAATCCTGTAACAGTTTTATCAAGGAGGTGTGATTAATGCCATTTTGAGGTGGCACAAGTAAGGGTCAAAACTGACAATAAGCCAAGTTCCTAAGCTCCCGCAGCTTGTAAGTGGCATTGCTACTGGGGTTTGAAGTCTGGTCTGTCTGGCTCCATAATACCACCAAGACCTGCCATAAGGAAACTAAATAGGTGGAGCACAGTGGCTCACGCCTGTAATCCAAGCACTTTGGGAGGCCGAGGTGGGCGGATCACAAGGTCAAGAGATCGAGACCATCCTGGCTAACATGGTGAAACCCCATCTCTACTAAAAATACAAAAAATTAGCCAGGTGTGGTGGTACGCCCCTGTAATCCCAGCGCTTTGGGAGGCCGAGGTGGGCGGATCACGAGATCAGGAGATCGAGACCATATTGGCTAACACGGTGAAACCCCATCTCTACTAAAAATACAAAAAATTAGCCGGGCGTGGTGCCACGTGCCTGTAGTCCCAGCTATTCGGGAGGCTGAGGCAGGAGAATCGCTTGAACCCAGGAGGTGGAGGTTGCAGTGAGCTAAGATCATGCCACTGCACTCCAGCCTGGGCGACAGAGGGACTCCGTCTCAAAAAAAAGAAACTAAATGAAAACAGGTTAAGTAGAAGAAGGAAGCCAGTCTATGATGGTCGACAAATGAACAATACACTCACACATAATAATCTGCGAGGTATACAAATAGATTCCATCTACTATCAATCTAGGGCACATCACTTCCAGCAAATCTTGCTTTTAATTTTAACAGCACTTGCATTATTCACAATACTTAATTTGACCTTTCAGTTTTCTATTTTTACACTGATTTTTACATGAAACTTACACATTAGCGAGAGAAGCACTTTAAATCAATCCCAAACAAAACACAAAATGAAAGTCTCTGAGTCAGGAAAGATTGGGAGGCAAAAGTTTGACCTTGTGAGTTGCATCCATTAGGAGCACTAGCAATCTTTGCCAGCCAGCAGCCAGTAGGCAGAGGGGTGGGAAGTAAACGCCAGGATAACGAGGCAAGACCGCCTCCCAATTCTCTTGAGTTACGCTTCTATTTTATTTTGTTTGAATTTTTTTGGTAGAGATGGGGTCTTGCTACGTTACCAGGGCTGGTCTTGAACTCCTGACCTCAAGTGATCTTCCTACTTCAGCCTCCTAAAGCACCGGGATAACAGGCATGAGCCACCATGGCACCTAGTCTTGCTGGAATTTTTGAGATCAAATCTGCCATGTGTAAATCTAAGTCTTTATAAGAAGCATATTTCAAAGCCAAATACTAGTAATGTTTATATCAGCCGCTATTTTACATTGCTCAGGCAGTGTTCTCTTTCACTAATGCTATTAGCTGAACATTGGTTCAATTGCTTAGAATGGAAACAATTATATGTAATATTTCATAGTTATTGCTCTTGACATATATCAAAAGAGAAGTGACACTGGATGTGACAATTCAAATAAATTCCAATATGGAACACAACTTTTGCCCCCAATTTTTCCTGTGTTTTCAAATAGAGATGCTAAGCTTTATTTCTCATACTACTTATTTGTTGGGTCCTGCTCACAGGACTGGAGGAGTGAGGTCAGTATGATATGGAGTGCTGGGAAGGGAAAAGCGTGGTCCCTTTAAATGATGCGGAATGGAGGAAGGGAAGTGCTGGGTAGAGAAAGGCGGGTCCCTGGCTAAGGCTCCTCCCCGACGAACCCCATTCCTGCTTTCCCGCTCAAATGTTGCATTTTCTAAGACCTCCCTGGCCCGCCATACGCCGATCCTGAACCTACGAAAACCCAAGACTGCGGGCACGGTGGCTCATGCCTGTAATCCCAGCACTTTGGGAGGCCGAGGCGGGCAGATCACGAGGTCAAGAAGTCGAGACCAGCCTTGCTAACATGGCGAAACCCTGACTCTACTGAAAATACAAAAATTAGCTGGGCGTGATGGCGTGCGCGCCTGTAGTCCCAGCTGCTCGGGAGGCTGAGGTAGGAGAATCGCTTCAATCCGGGAGGTGGAGGTTGCGGTAAGCAGAGATTGCGCCACTGCACTCTAGCCTGGCGACAGAGACTCCTTCAAAAACAACAACAACAACAACAACAACAACAAAACAAAACCTCCCAAGACCCTAGTGGGCAGACACACAGCCAGCCAGACATGGAGAGGAGCACATTAGCAGAAGAAGACGCAAGTGGCTGGTCCTCGAGAGGACGTTGAGAGGAGCATGCCAGCAGAAGAGCACACAACGACAGGCACCGACACACCACCGGCAGGCCATGCACCAGCAGAATGATGCGGAGTTTGACGGGGCAGTCAGAGAAGAGCCTGGGCCGCCAAGGGGCCCGACTCCAGGGGAAAACCATCTCCCTTCTGGCTCCCCCATCTGCTGAGAGCTACTTCTACTCAATAAAACCTTGCACTCATTCTCCAAGCCCACGTGTAATCCGATTCTTCAGGTAAGCCAGGGCAAGAAACCCCAGGATACAGAAATCCTTCTGTCCTTGTGATAAGAAAGGGGGTGTAATTGAGCTAACACAAACCGCCTATAGATGGCAACCTAAAAGAGCATCCTGTAACACACGCCCGCCCACTGGGGCTTCAGGAGCTGTAAATATTCACCCCTAGACACTGCTGTGCGATCGGAGCCCCACAGCCTGCCCGCCTGTATGCTCCCCTAGAGGTCTGAGCAGCAGGGCACTGAAGAATCGAGCCACACCTCATCACACACCCTGCGAGGGGGACAAGGGAGCTTTTCCCATATCAAGTAGATTGCCCTGGTGCTGCAGAAGCAGGAAAAACAGGACCTGCCCATACCCAAGAGCCCGGCAACTCTGGCTAGAGTGAGGCCTGAAATTGTGTCCGGAATTGGTGGGTTCTTGGTCTCACTGGCTTCCTCTCAAAATCACGCTCAAGAGACGCCACAGTTAGAGGTAATGGCACCTCTTTTTTTTTTTTAATTTTTAATTATTTATTTTTTGTGAACTGGGGTCTGGCTCTGTCACCCAGGCTGGAGTACAGTGGTGTGATCATAGCTCACTGCAATCTCGAACTTCTGGGCTCAAGTAATTCTCCTGTCTCAGCGCCTGAAGTTGCTGGGATTATAGGCAGGAGCCGCTGCTACTGGGTTTACTTTTTAAATTGTGGTAAAATACACATAACATAAAATTTACCATCCTAATCACTTTTAAGTATACAGTTCAGAGGTATTAAATACACTTAAAATGTTGTGCAACCAGCACCGCCACCCACTTCTGTAATTCTTTTCATCTTGCTGTTAAAATTATGAGAGGCCATTGTTTTGGACCTAGGCCAAATCAGATCAGACCTCTTTCTGCACTAGGCCCCAACAGACCAGACCAAATCAAAATGGAGTCACTCATGCTAAATGAGACATAATCAAAATGAAACTAAGGAAGCTGCAAAGCTTTGCTGCCATTTTTAGATTACTACTTTCCTGATTCAGCATTTTCTTGGTTACAACAAAAACAGACCAGTTTTTTTTTCTCACCTGAAAACAGGAGATTCCAGCATAAAGAGGTCCCTTCTGTTCTAACCCTTACCAAAAAAAACAAAACAAAACAAAAAAAAAACAAACCTGAAGTCCTGGTTCTCACATTTAAAAACTCACTGTTTTGCTATTTCCCACTGAGATTTGAGACCAAATAAGTACACTGACAATGGTGACAGAGTGACATCAATGTCTAAAGTTTTGGCCAATCAAAACTGAGAGGTTGACCAAAAGGGGGCAATTGTTAAATTAAGTTTTGCCTAAAGCTGCCTCCTTACATATTTTAAGTTTGGTCTAAATGTTTCTCCATACACAGTGAACTGTAACCTGACTGGAGGTGTAAACAGACTGTAACCTACTCTTGTGCCAATCATCCAGTTTTGGCCAATCACAGGTAGCCAACTGATCGAATGTGTTCAACACCCAGCTGTAACCAATCAGGCTGTTTCTGTACCTCACGTGTGTTTTCTGTATGTCACTTGCATTTTTCTGTGAAAAATCCTCTCTGACTGCGAGGCAGTGCCAGAGTTGCTCTTAACTTATTCAAGGAGGTCGGGGAGTCTGCATGGTTCTTGAATTGTTCTTTGCTGAATTAAACTCTGTTAAATTGTCTAAAGTTTTTTTTTAACATTGCAAAACTGAAACTGTACATCCATTAAACACTAACTCCCCATTCCCTTCTCCCCCCAGCCCCAGACGACCATCATTCTACTTTCTGTCTCTATGATTTTGATTACTCTAAGTATTATTGGTACCCTTTATGTAGCACCTTGGTGACTGAAGACCAGGTTCAGGGAGGTTTTTGTGTTTTGGTTTTGCTTTTTGTTTGTTCTTTTTTTTGAGACAGGGTCTCACTCTGTCACCCAGGGTAGAGTGAGTGGTGTGATCACAGCTCACTGTAGCCTTGAGCTTCTGGGCTGAAGCGATCCTCCCACCTCAGCCTCCTGAGTAGCTGGGTCTATGTGCATGTGCCACCATGCCCAACTAATTTTTTAATTTTTTTGTAGAGGTGTGGTGTCTTACTGTGTGGCCCAGGTTGGTCTCAGACTCCTGGCTGCAAGCAATCCTCTCACCTCAGCCTCTCAAAGTGTTGGGATTACAGGTATGAGCCACCACACCCAGCCAGGCTCAGGTTCCTAATGTTGGTTATCCATCTATGAGTACCAACATGCAGCAGTGGTAATTATATTAAAACTTACTATAATTTTAATTAATCTTTTGTTTTTGTTTTTGTTTTTTTTTTTAAGACAGAGTCTCGCTCTTTTGCCTAGCCTGCAGTGCAGAGTGGCACGATCTCGGCTCACTGCAACCTCTGTCTCCTGGGTTCAAGCCATTTTCCTGCCTCAGCTTCCTGTAGCTGGGAGTACAGGCATGTGCCACCACACCCAGCTAATTTTTTTTTTTTTGTATTTTTAGTAGAAACAGGTTTTCGCCATGTTGGCCAGGCTGGTCTCGAACTCCAGACCTCAAGTGATCTGCCCGCCTTGGCTTCCCAAAGGGCTGGGATTACAGGCATAAGCCACTGCGCTCGGCCTGATTTTCATACATAGTACATATGTATATATATATATATTTAATATAATTTTCAAAATCTGAGCATTATTATATTACAGTTTGCAAGATCTTAGCATTATCATAATATCTTTTTTATTTTGTCTTAGGCCTCTCCTGCCAGTTCTAAAAACTAGTAGAATAAAAACCTTAGGTACTAAGTTATACTTCGTTTACCATTTTCTCTAATTTATTATTTCAACTCAGAATCACAAAAGAATGCTCATTCAAACACAGTGGTAATATGACAGTGAGTAGCACTTGAGAAACACAAGCCAGACACAGTGGCTCACACCTGTAATTCCAGCACTTTGGGAGGCTGAGGTGGGAGGATTGCTTGAGCTCAGGAGTTTAAGACTAACCTGAGCAATATGACAAAACCCAGTATCAACAAAAAATACAAAAAAAAATTATTTATTTGGGCATGGTGATGAGTGACTGTATTCCCAGCTATTCTAGAGGCTCAGGCAAGAGGATGGCTTGAACCCAGGAGGCGAAGGTTGCAGTGAGCCAAGATCACGCCACTATACTCCAGCTTGGACAACAGGGCAAGACCCTAAGAAAAACAAAAACAAGCCACCTTTCCATGTGGATTATATTCCTAGGCAATTTACTATACGTGGAAATAAAGTGTATCAACTATTATTTTCTCCCAGAAACACTGCTGTAACAGAAGGGTAAAGTTCCTGACCTAGGGCCTTATGCCAACTTTTACTAAATGCAGGACTTAATAAACTATAAATGATATATTTTAGTTTCATAGCATAAAGCTTTCTAACACACACACATAAATCAATTAAGTAGTGCTACAAGTAGTCAATAAACATAAAATCCATTTAATATGGTGCAGTCTGTTTGACCACATCTTCCTGCCAACTATTACACTGAAGCAAAACAACTCCAATGGGCAGGCTTATTCATTTTATGGATTTCAGGATGATTTCCTTGAGGACATTTTGACGAGTATATTGAAGGAAAGTTTGGGGCAGTTATGTGATGCCGTTCTGGAAAAGAAAAAAAGTGAACTCAGGAGTGATTACTTGCCATTCCCTCGTTCTCTGATAGTCAATTTTCCTGTTGTAAAACCTAGGGATTAGAACTAATCACAGCCCACTAGTGTGGTTAAGGTTGGGATTCATTTTCTCAAAAGGGGAGAGCAACATATGTTCATGTGAGAAACTGCCTGTTTACGTGTCAGAAGTTACAACATGGGTGTAATTGGCAAAGGGCTGTAAGTGTGAATGGCTATGAGTACAAATCACTGTAAGGATTGCTTGCATGATTTCCCCCTCCAATTTATCACTGAGTGGAAGAAACATGAGCGGGGAGATCTTGGTTCTTGTCATCCCAGTTAATAAATTCAAAGCAAAAATGGGCAGACTCACAGAAGGCCTGAGAGTCCTGAACTAGACCTTCAAATAATCCCAAATGTCATGTCAGACTACTGTTCTGTGATAAGAAATGGTCAGTTATCTTTTAAGAACCCAATAAACATCACGCAAAGTGGATCTCTAATAATTATTCTCCAAATCTTGTGATAAAATACTGAGCTTTATGTCAAGTCAGCCCTGTGTGGCAGGACACCGTGAGCAGTACAATTTGTTCTACCTCAGGTTGAGGGATAAAAGAAACCACTCATTTAATCTTGTATTACATCAAAATTGATTTGGTCAAAAGTCACAAATTAGTTCAGTCATTTTTGACAGCATGATTTTTATCAGAGGACCAAAAGTTTGGTTAAATGATGGGAGAGAAGGGGAGAAGATTTTGTTTCCAATCTTGGGAAAAAGATCTGTGCATCAAAATTATTCACCTATCATTTTCAGATACCATTGTTCACAATAACTCTCCTAGAGCTGTGTTTATTTTTTGCAGAATGCACTCTGTCAGTTACATTGATCTTAAAGGGCTTAGTTATTCCTTTCCTTGCTGTGCAACCAACTCCACCAAAGTTGTGTTTATCTCTGCTTGTTTTCTAATCCAGTGGAACCAAGGAGGCAAGATGGTCAGGTATGATATGATTTCCCCTTAATATGGAAACTGCTGTTTATCTAGTATGTTGCAAAAGTAGTAGCCTTGCTCTCTAATCACCTAAAACATACCTGAAAGCAAGAAGGTTCTCTCCCAAAAGCTGGTAAACACAATGTCACAAACCAACCTGTCTGCCATAAAGGCACTGGTGATGTCCACAACGTGTCCTTCAGGAGGTCAAACAAGTGACACTCTCAGATTCTGAAAGTGGAGAGCCACCACCCCTTTAGGCCCTTCTAAGTATGGAAGAGAGGAAGGGAACCAGCGATTAGTTTTACTTCTTTAGAAAATCCAGCTCTTTTTCAGATTATTTCTTTTTTGCCTTCATCCCAGAGAGTAAAATTCCTTTGAAACAAGGAAGCATTTCTTTCAAGAACATCTTTACCTGCTTTAGCTTTTGTTTTCTGATAGTCAACCCCACCCATTGTTTCACTTGACAAGTAAGGGAAAGAAAGATTTTTTTTTTAACTCATCTAAAGAAGGAGAACCTGTATGGATGGATCTTGAAACCAGTGGAGTGGGTGCCCACTGTGGGCAGGACTAGGAGCAAGGAGGTGCACTAAAGCCAGCCTTTACATGGAGCCGCCTCACCCAAATTCAAAATCTGTTTAACCATCAACTTGCCTTAAACAAGAAGATAAGTCTTTTAAGCAAAGCAATGGAACTCATTAAGAGGTACTTTTAAGACATCTCTCAAATGTACATAATAAGCTGTATTAAGGATCATGAAATAATAGTATCTACCATTTACTGAGCTCTCATTTTGCACCAGGTGCTTTACATATCTCATCTCACTTGCATAGCAGCATCTCACTTGCATAGTTATTATCATTACCCCCATTTTACACATGGGCCTGTGGTCTCATCCAGGCATGGCATCAGTGACCAAGCTGGGATTTGAACCTAGAAATTTATGCTTTTGCTGCTATACCAAATGATGTCCCTCAAAAGAAATAATCTACGAAGCTGCTTTGTAAACAGTAAAGTTTCAGAATATTTTATAGTGACAGCTTAAACATATTCTGCAAAGTTTGGCCAGAAGGCAAAACAGGACTCTGTTCTTCAAAGTGCAACGAGCCTGGGTTTAGTTGTCACTCACTGCCAGGGATAGGCTCATTCTTTGCCATTGATCCCTGTGGGAACTGTGATTGTCTTCATTTGTAAAATTATGATAATAACTACTTAAAAAGTTATTTTGAGGGACAAATAGATAATGGATGTAAAATACTTCCTGGCACATCATAGGCAAAGCAGGTATACTTGATCAATAAATGTTCCTTTATCTCTTTCCCTCACAACTGTCAAAAACAACAAAGTGTGTCCTCTAGCTTGGCTAATACCATGCATGTCTCACCTCTTCAGTCACCTAAGCTGAACTTTGAATCATCCTTGATGCATTCAAAAAAACGTTTTTTGAGCACTTACCTTACACCTAGCAGTATTTTAGGCATGGGAGATCTAGGTGTGTAGAAAATATCTGAATAGAATTTAAATATTTTTTCATCTCCCCAGCCTCCCACCCAGATAATCATCAAAGTCCTGTTCATTGTACGTGTGTTAGAAATTGAGATTACCATCTTGCCTTAAATTTGCCCTATTCTGTTCTTTCCTAGTGTCACCTCCCAAATGTGGAAATGCATTGTCTTTCTTCTTTCCTAGACCAGTGGTCCTCAAACTTGAGCAGGTATAAGAATCATCATCTGGGTGCAGGGGCTCACACCTTAGTCCCAGCACTTTGGGAGGCTGAGTGGGTTGGATTGCTCAAGGCCAGCCTGGGCAACATAGTGAAACCTTGTTTCTACGAAAAATAAAAGATTAGCCAGGTATGGTGGTCCGCCTGCAGTCCCAGCTACTTGGCAGCCTGGGGCAGGAGGATGACTCGAGCCCAGGGATTCGTGGCTGCAGTAAGCTATGATCATGCCACTGCACCGCAGCCTGAGTAACAGGGTGAGACCCTGTCTCAGAAACAAAAACCAAAAAAATCGTCATCTGGAGAGTGTGTTGAACCTCAGATTGCTGCCTCTCCCATCCTCTGGAATTCCCAGGTGATGGTAATGCTGCTGGTCCAGGGACTACACTTTGAAACCACTGGCCCAGACTATTACCTCACTTACCTCTTCATCTCTTCACAAGTAACCTCATCATTTTCTAATCCAGGAATCAACAAACCCTGGCCCTTTGAGCCAAATCAAGCCCACAGGTTGTCTTCATCAATAAAGTTTTATGGGAACACAACCATGCCCATTTGTTTACACATTGTCCATGTCTGCTACGAGGCAGAAATAAGTAGTTGTGACACAGATCATATGACCCACAAAGCCTAAAATGTTTATGATCTGACCCTTTACAGAAAATAATTTTTTGGACCTCATCTTTACCATGCTACAAAAATGGTCTTGCCAAAAATACACCCATCCAGTCACCCTCTAACTTAAAAGATGGTTTCTCATTGCCTGCATAGTCAAGTCCCATGTTTTCTATGGTGTGACAACCCGTCCAACTCTGTTTTACCTATCTCTTTGTCCAATAATTTAACCATCCTTAACTTCTTAGTTTTCTTCAAGCAGTTCAAATCCTCCATGGTTTCCAAGTCTTCCCACATCTTGTCGCTCTATGTACAATATCCTTCTCTCATTTCTTCACAGGATAAGCAACCACATCACATGAGTTTAATTTTTTTTTCTTAGATCTACTCATTTGTCAGTTTAATTTTTGAGATTTCAACTATTCACTCTGTCTCTCACTCAAAGAGACAGGGAGAATGAGGACAATACTGCCTGCCCATTCATTTCACATAATGAGTTTATGTTTGTGAATGAACGTGAGATGCGAGACTTTACCCTACCATTCCCTCAGTCCACTCAGACCCCCGGTGCCCGTCCTGTGTTAGTGTGAGGCTTTCACCACAGAGGGTGTAATCCCAGTGTTGAAGGATAACCGTTTTTCATACAACAGAGCCAATAAACACAAGCCAACTTCTGCATCTGGTGCTCAAAGAAGCAGCAACAATCTGTTCCAAAGCTGGAGGAAAACTGGCTGTGTGGGGCTTACTGGATACTGAATATCTAGATACTAAATACCTAGGTGCTGTACTTTATGGGTGATTTAAGGGTTCACTTCAAACATCAGCATTTATTTGTTTATATTTTATTATTTTTTATTTTTTTAATTTTTTGAGATGGAGTTTTGCTCCTGTTGCCCAGGCTGGAGTGCAATGGCATGATCTCGGCTCACTGCAACCACTGCCTCCCAGGTTTAAGTGGTTCTCCTGCCTCAGCCTCCCGAGTAGCTGGGACTACAGGAGCACGCCGTCATGCCTAATTTTTGTATTTTTAGTAGAGATGGGGTTTCACCATGTTGGCCATGCCTGGTCTCGAACTCCTGACCTCAGGTGATCCACCTGCCTTGGCCTCCCAAAGTGCTGGGATTACAGGTGTGAGCCACCGCACCCGGCCAACATCAGCATTTAGAACCTAAACCCTAAATAAAATCTAACTCACTCTTTAAGCTTTGGCACAAATGTCGTTTCTTATTTGCTCTGATGTGGGTCAGTCTTCCTTCATGCTCCCGTAAGTATCAGAGTTCCTTCAATCATTTGCACATATCTGTGTTATAATGTTGAACTGTAATTATTTATTTAATTTTCAGTCTCTCTCCTTTAGGCAGTGAGCTCTCCAAGGACAAAGGCATATTATTTGTTTAGCTAGCTTTTAGAGATAGGGTCTTGCTAAGTTTCCCAGGCTGGAGTGAAGTGGCTATTCATAGGTGAGATCCCACTATTAATTAGCACAGAAATTTTGACCTACTTCATTTCTGACCTGGGCCAGTTCACCTCTCCTTAGGCAACCTAGTGGGCCTCACTCCTGGGAGGTCATGATATTGATGCCAGTTTAGTGTGGACACCCAGTGAGCATAGCTCACTACAGCCCAGAAGTTCTGGGCTCAAGCTGTCCTCCTGCCTCAGCTCCCAAGTATCTGGGACTACAGGTACATGCCACCATGTCCAGCAACAAAGACATATTTTAGTTATCCTGTGTTTGTGTCTGTCTCAATACCTAGCCTTAGTATAAACATTTAGCAAATGTTTATTGATGAAATGGATGAAGTCCCACCTCCCATTTTGGACCACTTGCCCTTCTCAGAAATGATCTATGAACTCTCACTGAATGTTCAGTTAACGTCCATGGTTTATCATTTCAATGCATTTTAATTCTTCCAGTATTCATTTTTCTTCTCCACTAGGTTTAAGCATGGTCATAGCAGAATCAATGTGCTCACCCCATCATGAAAAAAAAAATGTGTTAATGAATTGATTACTACTTTGAGTGTGCCATATTTTAAAGACGAAGAGAAACTAATCAAGTTAGTTTTTATTTGGTCAGAGGCTTGTTTGTGCCTGCTTATCTAAAGTTATAAAGGCCCCAAATATGGCTCCGTGTTGCAGAGGGACTGTCTCTTCTTATATCGACAGAGCCCATATTCACAATGTATCACACTTACCTCGATGTATTGTCTGGAGTTTCCTAGGCTGTGTCCTTTGCCTGGAATGCTCTCTCTTGCTGGCTGGCTTCTTCCCACCAGCTGTGGCCAGGGCTGCTCCTTATTCCTTCGTCAAAACTCCGTCTGCTGGGTGTGGTGCCTCACACCTGTAATCCCAGCACTTTGAGAGGCCAAGGTGGGAGTATCGTTTGAGCCCAGGAGTTCAAGACAAGCCTGGACAACAGAGCAAGACCCTGTCTCTACCAAAGAAAAGAAAAGAAAAGAAAAGAAACAGCCACTTTCTCTTCCATGAGCCAGTTTATGTTTTCTTCACGGCATTTGTTACAAATGTAAGTTAAAAGTCCTAAATACATATTTGTTCAATGAATGTCGAAGTGCTCTGACCTTATATTCAATTTTCCTATCCAAGGCAAAAACCATTATGGGAAAAATAGTAGAAAATTGGCTACTTAAAAGTTAACCACACTTAAGAAAGTCTAGCATGCAAGGTAGTGATTATCCTGGAGCATTCAAAAGGCATTTGGGTCTCATTTACGAGGGGTTTTCTGCAGACCTCAGTTTCTTAAATTTTAGTCAATATATTTTTAAAGTAGGCATAATTTATCACACGCTTTTGCAGCTTTACTCTTTATAACTCTAAGAAACTGTAGAAAATGTTTTCTTTCCCTGTCTCCTACATGTTTGAAGATGAAATTGAAAATTCAGCCAATAAAACTGTGCTAAAAAGTTTGACACTAAGAAAAAGAAAGGCCCCTCTCCTGGTGAGTTTCACTGTGAGATGGCTGGAAATGTTGATTGGTGGATCTGTGTTTGTTCGTTAGTTTGGGGCCTGGACACTGAGAGTTAAGTCCACTTAGAGATGTCAGGGAACCCATACTTTTGGTTAAAAGCCAAAAGGGAATGTGGGGAGGGAGTTACGGACTGAAATAGGCGGTAGGGTTTTCTCCCTGTGTGTCCCCCTTTCTCTGTCCCTTGTTTGGTTTATGCATAGATTTTTGTTGTGTATCCTTCAATCCCTTCCACATTACCCTTCTCTCTTTCACCCTTAAACTGAGATTTAGAACTAAAATGAGAGTTTACGAAGGTACTGGCTATAATTATTTTATTTACTATTTATTAATTTTTTTGAGACAGGATTTCTCTCTGTTGCCCAGGCTGGAGTACAGTGGTGCAATCATGGCTCACTGCAACTTTGAGCTCCCAGGCTCATGCAATTCTGCCACCTGTGCCTCCTGAGTAGCTGGGACGACAGGCACATGCCACCATGCCCAGCTAATCTTTTTACTTTTTGTAGAAATAGGGTCTCACTATGTTGCCTAGGCCGGCCTTGGACTCCTGGGCTCAAGCAATTCTCATGCCTCAACCTCCCAAAGTGCTAGGATTACAGGTGTGAACCACCGCGCCTGGCCTATAATTATGAAAAAAAACCCCACTATTTTCTGATATGATTTTTAATTTATTCCTCTAATATAATATTCTATTACTCAGGTTTACTTTAGACAAAAACTACCTCCTTTGCTTACTATTTTTAAATGGTTATTGAAGGAGTCAATAGCCTGCAAATATGTGCATTTCTTTGACCCAGAAACTTTGCTTCTAGGAATTTGTATTAAGGAAATAATTCAACCAGTAGGTAAAGAACTTGTATAAGCCTGTTTATTCTAGACCTGTTCCATCTTATTGAAAAATTCATACACAACCTAAATGTCCAACAATAATGTTGATTAAATAAATGTAAGTATATCCATACAATTAAATGTTATACAGCTATTAAAATTAATGATGTCAGCAGGGCACAGTGGCTCACGCCTGTAATCCTAGCACTGCCGAGGCGGGCAGATCAGTTGAGGTCAGGAGTTTGAGACCAGCCTGGCCAACATGATGATGTTGGCTGGGCGCAGTGGCTCACGCCTGTAATTCCAGCACTGCTGAGGCGGGCAGATCACTTGAGGTCAGGAGTTTGAGACCAGCCTGGCCAACATGGCGAAACCCCGTCTCTACTAAAAATACAAAAATTAGCCAGGCATGATAGCACATGCTCGTAATCCCAGCTACTCAGGAGGCTGAGGCAAGAGAATTGCTTGAACCCGGGGGGCAGAGGTTGCAATGAGCCAAGATCACGCCACTGCACTCCAGCCTGGGTGACAGAGACAGACTGTCTCAAAAAATAAAATAAATGATGTAGATATTTATTCCCATAAAAGATATTTATGCCATATAGTACAATAATAAAAGTAGTTTGCTAAATGGTATGCATCATATGATCTCTACTTTAAATGAATGTATGTATACACACACATAAATTATATAGTGATTACTTCTGGTGATGTGATTATGAGTGAATTTTCTTTTTCGTTCACATGAAATGTCTAATTTTTCTATAATTAGAAAAACTGTTACTTCTATAATAAAAATAGTTTACTATAACCAACAAAACTTGGTGCTTATTTTATGTGACAGTCTATGAATTTGAATAGAAAATGGCATCCATTTGTGTTCTAATTAATGTTGTAATCCTGTTCTTTCACTCTCTTTTCAACTTTTTTGCTTCTCCTCAATTAAAGAAATTCTCGTGTACTGAAGAAACCATTGGTGAGAAACTTGTCAAGGTCTCTGGAGCTCAAATGTGCCTTAAAATAAAAAGGAGATAAAATGAAAAATTCACTACTCCAGGGATCTGTTCTATAGTGGAAACGCTCCTTATACTATGAGGATTTTCTTTCCATCTATTTGATTTTAATGGCTTTTAACTTCGAAATGTCTGAGGAGTAGATGTCTAAGGGTTTTGGTTCATTCAATGTGCTCTCCTCACCTGGACATGCAGGGACATGAGTGACTGCGAATGTGGACCTTGTTAAGGCCGTATGCCCATAAGCAAAGGAAATGTGAAATTGAGAAAACTTTCCAAGGCCTCACAACTTTCCAGGCCTCCCCTGACCTATTTGTATTTTCCAGACACACAACACCTTCCTCTGAATTATCCTCATTATTCCCAAGTAGCCCTGGATTCCACCTCCTGCCCTTTGTCGATGGCCAAACTAGAGACCTGGCTTGGATAGTGCTAGCAATAAGCTCGCGGTTGGCCACAGCTGGAGGAAAGCCTTCACTCAGGAGATACATGGACTTCTAATATCTTCTAATATTGCAACCCCAAACGTGAGGTTAAAGGAGCTGAGTGAAGGATCAGGGCCTGCCAATTGCACGTGCTATTTTTAGCTCCTGTATTTGGTCCAGGTGACCTGGGGGACCACTCGTCCTCTCTGCACATTGGTTTTTCAATTGACAAAATGGACAGTGTACTGTTGTAGGCAGGAGAACTTCTTATTTAAAGGCAAAGGAAAGAATGCCATAAGCACAGTAGGCTCAGCAGAGCTAATAATGATGCGGGGGCCCAGAATTCTTGCCTAGATTTTATCTCTGGCTTGTTGTGTGTCCCTGAGCACTTAGGCTATTTCTGTGGCCTCATGCATAGACAGGTATAATACCCTGTTCTCTCCACTTTCATTATATGGGCACTGCGAGGATAAAATAGCTAGTTAATGAGATTTAAAATAGGAAGAAAATGTTTTGGAAGCCTTCAAAGTACTTGGAGATTTTCAGATTCTGATTAAATAGAAGGTATTGTTAGGAGAAAAATCTGGACAGTTCATATCATGTACGTATTGTTTCCTTGAGTGTTGTATTTATTGGGCAATTTTTTTTTCTTTTCAGCACAAATGTGGAGGAAAAATGAAGGCAAAGCAAAATAACAGGCAAGTCTGAAAACAAAAGTGTTGCCAGTCACGCTAAGCCTCAGGCACGCATTCTGAATGAAGCTAAAGTTTAAAGTCCCCTCTGATAGATTTGTGACTTAAATGTCCACACTAGCAAGTGTGTTTCTCACATGGAGAAGTAGCACGATTTTATGTCAGGAAAGGGATGAGAACATGCTTCTTGAACACATACAATGCTGAAGACATTTCCTGGAAAACCATTGGCCTTTGCTTAGGACAGTTGCATCACACAGAGATGTTTGTGGTTCAGATTTATAAGAAACATGGGAACTGAAGCCAAAGCACTACTTTTGCTCAGTATAACCAGGTGCCAGATCTAAAGTGTTAGGCAGGTTCCTATATGTATGTTAGAAAAAAGTTGCCCAAGTTTTGGACAATTCCTTTTCCATCTCTCTTACAAGTCAACAAATCGAAGCAATAAACTATTCTCTGAAGAAAACAAATTTATTTGGTTGATTCAAACTTTTAATGAGACTATTACTCCCCTGTGTGCCTTTCCTTTCTCTGGTTCTAGAAATACATCTAGAAAGGGGGAAAATGTTAATATATTTTCTACTGACTTTATATCACAAATGCTTAGCTTAGAGGGTGGACTCTGAGGAACAGTGTCCTTTCCAAATATTATAAAACTTTGTGTTCATTCTGGAAAAACAAACAAAATTAATCACAATGATTTCCTGCTTTGGAGCAATGAGAAATGGGAGGGAAACTTCACCTTTTCATAGCTTTTGATGTTTGCACCATGTGAATTACCCACCCCCAAATTTAAAATACGAATTTTTGAAAAAGTGTTTACCTCTGAGAAGAGAAACTAGTAGTGAAGAATGAGGAGCTGTAGATTTTTAACGATTCTGATGTATTTGCATTTTTCCCAATGTTCATGAATAAATAAATGTGCATTCATAATTAAAAAGAATAAACAACCTGGAAAAAACAAAAAAAGCTCTGCGTTCACTGATCTCTAAATAAGAAAAGATAAGACTTGTAGTGTGGCCTTGTACTTGTACATCTTTTCCATGTGCCAAAGAGCTACCCCATGGTCAAGCCAAGTGGTGATTATGTAGCTTTCTCTGAACAGACATAATAGGGCTACACATTCACTGTGAAAAAGCTGCAGACAGATGACACCAGTCAACAGAACACCCTACACAGAAACTGTAAAACCATTTTAACACTTACTTCAGATATTATTACATGTGACAAAGTATTTGAAAGATCAACCAAATAAACTGTTCCCAGGAAACATTTCCAATAGAATGCTTCTTGAATAATGTTGCTTTTCTTAGGTCAGTGGGAATTGAATTAAGACACTGAAACACAGAGTCAAGATAAGAACCAGTATTTTTAGCCGAATACTTTTATAGAAGCCTCCAGATACTATACTACTTCTCAATCCTTTTTTTCTTTTGCATAGAGAAAAAACTGAAATAGATTGTCTCCTTTATATGGCAGAGAATCTATATGGGGGTATTACAAATGCAACAAGTTTCCAAATTTGACAGCATATATCTATATAGCCAATTATCCATTTGTTCATTCATCACTTATCTTACTATGCACGAGGCTCTGAGATGCTGTGAAGATAGAGAAATGAATAAGACCCAGTTGTAGGAGGGAGTCTGATGTGAGCATCAGAGAGCAAGGGTCGTGTGACAAGGAAGGCATGGTACTGTAAAGCACAGGTGTACTCTTGAGGCAGGGAGGAAAGCAACACCTCTTGAGGAAGGTGGCCATGGAGCTTACAAAGACCAGCTACACCTACTATGTACCCGCAAAAATTAAAAATTAAAAAAAGAGCCATGCATATAAAGCACCTACTACACTCCCTGGCACGTAGTAAAGGACTGATAAGTCTTAGCTGTCATATAGAATGTAGTAGAAGAATGCCTGCGGTATTTTGGGAGCCTCTTGCAAGAATATGTAATTCAGTCTGAAAGTGGGAGAGAGAAAAAGACGAAGTAAATCCTAAGAAGATGTTCTTCAGGAGCTAATTGATCATTCTTAGAACTGTATTAAGTTCATAAACAATGAATTGATGACTTTAACTCAAAGGAAGGTTGGATTTTCTCCTGAGCTTGAGTTCAAGCAGGGATACTTCACCTATTACACTAGGAACAAAAAGGCCACGGCGTCCCATCCTTGGCCTGTAGCATTTTAGACTGGGTAATTCTTTGCTGTGGAGGGTTGTGCTGTGCATTGTAGGATGTTTGGCAGCCTTCCTGGTCTCTACCCACTAGAGATGCCAGAAACAGTTCCCTGGTTGTGACAACCAAAAATGTCTCTAGATATTGCCAAATGTCCCCTGGAGGTAAAAATCTCCCCCAGTGAAGAATCACTGCCTAAGACCAAGACCATTTCGTTAAGTATTTATAATATTTAGTTAGCTATTAAGCTGCAGATGGAAAATTAAGGTTCATAGAGAACCAACTTAAATATTTTCCTCTTATTTCTATGACTGCTAAATGTATCGTGATGAAAACTATCAAATGAACATGTCTGAAGACTAGCGTATTCTCATTTTCTACTTGCCAGTCATAACAGGGTCTGAGACATGCTCCAGGAAAATGGCTCAAATTTGACGTGGGCAACACTTATTTATGGAAGTGAGAACTTATCCTAGTTTCTAAATGCTTTTATCAAAGCATTAATAAAATAATAATACTTAAATATTATTAAGTATTTTATGAAGTTAAGCCTTTTTTGCAGAAACTAGATTATAGTATTTTAGACCATCAAGGTCACCATGACTTCCATATTCAATGTTGCCGACTAGTTCCCTGAGAACTCTCCCTGGCCTGTTGGCAGAAGGTCCTGGAGTAGAGACCCCTGCCTTTCATCATTGTCCTCTGCCCTTGATGAAAAACTGCAAGGCTGGGCACAGTGTCTCACGCCTGTAATCCCAGCACTTTGGGAGGCCGAGGTGGGCGGATCACCTGAGGTTGGCAGTTCAAGACTAGCCTGACCAACATGGAGAAACCCCATCTCTACTAAAAATACAGAATTAGCAGGGTGTGGTGGCACTTGCCTGTAATCCCAGCTGCTCGGGAGGCTGAGGCAGGAGAATCACTTGAACCCGGGAGGGGGAGGTTGCGGTGAGCCAAGATCGTGCCATTGTATTCCAGCCTCGGTAACAAGAGCAAAACTCCATATCAAAAAAAAGAAAGAAAGAAAGAAAAATTGCAAAAAGCAAGGGTGCTCTAGAGGCTTCTGGAAGATTTTCTGTTTATCTGCAAAGGTAATTCCATCCTGCCTTTTGTGGTCCTTCTAACTGCTTAAGCAAACATATGTAGTAAACCATGATTAACTGGAACTTACTATGTAACGAAAGAAGTTTAAAAAAGAAAAATTATTTTGTTTTTAAAAGAAAAAAGGAAATCAGAGAAAGCATGCTTATATTTAAAATTTATATTTTTGGCCAGGTGCAGTGTTTCACACCTATAATCCCAGCACTTTGGAAGGCCAAGGTAGGAGGATTGCTTGAAGCCAGGAGTTTAAGACCAGCCTGGGCAACGAAGTGAGACCCTGTCTCTCCAAAAAATAAAATCGAATATAATTAGCCAAGCTGGTGGTGCATGCCTGTAGTCCCAGCTACTCGGGAGGCTGAGGCAGGAGGATCATCTGAGTCTCAGAGTTCAAGGCTGCAGTGAGCTATGATTGCACCACTGCACTAGAGCCTGGGCAACAGAGTGAGACCTCATCTTGGGGAAAAAAATAATATTTTTTAAAAATAAAACTTTCAATACAAGAGCTAGATAAAAAATAATCAATCAAGGATATCCTTAATCACAATTTGTTGATGATACAGTTGTTGTTGTTGCCATTACATAAAGGATTAAAGTGTTTTTCTCTTTAGATGGTTTATACCATTTTTACTTCCAAAATGAGCTTGAGGTTTTTTTTTAAAAAAAAAAACAAACATATATGCATATACAAAGATGTTTATGTAGAAATGGCCCGCTTCCTTTTCTATAAGCACAAATTAGAGCATACTCTTCACATTGTTCAACAGATTATACTTTTTTACTTAACAATATATTGTGGAGGCAATGCTGTATCAATTCATAATGCTGGAATTCAGTCTTCTAAACAGTTGTATAGTATTCCATTGGATAAATGTACCATGTTTTTTTTTATTATTTTATTATTATTATACTTTAAGTTTTAGGGTACATGTGCACAATGTGCAGGTTTGTTACATATGTATACAAGTGCCATGTTGGTGTGCTGCACCCATTAACTCGTCATTTAGCATTAGGTATGTCTCCTAATGCTATCCCTCCGCCCTCCCTCTACCCCACAACAGTCCCCAGAGTGTGATGTTCCCCTTCCTGTGTCCATGTGTTCTCATTGTTCAGTTCCCACCTATGAGTGAGAACATGTGGTGTTTGGTTTTTTGTCCTTTCAATAGTTTGCTGAGAATGATGGTTTCCAGTTTCATCCATGTCCCTACAAAGGACATGAACTCTTCATTTTTTCTGGCTGCATAGTATTCCATGGTGCATATGTGTCACATTTTCTTAATCCAGTCTATCGTTGTTGGACATTTGGGTTGGTTCCAAGACTTTGCTATTGTGAATAGTGCCGCAATAAACATACGTGTGCATGTGTCTTTATAGCAGCATGATTTATAATCCTTTGGGTATATACCCAGTAATGAGATGGCTGGGTCAAATGGCATTTCTAGTTCTAGATCCCTGAGGAATCGCCACACTGACTTCCACAATGGTTGAACTAGTTTACAGTCCCAGCAACAGTGTAAAAGTGTTCCTATTTCTCCACATCCTCTCCAGCACCTGTTGTTTCCTGACTTTTTAATGATTGCCATTCTAACTGGTGTGAGATGGTATCTCATTGTGGTTTTGATTTGCATTTCTCTGATGGCCAGTGATGGTGAGCATTTTTTCATGTGTTTTTTGGCTGCATAAATGTCTTTTGAGAAGTGTCTGTTCATATCCTTCACTCACTTGTTGATGGGGTTGTTTGTTTTTTTCTTGTAAATTTGTTTGAGTTCCTTGTAGATTCTGGATATTAGCCCTTCGTCAGATGAGTAGGTTGCAGAAATTTTCTCCCATTTTGTAGGTTGCCTGTTCACTCTGATGGTAGTTTCTTTTGCTGTGCAGAAGCTCTTTAGTTTAATTAGATCCCATTTGTCCATTTTGGCTTTTGTTGCCATTGCTTTTGGTGTTTTAGACATGAAGTCCTTGCCCATGTCTATGTCCTGAATGGTATTGCCTAGGTTTTCTTCTAGGGTTTTTATGTTTTTACGTGTAATATGTAAGTCTTTAATCCATATTGAATTAATTTTTGTATAAGGTATAAGGAAGGGATACAGTTTCAGCTTTCTACATACGGCTAGCCAGTTTTCCCAGCACCATTTATTAAATAGGGAATCCTTTCCCCATTGCTTGTTTTTGTCAGGTTTGTCAAAGATCAGATAGTTGTAGATATGTGGCATTATTTCTGAGGGCTCTGTTTTATTCCATTGATCTATATCTCTGTTTTGGTACCAGTACCATGCTGTTTTGGTTACTGTAGCCTTGTAGTATAGTTTGAAGTCAGGTAGCATGATGCCTCCAGCTTTGTTCTTTTGGCTTAAGATTGACTTGGCAATGCGGTTTTTTTTTTTTTTTTTTTTTTTTGAGACGGACTCTCACTCTGTCGCCCAGGCTGGAGTGCAGTGGCACGATCTTGGCTCACTGCAAGCTTCTTCTCCTGGGTTCACACCATTCTCCTGCCTCAGCCTCCTGAGTAGCTGGGACTACAGGTGCCCGCCACCACACCCAGCTAATTTTTTCTGAATCTTTAGTAGAGACAGGGTTTCACCGTGTTAGCCAGGATGGCCTCGATCTCCTGACCTCGTGATCTGCCCATCTTGGGCTCCCAAAGTGCTGGGATTACAGGCATGAGCCACCACGCCCGGCTTTTTTTTTTTTTTGTGTGTGTGTGTGTGTGTGTGTGTGTGTGTGTGAGAGATGGAATTTTGCTCTTGTTGCCCATACTAGAGTGCAATGGTGTGATCTCAGCTCATTACAGCCTCCGCCTCCTGGGTTCAAGCAATTCTGCCTCACCCTCCCGAGTAGCTGGGATTACAGGCATCCATCACCATGCTCAGCTAATTTTTTATATTTTTAGTAGAGACGGGGTTTCACCATATTGGCCAGGCTGGTCTCGAACTTCTGACCTCATGTGATCCACCCACCTTGGCCTCCCAAAGTGTTGAGATTATAGTCGTGAGCCACCATGCCTGGCCTGTACCATGATTTATTAAACTATGTCCTTATTGATAAAAATGTAGGTGTTTCAAGCATTTTGTTACTAAAAATGCTGTAATGAATATCACTATTCATTTGGTTTTTATGAATCTTAACATAAATTTTTGGAAACACTTGTAGGTCAAAGGACATTTGGAGTTAACTTTTTTTACCTTTTTTTTTTGTGTGACAGAGTCTCACTCTGTCACCCAGGCTGCAGTACAGTGGAATGATCTTGGCTCACTGCAATCTCTGCTTCCCAGGTTCAAGTGATTCTCCTGCCTCAGCCTCCCAAGTAGCTGGGATTACAGGCGTGTACCACTATGCCTGGCTAATTTTTGTATTTTTAGTAGAGACAGGGTTTCACTATGTTGGCCAGGCTGGTCTCAAACTCCTGACCTCAAGTGATCTGCCCACCTCGGCCTCCCAAAGTTATGGGATTATAGGTGTGAGCCACTGTGGTTGGCTTGTATTTAACTTAAGTGTATAAAATTTTTGAATGTTAACAAATTGTTCCTCACAGAGACTGTGCTAATGTATTTTCTCACACTGTAAGAGAGTGATTGTTTCCCCATATCTGTGCTAATATTATGGACTACAAAGTTTTCTGATGGGTTAAAAATGACGCATTGTTTTAAAATTTTGTGTTTCTTTGATTACAACTGAATATGAGTATATTGTTGTGTTTACACAAATATGTGTTTCTCTGTGAACAATTGTTTCAAGTCTTGCCAAGTCTTTTCTTCTTTCTTTCCTTCTTCCTTTCTCCTTCCCTGATCTTCTCCTTCCTTTCTTGCTTTTTTCATTGCCTTTCTGTCTCTGTTTTTGTCTGTCCTTCCTAAGCACTCTTGGAAATTAGCTCCTTTTCTATCATACTTGCTAATATTTTTTTCTGAGTTTGTCTTTGCTTTTCAACTTTGTTTATGGTAATTTTTCATGTAGAAATGTTTAATTTACATAGCCAAATGTATTTTTTTCCTTATGTCTTTTGTCCCATACTTAGAAAGGCCTTGGTCGGGCACAGTGGCTCATACCTGTAATCCTAGCACTTTGGGAGGATCGCTTGAGCCAAGGAGGTCAAGGCTGCAGTGTGCTGTGATTGTGCCACCGCACACCAGTCTAGGTGACCGAGCAAGACTCCGTCTCAAGAAAAAAGAAAAAAAAGAAAGGCCTCTCTTAATTTAAGACTATAAACAAAAAAAAAAAATCTTCCATGTTTTCTTCTAGTACTTTTATGGTTTTACATTTATCTTTAAATCTTTGAGCTATCTGGATTTTATTGTTTAATTAGGAGTGCAGTAGGAATTGAAACTTGATTTTTTTTCCCATATAGCTTGCCAAGTGTCTCAACACCATTTATTTTCCTTCTGAATTGGAACTAGCCTTTATCTTAGACAAAATATTAATATTCAAGACTATTTCTGAAGTCTCTATGTTCTTTTTTATTTATCTCTATCTCTTCATACACCAGTACCGAATTGTTCATAATGGCTTAATATATGCCATGTGGCTTTTTTTTTTTTTTTTTTTTTTTGAGACAGAGTCTCTCTGTGTCTCCCAGGCTAGAATGCAGGCATGATCTCAGCTCTCTGCACCTCTGCCTCCTGGGTTCAAGCAATTCTCATGCCCCAGTCTCCTGAGTAGCTGGGATTACCGGCATGCACCACCACATCGGACTAATTTTTGTATTTTTAGGGGAGATGGGTTTTCACCATGTTGGCTAGGCTGGTGTCAAACTCTTAGCCTCAAGTGATCTGCCCACCTTGGCCTCCCAAAGTGCTGAGATTACAGGTGTGAACCACCACACTCAACTGGCTATGTTTATTAGTATTTTATTTTTACCTATTTGTCAATGTCTGTCTTCCTAACTGTATGTGATTTTATTCCTAATCCTTCAGGTATAATAATAAAGGTATAAGTCATTAGGAGACATTCTTTTTTATAGTAAGAAAATCTTGACATTCATACTACCTTTGGAAATCTCAAGCTCAAGCGATTGAAATGCCCAGCTGATTTTTGTTATCTTTCAAACTCTGGACCTTACCTTAACTCTTAACGCCCAGTTTATCCTTGCTTATCATCGCATATCTTACCTCAAAAACTTGAAACAAAAATCAGTTTACTGACTACAATGGGGATGAGAGGAGCTTTGACAGGAGGGTCCAGGTAGTGGGTATTGTAAGACTAAAGCCACATGGGATATGCCACCATGGGGGCTGCAGCTGTGAAGCGCTGGGAGCCAAGTGGGCATGGGATTGGCTCAGGACCCCACGGTTTGGCTTATCAATTAAGAGGAGCACAGGAACAAGACTATCAGGTAAGGCTAAGGATTGTTTGATTGTATCAGAAGAAAAACCTCAGACCTGACAAACAGGATTCTGTACCCAATTCAAACTCAACAGAGCAAGGAGTACCAGGCCCTCAGGCAAGTCCCAGACTTAAGTTAATTAAAAAATCCAAGGCACTCTCAAGGAAAGGAAAGGCTAGATATCTTTCAAGAAGGCTGCTATAAAACCACAGCAGTATGTCACGAATCTTCCCTTAGTCTTTCCAAAAAAGACCTACTCAGGAACATTTTCCACTGGTCTCATGAGTTAGAGAGGTCCCTGTAGATCAGGGTACTGTGTGGAGCCCACAGGAAGTGTGGGATATGAGGATAATCGTGGGGGTTTTGGAGTAAGTCGATGCCCCTTTTCAATCACACCTATGTCCATATGAGACAGCTTCTGACTTGCTATTGTGCTCACAAGTTGCTCAGGGCAGAAGGTGATCTGCCAGGGGTCACAGTTGAGTGTGCTAACATCAAATGGATTCCAGATTTGCCACTTCTGAGCTTATTACCATGGGCGGGTACTTGATTCCTCTAAGCATCAGTGGTTTTTTTTTGTCCATCGGTCTTACAATACTCCATAGGTTTACCTCCTAGGATTGTTGTGAAAATTAAATGAACAAAGACATGTTATAAGCTTTAAACCTGAACTGGCACATAGTAAGCTCTGTAAATGTTAAGAGTTGTTATTGTTATTATCATTATTACCGCCACCATCTTGTTTGAAGAATCAGATTCCATGGGTTACAAGTGAAAAATAGCTTTCTTTCCCCTACTCAGTAGGGCTAGCCTTTTTCTGTCCCTGGGATGAAATCTAAGGTAGTCCTAGGACTACTCCAGTTACTTTACTATCTCTATCACATGTAACTGCAAAACAGTCCCATTTCAGTAATTGAAATGCCTAGTCCTATGTAAAAATCTCAATTTGAGCTTCATTTTCTCTTTCCCTGACGTCAGCACTGATTGATTACATAAATCTGCAAAGAGAAAAGGGCTGGGTTCTGGTTGTCTTCTTCTCTTTCAAACCTATGTTTTCCCTAATCCCAAACCCCCATTCTCCCACCCCAACCCCCAACCAGAGCAGCCGACCCCTCTGGGATTTTTGTTTCATTTTTTTAGAGACTGTGTCTCTTTCCCCAGGCTGGAGAGCAGCAGCGTGATCATAGCTTACTGCAGCCTTGACCTCCTGGGCTGAAGCGATCCTCACACCTCAGCCTCCCGAGTAGCTAGGATTACAGCAAGTGACACTGCTCCCGGCTATTATTTATTTATTTTTAGAGATGAGGTCTTGCTATGTTGCCCAATCTGGTCTCAAACTCTTGGCCTCAAGTGATCTTCTTTCCTTAGCCTCCAGAGTAGGTGAGACTACAGGCACAAGCCACCATGCTCCATCAGTGATTTTTCTTGACTGACGCTGTGGCTGGAGTTCTCTGGGGCTGACAGATGATCAAGTTGACTCTTTCTTACATGCGATGTTTCTGTTGGCTCTTTGGAGACCCCTACTTGGGAACATACTAGCAGCACCCAACACAGGAATGGCTGTCTTGGGGCTGGTCACTTACAAGCTTCAGTGACCTCCCACCCCCTATTTTCTGATTAAGGTCCCATGTCACTGACGTCAGGTCCCTTGTAAAATGACTCCCAGGCTTGCCCTATCCCATGTGAGTATGCTGCCCAGGGAAATCGCGTACTTCTGCCCTGCCATCTCTGGCAGGTCAACTTGCTCCTATGAAAGCAGCTGTCCTTGCTCTAGCCACAGGTTGGAAGTCCTAGTTCTTTAGATTTTGCAGAATCAAACGGCAGGCACAAGATACTAGACCCTTGAGTCCCCGAACTCCAGGAGACACAGGGTGAGCTTTCTAAGTCTCTCCTTATTGCCCTCTCACTTGATTTGTAGTCAGGGAACTACTCTCCTCTTTTCATTTACTATGCCCTTTCCCCAAAATACTCCCCTTCCTGGGTATTTTAACCTCAGGCTCAAAGCTGGTTCTTAATCACCTCCTTTGCAAGTCTTGCAGAAGTCAGTTAGCATCACACTTTGGAATGTGGAAATTCTAGCTAGTATTATTTTCTTCCCAGCTGAAACTTAGACAGAAAGAGTCCCTTTTAAACACCCTGTTATATTGTGAGAGTCATCATTATAGGGTGATTATCGGATTTAAATGAAAAAATGCGTGCAGAATACTTAGCATAGTGTCAAGCACATTGTAAGTGCTCAATAAGCATTAGCTATTTATTTAACAAACAATTTATATGGTATTAACTAGGTAATCTAAGTGCTTTATAGGCAATGACTCATTTAATCCTCAAAACAACTCCATCATTCTCATTTTTATAAACAAGGAAACCGAGGCACAGAGAGGTTGAATATCTTGTCCAATATTACACAGCTAGCAAGTGATGAAGCTGGGATTTGAATCCATTCTGGCTCCAGAGGTCATACTCTTAACCATTAGGCTATTTCTTATTTATTAATTACTACTATTATTTTTTGAGGCAATGTCTCACTCTGTTGCTCAGTCTAGAGTGCAGCAATGCCATCCTAGCTCACTGCAGCCTCCAACTCCTAGGTTCAAGTGATCCTCCTACCTCAGCCTCCCAAGTAGCTGGGACTACAGGTGTGCACCACTATGCCTGGCTAAATTTTTTATTTTTTGTAGAGACAGGATGTCACTATGTTACCCAGGCTGGTCTTAAACTCCTGGTCTCAAGTGATCTTCCTACCTTGGCCTCCAAAAGTGCTGGGGTTACAAGTGTGAGTCACCTCGCCCAGCCCCCATTTCAAAGAGTAGTAATAGCTATTATTATCATTATTATAATTATTATTACTTAGTATGTATGGGAACAGATTGCGTGAGCCTAAAAGCCAGGTAAATTACCAAGAGAAGCTGTCATATCCCAAGTTTGACTTCGTTAGTGAAACTGCTATCCTTCCCCATACGAAAGCCAATGGATAGTTGGATTTTCCCAATGAAGCATTGAAGTGAATAAATACACATGGATTAGGTTTAGCGATGGCTGTGTTCAGTATTATAGCACATTCCAGAAATTGGTTGAAGCATTGTGGTCCTGAACAATGTTGTGGATATTCCTGAACAACAGCAAGAATGAGAATTTTTTCTTCTCACTTCCCTTAAACTAATAGGAGGGTTGGCCCCAGAGTCAGGATGACTTGGGTTTGGCCATATGAGCAGGAAAAAGCAAGTTTGTTTACAAAGAAGAGACATATAGATTCTGCCAATTAGTTAATTATAGCAGAAATAGGAGATCAATCACCTTGGTGGTGTAGCACAGCAGTGAAGAACAAGGGACATCTGCCATCAGATCATTAGACATATTCCCTTGTCCCAGGCAACATACCACTCAATGGGGCTGATTCCTCTCCTCTTGACTTCCCACGTATCTTCATAATAAACTGATAAGTAAAACTAATATAACTTAAGCATGCTTCTATGCCTTGCAATCTAAAGAACTTACTATAATCACATCATCCTCAAATAATGATAATTTAATCTTTTTAATGTCTAATAGTTGTGCTTCTTGGTTCTGTTTCTTGTCTTATTGCATTAGCCAGGAATTCCAGAATATTATTAAATAATAGTGGTAATAGCAAATAGCAAGCTCCTTTCCCTCTTCCTGATACTAATGGTAACACCTCTATAGAATTTTTGGTATGTCCTATCCCTTTAAGTATTTGATTAATGCGAACTCTAGAAAGATAGACATACAAAGTGTTGTATATAGTTTTAGGAGATTCAAGAACCATGGACAGACACATGAATAGTTTTTGTGAATTCCATTATTAAAGAATGAAGTTGGCAGCCTGGCGCAGTGGCTCATGCCTGTAATCCCAGCACTTTGGGAGGCCAAAATGGGCAGATCACATGAACTCAGGAGTTTGAGACTAGCCTGGACAACATGGCAAGACCTCGTCTCTACAAAAAATACAAAAATTAGCCAGGCATAGTGGCACATGCCTGTAGTCCCAGCTACATGAAGAGCTAAGGCCAGAGGACTGCTTGGGCCTGGGAGGTCGAGGCTGCAGTGAGCCGAGACTGCGGCATTGCATTCCAGCCTGGACTACAGAGTGAGATCCTGTCTCAAAAAAAAAAAAAAAAAAAAAAATGAGGTTGGCGATTGGTTTAAGGCAAATTTTAAGACCATATAAATAAAAATTCCTTATAGTACTAGTTTAGGAATAAGAAAAAATATGTGAATTTTATCAATTGTCTTTTTATCATAAACTAAGATAATTACAGATTCTTTCTCTTTAGTCTTACTGATACCAATTTTACATATATGTGTGTATATATGTGCATATATATACACACACATATACACACACACACACACATATATATATATATACACACACACACACATATATATATCTCACTCTGTCACTCAGGCTGGAGTGTGGTGGCGTGATCTCAGCTTACTGCAACCTCTGCCTCCTAGGCTCAAGTGATTCTCCCACCTGAATCTCCTGAGTAGCTGTGACTACGGGTGCATGCCACAACACCGGGTTAATTTTTTGTATTTTTGGTAGAGATGGGGTTTCGTCATTTTGCCCAGGCTGGTCTCAAACTCCTGAACTCAAGTGATCTGCCCACCTCGGCCTCCCAAAGGGCTGGGATTATAGGTGTGAGCCACTGCAACTGGCCAATACCAAATTATGTTAATGCACTTAGCAATATCAAACCTTCCTCGCATTTCCAGAATAAATTCTCCTTTGATTTGATATATGATCCTTTTTTTTTTTTTTTTTTTTTTGAGACAAGGTCTTGATCTGTGGCACAATCATTGCTCACTGCAACCTCAACCTCCCTGGCTCAAGCAATTCTTCCACCTCAGCCTTCCAAGTAGCTGCTACCATGGGAACCTGCCACCATGCTCAGTTGTTTTTTTATTTTTTATTTATTGTTGTAGAGATGAGGTCTCACTATGTTGCCTATGTTGGTCTTGAACTCCTGGGCTAAAGTGATCCTCCCACCTCAGTTTCCCAAAGAGCTGGGATTACAGGTGTGAGCCACCATGCCTGGCCTGATTCTTTTAATAGTCTGTTAGATTTAATTTGCTAGTGTTATAATTTGGAATTTGAATTCATCAGAAGGATTATAATGCATGTTAGGAAGATTTTTGAATAAAAATAATTATAAGAAAAATTATTTGCTGGGTACAATGGCTCACGCCTGTAATACCAGCACTTTGGGAGGTTGAGGCAGGAGGATCGCTTGAGACCAGGAGTTCAAGACCAGCCTGGAAAACATAGCGGACCCTGTGTCTATAAGAAATTAAAAAATTAGCCAGGCATGGTGGCCCACCTGTAGTCCCAGTATCTCAGGAGGTTGAGGTGGAAGGATCACTTGAGCTCAGGAGTTCAAGATTATAAAAGCTTCTCTTTTCTAAGCATTCTGGTAAGAACCAGAGAATGAGAACTTCAGAATATCACAGAGATGATAGGAGAAGCTCACCAAACCCACTCATCTTGCTGATTAGGAAGAAAGTTGCTCTGAGACATTGTGACTTATGCAAGATTGCACGACTTCATAGAGGCAGGCATTGGTTAATATAAGCTGCTTGTTGAGGCTCGAAAAGAAAAGAAGGGGAAAGAGTTTTGTCTTATTTCCAATGGAACATTACCTTCATTCTATGGCAGAGCGAGAAGAATGGCTGTTTGTGCAACTGTGAAAGTTTCATAAAGAAATGACGCAAGTATTCTAATAAATTAAGACATTATTGTCGGCCAGGCACCGTAGCTCACGCCTGTAATCCCAGCATTTTGGGAGGCCGAGGCGGATGTTTCACCTGAGGGTGGGAGTTTGAGATCACCCTGACCAACATGGAGAAACCCCACCTCTACTAAAAATACAAAATTAGCAAGGTGTGGTGGCACATGCCTGTAATCCCAGCTACTCGGGAGGCTGAGGCAGGAGAATCACTTGAACCTGGGAGGCAGAAGTTGTGGTGAGCCAGAGATCATGCCATTGCACTCCAGCCTGGGCAACAAAAACGAAACTCCATCTCAAAAACAAAAACCAAAACCATATTGTCATCTTCAAGGGATGAAAACCATTATTGGGCTGAATTTCCCCATATCTTTTGGTTCCAAGTGCCTCACCCTCTCTGTCTATGTAGAACGGAAACTTGCAGAGTTTCAGCTCCTTGGACAGTTCTCCCCAGCACACACCAGAGAGGCCTTCCTGCCAAAAATGGGCTAAATGCATTACAAATGGAGATGAAAGAAACACAGAACAAAGGAAAGAGGCTTTGAGGATATATATTTCAGAAAGTTGCCAGCTTCTAAAACAATCTGGAGCTAGCAAGATGTGTTAGATTGGTGCAAAAGTAATTGTGGTTTTGCCATTACTTCTGCACCAATCTATATAGGACCCTGGTAGAGAAGGGGCTTCTCCTGCTTGCTGTTGGTACAGGTTCCTGCTGTTTGTCTTTTAATGTCTCTAACAGGGTCCTAAGGGTCCTGATTGACTCTGTGCTGACACTATCTACCCAACTGTCCCCTCCCTTTAGCCTCATCAGCACTCAGCTTGAGCCCTGCAGAGCAACCCAGCATAATGCCTGATGCTCAGCCCCGTACCTGACTTCACACGTGGCAAAGGTCTGTCTTCCAAGGACTGCAACAATAGGACTGAAACATCTGCTCCCTTTGGACAAGTCAGTGAGAAATTCAGCCAAACTGGTTGTTTGGTGTCACATAGCAAAACAATTGGCTAGATGATGGATTTCTTTGCTCCCAACTCTATGTTGACACTGCCTCAGATTCTACTCTGGTGGTGCATTTTAATGAAGCCTTGCTAGAAAGAGCAACTTTATTTTTTTTAACCATTTAGGGGGCTGTTACATTTACTACTTATATGAATCCCCAAACACCCTGTGCAGCAGATAGAGCAGCTAACATTACTGTAATTTAATAGATGAAACTGAAGCCCAGAGGACTTGATTGGTTGCTCTACGTCTCCTAGCTTCTTAGTGGTGGAGCTGGAGCTAGAACTCCCAGGTGTCCTGACGTCACCTGTCGATCTCTCCCACAATACAGCAGTGCCTGCTTCATTAGAATCTTTTCTTACATATTCTTTCTAGATAGAAAACTGTATATATTCTGATTTTAAAAGTATAAATACTTCCAAGTCTGTGTGAATACATGCATTCAATAAATGAATGTTAAGCAAGTTGTAAATACATTTTGATGAAGAAATTCATTTACCTATAGATTTGGAGGATCAATTAAGAGAATTGAAATCCATTTTTAAATAATTTAATGGGTTTATGGAAAGACTCATATATTAAAGCAAAACCTAATCATTCATGAATTTACAACTCTATTATTTAAACGTTTCATTGTGGACATTTTCAAACACATACAGGAGTAGAGGAAAGAATATAATAAACCCATCATCTCACTTCAACAATTCTCAAAATATGGCCAATCTTCTTTTATCAGTATCCCCTATTCCCCCTACTCCTTCCCTGGATTATTTTAAAGTAAATCCCAGACATCATTTTATCATTTCATCCATTAACATTTCAATAAGTATCTTTATTTATTTATTTTTTGAGACAGGGTCTTGCTCTGTTACCCAGGCTGGAGTGCAGTGATGTGATCTCGGTTCACTACAGCCTTGACCTCCCAGGCTCAGATGAGCATCCCACTTCAGCCTACCGAGTAGTTGGGCCTAGACTCATGCCACCACATCCAGCTAATTTTTTTTTAAATATATTTTCTGTAGAGACAGGGTTTCATCATGTTGCCCAGGCATGTCTCGAACTCCTGGGCTCAAGTGATCTGCTTGACCTTCCAAGTGCTGGAATCACAGGCATGAGCAACCAGGCCCAGCATCAATATGTATCTTTAAAATATAAGAAGACTTTTGTTACACCTTTAAAAAGTTAACAGTAATTTTGTTGTAAAATTGGTATATGATGTGGTTTGGCTCTGTGTTGCTGCCTGAATCTCACCTTGAATTGTAATAATCCCCACATGTCAACAGCAGGACCAGGTGGAGCTAATTGAATCATGGCGGGGTGGGGGCTTCCCCTATGCTGTTCTTGTGATAGTGAGTTAATTCTCACGAGATGTGATGGTTTTATAAGGGGCTTCCTGCTTTGCTCGGCACTCATTCTCTCTGCTGCCACCCTGTGAAGAGGTGCATTCTGCCATGATTATAACTTTCCTGAGGCCTCCCCAGCCATGTGGAAGTGTGAGTCAATTAAATCGCTTTGCTTTATAAATTACCCAGTCTTGGGTATTTCTTCACAGAAGTGTGGGAATGGGCTAATACAGTGAATTGGTAACACAGACAGTGGGGTCTGCTTTAAGTATACCCGAAAATGTGGAAGGGACTTTGGAACTGGGTAACGGGCAGAGGCTGGAACATTTTGGAGGGCGCAGAAGAAGACAGTAAAATGTGGGAAAGCTTGGAACTTCCTAGAGACTTCTTATATGGCTTTGACCAAAATGCTGATAGTGATATGGACAATAAAGTCCAGGCTGAGATGGTCTCAGATGGACATGAGGAACTTGTTGGGAACTGAAATAAAGGTGGTTCTTGCTGTGCTTTAGCAAAGAGACTAGCAGCATTTTGCCCCTCCCCTAGAGATCTGTGGAACTTTGAACTTGAGAGAGATGATTTAGGATATCTAGCAGAAAAAGATTTCTAAGCAGCAAAGCATTCAAGAGGAAGCAGAGCATAAAAGTTGGGAAAATTTTCAGCCTGACTATGTGATAGAAAAAAAATTCCCATTTTCAGGGGAGAAATTCAAGCCAGCTGCAGACATTTGTATAAGTAACAAGGAGCCGATGTTAATCACAAAGACAATGGGGAAAATGTCTCCAGGGCATGTCAGATACCTTCATGGTGGCCACTCCCATCACAGGCCTGAGGCCTAAGAGGGAAAAATGGGTTTCTGGCCTGCTCTGTGCAGCCTCAGGACATGGTACCCTGCATCCCAGCCACTCTAGTCATAGCTAAAAGGGGCCAAGATACAGCTCAGACCATTGCTTCAGAAGTGCAAGCCCTAAGCCTTGGCAGCTTCCACATGGCGTTGGTCCTGCAGGTCTGCAGAAGACAAGAATTGAGGTTTGGGAACCTCCTCCTAGATTTCAGAGGATGTATGGAAATGCCTGGATGTCCAGGCAGAAGTTTGCTGCAGGGGTGTAGCGCTCATGGAGAACCTCTGCTAGGGCAGTGCAGAAGAAAAATGTGGGGTTGGAGCCCCCCGACACAGAGTCCCCACTGGAGCACTGCCTAGTGGAGCTATGAGAACAGGGCCACTGTCCTCCAGACCCCAGAATGTTAGCTCAGCTGACAGCTTGCACCGTGTGACTGGAAAAGTTGCAGATATTCGATGCCAGCCTATGAAAGCAGCCAGGAGGGAGGCTGTATTCTGTAAAGCCACAGGGGTGGAGCTGCCCAAGACTGTGGGAACCCACCTCTTGCATCAGCATGACCTGGTGAAACAGGATAGTTCTCTGTCCCCCTCACAGGACTTGCAACAGGGGTGCAGCTTGTTTGCTCAGCCACTGCATGCTCAAACACCTTATAGGAGGGGGATCATGCAGACAGGCAGGTGCAGGAGCCAGGGCAGGCGCTTTGGGGCTCTGGCCCCATGGTAGCATCTAGGGTTGTGTTACAATTAATGCTTTTCTAGCAGTTGTCATCTGCAGACAGCTAAGTGTTAAACCAGCTCAGTGGAGAGTCAGGGTGACAGCCTTTTATGCCCTGCCCTCTTGGTACCCAGGTCCTTGTCCAGTGTCCAGGAAGAATCAGGTCATATGGACTTGAAGAATGGTGAATACAGGAATTTTATTGAGTGACTGAGGTGGTTTTCAGTGGGATGGATGGGAAGCTGGAAGAGTGATGGAGTGGGAAGTTGATCCTCCCCTGAAGTTTGGCCATCCCACAGCCGATCTCCTCTCTGACCATCCCCAGACGAACTCCTCTTGACGTTCAGATGCTCCTCTTCTCTCCTTCTCTGCTGCTCTTCTGCTCATGGAGCCTGGGGTTTGGGATTTATATGGGTACAGGATAGGTGGGGGCATAGTGGGCCAAAAGGCAACATTGGGCATAAAACAGGAATGCCTGTTCCCATTTAGAGCCATGGGTTTCTAGGCTTGAGGATGGGGCCTTTGCCAGGGAACTGCCCTCTTCTACGCAGTATTTCCCTGCCTCCTGTCCATATCACTGGATATGAGACATGGAGCCAAAGGAGATCATCTTGGAACTTTAAGGTTTCGTAACTGCTCTATTGGATTTTGGACTTGCATGGGGCCTGTAGCCCCTGTGTTTTGGCCAGTTTTTCCCATTTTGAATATTTATCCAATGCCTGTACCCCTATTGTATCCAGGAACTAAATAACTTGCTTTCGATTTTACAGGCTTATAGGCAGAAGGGACTTGCCTTGTCTCAGATAAGACTTTGGACTTGGACTTTTGGGTTAATGCTGGAATGAGCTAAGACTTTGGGGGACTATTGGAAAGGCTTGATTGGTTTTGAAATGTGAGGATATGAGATTTGGGAGGGGCCAGGGTGGAACGATATGGTTTGGCTCTGTGTCATTGAATCTCACCTTGAATTGTAATAATCCCCATATGTCAAGTGTAAGACCAGGGGGAGATAATTAAATCATGACTTGGGGGAGGTCCCCTATGCTGTTCTCATGATAGTGAGTTCTCATGAGATGTGACGGTTTTATAAGGGGCTTCCCGCCTTGCTGGGCACTCATTCTCTCTCCTGCTGCCCTGTGAAGAGGTGCCTTCTGCCATGATGGTAAGTTTCCTGAGGCCTCCCCAGCCATGTGGAACTGTGAGTCAATTAAACCAGTTTTCTTTATAAGTTACCCAGTCTTGGGTAGTTTTTTTCATAATGGTGTGAGAATAAACTAATACAGTATATAACCTGAATTTCTTAGCATGTTTATACCACATTTAATATATATCAATATATTAACTTTTTGCACAAGTTTTGGTCTCTGAGAAGACAATGAAATGCCTACTCTTTTGATTGCACTGATTTTAGGATGTTGGATGAGTCCAATTTGAAAAATACTTATTCATAATACCATCCTGGTGTTCAAAATTTCAAAATGTTATGTTAAAGTGAGTTGTAGGTCTCCTTTTTTCTCCCTCTTTTGAGTCAGGGTCTCACTCTGTTGCCCAGGCTGGAGCACAGTGGCATGATCTTGGCTCACTCCAACCTCTGTGGGATCAAGTGATCCTTCTGCCTGAGCCTCCTAAGTAGCTGCGCACAGGCACATACCACCATGCCCAGCTAATTTTTATGTTTTTCATAGAGACGGGGTTTCACCATGTTGCCCAGGCTGGTCTCAAACTCCTGAGTTCAAGCGATCCTCCCACCTTGGCTTTCCAAAGTGCTGAGATTACACTGTGTCCTCATTGATGAGTGCTTAATGGACAATAATATTCTTTATGTCAGTTGGATGACACAAAGGGGAAAATGAGACTTAGCTAATTTCTATTTGGCCTAAAATGTGGTGGTTTTAGTTCTTATATCTTAGAGATGTTTGAAGTCATAGATTAGTTCCTGATAAGGTGAGTGTCCACTTTAAAGAATGTGAGCTTCAACTAGTCGTCTTCTAGTTACCATAAGCCTCTGGATAAGGAAGGGCTGGGAGGGGAGAAAGGTGCCTAATTGTATCACAGATCCTAGTGTCAATGAAAAACAGCTCTAAACTTTTGCCTCAGATCACTAGCAATCTTTGAAAGTCAAGAATCTTTTATTTCTCTCTTGAGAAATTCCAACCCCTGGCTAAAAGAGTTTTGCTTCTAGCTATCTATGCTTATAAGGAGGAAGCAAGTTGTTTATTTACCAGATCTGAAGTTGTCCCAAGGCAATTCACTCATATGATTTTCAGAAACCTTGGATACAGAAATTTTTAAAACATAAAGTGGAAATGTACAGACCAATTCTTTTTTGAGTATGTGCTGTCTAAGGTACAGAAATGAGCTTGTTCAGAATTCGCTTTCTAAGGATCCAGGAAGCTCTAACATGAGAGAATGTAAAAATCAAGGTTCCAGTTTAACTTGCAATTCATGATTGCTCTTCTGCTTTTGCCTTGATTATTGAAAGGAATAAAGTTTTTGAATATTGTCCTAAGGACTTTGGTTTAGAAGAGTATTAATCAGCTTTTCCTTTCCACCATTTGTGTTAAGCTTCAACAGTAGAGTACATTTGGATGCTACCCTGAACTTTTCAACTTTTCTTTCTTTCTCTTCCCTTCTTCTTTCTTTTTCTTTTTCCCTCCCTCCCTCCCTTCCCCTTCCTCCCTCTTTATTTTTCTCTTTCTTTTCTCCTTCCCTCCTTCCTTCTTTCTTTTCTTTTCTTTCTTTTCTTCTTTTCTTTTCTTCTTCTCTTTTCTTTTCTTCATTTTAGAGACAGGGTCTCACTCTGTCACCCAGGCTCAAGTGCAGTGGTGTAGTCCTGGGCTCATGCCACCCTCCCATGTCATCCTCCTTAGTTGCAAGGACTACAGGTGCACACCACCGTGCTCAGATAATTTTTAATTATTTATTTTATTTTGCCTTTTCTGTTTTGAGACAGAGTCTCACTCTGTTGGCCAGGCTAGAGTGTAGTTACGTGATCTTGGCTCACTGCAACCTCCACCTCCCAGGTTCAAGCGATTCTCCTGCCTCAGCCTCCCGAGTAGCTTGGATTACAAGCATGTACCACCATGCCTGGCTAATTTTTGTATTTTTAGTAGAGATGGGGTTTTGCCATGTTGGCCAGGCTGGTTTTGAACTCCTGACCTCAAGTGATCGCCCTCCCAAAGTGCTGGGATTACAGGCGTGAGCCTCCACACTTGGCTCAATTTTTCATTTTTTCTTTTATTTTTTTCCTTTTTATTTTTTACTGTTGATTTATTACAAGTCCCCAGGGCTTTATCTTTATTTTTTTTCAATATCCTGTTCTTCAGCTTCCTTGGTTCTTTTTACCCATATGCAGAAGAGCTGGGCATTTGTGCAGGCCACGTGGAGACTAGCAAAGGCCTTGGAGTTCTTCCCTTCCTCAGTGATGCCTCGGGCTTTCTCCTTCTTATAGACATTCTGGACAGGCATAAGTAGTCCTGTCAGCTACTGGGGCAATTTCAGTTCTTCAGCAGAACTGTCTCCCTTCTTGGGGGCCAAGGGCTTCCTGGGGAAGAGGATGAGTTTGGAGTGGCACTCCATCAGCACTGCACATTGGCTTGCAGGGACTCGGTGGACTTGTTTTGCCTTCTCGGATCCACAGAGATGTCAGTGTTCTGTGCCACCTTCTTGTGAATACCAACCACCCTTAACTCCTCCATGCTGAAGCCCTGGCCAGCGTGTACTTTGGTGTGATACCTCACCATGCAGCACCTTACTATGGGCTGGATGGGTCCAGACGTGGTTGAACCATGTAGCCACACACCACTGCCAGTGCTTGTTGAAGTGGGACTTGAAGATCATGCCTTTCCTGCTGGGCTCCATGGCTGACTATGGCCCTCCTGTGCAAGAAAACAGCTGAGTGGAAAGGGCTCAACTTTTCTTAAATGACAAAGAAGAAAGAGAATTTAACTGCAGTTTGCTGTTTTTAGTAGCCTGGTATCCTGGCAATTTACACCAGCTATTTGAGGTTGAACCTTACTACTTACCAGTCAGAGTTGTTGATTAAGAGGAAAGAAAATAAAGTAACACATAGAAAGTTCAATAAATACATGAGACTTAGGAGCATTAGAAATTTGAAGATAGGCACTAACTGGGAATAAATTTGAAAAGGGATAATTACTTATAATACTCAGAGCAAGAAAGAGTAGAAATGACAATACGTTTTCCCAGTAATATCAACAATCAACACTATTTTTTATCATAGTAGTAAAAAAAAAGTTTAGTTTTTTTTTTAGACAGAGTCTTGCTCTGTTGCCCAGGCTGGAGTGCAGTGGCGCAATCTTGGCTCACTGCAACCTCCACCTCCTGGGTTCAAATGATTCTCTTGCCTCAGCCTCCTGAGTAGGTGGGATTACAGGCACGTGCCACCACACCTGGCTAATTTTTGCATTTTTGGTAGAGACGGGGTTTCACCATGTTGGCCAGGCTGATCTTGAACTCCTCCTGACCTCAAGTGATCCACGCTCCTTGGCCTCCCAAAGTGCTGAGATTACAGGCATGAGCCACCATGCCCAGCCGAAAGTTCTGATCTTATGCTGTTAATTTTTTTTTATTATACTTTAAGTTTTAGGGTACATGTGCACAACGTGCAGGCTAGTTACATATGTATACATGTGCCATGTTGGTGTGCTGCACCCATTAACTTGTCATTTAACATTAGGTATATCTCCTAATGCTATCCCTCCCCCCGCCCCCCACCCCACAATAGGCCCCGGTGTGTGATGTTCCCCTTCCTGTGTCCATGTGTTCTCATTGTTCAATTCCCACCTATGAGTGAGAACATGCAGTGTTTGGTTTTTTGTTCTTGCAATAGCTTGCTGAGAATGATGGTTTCCAGCTTCATCCATGTCCCTATAAAGGACGTGAACTCATCATTTTTTATGGCTGCATAGTATTCCATGGCGTATATGTGCCACATTTTCTTAATCCAGTCTATCATTGTTGGACATTTGGGTTGGTTCCAAATCTTTGCTATTGTGAATAGTGCCGCAATAAATATACGTGTGCATGTGTCTTTATAGCAGCATGATTTATAATCCTTTGGGTATGTACCCAGCAATGGGATGGCTGGGTCAAATGGTATTTCTAATTCTAGATCCCTGAGGAATCGCCACACTGACTTCCACAATGGCTGAACTAGTTTACAGTCCCAGCAACAGTGTAAAAGTGTTCCTATTTCTCCACATCCTCTCCAGCACCTGTTGTTTCCTGACTTTTTAATGATCGCCATTCTAACTGGTGTAAGATGGTATCTCATTGTGGTTTTGATTTGCATTTCTCTGATGGCCAGGGATGGTGAGCATTTTTTCATGTGTCTTTTGGCTGCATGAATGTCTTCTTTATTTTTTAAAAAAATTCAAACCCACAGTAGCTTTTTATCTACCCCAGTGCTGACAATGAGCCCAGAAATGATCAACATTTCAGGAAGGTCCTGCAAGAATTGCTTGAAGAACAATTGATTCTATTCATATTCTTTTCTTTATTCCTGTTCATAAACTTACATGGACCTATGGAGCAACAAGTGAATTTTTGTTTTTTGAGACAGGGTCTCACTCTGTCACCTAGGCTGGAGTGTAGTGGCATGATCATGGCTCACTGCAGCCTTGACTTCCCGGGCTCCAGCGATCCTCTCACGTCAGCCTCCTGAATAGCTGGGACCACAGGTGTGCACCACCACACCTGGCTAATTTTTGTATTTTTTGTGGAGATGAGGTTTCACCGTGTTGCCCAGACTGGTCTCAAACTTCTAAGCTCCCATGATTCACCTGCCTCAGCCTCCCACAGTGTTGGGATTATAAGCATGAGCCACTGTAGCCAGGCCCTATTTGTGAAATATTGATGGGCATTTGAGTTGTTTTGAGTTTTGAGCTATCTTGAATAGTCCTGTTATAAACACTTGTACATGACTTTTGGTGTACATATAAGCATCTCTTGGCTATACATAAAAAATAGAGGGTTTGGGTAAGTTCAACTTCAGTAGATATTATCAAACACTTTTCCAACATTGTTACAAATGTGCGCTTCCACCAACAGTGTCTGAGAGTCCAAATTGCTTTGCATTCTTGCCTAAATTTGATATTGTGGTCTTATTATTAATGTTAGCTATTCTGGTGGGGTACAGTGATTCAAATTTGCATTTTGGTTTTAATTGGCATTGTCCTGGTGATTAATAAAGTCGAGCAGCCTGTCATATGATTGATGATTTTTTTTGAGTGTCCTCTTTTATGAAATGCCAATTTAAGTCTTTTGCCCATTTTTCTATTGGGTTGTCTGCTTCTTTTCTATTAATTTGTAGAAATGTTTCATATACGATAGTTATGATTCATTTGTTATATATAGGTATTACAAATATCTTTTTCTACTTGGTAGCTTTCTTTTTCACTTTTTTTTGGCATTGTAGCCTTTTCACTCTTGTTTTGTTTCTTGTTTTGTCTCTTAGTCTTGGAACTATTAATGCCTTTTGATGAACACTGGTTTTTATTTCAATGTAGTTCAATTTATCAATCTTTACTTTTATGGTTAATGCTTCTTATGTCCTGTTTAAGAAATCACTGCCTGCCTCAAACTCACAAGAATATTTTTTATGTCTTCTTTCTAGATGTGTTATTGTTTTATATTTAGGATTAAAATTCATCTAGTGTTAATTTTGTGTGTGGTGAGAGATAAGTTTCAAATTTTATTTTCATACAATATGGATATTGGTGAACCCAGCTGCATTTGAAAAGACCATTCTTTCCCTCATGGCACTATAGTGGTTCTATTTCTGAACTATATATTCTGTTCCATTGGTCTATTTGTCCATCTCTGTATTAATAATATGTCTCAATTATATTAGTTTTATAATAAGTCCTTCAACTTTGCTCTTCTTCACCATTGTCTTGACTATTCTTGGTCCACTGAACTTCCACATAAATTTTAGAATCAGCTAATCAGTTTCCCTCCCGTCCCCTCCCCTCCCCTGCCCTCCCCTCCCCTCCCTTCCTCCTTCCCTCCCTCCCTCCCTCCCTTCCTTCGTTCCTTCCTTTTTTTGAAACAGAATCTTGCTCTGTCACCTAGGCTGGAGTGCAGTAGTGCAATCGTGACTTACTACACCCTTAACCTCTGAGGTTCAAGTGATCCTTCCACCTCAGCCTCCCAAGTAGCTGGGACTATTGGTGCCCACCAACAGACCTGGCTAATTTTTTTTTTGTATTTTTTGTAGATACAGGGTTTCACCATGTTGCCCAGGCTAGTCTCAAACTCCTGGGCTCAAGCGATCCTCCTGCCTGGCCTCTCAAAGTGTGGGGATTACAGGTGTGAATATCTGTGCCCTGCTAATCAGTTTTTTATTTTTTAAAAGAACTTGCTGAGATGTGTATTGGATTTATGGTAAATCTCTAGACTAATTTGGGAAGATTGACATTTTTACAATATCACATCATCTAATCTACAAACATTGCATTTTGAATTCCACCACAGTTTTCTTTCAATACAGTTTTGTAGTTTTCTTTTTCTTTTTCTTTTTCTTTTTTTAGGCAGTCTCACTCTGTCACCTAGGCTGGAGTACAGCGGTGAGATCATGGCTCACTGTAGCCTTGACTTCCCAGGCACAAACGATTCTCTCACCTCAGCCTACCAAGTAGCTGGCACTACAGGTTTATGCCACCATGCCTGGCTAACTTTATTTGGTTTGGGAACCTCTGCCTAGATATCAGAACTCAGCACTTTGGGAGGTCGAGGTGGGAGGATCCCTTGATCCCAGGAGACCCAAGATCCCTTGATCCCAGGACTTATTATAAAGACCAGCCTGGGTAACATGGCGAAACCTCGTCTCTCTCTCTCTTTTTTTTAATTTTAAAAATTAACAACAACAACGAAAACCCCATATTCTTCTATTCCTAGCTTGCTAAGCTTTTTTATCATGGGTTGGTATAGAGGGAAACTTTTATTCTATGTCCACCTTTCTTAGTCTGGGCTATGCCTAACTACTCTGCAGTTGAGATTAAATATTATTTTTAAGATCAAAAAACCCTTAAATTTTTATTTATTTATTTATTTTTTATTATTATACTTTAAGTTTTAGGGTACATGTGCACAACATGCAGATTTGTTACATATGTATACATGTGCCATGTTGGTGTGCTGCACCCATTAACTTGTCATTTAACATTAGGTATATCTCCTAATTCTATCCCTCCCCCCTCCCCCCACCCCACCACAGGCCCCGGTGTGTGACGTTCCCCTTCCGGTGTCTATGTGTTCTCCTTGTTCAATTCCTACCTATGAGTGAGAACATGCAGTGTTTGGAAAAACCCTTAAATTTTTATAATGCATTCTCATGAGAGGTTTGAAGTATTCTATTATCTCCATTCAGTTTACTTATCTGTAAAATGATGATTATTGTATTCACCACAGTGCTGTTGGGAGATGAAATAACTTATTGACACGGTTTGGCTGTGTTCCCATTGAAATCTCAACTTGAATTATATCTCCCAGAATTCCCATGTGTTGTGGGAGGAACCTAGATGGAGGTGATTGAACCATGGGGGCTGGTCTTTCCCATGCCATTCTCGTGATAGTACATAAGTCTCACCAGATCTTATGGGTTTATCAGGCATTTCCGCTTTTGCTTCTTCCTCATTTTCTCTTGCTGCCACCATGTAAGAAATGCCTTTCGCCTTCCGCCATGATTCTGAGGCCTCCTCAGCCATGTGGAACTGTAAGTCCAATTAAACCTCTTTTTGTTCCCAGTTTCAAGTATTCGTAATCAGCAGTGTGAAAACCAACTAATACAGTAAATTGGTACCAATAGAGTGGGGCATTGCTGAAAAGATACCCAAAAATGTGGAAGCGACTTTGGAACTGGGTAACAGGCAGAAGTTGTAAGAGTTTGGAGGGCTCAGAAGAAGACAGGAAAATGTGGGGAAGTTTGGAACTTCCTAGATATTTGTTGATTGGCTTTGACCAAAATGCTGATAGTGACATGGACAATAAGGTCCAGGCAGAGGTGGTCTCAGAGGGAAATGAGGAACTTGTTGGGAACTGGAGCAAAGTGACTCTTGTTATGTTTTAGCAAAGAGACTGGAGGCATTTTGCCCTTGCCCTAGAAATTTGTAGAAATTTGAACTTGAGACAGATGATTTAGGGTATCTGGCAGAAGAAATTTCTAAGCAGCAAAGTATTCAAGAGGTGACTTGGGTTATTTTAAAGGCCTTCAGTTTTATAAGGGAAGCAGAGCATAAACGTTTGGAAAATTTGCAGCCTGACTATGCAATAGAAAACAAAAACCCATTTTCTGGGGAGAAATTCAAGCCGGTTACAGAAATGTGCATAAGTAGCAAGAAGCCTAACGTTAATCCCCAAGACCATGGGGAAAATGTCTCCAGGCCATGTCAGAGACCTTCATGGCAGCCCCTCCCATCACAGGCCTGGAGGCCCAGGAGGAAAAAGTGGTCTCGTGGGCTGGGCTCAGGGTCCCCGTGCTATGTGCAGCCTAGGGACTTGGCGCCCTGTGTCCCAGCCACTCCAGCCATGGCTGAAAGGGGCCAATGTACAGTTCAGGCTGTGGCTTCAGAGGGTAGAAGCCCCAAGCCTTGGCAGCTTCCATGTAGTGTTGAGCCTGCATGTGCACAGAAGTCAAGAATTGAGGTTTGGGAACCTCTGCCTAGATTTCAGAAGATGTACGGAAATGCCCAGATGCCCAGGCAAAAGTTTTCTGCAGGGGTGGGGCCCTCATGGAGAACCTCTGCTAGGGCAGTGCAGAAGGGAAATGTGGGGTCAGAGCCTCCACACAGAGTCCCTACTGAGGCACTGCCTAGTGGAACTGTGAGACAAGGGCCACCGTCCTCCAGACCCCAGAATGGTAGATCTACTGACAGCTTGCACCATGTGCCTGGAAAAGCTGCAGACACTCAATGCCAGCCCACAAAAGCGGCCAGGAGGGAGGCTGTACCCTGCAAAGCCACAGGGGTGGAGCTGCCCAAGACCATGGGAACCCACCTCTTGCATCAGTGTGACCTGGATATGAGACCTAGAGTCAAAGGAGATTATTTTGGAGTTTTAAGTTTGACTGCCCTGCTGGATTTTGGACTTCCATGGCACCTGTAACCCCTTTGCTTTGGCAAATTTCTCCCATTTGGAATGGCTGTATTTACCCAATACCTGTACTCCCATTGTATCTAGGAAGTAACTAGCTTGTTTTTGATTTTACAGGCTCATAGGTGGAAGGGACTGGCCTTGTCTCAGGTGAGACTTTGGACTGTGGACTTTTGGGTTAATGCTGAAATTAGTTAAGGATTTGGGGGACTGTTGGGAAGGCATGATTGGTTTTGAAATGTTAGGACATGAGATTTGGAGGGGCCAGGGGTAGGATGATATGGTTTGGCTATGTCCCCATTTAAATTTCAACTTGAATTGTATCTCCCAGAATTCCCACGTGCTGTGGGAGGGACCCCGGGGAGATAATTGAATCATGGGGGCCAGTCTTTCCCATGCTAGTCTCACGATAGTGAATAAGTCTCATGAGATCTGATAGGTTTATCAGGGGTTTCTGCTTTTGCTTCTTCCTCATTTTCTCTTGCTGCTGCCATGTAAGAAGTGCCTTTTGCCCTCCACCATGATTCTGAGGCTTCCCCAGCCATGTGGAACTGTAAGTCCAATTAAACCTCTCTTTGTTCCCTGTTTCCAGTATATCTTTATCAGCAGCATGAAAACGAACTAATACACTTATATAAAATGTGTAAACAGTGCCTGACCACTAGTAAGCATTTTATTTTTTTTGTTTTTGTAGAGATGGGGTCTCCCTATGTTGCTTGCCCAGGCTGGTCTTGAAATGTACTCAAGCAATCCTCATGCCTCCGCCTCTCAGTGTGCTGAGATTACAGGCATCAGCCACCATGCCCGGACATAAGCATTTTATAAACATCAGTTATTATTAATATTTTTTTCAGGTGAAGAAAACAAAGTAGGAGAAGAGTGAGTGACAACTGGTGGTGGACTTCTTCCTGGAAACCCAGTCCCTTGACTCTCACTCTGCCTCTTTCCCTTTCATCATTTTGCCTAAAGAGAGGATTTAGTAGCCTCTTAACCATTCCATATCAGTAAGTCTCTTCATCATAGTAAAAGTTTTTAAAAGATTAGAAAATAATGCTTACAAACTGTACTGACTGGAAAGGCCCTTCTGTAGATAATTCTATGCAGTCAGTGTATTTAGTGTACGTGCTTCCTAAGCATGTCTCAGAATAACAAAATTATTTGAGAAAGAGTGTTTTTTTTCTTTTTTTGGTCAAGTTCTTTCTTATATGGATTCTTCTTACAAGTTAAGACAACCTCTTCTCTCATGGTTGCCATGCAAAGAATCTTGTCTTCAATCAGCTCATTAAGGTAACTTTGTAAAGATAGTGTTTTTTAGAAGGGCACTTTGCCAGCTCCCTCAAACATAACTTTGCAAATGGACAGCAAGAAAAACATGGTAAATCACTTCCATATGGCTCAAGGCAATGAGAAACTTTTTTGATTAACAACATATTCACTACAATAAAATAACTTCCAAATCGGCTAGAGAGACACTAACTTATCTGCTACATCTATTCTCTTCTTTGATTTTTTTCATTGTTTTGACTCTCCAAAAACCCTCTTAAGCTCCCAACTGGTTCATTTTTAAACAATGGGTTCTTCCAAGACCATCACCTGTTCCTATTTGTCAGTTCTATTAAGCAAATAGCTACTCTTAAACTTATTTTAGAACCAGCTGCTTTACAACATATGCTTCAAACATTCAAGAGATGTTTTTTACAGACTCATCAGTTGATACAATCATTGACATGTCATCTGCATATGCAAGTACTAGTTTAAACATCTAAACTATTTTATTTCCTTTCACAGCTGTCTAAATAGTAAACCAAGCAGTTTAGTTCACACCATAAATTCCCATCAAAGGGCTTTTAATTAATATGTAAAGGACAAAATGGGCACCTAGGACTTAATGTTTTCTTTATCTGGATCTCTTCATTCTTCCCAGGCAGAAACTAATCATTTCATTTTCGCACTCTTGACAAATTGGAAAAAATATGACACAGTCTATACAACTTTAAACAACATATCCTCACCCGTCAAGAGTCTCTCCCTCCCCTCTTTTCAAAGGAAATAGAATAAAAAGATGATTGCCTTTTAGTCTGTGTGTTTTACAGTTTCTCTTGGTATAACGAAACCATCTGCCACCCCTGTCCCTTAACGCCTGGAATGAATCAAATCATCTTCCTTGCAAACATTGTTAATCTCACAGTAATCCCTACTAATCACTTTGTAATCAGCACTCAAAGGGGCTAAAGGTCCTTGATTCTTAATCATGATATTTTAATCATCATTCTTGTGAGATGGCATTTAGTAATCCCTGAATCTCGTTTATTTCTTTTCAACTTCCTAATTATTTTTTAGGACAGAGAACAAGAGCTCTCTAAATAGGAGAAACCAGATCTCTCTGGCCAAAACTGGTCTGGGAGAATAAGACTGTGCCTGGGTAGTTTCTGATGTCTAACTCTTACTTTCCATTTTAGATACTGAAGATAGCTTATTTCTGTTTTGTTTTACTTCCTTATTCTTTTCCTTAATCTCTTTTTCCTCTACTGTACTTTTTATTTAGCAAATTTTTGGATGAGTAGCAATTTCTTTTCCCCTCTGCATCCTTAAAAGGTTTGGTTTCTGGTTTGTTAATTTCCTTTTTCATTTTTTACCAAGTTGAGGAAATTCCCCTCTATTCTTAGTTTGCTGAGAGTCTTTAATCATAAATGGATGTTAGGTTTGGTCAAATGCTTTTTCTGCATTATTAATATAATCATATGATTTTTCTTCTTTAGCCTGCTAATGTGATGAATTGCCTTTATTGATTTTTCATCCTTTTGTATTCTTTAGGTACAATATCCTCACTCTTCTTTATAAATTTATAACCTTTTTCTTCATCAATTTTTTTTTCCTGAAGGGAATGAAAGAGACTTCTTACACATTTTAGTGGCTTGCTGTCTTGTTGAATTACGAGTTTTCCTTTCTCCTCATTCTTTCCTTCTTCTCCTTCACCAGTTTAAGATTATGTGTTGTTTTTTCATCTCACAGTGCCTTTCTTGGTCATATTTATATAACGCATTATAAAGTTTATGTTTACTCTTAAAATTCATTCATTTAATTTATTTTGAAAAACACTGAGGACCTACTATGTGCCAGGCACAAAACAAAAACTCATTCACCATTTAGTCTGAGGCTCTACGTGAGCTTAACATGTCTTGCTCAGAACCTAAATTTAAATTTGTGACTTTTATGTAAACAATTGAGAAGTATCTTTTGCCCTTGGTTACTTAAATAATAAAATGATCACTATAGAGTTAAGAGCTCCCTTTTATGACCCCCTTTTTCCTAGCCCCATCCCATAGCTTATTTACCAATTTATCAAGCATGGATTTCATAACTGTGTTTTAATTATATTTAAAGGGAATGGGTGTGGAGATTGAAGGAAAAGAAGACCTGGAGATGAGATGCTTTCTCTCTAAGAGTCAAGATTAAAAACCTCCTAATTGGTCTTCATGCCTTCTGTTTCTTTGCACGCCAGTCAAAGAGATTCCCCTAAAGCATAGTATTGATTTTTTTTTTAACAATTCAATTGTTTTTAGTATGTTCACAGAGTTGTGCAATCATCACCACAATCAATTTTAGAACATTTTCATCATGTGTACTCTTTAACCATGACCTCCCAATCTCCCCATTTCCCCACCCAGCCCTAGGCAACCACACATCTGCTTTTTGTCTCTCTAGATTTCCCTTTTCTGAACATTTCAGATAAATGGAATTATGTGCTATGTGGTCTTTTGTGACTGGCTTCTTTCCATTACCAAATGTTTTCAAGGGTCATCCAAGATATAGCATGTGTCTGTACTTCATTGTTTTTATGGCTAAATAAAATTTCATTCTATGATCACACCACATTTTGTGTACCCATTAATCAGTTGATGAACATTTGGCTTTTTCTACCTTTTGACTATTATGAATACTGCTGCTATGATCATTCATTTGCTAGTTTTTGTGTGGACATACCTTTTCATGTGTTTATCAGGTATCTACTTTGTTCTCCTGAGTGTACACCTAGGAGTGGAATTGCCAGGTCATGTGGTAACTCTAACGTTTAACTTTTTGAGGAACTGTCAGACTGTTTTCCAAAATGGCTGCACTATTTTATATTCCTACCAGTGGTGCAGAAGTGTTCCAATTTTTCACATTCTTGGCAACACTTGTTATTGTCTGTCCTTTCTATTATAGCCGAACTAGTGGATGTAAAGTGGTATCTCTTTTGGTTTTGATTTACATTTCCCTGGTGACTATTGGTGTTGAGCATATTTTCATGTGCTATTGGTCATCTGTTTATCTTCTTTGGAGATATATCTATTTAGATTCCATGCCCATTTTTAAATCAGGTAATTTGTATTTTGCTATTGACTAGAATATCATGTAATCTAGATAAAAAGTCCCTTATTAGATATATGATTTGCAAATATTTTTTCTCATTCTGTTGTTTGTCCTTTCACTTTCTTGCTGGTGTCCTTTGAAGCATAGAAGTTTTTAATTCTGAGGAAATCCAATTTATCTATTTTTTTCTTTGATTGCTTGTGCTTTGTTGTTATATCTAAGAAATCACTGCCAAATAAAGATTAGGAAGACTTACGCCTACATTTTCTTCTAAGAGTTTATAGTTTTAGCTCTTCCACTGAAATCTTTGCTCCATTAAGTTAGTTTTTGTGTATGGTATAAGATAGTGGTCGAACTTCATACTTTTGCACGTGGATATCCAGTTGTCTCAGCACCATTTGTTGAAAATATTATTCTTTCCTCTATTGAATTGTTTTGGCAACGCTGTCAAAAAGCAATTTACTCTAAATGCGAGGGTTTATTTCTGGATTCTTAATTTTATTTCATTGATCTGTAGGTCTATCCTTATGCCAATACCATACTGTCTTGATTACTTGTAGCTTTATAGTAGGTTTTGAAATTGGGAAATATGAACCCTCCAACTTTGATCTTCTTTTTCTTTTTTTTAGAGACAGGTCTCACTCTGTCACCCAGAACGGAGTGCAGTGTCATGATCACGGCTCACCGAAGCCTCAAACTCCTGGGCTCAAGTGACCCTCCTGCCTCACCCTCCCTAGCAGCTAGAACTATAGGTGCATGCCTCTTCACCTGGATAATTTTTTAAACATTTTTTAGAGATGGGGGTCTTACTATATTGCTGAGGCTAGTCTCCAACTCCTGTCCCCAATCAATCCTCGTACCTCAGCCTCCCCAAGTGCAAGGGTTACAGTGTTCTTTTTGAAAATTGTTTTGGCTATTCTGGATCCTTGGAATTTCCATGTGAATTTTAGAATCAGCTTGTCAATTTCTACAAAGAAGCCAGCTGGGATTTTGATATGGATTGCATGGAATTCACAGGTCAATTTAGTGAGTATTGCCATTATAACAAAATTAAATCTTCTGATCCATGAACGTGGAATGTGTTCCCATTTATTTAGATCTTTTTAACTTCTTTCAACGATTTTTGTAGTTTCTAGGTAAAAGTTTTGCACTTCTTTTGTTAAATTTATTCCTAAAAATTTTATTCTTTTTGATGCTATTGTAAGTAGGATCACATTCTTAATTTCATATTTGGATTGTTCAGTGAAAGTGTATAGAAATACAATTGATTTTGCATATTAATCTTGTATTCAGCAACCTTGCTGAACTCATTTATTCATTCTAATGGTTTTTTTTGTATATGAGATCATGTCATCTCCAAATAGTGATAGCTTTCCTTCTTCCTTTCCAATTGAGATTTCTTTTATTTCTTTCTTTTGCCTAATTGCTCTGGCTAGAACCCCCATACAATGTTGAATAGAGCTAGTTAGAATGGACATCCTTCTCTTTGTTTTTTAAGGACTAGAGTCTTTTTCTGTTGCCCAGGCTGGAGTGCAGGAGTGTGATCATAGCTCACTACATCCTCAAACTCCGGGGTTCAATTGATCTTCTTGCCAGAGTCTCCCGAATAGCTAGGACTACAGGTGTGTGTGACCATACCCAGCTACTTTTAATTTTTTAATTTTTTATAGAAAGGAGTCTCACTATGTTGCCCAGGTGGGTCTGAAACCCCTGGCTTTAAGCAATCCTTCCACCTCAGCCTCCCAAGGTTCTGGGATTACAGGTGTGATCCACTGTGCCCAGTCCTCCTTTTGTTGTTGATCTTGGGTGAAATCACTCAGTCTTTCACTATTAAGTGTGATAGTAGCTATGGGTTTTTCTAGATGGTTTTTATCAGGTTCAGGAAGTCCACTGTTCCTAATTTGTTGAACTTTTTTTTAATCATAAGAGAGAGTTGGGGTTTTTTTTGGTTTTTTGTTTTGTTTTGTTTGTTGTTGTTGTTTTTTGAGATAGAGTCTCACTCTGTCGCCCAGGCTGGAGTGCAGTGGAACAATCTTGGCTCATTGCAACCTCCACCTCCCAGGTACAAGCGATTCTCCTGCCTCAGCCTTCTGAGTAGCTGGGACTACTCAGCTAAAAAATTTAGCCACCATGCCTGGCTAATTTTTTTGTATTTTTAGTAGAGATGGGGTTTCACTGTTTTAGCCAGGATGGTTTTGATCTCCTGACCTCATGATCTGCCTGCCTTGGCCTCCCAAAGTGCTGTGATTATAGGTGTGAGCCACCATGCCCGGCCAAGAGTTGGTTTTTTCAAATGTTCTTTCTGCATCTATTGAGATGATTATGTGGTTATTTTTTATTCTATTGATATGATAACATTATTTCATTTTTGAATGTTAAACCAACTTTGCATTCCTGGAATTAAATCCTAGTTGGTCATGGAGTATAATCCTTTTATGGGTTGCTGGATATGGTTTGCTAATTCTCTGTTGATGATTTTCATCTCTATATTCATAAGAAATACTGGTTTATAATTTCTTTTGAAGAATTCATGAGTAACTGGTGTTAATTCTTCTGTAAGTGTTTGGTAAAATTCACCCAGTGAAGCCAGCAATGACTTTTTCATCCTCCTCTTTGAAACCCTTCAATGGTTACCAATCACCTAATGAATTCAATATAACATCCTATGATATGCATTCCCAGTAGTATGTCCTACTATTCCCAACTAATCTCCCACCTGCCACTTGTCCACAGCCTCTATCTCAACTCTTGCCTTGACCTGTACTTCTTATACCCTTGTGTGTTTCACTAGGCGGACTGCTACTCCTCTCTTAAAAACATCTCAAGTCTACTTACACCTTAAAACCATTTCTTGACTTTCTTGTTGAATTAGTTTAGATTTTCTTGCAATATTCTGACCAGCTTCCCCTAATAACCATTTTTAAATCTCTCTATTGATCTTCACAGCATAGGATTTATAGAAAAGCCTTTATCATAGGCTTTGGGAACAAATGAATTGTAAAAAGCACCTTAATGGGAAAAGGCCCATTCTAGTTAAATTGGGACCTGTCAGTTATTTTGCTAATGACACATAACTATTAAATGCTATATGGAATCCACTGTGAAGAGTATGTCTCTGTGAGTTCTTTTTCCAATGTCAGAATAATTAAAAAGAATTTTTGCTTGAGGAACTCATTATGAATGACTTCTCTGTGTTTCACCATATTTCTGAGGAAAAATTGTCTTAAAAATTGGATTCAAGACTTAGGGAGGTTCCGCATGCCTTTTTGCTGACTTTCCAAGTCTCAATGATCTTCACAGTAGAGAATATCAAAGATGCTAATGGCAGGATCACAATAGTAGTTGTTCTCTAAAAACGATTCCTTCTTCCAATATTTAAAATAAAATTTTTAAATATTTTAAGGCTGATGTATAATTTTCTGTGAAGAAACTGTATTACCTTAGTAAACATAGCATTTAAAATATATAACATTGCTTTTCAAATATATATGAAGATTATATTTTCTTCATAGAGTTTTGAAATGTTTATGAAGAAATGAGAATTATATAGAACATGCTCAAAACTCTTTTATGCGTTAGAATTTGTAACAAAGTGACTGCTATACTAACATATCTAATGGACATCTGTTTCCTAAATTTCATTAAGGTAAAATTTTTATTTTAGTGAGGGATGAATCAAGAATTCTTTAAGACAAAATTATCAAGAAACACATTTCATAGATCTATGCTATTATGCAAATGTTGTGACTGGAGCCCATTACTTCAGCTGACTTTAACAGTATTGCCAGTTTTCTCTCAACATTAGCTAGGGAGGTATGTTGGTATTGCTTCTATTATTATTATCAATAAAAAATAGTAATAACTGCATTCATTTATTGTCACTGTGCATTACAAATGATGCCAGGCACTTATCATCTAGCTTACAACAAGCCAGCAAAGAAATTTGCTAGCATGCTTACTATATGTTAGCAAGGATTAGGTTCAATTGCAAGTAATAGAAACCTAAAATAATAATGTCTTTAAAAAGAATGAATTGTATTATCTTACATAAAAGTCCAGAGGTAGGCATTCTAGGCCTGGCTTTATAGTTCTGCTCTACAAAGTACTTAGGGACTGAAGCTCTTTCTCTCTTATAAATGCTCACTGGCTGCAGTGCCAACAGCAAAGAAAGGGATAAGAGAAAGAGGGCAAAGGAAACATACTGCTTTGCTTAGTAAGGTTTCTACTACATGATATTTCATTTAGAGTCCATTGGCCAGAAGGCAGTCATATAAACATGTGTAGGTGGGTGGCCATGTGCCAACTACAACTTTGAGGATCTAAAACGGAGGAAAGAGTGATTAACCCATTTACGTTACTTGCCCAAAGTCACCTGCTTGATAAAAGACAGAGGATTCAAAACTACATCTGTCTAGGTCTATCTTTGAGGGCAGAGCAAAGGGGATGGGAATAGTAATAATTTATTTTATAAACTTAGCACGTTGTCTTAAATATTGTTCCAGTTAGTTATTGCCATGTAACAAACCAAGCCCAATTTAAACAATAAACATTTATTTAGCTCAGCAAATCATTCCTGTGAATCTGGGCCAATCTTGGCAGATTTCTGCTTGGAGATTGGCAAGGGGTTGACTGGCCTAGGGCCTTGGCTGGGACAACTTGTCATTCCTCCACATGGTCTCTTGTCCTTCATTAGGCCAGCCTGGGTTTGTTTTTATCACATCATCCATTTGAGAGAGGTCCACGAGAGAGAACAGGAGCATGAAAGACTTCTTGAGGCATAGATTCATAAGTGGCTCAATGTCATTTCCACTGCACTACATTAGTCAAGATAAAAAACAATACCAACCCAGATTCAAGGGCTGGGGAAATATACTTATCGCTTGACAAATTACAATGTCATATTGCAAAAATCATGGGTACAGAGAGACCACCAATTGGGGCTATGAATGTAATCAATTTACCATAATATTAATAAAAGTTGTTGATTGGAATTGAAAATAGTAAGGATCATCGTCAACAAAAAAACCTGAATGTATTGTCTTTATTTAGTTGTGTTTTTCTTTTAAATTTTTTATTTTTCAAGACTGGGCCTTGCTCTGTTGCTCAGGCTGGAGTGCAGCTGCATGATCAAGGCTCACTGCAGGCTCAACTTCTGGGGCTCAGGCAATCTTCTTGTCTCAGCCTCCCAAGAAGCTGAGACCACAGGCACGTGCCACCATACCCAGCTAATTTTTAAAAAAATGTATTTATAGACATGGGGTCTCCCCATGTTGCTCAGGCAGGACTCTAACTCCTGGATTCTAGGAATCCTCCTCTCTTGGCCTCCCAAAGTGCCAGGATTACAGGCATGAGCCACCACACGCAGCCAAGTTTTTCTTCTTAGAGGAACTCAAGTTCTACAATAGTTCTTCTCAGTCATCATGGACACATTCAGGAAATGAAACATAAACAAAGGTCCTTGGGTCTTGGAAGATTTTTTCTGCTAAATTGAATCTGGATTAAGACTAGGAAGGGATGGATATAGGGCCAGAGGAGTCTGTGGGTGAAGATTTTTATTGTCCTTAGAAATTGTAATTTGTCTGAGATTGCATTTTTCTTCCTGTTAAAGCTTGATTTAAAATGTGTGGGGGCTGGGCGCAGTGGCTCATGCCTGTAATCCCAGCATTTTGGGAGGCTGAGGCAAGTGAATCACTTGAAGGCAGGAGTTTAAGACAATCCTGGCCAACATGGTGAAACCCTGTCTCTACTAAGACTACAAAAATTAGCCTGGCATGGTGGCATGTTCCTGTGGTCTCAACGACTCAAGAGGCTGAGGCATGAGAATCACTTGAACCTGGGAAGTGGAAAGTACAGTGAGCAAAGATTGTGACACTGCACTCCAGCCTGGGTGAAAGAGTGAGACCCTGTCTGAAAAAAAAAAAGTATGTGGGTATTCTCAGGTTCTTGAGAAAATTAATGAAAAGAGAGTAAGTTTTATTTTCTTCATTGTTTGGGCTAGTTTGTTCATTCACTAAACAAAAATGCATTGAGTCCCTGTCATGTGCTAAGTACCATGCTGGGCACTGAGATATAATAATAAGCAAAAATAGACATAGTTCCTATCCTTAAGGAGTTTACCACTGTGGGTTGGAGAAATGAGACATTAATTAAATAATCCCACAAATAAATGCTCCATGATGGCAAAATGCAAAAAGTGATGTAAAGGTATATGGTGACATGAGACTCAGACTCTCCAAAACAAAGAGGTGGTCTGGTCTGTGGCATCAAAGAAGGCTTTCTTAAAGAAAAAATCTTCAAGCTAAACTCTGAAGGATAAGTCAGAATTAATGGGGTAGTGGTAGAGAATAGGGTTCTAGGCAAAGAAACAGTATCTGTAAAGGCACTTATGAAAGACTGCAAGGAAGCCATTTAGGACTGAAACACAGAGAGTGAGAGGAAGTGGTTTAGAGATGAGACCGGAGAGCTGATGACTGTCAGATTATATGGGGGTGCTAGGCCATAGAAGAAACTTTTGTCATTATCCTCAAAAAATAACAGCCATAGCAAGTGACATGAGCAGGTCTGTGAATTTAAAAGATCCCTTTGGGGTTAGGCCCGAGATTGAATAACTAGAGACCATTTAGGAGTCTACTGCAGTGTCCAGATAAAACCTGATAGCTTAGATGAGAGCGGTGATGAGGGAGAGGATGAAAAGCAGAACTATTCAGGAGATTTTTGTGGTAAAATCAATAGGCCTCTGTAACATGTCAGTTACAGGAAGTAAAGAAAAGGAAGATGTAGTATATTGAATCTCTTCACCCCTCCCTGCCTTCATATCACTGTCAAGGCCTTACTGTGGGTAGACTTTGGGCTTGACAATGTTGCCTGCTTCAGCCAATGACATAAGTAGAAATGTCAGTATGCCATTCCAAGCTTAGGATTTAAGAGACCTTATGTGTTTGCACTTGTGCTCTTGAACCTCAGAAGCCATCATGAAAGAAACATTCCCAGACTGGCCTGCTAGTTCAAGAAGGATAAGTGACATGGGGCATAGAGTCACCCCTGAGACCTACAGTGAGCAGCAGAGCCACTCTGGCTGCTGCAATCTACAATAGAGTTGCCCAACTGAGCCCAGACTAGATCTGCCAAATTCTAACTAACTTCTGCATACATGAGTGATTGTAAATGAATGTGGTTTTGTTGTTGTTGTTGTTGTTGTTGTTGTTGTTTAGGGACAGTGTCTCACTCAGTGGCCCAGGCTGGAGGGCAGTGGCATAATCACAGCTCACTGCAGCCTCAACCTCTCAGGCTCAAGACATCCTCCCACCTCAGCCTTGTGAGTAACTAGGACTACAGTTGCATGCCACCATGCCTGACTAATTTTTGTATTTTTTGTAGAGACAGGGTTTTGCTGTGTTGCCCAGGCTGGTCTTGAACTCCTGGGCTCAAGTGAGTCATCTGCCTTTGCCTTTCAAACTGTCAGGATTACAGGCATGAGCCACCGTGCCTGGCCGAATATAGTTTTAAATATCAGAATTTGGAGTTGTTTGTTACTCAGCAATAATTGACACCCAGATGTGTAACCACTCAACAGGTTCATCCTGCCCACTGCCCAGATAGAGCTGATTCATCAAGACAGGGAAATTGCAATAGAGAAACAGTTTAATATACATAGAACCAGCTAAATGGCCAGACTAATAATAACAGATGGGTTGATTTTATTACTCAAATCAGATTCCCTGAAAATTTGGAGGCTAGAGTTTTTTCAAGATAGTTAGGTGGGCTGGGGGCTAGGGAATGGGTGCTGCTGATTGGTCAGGGGTGCAATCATAGAGATGTAGAAAATGGTTCTTATGTGCTGAGTCCACTTCTGGGTGGGGGCTATAGGACCAGGTGAGTCTTAAGTCTTGGGTCTCAGTGGAGTCATCCAACCATCAGAAGTGCAGAAGTCTGAAAAGACATCTCAAAAGTCCAATCTTAGGCTCTACAATAGTGACATTATTCACAGGAGTAATAGGGGAAGTTACAAATCTTGTGATCTCCAGTACAATGGCTGGTAATTGTTTAACTAAACCTACTTCTTAGCAGAATTCAGGCCCTTCTCTTAATCCTAAATTTGTGGCCTTTTATTAGTTTTATAATAATTATTATAAAAGGGCTATTATTATTTAAACTATAAACTAAATTTCTCCCATAGTTAGTTTGGCCCATGCCTTTCCCTGTAGGCATTTTCTCACTGTTGTGATTTATTTGTTTTTTTTTAGAGGCAGTCTTCCTCTGTTGCCCAGGCAGAATTGCAGTGGCATGACCTCAGCTCATTGCAGCCTCAACCTTCCAGGCTTAAGCAATCCTCCCATGTCAACCTCCCAAGTAGCTGGGCCTACAGGCACATGCCACCATGCCTGGCTAATTTTTAAAAAAAAATTTTGAAGTGCCCAGGCTAGTCTCAAACTCCTGAGCTCAAGCCACCCTCCCATTTTGGTCTCCCAAAGTGCTGGGATTACAGGCATGAGACACTGTGCCTGGCTTCACTGTTGTAATTTTTTGCAAAAGTGGGCACAGGGGCTCATGCCTGTAATCCTAGAACTTTGAGAGACCAAGATGGGAGGATCACATGAGCTTAGTCGTTTGAGACCAGTCTGAGCAATAGAGTGAGACCCTTTCTCTACAAAAAATATAAAAGACTAGCCAGGCACAGTGGTGCGAGCCTGTAGTCCCAGCTACTTGGGAGGCTGAGGTGGGAGGATCACCTGAGCCCAGGAGGTTGAGGCTGCAGTGAGCTGTGATCAAGCCACTGTACTCCAGCCTGTGTGACAGAGTGAGACCCCATCTCAAAAAAAAATTTTATATCAGTAACTATTGGAAAGTTTAAGTGTCAAGCCAAAAGAGCCATGATGAAGTTCTGATTTATTAAATTCCATTTGTGAAGAGTGTGTGTGTGTGTGTGTGTGTGTGTGTGTGTGTGTGTGTCTGCGTATGAGAGGGAAACAGAGGGAGATTGAGACACACAGGAGAGATGCAGAGAGCAGGTTGTGGTGGCTCATTCTTATAGCCCAACTGCTGGCTAGTTTGGTTTTCATTTAAAAGTTCTTCGACTGACATTTGACTATTGCCCCTTTAGAATACAGTCTTTTATAATTTTCTCCATTTCCCCTACATGACTTCTGTCCATCTTTGGAGAAGCAAAATTATGCCTAATGGGTTTCTGATTTGTTCTTTGGAGCCCCACTTTTTAGTAAGCACACAAAAAAACTATTCATCCACATTGCTACCTTATACTAAACGTTCTTTGTTAACTTAAATTCTACAGGCTGGGCAGCATAAACATTCAAGAAAAAAAAATTCATTGTGCCACCAGCTCTAAGCATCTGGCACCAAATATTTCTTTAATGTTTGTTTAAACAAGAAATGTTTTAAAAGAGAGACATTTTTCACAGTGATGATGGCCTTGACTACCGAGGGCACATATCTGAGCCCTGGTCTTTGCAGGGAGCATGAAGGAGCCTGTCAGTGAAGCTTTCCTCCAGGGAAAAGCCAACGGAAAGGTTTCTTCACTTTGGAAGTTCTGCGTCTTGGAATTTTTCTAAGGATAGTTTCAGCTTTTTCAAACTTAGTGCATGTCAGTACTTGAGAAGAAGGTCAGAGAAAAGCAGCAGAAAGTGAAAATAATTTGCTTTAAGAACGCAGGCAGTGCTTCTGTGAAATCATGCTATTCAGAGACTTTCAATCAAGTGGATCCTAATTTTCTAGTTGCTTGACTTGTACTTTGAGATTCCCTAAAACAACTTCAGTATTGAGAATTGCTCTGGGCAGAATTGGGGCCTGAACATTATTTTCTCTGTGCACCCCCTGATTTTGACCAGTCTTTTTTTTTTTAAGAAACAGGGGTCTCACTATGTTGTCCAGGCTGCTCTTGAACTCCTGGCCTCAAGCAATCCTCCCACCTCAGCCTCCCAAGTGCCGAGATTACAGGTGCATGCTACCATGTCCTGCTAATTTTTTTTTTTTATTTTTTGTAGAGACAGGGTCTCACTATGTTGTCAGGGCTGGTCTTGAACTCCTGGGCTCAAGACTCTGCCTCAGTCTCCCAGAGTGCTAGGATTACAGGCACCAGCCACTGCGCCTGACCCATTTTCCCCATCTTGATTCCCCATTCTCTGCTTCTTCCCCTCCTGCTCAGACCTCTATTTCATTCATACCTTGCTGCCAATCATTGCTCAGGTATTAATTTAATCTTGGAATTTAATATTATACTTCATATTTTGTACTGAAGCAAAGATAGACTTTTTTTTTTTTTTTTTTGAGACAGAGTCTCACTGTGCTGCCCAGGCTGGAGTGCAGTGGTGTGATCTCAGCTCACTGCATCCTCTGCCTCTCAGGTTCAAGTGATTCTCCTGCCTCAGCCTACCAGTAGCTGGGATTACAGGCACCTGTCACCACACCCAGCTAATTTTTATATTTTTAGTATGACCGGTTTTCGCCATGTTGGCCAGGCTGGTCCCGAACTCCGGAGCTCAGGTGATCCGCTCGCCTCTGCCTCCCAGAGTGCTGGGATTATAGGCATGAGCCCCTGTGCTGGCCATGAAGCAAGATAAACTTATAGGATGTTTAGAGCTGACAGGGTCATTCATTCATTCATGTATTCTTCACATACTTACGCTTTGAGCCAAGCATTTCCCCAGGCTCCCAAGTAGCTTCCATTCCAGCAGAGAAGCCATGATAACCCAATCAAATAAATTCTGTGATGGAAGTGTAAGCACAGTCTAGCAGCAGCACAGGCAGGGAGTGTGTCCATCTGTATAGGCAGAGATGGTGAAGGCTTCCCAAAGCTGGCAGTGGGACATCCATATTCAGAAATGAAGCCTAGGAATAACGTTTCCATCAGAGCAAGCAACCCCTGCAAAGACAGGGAGAAGCTGGGGCACGACTAATGGCCGAGTATTGCTGTAGGGTGCATTGTGAGCAGGGAAGCTCCTGCCCATGGCCCTGTCATGCTGGGACAAGGACCTTGAATACCATGCAAGGGAATTTCGATTTTAAACTGGAGTCAACAGAAAGAACATTGAAGATTTTTAAGCAGATCTTTTATGTTAGAAAGGTCACTCTGGTGGGTGGGGCATGGTGGCTCACACCTGTAATCCCAGCACTTTGGGAGGCCGAGGCAGGTGGTTCACCCGAGGTCAGGAGTTCAAGACCAGCCTGGCCAACATGGTGAAACTCCATCTCTACTAAAAAATACAAAATTAGCCAGGTGTGGTGGTGCATGCCTGTAATCCCAGCTACTCAGGAGGCTGAGGCAGGAGAATTGCTTGAACCTGGAGGCAGAGGTTGCAGTGAGCTAAGATTCTGCCAATGCACTCCAGCCTGGGCGACAGAGCGATACTCCATCTTAAAAGAAAAATAAAAATAAAAAATAAAAGAAAAAAAAGATCTTTGGGGAAATAAGGGGTGTGGATGGAATGGGAGGAGGAATCAATGAGATTCAAATCAGGGACATCTAGAGAGAGGCTGATACAATCAATAGTCCAGGCCACTGACGTTGAAGGCCTGAGCTGGGGCAGTGGCTCTGGGCATAAACAGGAGGAATGTTTAGGGCTGAAAAACTAACTGGAGCCGGGCGTGGTGGCTCACGCCTGTAATCCCAGCACTTTGGGAGGCCAAAGTGGGCAGATCACTTGAGCTCAGGACTTCGAGGCCAGCCTGGGCAACATGGTGAAACCCAGTCTCTACAAAAAATATAAAAATTAGCTGGTCGTGGTGAAACACACCTGTAGTTCCAGCTACTTGGGAGGCTGAGATTGGAGAATCACTTGAGCACAGGAGATGGAGGTCACAGTGAGTTAAGATACCACAGCTGCACTCCAGCCTGGGCAATAGAGCTAGAACTTGTCTTTTAAAGAAAAAAAAAAAGACTAAGTGGGTGGAAAGAGGAAAGACTAAAAGATGAATCCAGGTTTCTCGGGCTTCGCTGATGGGATTCATGGTTGCAGCAATCACCTGTAGGATGTCTGGATATTAACAGAGCCATTAAGGGCTGAGTTCACTTTTGTGCTCCTTGTGTCTGGACTGAAGACAGAGCAGTCCAAAAGAAGGTCAAGGACAGAGTCATGGGGTGCCCCACATCGTAAGGGCATCATAAGAGGTTATTTTCTAGAATAGATTCCAGGTCCCACCTGAGATGATTTAGAAGGCCTGGGTGAAGCCTAAGAATCCATGGTTATTGTTATTGTTTTTGTTATTTATATATTTATTTATTTGAGACAGAGTCTCACTCTGTCACCCAGGCTGAATGCAGTAGGGCGATCTTGACTCATTGCAACCTTTGACTCCTGGGCTCAGGTGATCCTCCCATCTCAGCCTCCCAAGTAGCTGGGACCACAGGTGCAGGCCACTACACTCAGCTAATTTTTCTATTTTCAGGAGAGACGGTGTTTTACCATGTTGCCCAGGCTGTTGACGAACTCCCGGGCTCAAGCAGTCCATCCACTTCTGCCTCCCAAAGTGCTGGGATTACAGGCGTGAGCCACCGCGCCTGGCTAGTAATCCATGTTTTAAAAAAATCTCTTCAGGGACTCTGAGCAGCAACCCAAGCTGGGAGTCACAGGTCAGTCCCACCCTCTTCCATGACAGAGCTAGACCTGATTTCCTGCAGGGTGGAGAGACTTTCCAAAGGTCACAGAGCTCCCTAGAAGCTGAGTGAAGCTCAGACTCCTAGGCCACTGTCGTTTCTTCTCTGTGGGGCTCATTTCTCCACCAGATTCCTTGGTCTTGTTTCGATTTTAAAGCCACTGATGAGGGTCTGCACTTCCCTCTTGTGTTTGTAACATGTGATCAGTTCTAACCCAAATTTGGCTGAGCAGTGGATTTGGTAGACTGAAAGAGATGTCCCTCACAAGCTCATGACACTGGTTTCTAAACAATTCTATATTGTACAGTGCTCTTAGTAAAGAGGAAATTTGTTCTCAGTGGCTCAGTCCTCATCATTCTGCCCAGCAGCTTTTGGCAGAATCTGGTCTTTGAACTAATATCTTCGTATATAATCTGGACCACGGAATAGAAAAATGCCCCTACTTTTGTAAGAGATGCTGGGTGGGAGAAAAATTGGCTGAGAATCTATAAGTCTTCTTTGAGAATTTATGGTTGAATTTATGATGATGCAGAAATAAAAGACAAGATCACTGTGTTTAGGAAAATGGAATCTCATTGGTTCTGGGAGACAACTAGTGAATGCCAAGATTTCTCTCCAGTTCTTTCCTTGGGAGCACACATCCCCTCAGAATTAGTCACATCCATGTGACTTGCTTTAGCTAACAAAATGTTGGCATAACAATGGGTATCGCTTTAAAAAAATTTTTTTAGCTTTTTTTGTTGTTAACTTTAGCAACCCTATTAACTGAACAACGGGTATCACTTCTACTTGTATTAAATATGTATAAAACTTCTCCATTTTCCATGAACCCTGAAGCCTTCTGTTGATTTCACACAGTGGTAGAACTTTTGTCAACCTGGGCCACCTGGACTCTGATGATCAGAACCCCTCCGCCAATTAGTGTGGGAAATGTAGTGTGAATATGAAAAACAATCTGGCTGGGCATGGTGGGTCACATCTGTAATCCCAGCACTTTGGGAGGCCAAGTGGGGAGGATTGCTTCAGTCCAGGATTTCGAGGCCAGCCTTGGAAACATAGCAAGCCCCATCTCCCAAATACATATATAATTAAAAAATTAGCTGGATGTGGTGGTGCACGTATGTAGTCCCAGCTACTTCGGAGGCTGAGGTGGGAGGATGGCTTGAACCCAGGAGGTGGAGGCTGCAATGAGCCGAGATTGCACCACTGCACTGCAGCCTGGGCAACAGAGTGAGACCCCTTCTCGAAAACAAAACAAAACAAAAAACTACCCCAGACTATTGTTCTAAGCCGCTGAGATTTGCTGATTTGTTTACTGCAGCATATTTTAGCTTAATCTGACTAATGCACTGGTCAATAAGAAATACGCATGGGAAACATAACGCAAACCCTGAAATATCATAAAACCGGAAGATCTCAGGGGGCTAGAGTCATCAGAGAAGGCAATCCTGGTCAACTGGAATAATGGGACATAAACTGGATGGGGTTCAGTAGAGAAAAATTCAGGGTTATGCACTTGGAGTTGAAAAGTGAACATGTTCAAAGGCAAGGTGCCAACTACTCAAAGGCAGTTGGCTGGAAAATTTAAAGTATAGCTTTAGTGGACAGCCAGTTGACCGGGAAGAATTGTCACAATCCTGCAGCTCTGTTGATTGAAAAAAATGCAAGCAGAGAACTGTAGCAAATGAAAAGCATGTCTGTATCATGAGGTAATTGTTACATTGCTCTCTGTACTGTCCAGAGCTGTAACGGAGAGCTGGGGCTGGCTCCCGGCTCCATAGTTCTACGGGAATTGAGAGAATGTGGAGAGTTCAGAGCTAAAGCAGAATAGTCATCCTGTGACCAGCAAACAAGGGCTAAAGGACCTAGGATTATTTAGCCTAGAGAGGAGATGCATCAGAGGTGAATTAAGAAGTGCCAGCATTGGACTTAAACTTCAGAAGAGCCATTGCGTGGAGGATGATGACTGTTTTTTCCCTCTGTTGCCAAGGACACAAAAAGAATGGGCTCATTAAAGTTAAACAAAAGGAAGAATTTCCTGATGCCTAGGGTTGTTTGACACCAGATAGGGCTGGAGATTTTTCTTTGGAGGACTTTGCAAAATCAATATTCTTTTAAATGCAGTAGATTGGCTCTTTCCTGAAGTAAAGGGCGGGAAGCCTGGCAGTCTCATTTCTACCATGACCAGGATGGCAGTGGATGATGTTCACTGTGGGACACACTCGATGTGCATGCTAAACTAACGTTTTGCACAACTCCCAGCATCCTACGGGCAGCTGTGTTCCTTTCCTTCTTCTCAAGAAAACATATTAGGAAACAAGAGCTACTTGTTGGTGATCAGGATAACCTCAACTCCTCTTTTTTAAAAAGGTAAATGTTTTGTAAATGTCAGTCTTTTAACTATTGCTTGTAAAAATAACTAAATAACTTGTGATATAATCAGTCAACATTTTTTTTTTTGAGATGGAGTCTCACTCTGTTGCCCAGGCTGGAGTGCAGTGGCACAATCTCGGCTCACTGCAACCTCTGCCTCCCGGGTTCAAGCAGTTCTCCTGCCTCAACCTCCTGAGTAGCCAGGATTACAGACGTGCACCACCATGCCCGGCTAATTTTTGCATTTTTAGTAGAGACAGGGTTTCACCATGTTGCCCAGGCTGGTGTCGAACTCCTGACCTCAGGTGATCCTCCTACCTCAGCCTCCCAAAGTGCTAGGATTATAGGTGTGAGCTACCACACCCCACTCCATTCAACATTTCTTTAACAGATAATTCTTGAGTGAGGGGTGTGTGTGTTTGTGTTGGGAGATGTGGCTGAACCAATTCCTAGTGATGAATGCTGTTATACAGGAAATGTGGCACGCCCTGAGACCCAAGAGAAGGGCTGATAAGCCTGTACCTAGAAGGCATGTGCAAGCTGAGATGCATAGGGTGAGTGGGAGAAAGTTGGCCAACAGGAGACACAGCAGGAAGGCAGGTGGAGCTATGTGTGTGAGGCTTGGAGGCTGGAGGCATATGGAGAAATCAAGAAGTGGAAAGATCTCTGAATATAGATGCTATCATCAGGGCAGAGTGGGAGTGGGTGACAGTAGGAGCCAGGGCTGCTATGTGGGAGGCAGAACACCTGGGGTCACATCGGTCATGTTAGGCTTGGATTTCATCCCAGGAGCATAGTGAGGCCATGGAAGTGTTGATGCAGGGGAAGGACCCTCTCAGGTTTATGTTTCAGAAAGATCATTCTGGCTGCATGTGGAAAATTGATTAGAGAAGCTTTGAAATTAATCTGGCCTAGGTTTAAATCTATGGTCCATGTTATTAATTTTAAGATTTTCAAAAAATTACTTAATCTCACACAATCTCAGTTTCCTCATCTGTAAAACAGAGATAATTATTAGTATGCCTTATCTGGCAGGGTAGCTGTGAGAATAAGTATAAATATTGCATGTAAAGGGCCTGCAGAGTGTCTAATCCCCTGGTGTGGGTGCCCAACAAACTCTGGCTCCCTTCTCTGCCAATTTATAGTAAATTTACAAGTGAGAAATGCACTTGCCACAGTACAGAATCAAATACTTTGTTTTTTCTTTTTCTTTTTTGAGATGGAGTCTCGCTCTGATGCTAGGCTGGAGTGCAGTGGCACGATCTCGGCTCACTGCAACCTCCACCTCCCAGGTTCAAGCGATTCTTGTGCCTCAGCCTCCCGAGTAGCTGGGACTACAGGCGTGCATACTTTGTTTTTTCAATCGAGAGTGATGATTACATGGATAGTTTCTACAGTCCTCTTAAAACTGTAGAGACCAGACTAGATTTTCCTTAAGTCCTTTAATCATCTTTGTGGTTTTTTGCAGAACCTTCTCCAGTTTTTCAAAATTCCACTTCAATTGTGGAGACCACAGCTAGATTAGTCACCGTAGAGAACCCATTATAATTAGCTCAACACTGTGCAGTTGCTTGGGCGGCTGACTCGGCCATGAAAACCCAGTCGGCCAGTCCCCATCGACACATAGGTTGTGTTCCAGGAGTTCATTAGTAAGTCGGTTGTTTGGAACACAGAAAGCCTTTCCCCATAGAAACAGAATTATAGATGGTGGCTTGTTTCCCAGGCCAGTGCACAAAAATCTATTTAATGCACATGCAGCTGAACCAGGGCCAGTCCCTTAAGTCTTGGACTTGCCTGATCCCCAGTGGAGCCCCCAGTCTCATGGAGCCCTGAGAACCTCTGAGCCTCAAGCATCCAACCACAAGGCCTCTGAGAGAGGTGAGAATTGGGCTGACAATTTTAGAGTGAGAATCATTTGCAGCATGATTATGAAAAACACTTCTTTGGAAGACTTAACCTGCAATCGTGCTTACTGTTATTAGAAAGCAATCAAGTTACCCTATGATAAATACACCGACTATATGCGGATATTGTACCTAAATCTACCTAAATTACCTTTAATTTTCACAGTACTCCTGTAAGAAAATGACTCTCTTTCTCAGTATTCCCATTTTGCCTGTGTCTTAAGGAGACTGTGGCCCAAGGTCAGGCAGATAGAAGGTGGCAGAACTGATGTTGGAGATCTGGCCTTCTGTCTCGTAAAGCTGAGACCTTTTCACTGCACAACACTGCCTCCCAGTGGACTGTGCTTAACACTGAACCTCGCGTGGCTGAGCCAACCACGTATACTCTGCGGGTGCACTTAACAAGTTCTTCATTCATACATCCAACAAAGAATCTTTGAGTGCTTCCAATGAGCGAGGCCTCGGGAACACAAAATCAAATTAGACGTGGTGTTCTCATAGAGTGGTTGGGAAAGGGAATAAGTAAATCAACGATTGAAATCTATGAGATGGAATGTAATTAAATTTTAAAAGAGAAAAAGATAACATAGAAACCCAGCAGAGAGATGTATTGGTCAGACAGACGAGGATGGTGGTGGACCAGAAAGTCCCTGTGCTCCCCTAGCTTTCACCTCCTGTCCTCAGACTATACCATCCACCGTCTACCACACCTACTGATACCGTCATCAGTTGAGCTGAGCCCCTCACATCTCCATCATTTTAGCTTTTAGCTTTCTGTAAGTCTCTCCGAAACCACGTCAGCCTTTGTTCCTGGTGATTTTAATATCCACGCTGATGACTGCTTCTGTACCCAGGCCTCTCAGCACCTTTAACTCCCCTTGTCATCTACCCACCTCAGTCACTTACCTCAGTGGTCGTTCTCTAGACCTGGTCACTGCCAAGAACTGCAACTCCTCTACAATCTCAGTTTATCATCTCGTCCATGGCACACGAAAGTGAGAGCGGCTGGAGGCTGCTAAATGCCCAGGAGGATGGGGTGAAACCCCACCTTCCAGCCAAAAACACTGAACTGCTGGTCCCAGATGAAACCCGCGACACAGGCTGAGTATTTCTGTTCCTTTTTGCCCCCGCTCTTTCCTGATTAATTATTTCTAAATAATGCGTTTTAACCGATCAAGCGTTGCCTTTTCCAATACTACCTATGACCTGCCCCTCCCCTATTCTAAGCCTATAAAAAGCTCGTGACCCAGCCACGAGGGGAGGAAAAAACCATCCGACTAAGGGGGTGGGCGACCACCCCCCAGAGTCCCTTCTCCGCTAATTGCTGTTCCCTTGCTCAATAAAATTCTTCTCCGCCCTCTTCACCCTTCAATGTCCAACGTATCCTCATTCTTCTCAGGCGTGGTACAAGAGCTTGGGAACTGCCGAACGCGGGTACAAGAGCTTGGGAACCGCCGAACGTGGGTACAAGAGCTTGGGAACCGCCGAACGCGGATAGAAGCTATAACACAGGCGAGCTGGGGCATGCCAGCGTGGCTGAGCAGGGCGCGGGTGGGGCATCGCTGGCCGGAGGTCCCGGTTTGCAAAGTGACCGAGAAGAAAAATCCTGCATCAAAAGTTACAGTTGCTGCCGGGAGCTGTGGCTCATGCCTGTAATCCCAGCACTTTGGGAGGCTGAGGTGGGCAGATCATGAGGTCAGCAGTTCGAGACCAGCCTGGCCAACATGATGAAACCCCATCTCTACTAAAAATACAAAAATTAGCCGGGCGTGGTGGCGAGTGCCTGTAATCTCAGCTACTTGGGAGGCTGAGGCAGGAGAATTGCTTGAACCTGAGAGGTGGAGGTTGCAGTGAGCTGAGATAGCACCACTGCACTCTAGTCTGGGTAACAGAGCAAGACTCCATCTGGGGAAAAAAAAAAGTTCCAGTTGCTGGCATCTTCTGCATTTGTGTTGCCAATCCTTTTAATTCTAGCCATTCTGGTGAGATTGTAATTGTAATAACATTGAAATGGTATGCATTTCTCTGATAAGGAAATAAAGTACTTTTATATACATTTATTGGACATTGGAATATCATTTTCGTGAAGTGTCTTGTTCATTTGCTACGGGATTGTCTGTCTTTATTGATTAATACAAGTTCTTTATATGATAAATATATTGCAAATAATTTCCTTTATTCTGTCACTTGCCCTCTTATTCTCGTCATTTTGATGAAAAGAAGTTCGCAATTTTGATGAAATCCAATTTATCAATCTTTTCCTCTGTGGTTAACATTATTGTTCAAATCTCACATTTATTTAAGAAATATATTTTAAAATATATTTTAAGAAAATATATTTAAATATAAATTTGTATGTTACAATATATGTTTTATATTTTATATAAATATGTTACATTTTAAAGTATATTTCTATATATATTTAAGAAATCTTTTCCTACTTTGAGGTTATGAGGATAGTCAAAATTATCTTCTAGGTTTATTTTGTGGACTTTCACATTTATACCTATAAATATTTTGGAATCTATTTTTCTTTTTGGTGTGACATACTAATCAAGCTTGTTAATTTTTTTTTGTATTTGGAAATTGCCCCAGCTCTATTTATTGAAGAGATCATCCTTTTCCCATTTCTCTGTGTGTCACCTTTGTCATAAATCAAGAGTTCTTTATTGTCTTTCTGTGCTCGATTTTATAAAATTTATTGTTATAAGAATTTGTCCATTTCATCCAAATTTTCAAATGCATTGGCATAAAATAGTCCATAATATCCTTCTCTTGTCTTTTCAATGTCTGAATGATCTGTAGTGATGTTCTCTTTCTCATTCTTAACACTGGTAATCTGTGCCTCCTCTCTCTTTCAAAAATTATTCTCACTAGGGAGATACAAGTATTTTCAGAGAACTAGTTTTTGGCTTTTTCCATCTTTTTACTTTATGTTTTTGTATTTTTATGTTGTAAACACAGAAAGTTGAGCATGTGCTTATGTGCGTGTATCTATCTTTACCTAATAATGTAGCATCAAATTATACAGAGAAAAAAATATGCTTGTCTATCCAGTGTGACAATCTTTGCCTTTAATTATAGCATTTTGCCCATTTACATTTCATTAATTAGTGATATTTGGGGGTGTAAATATACCTTCTTATTAAACACACTCTCTTTTTTCTGCCTGCTCCATGTTATATTCCTTTCTTGCCCTTTTTCAGATTGATAAGATTTTTTACTATTTCATTTCCCCCTGTCCATTAGCTTGGAAATTGTATGCCTTTTAATTATTCTTTTGGTGGTACCCTAGGTCTCTAGGTAATTACTCTAATGAGTATAGCCTACCTTTTTGACGTTACAAAGTCTAATAAGAATTGGTGTCTTTGCCTCTTTCCAGGGAGTGCAAGCACCTTAGAATATTTCTATTAATCTTCACCTAACCTTTATGCCATTGTTGTCAGGTATTTTCTCCCTGTATTTTAAATACCAACGTTACTATTGTTGTTTGCACAAATGCAGAAGATGCTAGCACCTGGAACTTTTTTTTTTTTCCCCAGATGGAGTCTTGCTCTGTTACCCAGACTGGAGTGCAGTGGTGCTATCTCAGCTCACTGCAACCTCCACCTCCCAGGTTCAAGCAATTTTAAAAATGCCTTTCTTTCACCTTTATTCTTGAAGGATATTTTTGCTGGATATGAAATTCTAGGTTGAAATGGTTAGTTTGTTGATTGGTGTTTTTAGAATCTTAAAGATGTTATTCCAGTATATTTTGACTTCCATGACTTCTGCTAGAAATCAACTGTCAGTTTAATGTAGCTTCTTTGAATTTAAATTGTCTTTCTGGGGGGTTTATTTTAAGACAATCTCTCTTTTCTTCTAAGTTTTATTTATCTTGTTTTTCACTGTGATGTGCCTAAACATAGATCTCATTCTGTCTTTCTTCTTCCCTCCCTCCCTCCTTTCTTTCCTTCCTTCCTTCCTTCTTTTTCTTTTTTTCTATTCTGTTTGGAACTTTTAGAGGTCCTTAAATATGTAATTCATGTTTATTAAATGATTTCTAACTAAATTATCTATAGAAATATTGTTTGTCTCCCTTCTCCCTATTCTCTCCTTTTGGGGCTCTACACTTAAGCTAGTCCTTACTGAATTCTCTATGTCTCTTACCTTCTCATCTGTGTTTTCCATCTTCTTGTCTCTTTGTACCTCATTCTAGAAATTTCTTGTAGTCTGTCTTCCAGGACACTAATTTCTCTTCAGTTGTTTTAATCTGCTGTTAAACTCAATCCATTGACTCCTTAATTTCAGTTATTGAGTTTTTCAGTTCTAAATTCCATTTTTTAAAATATCTGCCAAAATTCTCAATCTTTTATCTCTCTGAAGAGAGTACACATGGTTATTTTAAAGTCTGTGTCTAGAAACTCTAATATTTAAAGACCTCATGTGTCTGTCTATATTTTTCTTTTTCTTTTTTTTTTTTTTGAGACAGAGTCTCACTCTGTCACTCAGGTTGGAGTGCAGTGGCATGATCTCACTGCAACCTCCACCTCCCAGGTTCAAGCAATTCTTGTGCCTCAGCCTTCTGAGTAGCTGGAATTACCAGTGTGTGCCACCACGCCTGGCTAATTTCTGGTTTGTTAGTAGAGATGGGGTTTCACCATGTTGGCCAGGCTGTTCTTGAACTCCTGACCTCAAGCCATCCGCCCACCGTGGTCTCCGAAAGTGCTGGGATTACAGGCGTGAGCTGCTGCACCTGGAGATGTTTGTATTTTCCTTTGTCTGTGCTGTGTTGTATTCCTATTGTCTTACCTCCTCATGTACATGGCTATTTTCTATTATGTGCCATACATACTTGCAAAATTGTTTTAGAAATAATTGAGAGAACTTGGGTAATAATTTCTTCCTTCTGAGAGGATTTACATTTGTAGTGCCTGGGGTCACATGCACCAAACTGAGGAGCTAAGATGATTAGAAATTAAACTGTAGTTCCCACCTATGCCCCATGTATTTCAGTTTATTAATCCTCCTTGAGTTCAGACACAATGGCTCACACTTGTAATCCTAGCACTAAAGGAGCCTGAGGTGGGAGGATCACTTGAGAATAGGAGTTCAAGTCTGCAGTGAGCTGCAGTGAGCTATGGTTGTGCCACTGAACTCCAGCCTAAACAACAGAGCAAGACCCTGTCTCTCTCTAAAAAAAAAAAAAAAAAAATCCTTAGAAGCAGCTCTTTAGAATCTCAACCCAAAGTGAGAGGCTTTACTGGAGTTCCCTTCAGTGCACCTGAAATTCCTTTCCCTGTTTTCTCTGCCCCAAGAGACTGTGAAAGCACAGATCAGCCTCCTAGTCCCTCAGCAGCCCCTTTGGAATGACCAACACTACCCTGGTTTACTTCCCTGGGCCACTGTACTTCCCTGGTTCGTAACCCAAGAATTCTTCACTTTCTCGTTAGCTATCCTCTACCTTAGAGCAGAGGATCATTATATTTTGTTTAGTTTGTCTAGTTGCCTTCAGGAGAGTGTTTATCTGAGACACTTAGTCTGCATTATCCTCTCTTACCAGAAGTAGAAGTCTCTGATATGTTTAGTTGCTGGTTGTCTCTTTCCTCATTACTCCTAGTTTTCTAATTTTTAGAAAATAGTCTTCATTGTTTATACTTCAAGATAAATGTTTAGTTACTTTATCAATTTAAAAATTTTAATTAGCAATGTGACTAGACTTACATGAAATCCAGAAATTAACTTGGGACAAACTGATCATTTCACAGCTTTTACATTCAGAAGCATGATGCATCTCTCAATGTATTCACATTTTTTAAACAATCCTATTAACTGAATATTCACATTTTTAATGTCCTCATATAATTTTATAATTCCTTTGTATTGTTCCTGCACATTTTTTAAGTATATATGGTTCTATTTTTATTGTTTTACTATTATAAATGGGATGTTTCCTCCATTTTACTTTTAACAGTTTAATAGTGATTTAAAGGAAAGTTATTGTTTACATCTTACTTATTTAAGTAGTGATTTTATTAGTTTATCTTCTCTTCTTGATCATAAAAGCATTTAAGGCCAGAAGTTCACCTCTAAGTATAGCTTTATGGAATTTTATTTTTAGGATAAGAAAGGATTACTTTTTTTCCCAAATGTGAATTTTTATTAGTGTTTAATACAGTTTGGATTTGTGTCCCCGCCCAAGTCTCATGTCGAATTGTAACCACTAATGTTGGAGGATTGGATCATGGGGGCAGACTTCTCCCTTGCTGTTCTCATGATAGTGAGTGAGTTGTCATGAGGTCTGGTTATTTAAAAGTGTGTAGCACTTCCCCCTTCATTCTAGTCCTCCTTCTCTGACCACGTAAGATGTGCCTGCTTCCCCTTAGCCTTCTGCCATGGTTGTAAGTTTCCTGAGGCCTCCCCAGCCATGCTTCCTGTACAGCTTATGGAACTGTGAGTCAATTAAACCTCTTTTCTTTATAAATTACCCAGTCTTAGGTAGTTCTTTATAGCAATGTGAGAGGTGACAGAAACAGAAAATTGGTATCGGGAAGTGGGGCATTGCTATAAAGATACCTGAAAATATGGAAGCAGCTTTGGAACTGGGTAATGGACAGAGGTTGAAAGGGTTTGGAGAGCTCAGAAGAATACAGGAAAGTAAGGGAAAGTTTGGAACTTCTTAGAGACTTGTTACATTGTTGTGACCAAAATGCTGATAGTGATATAGACAGTGAAGTCCAGCCTGAGGAGGTCTCAGATGGATTTGAGAAACTTATTGAGAACTGGAACCAAGCTCATTTTTGTTATGTGTGAACAAAGAGATAATCTGAAACTGAAACTTATATTTAAAAAGGAAGCAGAGCATAACAGTTTGGAAAATTTGCAACCTGACCACGTGGTAGCAAAACAAAAACCCATTTTCTGGGGAGGAATTCAAGCTGCCTGCAGAAATTTGCATAAGTAAAGAAGAGTGGAATGTTAGTAGCCAAGACATTGGGGAAAATGCCTTGAAGACACTTTAGAAACCTTCATGGCATCTCCTTTCCTCACAGGCCTGGAAGCCTAGGAGGGAAGAATGGTTTTGTAGGTCAAGCCCAGGGCCCTGCTGCCCTGCGCAACCCGAGGACACTGCTCCCTGTCTCTCAGCTGCTCCTGCTCCAGCTGTGGCTAACAGGGCTCCAGCTATGTCTCAGGCAGCTGCTCCAGAGGGTACAAGCCATAAGCCTTGGTGGCTTCCATGTGATGTTAAGCCTGAGCGTGCACAGAGTGCAAGAGTTGAGGCTTGGGAGCCTCCACCTAGATTTCAGAGGATGTATGGAGATACCTGGATATCCAGGCAGAAATCTGCTGCAGGAGTGGAGTCCTCATGGAGACCCTCTACTAGGACAGTTCAGAGGGGAAATGTGGGGTTGGAGCCCCCACACAGAGTCCCCACTGAGGCACTGCCTAGTGGAGCTGTGAGAAGGGGGCAGCCATCCTCCAGACCCCAGAATTGTAGATCCACCGACAGCTTGCACCGTGTGCTAGGAAAAGCTGCAGGCACTCAGTGCCAGCCTGTGAAAGCAGGCAAGGGGGCTGTACATTGCAGAGACACAGGGGTGGAGAAGCACACGGTCTTGGGAGCCCACCCCTTGCATCAGTGTTGCCTCTATATGAGACATGGAGTCAAAGGAGATTATTTTGGAGCTTTAAGATTTAATGACTGCCCTGCTGGGTTTTGGACTTGCATGGGGCCTGTAGTCTCTTTGTTTTGGCTGATTTCTCCATTTTGGAATGGTCATATTTAGCCAGTGCCTGTATCCCCACTATATCTTGGAAGTAACTAACTGGTTTTGATTTTATGGGCTCATGGGTGGAAGAGGCATACCTTATCTCAGATGATACATTTCAGTTAATGCTGAGATGAGTTAAGACTTTGGGGGACTGTTGGGAAGGGATAATTGTATTTTGAAATGTGAGAAGGACATGAAATTTGGGAGGTCCCAGGGGTGAAATAATATGTTTTGGGTATGTGTCCTCAGCCAAATCTCTTGTCGAATTGTAACCCCCAGTGTTGGAGGAGGGGCCTTGTGGGAGGTGATTGGATCATGGGGGCAGACTTTTCCCTTGCTGCTCTTGTGATAGTGAATGAGTTCTCATGAAGTCTGGTTGTTTAAAATGTGTAGCACTTCCCCCTTCACTCTAGTCCCCCTTCTCTGGCCATGTAAGATGTGCCTGCTTTTCCTTGGCCTTCTGCCATGATTGTAAGTTTCCTGAGGCCTCCCAAGCCATGCTTCCTGTACAGCCTATGGAACTGTGAGTCAAATAAACCTTTTTTTTTTTTTTAATAAATTACCCACTCTCCAGTAGTGCTGTATAGCAATGTGACAATGAAAATAGGCTAAAAGAGTTGTTGTAAATTAAATGTTTTACGAATTTTTAATTTTATTCTCTTTAATCAGATAATGTGGCCTTTTCAATTATTGCTGTTTTGATTTATTTCTTTTAGATTTTCTTTGCTCTAATAACGGATTATTTTTCAAAAAGATGTTCTTTGGACACATGTAAAGAAAGTATATGGTTCAAATTTCCTTACCTTCCTTATTTTTGTCTAGTTGATTTTGTACAGAGCTTGTGAAGGGGCTGTTATTATGTTACATGTCAATTGCATTTCTACAAATCCTTATTTTTATCTCCAAAGTTATTGCTTTATGTATCTTTGGTACTGTATCATTTGATGAATAAATGCTTAATACTATTATGAATTCTCTATTGATTATATCTATTAGAAATATAAATAATTTGTACCTTATTGTATAAAGCAAATTATTGGAAAAGTAAACAAAATAATATAAGAAAAACACTTGGGGCTGGGTGTGGTGGCTCATGCCTATAATGCCACACTTTGGGAGGCTGAGGTGGGCAGAATGCTCGAGTCCAGGAGTTCGAGACCAGTCTGCACAGTGTGGTGAAGCCCCATCTCTACAAAAAATACAAAAATTATCCAGGCATGGTCATGCACACCTGTTGTCTCAGCTGCTTGGGAAGCTGAGGTAGGAGGATCACCTGAACCCAGGAGGTCAAGGCTGCAGTGAGCCATGATTTTGCCACTGCACTCCAGCCTGAGTGACAGAGTGAGACTCTGTCTCAAAAAATAAAAAAGCCAATCTATTTTCTAATTCTTTTACTTTTAGTTTTTTTTCATTTTGTGCAAGTTGTGTTCTCTTGTACACAGAAAGTCACTGAATGTTGTTTTTAAAATGTATTTTTATTAAAATAATATACATCCAGGAAAGTACAGACCTAAGTGTACAGTTGAATGATTTTTCACAAAGTGAACAAAGCTGTGAGCCAGCATTTGAATCAAGAATATCCCGGAAACTCTTCTCTTACTTCCTTCTAGTCATTAGCCTTTACAAGGGTAGCCACTTGTAAGAGCACAGATTAATTTTAAATGATTTTTAATTTTAGATGAATGGATTCATTCTTGTACCTTAGTGTCTATGTTCTTTCATGCAACATTATTGTTGGGAGATTCATCCACATAGGTGGATGTAGCTGTAGTTTGCTCATTCTTATTGCTGAATAATATTCTACTTATTATTGATGGTCTTTTGGGTATTGTCTAATTTAGGGCTATCTCAAATGGGGCTGCCATGAACACTCATTGTGTGCATTTTGGCTAGCTTATATATGCATTTTTGTTCAGAACATACCTTGGGATGGAATTGCTAGGTCACAGAATATGCATATTTTTAGAAAACAGTGTTAAACAACTTTACAAAGTGATTGTACCAATTTGCATTCCCATAAATCTTGCCTTTTAATAAGAGTTTTAAATTGTCATAATTGTTTTGACCACTGTCATGTGATTTTGTGGTTTTGTTTTGGTTCCTTTGCTGTTTTTAAAATTCAGTTCTCTTTTCAGTATAAACAGAACTTTGTTTTCACTTGCCTTTTGCAATAATCTGGAGGGTAGAAAATCTGGTTTTAGTTTTACTAATGGTTACTGTAAAGTAATCTGCAACCATTTTCATAAGTCTGTTTAATTATCAAAATCACAGTAAAAACAATTACTTTAACTCACTTTTCATGAAAGGCAAAGATTGTAGTACTTTTACTTTTGCGGCCTTCCCTGATTCCTGTCTTCATAAAATTAATGTTGTGTTATAAATCCATCACTCAAAATTTAGCCTATCAGAGTGGGGGTAACATGTAAGTGTTGATACTGACTCATATTAAATTGATTAAATGGAATGATGCCATTGACTTTAAATGTTATTGTAAGAAAAGCTAAATGAAATATTGGTTGTGATTACTATGAGGATCTTGTTCATTGCATTACCAAGTCCTCCCAATAAGACGTTGTTCTCAGATCTCAGAATTAGAAATCATGCTTTTCATGAGCATGTGGTTTGTTTTTATCTCATGAGGATGGATCATTTCCCCTTTTATCACATTAACTCCTAGGAAATTTACAATATATTTTTTTCTATGTTGTTAATATCTTTGAAAACAGTTTTAGGCCGGGCGCAGTGGCTGACGCCTGTAATCCCAGCACTTTGGGAGGCCAAAGCGGGCAGATCATGAGGTCAGGAGATCGAGACCATCCTGGCTAACACAGAGATACCCGTCTCTACTAAAAATACAAAAAATTAGCCGGGCATGGTGGTGGGCACCTGTAGTCCCAGCTACTCGGGAGGCTGAGGCAGGAGAATGGCATGAACCCGGGAGGCAGAGCTTGCAATGAGCCAAGATGGTGCCACTGCACTCCTGCCTGGGTGGCAGAGCGAGATTCCATCTCGAAAAAAAAAAAAAGAAAAAAAACAGTCTTAAACCCTTTTGGAAAATAAGATAAAGTATGAATCCATGTGATAGGGCAAAAATGTCTTCCATACCAATGGAGGTTATCTCCTGGGAAAAAAGCGAAATAGACTAGGAAGAGTAAACAGTGAAAATAATTTTTACTGTTTATTCATCTGTGTTATTTGAATCATTTTAGTATAAACTTGTACATTATTTTTATAATTTTAAAAACATATTAAGTGTGTATTTAAAAGAAAGAAAATAAAGAAGAGCATATTTAGGAGGCAAGATAGATCTTCCTAAGACACACATAAGACCTGGGAACTATAAAGAAATGATTGACAGATCTGACTCATAAATTTAAAACCTTTTCCTCAACAAAAGAAAAATGTACAAAACATATTTTGTACAAAGTACAAAAAACAGCAACAGACTGGGAGACATTATTTATTACAAATATTATAGACAAAAATGAATAACTCTGAAATATAACTAGCTCTAACAAATTAATAAGAAAAATACAATAAAAATGAGCAAGGGATATAAATGAACAATTCATTAAGAAGAAATTCAAGGAATTTCTTAGTTCAGTTTGCTATAACAAATTACCGTAGACTGGGAGGCTTAAACAACATTTATTTCTCACAGTTCTAGAGACGGGGAAGTCCAAGATTGAGGACCCAGCAAATCTGCTGTCTGGTGCAGGTCTACTGCTTGGTTTGCAGATGGCACCTTCTCATTACATCCTTACATGGTGGAGAGCAGAAAAAGAAATAGCAAGCTCGTTTGTGTCTTTTTATAAGGCCACTAATCCCATTCGTGAGGGCTCCACCCTCATTACCTAATTATCTTCCAAAGACCCCACCTCCAAATACCATCACATTGGGGTTTAGGATTTAAGTATATGAATTGGTGGTGGAGGTGGGAGGTGGGAGGAATACAAAATTCAGTTTGTAACAGATCTATAAACATATATTACTTAAGCTAGTAATTTAATAAATGCAAATGAAAAAGAGGTAAATTTTTCATCTGTTGGCATACATTCAAAAGATACATAATGTCTGACTGATGCAGGTGAGGAAGAAAAGGGCAAGTATTGGTTATTAAAGTAATACAGCAATTTGGAAAGATAAATGCATACTATATGAACCAGCAGTCCCATTTCTTGGGCTCTCTTCAAATATGTAAAAATGTATGAATATATACATATATAGACACACATACGTATTGCAGCATTATTTGTAAGAATACAAATAATGGAAATGATTTAAATGATGATTTTGGTGGAATATCCATTAATGGAAAACCAAGCATCTAATAAGAAAAAATGGTAGCTCTCTCTATACTGACCTGAAAAAATGTCCACAATTTATTATTAAGTGAAAAAAGCAAGTTGTAGATATGATCCAAGTTTTGGTAACAATCCCAACCCCCTGCGCACACCCCCACACTCCCCAGCAAAAAAAATCTGCATATAGTATGGATGTGTCTCTACAAGCAGAGAATCGCTTTGGGAAGGAAACAGAATGGGGAACAGTGGTTTTCCATGTGAGGGGGTTTTCCATGTGAGTGGTTTTCCATGTGAGGGGCAGAGTGGGAATGTTCTCTCTTCATTCCTTTATCATTCCATATCATTTCTTTGTCAAATGTGAGCATCTGGTCAGCTGTCACTTTCTTTGATGTGTTTTTCAGTAACCCTCAACCCTCACTGGCCTCACAATCATTAAAGTAGACAGAGGATTACTTTTCAGTGTTAGCAACCTCTTCCATTCTGGATCTGCTTCCAGATCTCCAACTGTGAGTGAGGTGGAGCACAAGTCCTTGGCCAGGAAGATGTTAGAGAGCTGTGACCTTTTCCTAGAAAGAAGACAGATGTTTGCTCCTGAAATTCAGGGCAAGGTTTAATGCTAGTGTGCAATCTAGATCAATCGTGGTCTATCTTATTGGGCACCCTTCATTCTCCACTTCTTGCTGCAAATGGTCAGATAGCTAAGAGGGAGGGGTTGTTCTGGGAGGCGAATTAAGAAAGTTTCTGAAAGACTTGGGAAAGCATCATGTATCTCACCTAGACATTCACTGCACCCTCACATACACCTATTAATGAGAAGCATGACATTGTGCAAGCAACTGGGCCCCACCTTAGCAGAAATTAGAGTTGGGTGTTCATTTTTTTCTAGCTCTCTTTCTCTCGGTCTTTCTATCGCTTTCCGTTTCTTGATTTTTAAAAAAATCATAATCCTTTCTCTGATTACTAAGAGAAAATCCTATATAACCTATGTCATTCCACAGCAGGTAATTAAGTTCTGATTTCAAGATGAATTGTTGAATCAAATTCTGAGCACTAATGAAGGAAGTATTCTACAAGCTTCTGCTGATAGCAAATATACTATAATTGTGCTACAAAACACATTTCTCAGAAAACCAAACAAAGGCAATAGGAAGGAATAGGCAAAGTTCATTTCTTCTTCGTTTTTTTTTTTTTTTTTTTTTTCCCTATTGCCCAGTTCTCAGTTTTCATAAGGCCATTTGAGAAAGGGCACAATTCTAGAGATTTGTGCTCTGCTTATTTGGACTCTCTTTTATGGTTCCCTTCCCTCACTTTACCTTTTCTATTATGGCTTGTGCTCACTCATGATACGAACAGTAATGTTGCCAACCGGCATTGTGAGAGCATCACCAAATGTGTAAGTTATCTTTTTTGGAACAAGTTATAACAAGATTCTAAAACACAACTGTAATTCTCAAAGGATTTAGTTAGTGCAGGTATAATCTTACCAGGTGAGATACTTTGGATATTTGTCCCCTCCAAATCTCATGTTGAAATTTGATCCCCAGTGTTGAGGAGGGGCCTGGAGGGAGGTGTTTGGGTCACAGGAGAACAATCCCTCATGAAAGCCTTGGTGCCTTTCTCGTGGGACTGAGTGAGTTCTCACTCTTAGTTTCCAAAAGGGCTGGTTGTTAAAAAGAACGTGGCACCTCCTCGTTTTTCTCTCTTGCACCCTCTCATGCCATGTGACACAGCGGCTCCCCTTGCCTTCTGACAGGAGTAAAAGCTTCCGGAGGCCCTCACCAGAAGCTGAGCAGGTACTAGCACCATGCTTCCTGTACAGCCTGCAGAAGCGTGAGCCAAATATACCTCTTTTCTTTAAAAATTACCCCATCTCAGGTGTTTTTTTATGGCAACACAAAACACACTAATACACCTGGGAAGACTGAGATGCTGCATTTGAAGAGTTCTGGGTCTTTCTCCAAGGAACTGTTGGACTTCACTTGCTAAGTTTGTAGGGATACTAACAGCGGCAATGGGGTAACATTGCTAAAAATGGGACCCTAAATTCAGAACCTAACCTAACAAACCCTCAATAGAACAATTTTCCTTCTTTTCTCTATGAGAAGGGAAGTGAGTTTGGCTAAGCAAAGATCGGGGTGGGATGGGTGGAGGCAGGAGAGAAGGAGACAAAGGGATGATGAGTGAATGGAATGAAATTTCTATGCCCTCAGAACTGCCAGGTCTCCATGAAATGGAGGTGTGTCTGCAGTGGTGGCTGCAGTTTGCTCCCACAGTTTGCGCTTTTCTCTCTTCCACTGTCTCTCCCTTGGCCTGGTCATGCCCCTCTTTTTCTCTCCAGATTCATAGCTGGGGAGAAGGGCTTGCCCATGAAATATTGTGGCTGAGTTTTGCTGCTACAAGAAAGAATACATTTAGTTTCCAACTGAGCCTTTCTGGATATTTTTCAAGAAATTCAAGGAAAAAAGGAAAGAAAGAAAAGAGAATGTAAAAGAACAAGTGCTTCAGGTCTCAGTTTCTTAATTCCCCATAAAGAAATCTAGTCAGCTGAGGCTTCCTCAAGTGGGTGAATAGCTTGGATTTTGCCTGAGCTAATTACGTATTGACATGTATGTGCCAAGATCTATGGGTGGGCATAATACCAGAACACAGGAGATTCAAATTAACTATATTTTGTATTATTTTTCTGTGCTCTTTAATATCTAAAAGTTTAAATCAAATTCATGGATCCTTGAACAACAGAGTAAATCAGCAAGTAAAATAAATGTACTTCTAAAGTGCAAAATAAAAAGGAACATGCTGTTTGCTTTACATCATTTTATTAATTTGAGTTAGTTAACATTTACTGAAAACCCACCAGGTACAGGATGTAATAGACATGTAGAAAAGTAAGAAAAGATACAGGAAGTATATTTTTCTGACTGCAAAAATCCAACTAATTTAGTCTAAGGAAGACACCAACTAAAGACATGAGAACAGCTGAGAATACAAATAATGGAAACATGACAATGTCCACTAAAGACACTAAGGACACGTTAGTTTCTTATTTATTTATTTATTTATTTATTTTGAGATAGAGTCTTGCTCTATCGCCCAGGCTAGAGTGCAGTGGCGCAATCTCTGCTCACTGCAAACTCCGCCTCCTGGGTTCATGCCATTCTTCTGTCTCAGCCTCCCGAGTAGCTGGGACTACAGGCAACTGCCACTACACCTGGCTAATTTTTTGTATTTTTAGTAGAGACGGAGTTTCACCGTGTTAGCCAGAATGGTCTCTATCTTCTGACCTTGGGACATGTTAGTTTCAATCACCTGTGAGTGTGGAAGGGAGGGCTCATTGAGTGAGCCCTTGGACCTTTGGAAGCCTGTGTGTTGCAATGAAGCATTCTACCTGGGGATGCTGTGGCATCTCTGGAAAAATCAGGCCAACAGCAGACCTCCTATCTCTTAGTCACTGTAAGAGTATCCAAGCAGGTAAATTTGGTGACTTTGGAGGGTTGGTTCCTTACCAAAAAATACCTGCTTTTATTTTATTTTATTTTTGAAACAGGGTCTCACTCTGTTGCCAGGCTGGAGTGCAGTGGCATAATCACAGCTCATGGCAGCCTCGACCTCCCAGGCCCAAGTGATCCTCCTGCCTCAGCCTCTCGAGTAGCTGGGACTACAGGGGTGTCCCACTATGCCTGGCTAATTTTTAAATTTTTTTGTAGGATGAGGTCTCGCTGTGTGCCCAGGCTTGTCTTAAACTCCTGGGCTCAAGCAATCCTCCCGCCCTGGCCTCCCAAAATGCTGGGATTACAGGTGTGAGCCACTGCACCCGCCCCTGATTTTATTTAATCAGAGTTGGCCATTTGAGGATTTATGCCACATGATTTGTGTCTATGTAAGCTCAGGATTCTTTATCTCTCTTAAAGTTAGAAGAAGCAGGCATGGCACATGGCTATGAAGACATCATAGGTAGCACTCAGGCCGTCTGTTTGGCCAGCTTACCACTTTGTGGATTTCATGTGAAAGCAAGTCTCCACTCTGGAATAAGGGTTTGTTGCCTGACTTTCCAGGGGAGTGTACTCTACTTTCCACAGCCTCCTTTTCTGTGCTTCCTGCTCACAGAAATCGAGAGCACTGCTCAAGAATCTGCTCAAGAACTCTGTGTCTCTGGCCAGGCGCAGTGGCTCATGCCTGTAATCCCAGCACTTTGGGAGACTGAGGCGGGCAGATCACTTGAGCTCACGAGTTCAAGACCATCCTGGGCAACATGGCAAAACCCCGTCTCTACCGAAAAAAAAAAAATAGCCAGGTGGGGTGGCATGTTCCTGTAGTCCCAGCTACTTGGGAGGCTGAGGTGGGAGGTTGGCTTGAGCCCAGGAGGCGAGGTTGCAGTGCCACTGCACTTCAGCCTGGGCGACAGAGACAGAGAACTCTGTGTTTTGCATGAGCAACACTGCTGGGTGGCACCAAGCTCCCTTTTGTCTTGTTGCGAGTATTCCTAGGCTCCTCAGGAAACTGTTGGGTTTACCCACTGTGCTTGCGAGTGATGTGCCTTCAAAGCCCACTTATGGCTCAGAACAGTGCATCCCAGACCACCTGTGGGGAGGGACTATTTTGTCTTCAATCCATCATGGGTCAATATTTTTAAAAATACAATAAAATAAACTACTAAAAAATGAAATAAAAAGTAATGGCATATAAATCACAAGCTCAATTCTTTTTACTAGATTCAAGAGACACAAACTTACTCTGTCCAATTGCCATCAAAGTTGTAATTGCTTATTTTGTTCTGTACTTATCTCATTGCAGAATTTCTACAGTTCGTAGAATCGAGCAGGAACTGGTCCCCTGACTATAGTTTAAGCACTGGCCTAAAAGATGATGGGCTTTGCATTAGTTTCAAAGTGGAAGCCCATCACCCAGATTGTTGGAGGGTCGAGGAGCAGATCTCCTTTCGTTGATTTCATGTCGTCATTTGTTCTGACTCAAGTCAGAGCTAGAAAATTTGCAATCAGTATTTGTCCCTGGAAGCCAGTTGCCATTCCTCTTTGCCTCCCAGCTGAGATACAAGCTCCTCCTGCCCACTCCTATAGAACTATTTATGTATCCTCTTATCTCTTTTGCCAAGCTTCAAGGTCTCACTCAATACTGCTCAATACATGTGGGGAGGAGGAATGAAGGAACACTAGTTACATGTGCTGAAAAATAAGCAGACAATTTACCCACTAGACTTACAAGCATTGCTGGGAATGTCCGAAGGAATTTTGGTTTCACCATTGTCTTTCCAGGAGAAAGACCTGCTGAGAAAATAAGAGAGAGGAAAAGATAAATATACTTGTATTAGTTCATTTTCACACTACTGATAAAGACATACCTGAGACTGGGTAATTTGTAAAGAAAAAGAGGTTTAATGGACTCACAGTTCCACGTGGCTGGGGAGGCCTCACTATCGTGGCAGAAGGCAAGGAGGAGAAATGGCACATCTTACATGGCAGCAGGTAAGAGGTGTGTGCAGGGACACTGCCCTTTATAAAACCATCAGATCTTGTGAGACTTATTTACCAACATGAGAACAGTATGGGGGAAACTTCCTCCATGATTCAATTTTCTCCCACTTGGTCCCTCCTACAACATGTGGGAATTATGGGAGCTACAATTCAAGATGAGATTTGGGTGGGGACTCAGCCAAGCCACATCAATACTTTTTCACTAGATCCAGCACAGTAAAGGCCTGTAGGGCATGCTCACGATGGAAAGAAACTGTGAGATGAGGAGGATATGGAGATGCCCTGCCATCAGGGAAAGGGCGCCAACTGGAGTCCTAGGCCTGGCTCTGAGCTTTGTCCTGGAGATCCGGTCTGCCTGCCTACCCTGCCTGATTACACTCTTATCATGGGTGGATGCCTCCCTTCTTCACCTGTCCAAGTTGTGCTTACCCAGGCCTTCTCTACATGCCACTTTCCCAGAGTGGCCTGCCATCTTGTTCATCCTGCTCTCTCATAACAGCTCTGCCTTTTCCTGTGATGGCACTTACAAGTTGTCATAATATTTTTATACATGGTCACTTTTCTTTTATGCCATACTTTAAGCTCGTGAGAGCAGGGATTGTGCCTGTCTTATTCATTCCTATATATTCCATGCCTTGGCACAATGTCTGGAATAAAGACATTACATAGCTGTATTGGTGACAGTACTTGCCGTCGTCTTTTGTTTTGCTTTTTTGTTCTTCTAATTCTTGCTTGTAACCTTTGTATTGAGTGAATTGGGTTTGACAGGGTTGGATCAAAGCCACTTTAGTTTCATTGTCCCTCCCAACCTACTCTATGGGCTACATCTTTTCCTTCCTGAGGATATAATCTCAGGCAGGTCCCTATAGCTTGCAAGGACAGTTGTAGGCCATACAAAGTCACTTTCAATGGCAAGAACTGACTTATATTAGTAACTGAGGCATGACCAGTGAAATGATCAAAACTCCTGGGTCGGGGGCACAGGCTGTGGCAGTCTCCAGATGCAGCAGCTGCTGCACTCTTCATGGGTCCGCCCTGCCAGGCAGTAGGAGGAAAGGGCACCCTGTCTGGGGTCCTCTTTTCTCAGGTGCCCTGTTGCGGGCATTCCCAAGCTGTAGGCCTATATGAGCACATCCAGCCATTGGGGATTCATCACCCCCTCTCCTGTGTGGCAGATTTGTGTGAAACTCTGTCCTCAAAACTCATGCCTGCAGCAATGCCTGAAAGGTCCTGGCTCAGCTCCCAGTGAGGAGGAAGCAGTCCCTCCCCATCCCAGTGAGGGAAGTGCTGGGCATGTCCCAGTACCCCAGCGACCCTCCCCACACTTTTCCCATCCAGGTCTTCTACAGGCCAGAGTTGGTGTTTGTCAGTGCCAGGAAAACACTCACAGTCTCTTCCCATGTGCTCGGAGGAGTCCAGCATCTGCTGCCCACGGGGGACCAGACCAGACAAAGATCCACCCCAACCCCCAATCCTCTTGACCTTAGGTGCATGAGAAAAATGCGTGAAAGTGAGGCAGAGGGAACCCCTTGGTGACACCTGTTGCTCTTTTTCACTGAGGGCACCCATGGCTTTCTAGGAAACAGATTTGATGAACTTTTTTTAGGCTTTGTATTTTTTCTTCTTTGAAACTTTTGGCACTGCCAACCATTCATTCCCTGAAGTCCTCTTGCTTAGTTTCTGTGACTTCTATTTTTTTTTTTAATGATTTGAGACAGAGTCTCACTCTTGTTGCCCAGGCTGGAGTGCAGTGGTGTGATCCCAGCTCACTAAAACCTCCACCTCCCGGGTTCAAGCATTTCTCCTGCCTCAGCCTCCTAAGTAGCTGAGATTATAGGCGCCTGCCACCACACCCGGCTAATTTTTGTAGTTTTAGTGGAGACGGGGTTTTGCCATGTTGGCCAGGCTGGTCTCAAACTCCTCATCTCAGGTTATCCATGTTGGGATTACAGGCGTGAGCCACCATGTTCGACCTCTTTGTGCATCTTCTTTTTTTTTTTTTTTTTTTTTTGAGATGGAGTCTCGCTTTGTCACCTAGGCTGGAGTGCAGTGGCTCAATCTTGGCTCACTGCAAGTTCCACCACCCAGGATCAAGTGATTCTCCTGTCTCAGCCTCCTGAGTAGCTGGGATTACAGGCACCCACTACCATGCCTGGCTAATTTTTGCATTTTTAGTAGAGACAGGGTTTCACCATGTTGGCCAGGCTGGTCTTGAACTCCTGACCTCAGGTGATCCACCCACTTCGGCCTCCTAAAGTGCTGGGATTACAGGTGTGAGCCACCACGCCAGGACTTTGTACATCTTCTAAGCAGTCTTGTCCTTGTTTTGCCAGACTGTGTGGTAGGACACAGTGAAGAACAGAGGCTCCACCACAGACATGTGCAAAACCTGGCTTTGCCACTTACTAAGTCACTTGACCCCTCTGAGATTCAATTTCTATAAAACAGTGTTAATAGGATGATCCCCAACTATTCAAGGTATCCTTGTGGAGTTTATAAATGATGGGGGTAAAGCACATAAAATACCAACTGGGACTTATCCATCGATAAATATTAGCAATATATACTGAATTTCATGCAATCTAAGAATTCGTCAGTGTCTTAGTCTACTTTGTGAAGCTATAACAGAATACCACAGGCTGGATGATTTATAATAGACAGAAATGTATTGGCTTATGGTTCTGGAGGCTAGGAAGTCCAAAACTGAAGGTCCAGCATCTGGCAGGGGCATTCTTGCTGTATAACTCCATGGCATAAAGGCAAAGAGAGGGAGAGAGAGAGAGAGACAGAGAGAGGGAGAGAAAAATAGAGGTGTTTAACTTGTCTTTTTATTTATTTATTTATTTATTTGTTTATTTATTTATTTTGAGACAGGGTCTCACTTTGTCACCCAGGCTGGAGTGCAGTGGCACAACCATGGCTCACCGAAGCCTCAACTTCCTGGGCTCAAGTCATCCTCCTGCCTCAGCCTCCTGAGTAGCTGGGACCACAAGCATGTGCCACCATGCCCTACTAATGTTTTTAATCTGTTGTAGAGGTGGGGTTTCACCATATTGCCCAGGCTAGTCTTGAACTCTGGGGCTCAAGCAGTCCTCCCACCTTGGCCTCCCAAAGTGCTGGGATTACAGGCATGAGCCACCATGCCTGACCTAACTTGTCCTTTCATCAGAAACCCACTCCCATATTAACATTAATCTATTTATATGGGCAGAGTCTTCATGGCCTAATCACCTCTTAAAGATCCCACCTCTAAATACTATTACAAAGGAAATTAAATTCCAACATGAGTTTAGGAAGAGACAAACATTTAAACCCTAACAATCAGGTTAAAAAAAAAAGTCTTTATGCTGTAGGCCACTAAGAGAAATTTGCTACTGAAAGACCCATTTTTATTTCAGAAATGCTAAAGTATGAAGAGAGCACATTTAGAAAAAAGAAAATACAGTATCCTTGTAGCAATGGTCTGAATGTTTATATCACCATGCCCCCCAAATATATATGTTGAAATCCTACCCCCACGAGGTGATGATGGTGTTAGGAGTGGGACCTTTGAGAGGTGATTAGGTCATGAAGGCTCTGATCTCATGATTGGGATTAGTGTTTTTATAAAAGAGGTCCAGAGAGCTGCCTTGTCCTTTCTGCCATGTCCTTGCTGTCACAGCAAGAATGCACCATTTATAGCCAGGCGTAGTGATGTGCGCCTGTAGGTCCAGCTCCTCAGGAGGCTGAGGTGGGAGGATCGCTTGAACCTGGGAGGTGGAGGTTGCAGTAAGCCTTGATCATACCACTGCACCCCCGCCTGGGGGACAGAGTGAGATCCTGCCTCAAAATAAATAAGATTGTGGAAGATAAAGACTGGGCTGTGGGAGGTTATTGTGGGGACTCTGAGGTAGGAGAGGTCCTGTGCTATATATAATACTAGGATGTATGAAAGGCAAGCATCCTTTCCCCATTTCGTTCATTTCAAAAGCAAGGTGCTGAACCCTGCTGCATGCAGGGGAAGATGAAGAGACACTGTAATTAATGTGAACCATCCTCTCAGGAACAGACATTTGCAGAACTGAAGGGGAGTCAGAGCATTTCCGGATAGGAACTCATTAAAACTAAGCTTCTCTGAAATGAGAATCACTAAGTACAAAACATCCCATGCAACTGATAACTTCTGTTTTTTTAGGCAATTAAAAATATCAAGAAGAAATTAATTTCTAATACTTTTATTGATCCAATACTTTTAAGACCAAACTTTCATATAAATGAGCAAAGTTCTGGACCCACTTTTAACTTGTTCCCCCACTTTGGCCATTCCGTCAGAGCAAACCATAGCAGTGTGGGGGTCTCCTCTTTGGAACTGGAAATTGTGGTATGTAAGAACACAATTTTAGATGGAAGGGCAAATACTGCATAAGGATCAGCTGACATAAAGATCAGCTGAAGTAACCAACTGAAAAAAAAAATCACAGGGCAAAAGTGTTTCTTTTAGTAGAGAAGTGGGGACATTAGAAAAAAAAAGAAAAGGAACAAATAAGAGCAGCTGGGTTGATGAGTATAACGAATACAGCTGCTCTTACCTTTGGAGACTAAAGTGCTGACATGAATGGAGTGTGAGTGGAAAATTAGGCTGGTGATTGCAGTAGCCCCTACTGAGTATTTACTCCACAGCAATATATAATGGGGTATGATTGGCATTGCCTATTAAGAGATGCCGGACTGTAATCGGAATGTTGATACTCATCAAAATACAGTAAAACAAGGAGAGCAGTGATTACTTAAACCTGAAGTTACAAGATGGCATTGCTTTTTAAAGTTCTTTATTCTGGCCTGGCGCAGGGGCTCAAATCTGTAATCCCAGCACTTTGGGAGGCAGAGGCAGGAGGATCACTTGAGTCCAGAAGTTCGAGACTAGCTTGGGCAACATAGGGACATCTGCAAATTATTTATATCTCTACAGATAGTTAAAAAATCAGCCAGGTGTGGTGGTGTGCACCTGTGGTCACAGCTACTTGGAAGGCTGAGCCAAGAGGATCACCTATGCCCAGGAGGTTGAGACTGCAGTGAGCTGTGATCACACCACTGCACTCCAGCCTGGGAAACAGAGCGAGACCTGGTCTCAAAACAAACAAACAAACAAAAATTCCTTATTCTGTTTGATCCTTCATAAAAACAAATTAAAAAAAAACCCCGCCACCACAGGTCATGCAAAATTAAGTTGCTATATAATAGCAGAATAAGCCTGAGCTTACTGTATAAAGGCCAATATTTAGAGATGTTTTGTAAATTTCAATGAAAATCACTGCAGAGTATTATCTCTTCAGAAAGAGATTTCTTTTTGCTAACAATTATCTGTCCTTCTCCATCTCATTCCTTCGAACCAGTATTTCTGCACTGAGACAGAGTTGACTCACCATATCAACAAAGAAATGACTTCTAGGTTTCAACTAGGGCTTTCTGTTCCCAGAGAATGATTGATGATTCTGCAGTTATGGAATTTCTCTTTGAAGATGAAGCTGAACCCAGCCTCACATCTCTTTTGAATTTTTTAAAGCTTCCTACATGTATTAGGGTGTAGGTAAGCCACTGATATAGTTTCGGTATTTGTCCCCTCCAAATCTTATGTTGAAATGTGATCTCCAATGTTGAAGGTGGGGCCTACTGGGAGGTGTTTGAGTCATGGGGGTGGATCCCTTGTGAATGACTTTGTGCCCTCCCCAAAGTAATGAGTTTGTGTGAGATGTGGTTGTTATAGAGACTGGAACTTTCCTCCTCTTTCTCTTGTTCCCCTTCTAACCATGTGACACATCTACTTCCCCTTCACCTTCCACCAGGAGTAAAAGCTTCCTGAGGCCTTATGAGAAGCTGAGCAGATGATGATGCTATGTTTCTTGTACAGCCTGCAGAACCATTAGCCAATAAACCTGTTATCTTTAAAAATTACCTAGCCCCAGGGGTTCCTTTATAGCAATGCAAAACAAATGGATACAACCACCAATCATTGTAACATATTCCTGGTAGTCTTCAAGGCCTTAATTCTACAGAATTGAATTTACTTCTTAAAAACCATACTTAATTTTTCATTTACTTAGTATATACAGTATAGATATTTTCCCTTCAGACCTAAGTGACAAATAACCGGTGTCACATTGTTTGTATGTTGTCATTCCTTTGAAATGGAAAAGGACCACTATAGGTGATCCTGAGGTCACTAGTGACTTAGATGAGGTTGATTAAATTGCATTGATAATTAAATTATAGGCCAAGTGCTGTGACTCACACCTGTAATTCCAGCACTTTGGGAGGCTGAGGCAGGTGGATTGCTTGAGCGCAGGAGTTTGAGACCAGCCTGGGCAACGTGGTGAAACCCCCATCTTTATAAAAAATACAAAAATTAGCTGGGCGTAATGGTGTGCACCTGTAGTCCCAGCTACTCTGGAGGCCGATGTGAAAGGGTTGCTTGAACCCAGGAGGTGGTGGTTGCAGTGTGCTGAGATGGCGCCACTGCACTCCAGCCTGAGCGACAGAGCTAGGTAAATTATAATTGTTCTCATAAGTAACTTTACTGTGTTTTCTTTTTTTTGTTGTTGAGATGGAGTTTCGCTCTTGTTGCCCAGGCTGGAGTGCAATGGCACAATCTTGGCTCACCACAACCTCTACCTCCCGGATTCAAGCGATTCTCCTGCCTCAGTCTCCTGAGTAGCTGGGATTATAGGCATGCGCCACCAAGCCCGGCTAATTTTTTATTTTTGGTAGATACGGGGTTTCTCCATGTTGGTCAGGCTGGTCTCAAACTCCCAACCCCAGGTGATCCACCTGCCTCGGCCTCCCAAAGTGCTGGGATTACAGGCGTGAGCCACCGTGCCTGGCCGTATTTTCTTATATTTGATATAAGAAGAGAAAAGGATTAGTTCAGAAGGCAATCAGCAAGGACACAACAGAGTATGTACCTTAGTCTTCAGATTTCACTCTTTCACACATGACCCACACTTACATGTGGATGCCCCATGTACTGTCACATCCAGGCCTTCCAGCCCACTTGGAGAAATGTGAATTCTAGGACATTTTATGATATCAGTTCAAACTTCATGATAAACATTGTGTTGTAACGTTCTCATTTACCTAATGAAGTTTGATTCTTTACACTGGAAGGTTAGGCAACTCCAAGCAGCCAAAAATTCTCTAGAAGTTATATACATCAGCTAAATGGAAATATGGCCCCATAAACCATAGATATCTGACTTTAAAAAGTCATTCCTTAGAAACCATACCTACAACTCGCTTTTATAATTATTATATCACATAGGTATAAATGATTCAGCACAGACTTGGATGTTTGATTTATGAATGTTTGTGTTGGTGAAGCATGCCTGCACAGTCATCCAATGATTCAGTGTAACTTTGCTGGCTGTAATGTTGGCTTGAACATTTCTTGCAACTTTATTGGCCCATCTGCTCCAGAGTAGAGTCGTGGAACACTGTGCTTGCATTGCATGGCATGAATGCTGAACAGTGTTGTGAAACTTCAACATAAAACAGAAAAGTGGTAACAGCAGTGACAATTACTGCTGTGTTTGTCACAACCTTATGAGCTAGCAACTAACATTTAATAAACATCAGGCATAGGGCTATGCACAGTTCATGTTCATATCTTGTGGAGTAGGTGTTATTACCACAGAAAACTGTGGTACAGACATTTAATCACACAGAGCTGATCAGTGGAGGAGTCACGATTTGAACTCTGGTTAGCTAGTCTTACCACTGTGTAACTATTCATAATAACTGAAATCAATAAGGCTATTTATCACTTGAGTTGATTGAAGTTTGGATCTTCAAAATATGACTGTTTTCTTCAGTAAACTTAAATTAGGTCAAAGTTAAGTTACTAATAGTCACAAAAGAGAGTATAACATGGACCTAAGCTTCTTAAATTTTTTATTTGCTTGTTTTCAGGATACCCAAAATGTTTGATTTCAGCCTTGAACAACTACATTAATAATCTTTTGGCCGGGCGCGGTGGCTCACGCCTGTAATCCCAGCACTTTGGGAGGCCGAGGCGGGTGGATCATGAGGTCAGGAGATCGAGACCATCCTGGCTAACAAGGTGAAACCCCGTGTCTACTAAAAATACAAAAAATTAGCCGGGCGCGGTGGCGGGCGCCTGTAGTCCCAGCTACTCGGGAGGCTGAGGCAGGAGAATGGCGTGAACCCGGGAAGCAGAGCTTGCAGTGAGCCGAGATTGAGCCACTGCAGTCCGCAGTCCGGCCTGGGCGACAAAGCGAGACTCCGTCTCAAAAAAAAAAAAAAAAAAAAATAATAATAATAATAATAATCTTTTCACTAAAGATAATCTAGATTAATTGAATAAATCAGCTTGAATTAAAACTCATCAATGTGCAACATTTAGATACCTAGTACGATTTTTTTATAAAGCAAATCATGCTTAGATAAACACAGACCTGATTTGTCTTTGTAAATACTGGGTTCTCTGCTATTGGCACAATATGAAACTGAGGCGTGGAGGTGTGTTGCCTGCTGTAAATGGCTAATAGTTTTTAAAAGTGTTCAGTAACCAGATTAACAAAGCACTGTTATTATGAGTTTGTCCTTTTGCCTCTCATTTTATTCTAGGGGATTGGGCTGTGCAACCAGGGCTTTTCTAAAGCACCTAGAAGTTACAACCACACTCACTCTCCCCAGACCCTGGGTTTCTAATCTTAATTATTCCTCCCAACACTTGCTGATACCTATGTTGAAATTTTCAAACCTGTCTTGTGTTGAGGCTTTATAATAAATAATTCTTAACTGAATCACCCTCAACATCTAGGATGATCTTTTGGGGAAAACATCTGTTTCGGCATGATCCCCTAAGATTTTCTCCAGGGTTACTTTTAGAGCCACTTGTTTAAAGATTCAAACATGTGATCAGTGTCACTATTCATATTTGTTAAAAAGAACTTTTATTATTGTTCATATGTAGACAAATAGCAGAACCAATTTTCAATAAAAACATTTGTCAACACCATGGAGACACAGGATGTCACTGAACGATTTTGCTAAACATATCTATGCAAAAAATTTCTCTTTCCTATTTCCTCACCAACACAAGCTTGGCTTCAGGATTAGTTTCGAACTCAAGGACTTTGCAAGATTGCTTAAGTATAGAAGATTGTCATTAATACCTTTGCTTCAGAATAGTCCACCTAGACCACTCACAATCATATTCTAAAATGCAAGCATCTTGGTAATGACAAAGCAAAAATCATTAGTAGAAATACAAAATGAAAATAGAAAAGGATTCAAAGCGTACGACTACAGAAAATGATCAAACCATGAAGGAAGACAGGATAAGAGGAAGAAAGAAATGAAGTATTTCCAAAACAACTAACAAAATGGCATGAGCAAGTATTTACCTATCAGTAAGTACCACGAATGTAAATTTAAATTCTCCAGTAAAAAGACACAGTGACTGAATGGATAAAACAAAATAGAAAAACAAAAACAAAACAAGACCCAACTATATCCTGCCTACAAGACACTAACTTTTAAGGAAACAAATAGACTGAAAGTGATGGAATGGGAAGAGATATTTCATGCAAAGGAAACCCAATGAGAGTAGGGATACTTGTTTCAGATAAAATAGACCTTAACTCAAAAACTATAAAAATAGACAAAGACATTATCCAATGATAAAAGGTCAATTCATCCAGAGGATATAACAATTGTAGATATATAAGCACCCAACATTAGAGGACCTAAACATATAATACAAATACTAAGGGACCTGAAAGGAGAGTAGATCACAGTATAATAATAATAGGGGACTTCCATACCTCATTTCACAATGGATAGAGCATCCAGATGGAAAGTTAATAAGGAAATACTGGACTTGAACAACACTTTAGACCAAATAGATCTAACAGACATATGCAGAACATTCCATATAACAGCAACAGATATACATTCTTCTTAAGTACACGAAACATTCTTCAGGATAAATTGTATTACGGCACAAATCAAACCTTAGCAAATTTTGAAAGACTGAAATTATATCAAGTATTTTTTCTAACCATAATGGTATGAAACTAGAAATCAATGCCAGGAGTAATTTCAGAAAATTCACAAATGCGTGGAAATTAAATAACATACTCCAAAATAATCATTAAGTCAATGAAGAAATTAAAAGGGAAATTTAAAAAAAAATCTTGATCTTGAGACAATCAAAAATGGGAACAACACACAGAAACTTCTGTGATACAGCAAAAGCAGGTCTAAGAGTAAAGTTTACAGCAATAAATGCCTACATCAAAAAAGAAGATGGCTGCACACAGTCACTCATGCCTATAATCCTAGCACTTTGAGATGTTGAGGCGGTAGGATCACTTGGGCCCGGGAGTTTGAGATCAGCCTGGGCAACACAGGGAGACCCCATCTCTATAAAAATTTTTAAAAAGTTAGCTGAGTATGATGGCACACACCTGTGGTCCCGGCTACTTGGGAGGTTGAGGTGGGAGATTCACTTGAGCCCAGGAGGTAGAGGCTGCAGTGAGCCATGATTGCACCACTGTACTTCAGCCTGGGTGACAGAGCAAGACCCTGTCTCCTAACAACAATAACAAACGCAAACAACCTAACATTACACCTGAAGGAACTACCTAGAACAAGAAAAAACTGAACCCAAAGTTAGCAGAAGGAATGAAATAATAAAGAGCAGAAATAAATAAAATAGATACAAAAAAATACAAAAGATCAATGAAACAGAGGTGGTTTATTGAAAGGATAAAATTCACAAACCTTTAGGTAGACTAAGAGAAAAGAGAGAATACCCAAATAAAGTCAGAAATGAAAGAGGAGACATTACAACTGATACCACAGAAATAAAAGATCATAGGAGACTACTATGAACAATTAGATACCAATAAGTTAGGTAACTTAAAAGAAATGGATAAATTACTAGACATGTACATCCTAAAAAGACTAAATCATATAGAAATAGAAAATGTGGACAGACCAACAATCAGTATGGAGATTGAATCAGTAACAAAAAGTCTCCTACAAAGAAAAGGCCAGGACCTGATGCCTTCACTGCTAAATTCTACAAAACATTTGAAGAACTAATACTAACGCTTCTCAAAGTTTTCCAAAAAAAACAAAGAGAAGAAATTAAAAAAAAAATTTTTTTTGGACAGGGTCTCACTGTTGCCTAGATTGGACTGCAGTGGCAGATCATGACTCACTGCAGCCTGAAACTTTTGGGTTCAAGCAATCCTGCCACTTCAGCCTCAATCAGCCTCCCAAGTAGCTGGGACTTCAGGTGCATGCCAACATGCCTGGCTAAGTTTTCACTGTTTTAGAGACTGGGGTCTTGCTTTGTTTTCCAGGCTGGTCTCCATTCCTTGGCCTCAAGTGATCCTTCAGCCTTGGCCTCCCAAAGTGCTGGGATTACAGGCATAAGCCACTGCATGCAGCTGAGGAAGGCTATTTCAAAACTATTTTTTATGAGGCCAGAATTAACCTGATACCAAAGCCAGACAAGCACATTACAAGAGGGAATATTTCAAAACTATTTTTATGAGGCCAGAATTACTTTGGTACCAAAGCCAGACAAAGCACATTACAAAAAAAAAGAAAAAAGAAAAGAAAATTGCAGGCCAATATCCTTGATGAACACAGAGTCAATAGCCCTAAACAAAATACTAGCAAACCAAATTCAACAACACATTAAAAAGATCATCATCACGATCATGTGGAATTTATCTCTGGCATGAAAGCACGGTTCAAGGTATGCTAATCAATAAATGCGATACATCATATTAACAGAATGAAGAGCAAAAACCATACCATCACCTCATTACACACAGAAAAAGCATTTGCCAAAACTCAACATCTTTTCATAATAAAAACTGTCACCAAATTAGGTATAGAAGGAATGTGCCTCAACACAATAAAGGCCATATATGAGAAGCCTACAGCTAACATTATACTCAATGGTGAAAAAATCAAAAGTCTCTCCTCTAAGATCTGGAACAAAACAAGAATGCCCATTCTCACCACTTCTATTCAATGTAGTATTGGAAGTCCTTGCCAGAGCAATTAGGCAAGAGAAAGAAAGAAAAGGCATCCAAATAGGAAAGAAAGAAGTAGAATTGTCATTGTTTGTTGGCAACATGATCTTCAACAAACTATCTAAAAGGGAAATCAATAGAATAATCTTCTGATAGTTACAAAAAATAAAATAAAACATTTAGGACTAAATCAAGAAAGTGAAAAACCTGTACACTAAATGTTGTAAAACACTAATGGAAAAATATTGAAGAAGACAAATAAATGGAAAGGTTTCCCATATTCATGGATTAGAATATTGTTTTTTTGTTTTTTTTTTTTTTGAGATGGAGTCTCACTGTGTTGCCCAGGCTAGAGTGCAGTGGAGCGATCTCGCCTCACTGCAAGCTCTGCCTCCCGGGTTCATGCCATTCTCCTGCCTCAGCCTCCCGAGTAGCTGGGACTACAGGCGCCTGCCACCACGCCCGGCTAATTTTTTGTATTTTTAGTAGAGATGGGGTTTCACCGTGTTAGCCAGGATGGTCTTGATCTCCTGACCTCGTGATCTGCCTGCCTTGGCCTCCCAAAGTGCTGGAATTACAGGTGTCAGCCACCACACCTGGCCAGATTAGAATATTGTTAAAATGTCCATACTGCCTGAAGCAATCTGCAAATTCAATGCAATCCCTATCAAACTTCCAATGTTGTTTTTCTTAGAAACATAAAAGACAATCCTCAAATACAAATGGAAATACAAAACACCCTGAATAACCAGGGCAATTATGAGCAGAAAGAACAAAGCTAGAGGCATCACACTATCTGATTTTAAACTAGTATTTCGAACTATACTAAAAAGTGATGTAGAGTCTGAGGAAGATGGCAGATAGGAGACAGAGCTAATGTGCAGCTACCACTTAAATGACCAGAACAGTGTGTGGTGACTCACGCCATGAACTTTTGCTCCAAGAACCATGCCTGAAATGTACCAGGAAAACCAAAAGAAATCATAGATCCTTTGAAAGAAGTGGCACACCACTGCAAATTCCACGAGAGAGGCAAAAAACTGTGAGTTCCCAAAGCATGAGAGGGAGAAAACCTGCCTCTGGACACACAACCCCCACTGGGGAATCTGAAAATCCAGATCATGGGAGAAGAATTTCACCTTATCTAGAGCTGATTTAGGGAGCCACATGAAATGTAAAAGTAGAAGCAGCAGCGTGAAGAGTCTTGTAGGCACTCCCAGTCTCCAGCCGGAGCCCAGGGAAGCCATTCCTGACTATATCTCACAGGGACCCTCAGGGAAGGCAGCCAGTGGAATTACAGAGGGGTCACAGGGTGAAAGAAGCTTCCAACTGAAATTTGTAATAATTTTGACTGGACATGAATTTTCTTGAGCAGAATCCAAGGAGTGAATGGGAACTGCTACAGATACGAGTGAAGGAGCTGCCTCTGACATTGGGGCAGATGGGGAGGGGCAAGACCTGAAAGCTGCGCTTCCTTTCTCAGCAGGGAAGTTTACAGCATGGGACAAGGTCTGACAGGGGTAATGTGGGAGCGAGACTGGCCTAGCCAACTGCCTGGGAGTTAGGTGGGGCCTTTTGCTACCTGCTATCCCCCACTTTCCTGGTGAGCTATATGGTACAGCAGAGGCAGCCATAATCCCCTCTGGAACATAACCCCATTGGCCTGAGAACCACTACCCATCCCCAACAGTGGCCGTGGGAAGCCCCTCCCAAGGACAGTCTGAGCTCAGACTCACCTATTCTTGCCCCCATCTGATGGTATTTCTCTACCTGCCCTGGTAGCCAAACACAAAAGATATAAACTCTTGGGAGCTTTTTATGGCCCTGGACATCACCTGAGAAACCAGAATACTTACCCAAGCCAACTTAAGGCAAGATTATATGTCCCTACTACTACTGAAGCTGGTGCTCTCTAGAAAGTGCCATGTACTGGCTGGAGGCCAACCAACTCAGGCCATTACAGCAACTCATGACAGAATAACCCTGATCCCAGGGAGAAGGGAGAAAACAACAGCTAATTGTACTGCCTGCAACATCCTGGCTAACCAGGTGTCCTGAGTCTGTCCATGTGACAACTTCACTGCTAGCATAACCAGCATTTGAGAAAGCCAGTATACTAAACATATCTACAACCAAAGACTCTCAGAGCCTACTTCACTCCCCTGCCACCTCCATCAGAGCAAGTGCTGGTATTCACAGCTGAAAGACCCAAAGATGGATCATATCACAGGACTCTTTGCAGACATTCCCCAGCACCAGCCTGGAGCCTGGTAGCTCTGCTGGGTGGCTAGACCCAGAAAAGCAATAACAATTACTGCAGTCAGGCTCTCAGGAAGCCCCACTCCTAGGGGATGGGGGAGAGCATCACATCAAGGGGATAACCCTATTGGACAAAATAATCTGAAGTAGGCCTTGAGTTCCAGAGCTTTCCACTAAAATAGCCTACCCAAGTGAGAAGGAACCAGAAAAGTAATTCTGGTAATATGACAAAACAGGGTTCTATAACATCCCCAGAAGATCACACTAGCTCATCAGCAATGGATCCAAACCAGGAATAAATCTCAGAATTGCCAGATAAAGAATTCAGAAGATTGATTATTAAGCTACTCAAGGTGATACCAGAGAAAAGTGAAAACTAAAAGAAATATAAAAAACAATGCAGAATATGGATGAAAAAGTCTCCAGAGAAATAGATTTCATAAAGAAAGTACAATCACAGCCTCAGGAAATGAAAGCCACATTTCATTATATGAGAAATATAAAATGCACTGGAAAGTTTCAACAATAGACTAGAACAAGTAGAAGAAAGAATTTCAGAGCTTGAAGACAAGGCTTTCAAATTAACTCAATCAGACAAAGAAAAAGAAAAAAAATTTTAAAAAAATGAATCAAGCCTCCAAGATATTTCGGATTATGTTAAATGGCCAAACCTAAGAATAATTGGTGTTCCTGAGGAAGAAGAGAAATCTAAAAGTTTGGAAAGCTTATTTGAGGCAATAATTGTGGAAAACTTTCCTGACCTTGCTAGAGATCTAGACATCCAAATGCAAGAAGTTCAAAGAACACCTGAGAAGTTCATCACAAAAAGTTCATCACCTAGGCACATAGTCATCAGGTTATCTAAAGCCAAGACGAAGGCAAAAATCTTAAAAGCTGTGAGACAAACATATCAGGTAATCTATAAAGTTAAAGGAAAACTTTAACAGCAGGTTTCTCAGCAGAAACCTGACAAGCTAGAAGGGATTGGGGTTCTATCTTTAGCCTCCTGAAACAGAATAATTGTCAGTCAAGAACTTTGTATCCAGCAAAACTAAGCTTCCTAAGTCAAGAAAAGAAAGTCTTTTTCAGACAAACAAATGCTGAGAGGACTCACCGCTACTAAGCCAGCGCTACAGGAAATGCTAAAAGGAGTTCTAAATCTTGAAACAAAACCTCGAAATACACCAAAATAGAACCTCATTAAAGCATAAATGCCAGAGGGCCTATAAAACAATAACACAATGAAAGAAAATCAAGATATTTAGGCAACAGAGTAGTACCTCACATCTCAATATTAACATTGAATGTAAATGGCCAAAATGCTCTAATTAAAAGATACAGAATGGTGGAATGGATAAAAATTCACCAACCAAGTATCTGCTGTCTCCGAGAGACTCACCTAACACATAAGGACTCACATAAACTTAAGTAAAGGGGTGGAAAAAGATATTGCAGGCAAATGGAAACCAAAGGCAATCAGGAGTAGCTATTCTTATATCAGACAAAAGACTTTAAAAGAACAACAGTTTAAAAGGACAAACGGACATTATATAATGATATAAGGGTGAGTCCAACAAAAAAATATCACAATCCTAAATATATATGTACCTAATACTGGAGCTCCCAAATTTATAAAACAATTACTACTAGACCCAAGAAATGAGATAGACAGCAACACAAAAATAATGGGGGACTTCAGTACTCCACTGACAGCACTAGACAGGTCATCAAGATAGAAGTCAACAAAGAAACAATGAACTTAAAGTATACCTCAGAATGGACTTAACTGATATTTATAGAACATTCTATCCAATAATGCAGACTATACATACATTCATCAGCACGTTTTTTTATCAGCACATGGAACATTCTCCAAGATAGACCGTATGATAGGCCACAAAACAAGTCCCAGTAAATTTAAGAAAATCAAAATTATATCAAGTATCTTTTCAGACTACAGTGGAATAAAACTGGAAATTAACTCCAAAAAGAGCACTCAAAACTATACAAATACATGGAAATTAAATAATCTGCTCTTGAATGATCTTTGGGCCAACAATGAAATCAAGATGGAAATTTAAAAATTATTCGAACTGAAAAATATTAGTGCCACAACTTTATCAAAACCTCTAGGATACAGCAAAAGCAATGCTAAGAGGAAAGTTCATAGCCCTAAATGCCAACATCAAAAAGTCTGAACGAGCACAAATAGACAATTAAAGTCACACCTCAGGGAACTAGAGAAACAAGAACAAACCAAACCCAAGCCTAGCAGAAGAAAAGAAACACCAAAAATTGGAGCAGAAGTAAATAAAATTGAAACAACAACAAAAACAAACATAAATGCAACAAAAGCTATTTTTTTGAAAAGATAAACATCGATAGACCATTAGCGAGATTAACCAAGAAAAGAAGATCCAAATAGGCTCAATTAGAAATGAAACAGGAGACATTACAACCGATATCACAGAAATACAAAAGATCATTCAAGGCTACTATTAACATCTTTATGCACACAGACTAGAACATCTAGAGGAGATGGATAAATTCCTGGAAATATACGACCCTCCTAGATTAAATCAGGAAGAAACAGAAACTCTGAACAGACCAATAACAAGTAGTGAGATTGAAACAGTAGTAAAATAAATTGCCAACAAAAAAAGTCCAGGAACAGACGGATTCACAGCTGAATTCTATCAGACATTCCAAGAAGAATTGGTACCAATCTTACTGAAACTATTATAAAAGATAGTGAAAGAGGGAATCCTCTCTAAATCACTCTATGAAGCCAGTATCACCCTAATACCAAAACTAGTAAAGGATGTAACAAAAAAAGAAAACTACAGATCAATATCTTTGATGAACACAGATGGAAAAATCCTCAACAAAATACTAGCTAACTGACTCCAACAGCATATCAAAAAGGTAACACACCATGATCAAGCGGGTTTCATACCAGGGATGCAGGGATGGTTTAACATACACAAATCAACAATTGCGATATATCACATAAACAATTAAAAACAAAAATCATATGATCATCTCAATAGATGCAGAAAAGCATTTGACAAAATCCAGTATCCTTTTATGATTAAAACCCTCAGCAAGATTGACACAGAAGGGACATACCTCAAGGTAATAATGACAATCTATGACAGACCCACAGCCAACATTATACTGAATGGGGAAAAGTTGAAAGTATTTCCCCTGAGAACTAGAACAAGGTAAGAATGCCCACTTTCATCACTACTATTCAATATAGTACTGGAAGTCTAGCCAGAGCAATCTGACAAGAGAAAGAAATAAAGGGCATCCAAGGCAGTAAAGAGGAATTCAAACTGTTGCTGTTTAACGATGATATGATCATGTACCTTGAAAACCCTAAAGACTCATCCAAAAAGCTCCTAGATCTGATAATGAATTCAGTAAAATCTCAGGATACAAAATCAATTGCACAAACCAGTAGTTCTGCTGTACACCAACAATGACCAAGCTGAGAATCAAATCAAGAACTGAATCCCTTTTATGACAGCTGCAAAACAAACAAACCCCCAAAACTTAGGAATATACCTAACCAAGGAGGTAAAAGATCTCTATAAGGAAAACTACAAAACAATGCTGAAAGAAATCATGGATGACACAAACAAATGGAAACACATTTCATGCTCACGGATGGGTAGAATCAATATTGGGAAAATGACCATACTGCCAAAAGCAATCTACAGATTCAATGCAATTCCCATCAAAATACCACCATCATTCTTCACAGAACTAGTAAAAACAATCCTAAAATTCATACGGATCCATAAAAAGAGCTCACATAGCCAATGCAACACTAAGGAAAAAGAACAAATCTGGAGGAATCACATTACCCAACTTCAAACTAGGCTATAGTTACCAAAACAGCAAGATCGTGGTAGAAAAATAGGCACACAGACCAGTGGAACAGAATAGAGAAACCCAGAAATAAAGCCAGATACTTACAGCCAACTGTTCTTAAACAAAGCAAACAAAAACATAAAGTAGGGAAAGGACACCCTATTCAACAAATGGTGCTGGGATGATTGGCAAGTCACATGTAGAAGAATGAGACTGGATCCCCATCTCTCACTTCATACAAAAATCAACTCAAGATGGATCAAAGACTTAAATCTAGGACCTGACACCATAAAAATTCTAGAAGATAACATCAGAAAAACTCTTCTAGACATTGGCTTAGGCAAAGAGTTCATGACCAAGAACCCAAAAGCGAATGTAACAAAGAAAAAATAAATAGATGGGACCTAATTAAACTAAAAAGCTTCTGCACAGCAAAAGAAATAATCAGAGTAAACAGACAACCCACAGAGTAGGAGAAAATATTCACAAACTATGTATCCAACAAAGGACTAATAACCAGATTTACAACAAATTCAAACAAATTAGCAAGAAAAAAATTCCATCAAAAAGTGGGCAAAGGACATGAATAGAAAATTCTCAAAAGAAGATACATGAATAGCCAATAAACATGAAAAAATCCCCAACATCACTGATTGTCAGGGAAATACAAATTAAAACCACAATGAGATACCACCTCACTCCTGCAAGAATGGCCATAATTAAAAAAAAAAAATAGATGTTGATGTGGATGTTGTGAAAGGGAACTTTTACACTGCTGGTGTGAATGTAAACTAGTACAACTACTATGGAAAACAGTATGGAGATTCCTTAATAAACTAAAACTACCATTTGATCTAGCAGTCCTACTACCGGGTATCTGCCCAGAGGAAAAGAAGTCATTATATGAAAAAGACACTTGCACACGCATGTTTATAGCAACACAATTTGCAATTACAAAAATATGGAACCAGCCTAAATGCCCATCAACCAACATGTTGATAAGGAAAATGTGGTATATTTATACCATGGAATACTACTCAGCCATAAAAAGGAATAAAATAATGGCATTTGCAACAAACTGGATGGAGCTTGAGACCATTTTTGTAAGTGAAGTAACTCAGGAATGGAAAACCAAGTATCGTATATCTTCACTTACAAGTGGGAACTAAGCTATGAGGATGCAAAGGCATAAGAATGACATAATGGATTTTGGGGACTCAGGGAAGGATAGTAGGGGAGTGAGGTATAAAAAACTACACATCGGGTACACTGTACACTGCTCACGTGGGAAGTGCACCAAAATTTCAGAAATCACCACCACATAACTTATCCATGTGACCCAAACCATCTGTTCCCTAAAATCTATTGAAAAAAAAAGTGTTAGTAATCACACTTGTAATCGCAGCACTTTGGGATACTGAGGCAGGAGCATCGCTCAAGGTGAGGAGTTTGACACTGGCTTGGGCAATATAGTAAGACCCCTGGCTCCCTGTGTATATATTTTAAAAAACAAAAGTAAGCATGGTACTTGCAAAACAAACAAACAAAAACACCAAGTACATATGAAACAGAATAGAGAGCCCATAAATGAACCCAGGTATACACATGGTCAATTGCTTTTCCACAAAGGTGCCAAGAATATACAATGGGAAAAGAATAGTCTCTTCAATAAATGGTGCTAGGAAAACTAGATACCCACATGCAGAATGAAATTGGACCTTCATCTTACCTATATGCAAAAATCAACTCAAAATAGATTAAGGACTTAAATGTAAGACCAGAAACTGTAACACTACTAAAGGAAACATAATGGAAAAACTGCCAATTGAAACCACAGTATGATGTCATCTTACACCTGTCACAATGGCTATCATAACAAAAACAAAAGATAACAAATGTTGGCAAGGATGTGGAGAAAAGGGAATCAGTATACACTGTTAAGAATGTAAATTAGTACAGCCATTAAGGAAAACTGAAGTTCTTCAAAAAACTAAAATAGAATTACCATATGATCCAGCAATCCCACTTCTGAGAATTCAACCCAAAGATTTGAAATCAGTGTGTCGAAGAGATTTGAAATCAGTGTGTCGAAGAGATGTTTGCAGCCCTGTGTTCACTGTAGCACTAAATTTACAATAACCAAGTTATGGAATCAACCTAATGTCTATCAGCAGATGAATGGCTAAAGAAAATGTGGAAAATGGGGTATATATACACAATGGAATACTATTCAGCCTTTAAAAAAGACATTCTGTCATTTGTGACAACATGGATGAAACTGAAGAACATTATGCTAAGTGAAGTAAATCAGACACAGAAAGACAAATATGGCACATACTTACTTATATATGGAATCTAAAACAAACTCACAGAATCAGAGTGTAGAATGACGGTTACAAAGGCTCAGGGCTGAGAGGAATGGGGAGATGATGGTCAAAGGGTGTAAAATATGGCAGAAGGAATTTTTTAGTTCTACTGCACAGCATGGTAAATATAGTTAATAACAGCATTATACATTTCAAAACTAAATTTCCATGTTCTCATCACAAAAAATGTTAAGTGTTTGAGGTGATGGATGTTAACTAGCTTAATTATTCCATTATACTCATAAATCATAACACCATTTTGTACCCCCACGTACAATTATAAATTGTCAATTTACAGTTAAAAAAAATGCAGGAGGCATTTTGTGGAGGGAAAGACTAAACCCCAGAGTAGCAAAGCAACTAATTCATGGTCCCCCCGGGTTTAAGACAGAGCCATGAGCCTTGTCCAGGTGTGGGTCCCTACAGGATTCCCATCATGCTTTGAAGCTCGACTTGAGCCCAGGTGATAATGGCAGGCTCTGCAGGATCTGGAAGCCAGTACAGACTTTCCTCAGCACATTTGAGAGCAGGATGTAGGGCTCATAATTTATAATCATACTTGTGTGTATATGTGCTTCTGTGTATATATTAGCCCTTGGTAATGACATGTCAAGGGCTTTTTTTTTTCTTTGCCTAAACACAGTGTATGCTGCAGAAAACAAAGTGCTATAGTAATTCAGTGAACAGAAAATTCTACAGGCAAATAAGGTGGGAAACACTGCATATTATATCCAACATTCTTGGTGCACCAGGAAACACGTTTGCATATTAAGGACTGAACGGTCCCATAATAAAGAGACACCTTTAGGTTAGTTTAATCCAGTGATTCCCAGATTTATTTGGTTATGACCATCTATCCCCCCAGTAGTCCTCACCAATATTCTGTGGAACAAATCTGTTTATTTGCAGAACACAATTTTGAAAAGGGTTATTCTGAATGTCTATGAAGTGTTTTAAATATGGTACATTTTAATGAGGTTATATACCAAAATAGCCTAAACACCAACAATGACAGAAACATCCAGGATACAACTTGTGAAAGTAAAAATTTTTATTTTGATTGATTTCTCAATGTATAGTTCAGTATAATGCCAGTTTTTAATGGCAAAAATTTGGTTCCACTGAAACTCCATAATGCTACAGAGAGCTACTACTTTTTCCAGGAAGTAGGTTAACAGCTAGAAAGAAAAAGGACAATTTCCTAGCAGCATGGCAACTTAAACTGCAGATCTAATAGGTCTGCAACTTTTACACTAAAAATGGCACAAACAGCTGGTGACACAAGTGAGAAATGGGGAACAAGATGTGAACACTGAAAAGAACAATATATATACTGTAAATATGATGAATAAACCAAATGTAGCTATAAGAATCTTAAAGGATGATTATAGAAAAGGGAACCAAATATTTTCCTCAAATGCTTTTTAGAGCCTTTCTGTAGAGATACAAATATATATATATATATTTATCCAAAAATATGTTTTATACAGATAAATGTTTCTCAATTAAAGATGGGACCAAAGCTATAGGTATAACATAAAGCACATTGTCTTTTGTAAGACTATTTATCCACCTGAATTTTCAATTTCTTTAAAGTTAGTGCATTAAATGTTTTCCAAATATAATTACCTGTCAGTCTTTTTATAGATATAAATCAAGTAGGCATTATGTTTTAAAAGTGTTTGCAGGTTAAACTTTTCTAAGATGCTGTGCATATTAAACTTATTATGAGCCCCATTAAGAATCATTATTAATAAACATATCAAAAAGGGCTATATGTCAGATTTTCCTGTTCATAGTAAATATTTTCTGATTTCCAGTTTACAAGTATTGAAAATGCACAAGAAAGATTTTACTTCACAAGTACTTTTAAGAATATACTTTGATTTAATATGTATGTTAGTAAAACTCCACGTGTTGTAACGATTATTATGTTTTTGTTTTTAAAATGGGGATGTAATACTAATAACCACTACCTATAAAATAAAGCACACAATTGTTCCGGTGATTTTACAAATCTTTTTTTCCAGGTGTAAAGTCTACAAAAATTCCAAAAAATTAGAGAACACTGAAAACATATTAAAGTTTGACATCCAACTTTATAGTATTTCCATGTTACCCTGAAAGATAACTTAAAAAATATGGCCTTCTTAGAACAGGCCACTCTGCTATTATAAAAAATTGGTGACAGCAAGAAATTGTATCACTGATATGTGGAATTTTTGTAAATAGTTTTCTCTCCAAATCATTAGAAAAATGTTCAAAAATAAAAACAAAATAAAATATGGTGGTGGTCCCTAAACTATTTTGAAGGCAGGTAGCTTAGTCTAAGCTAAAATATTTTTTTCATTCATAGCAATAATCCTCCCCTCAAATGCCCTTTAAAAAAATGCATGAAACCGTACAATAGCAAAAATCAAAGAGCACAGACTGTATTTTCAAGAACAGAAAAATCTCTAATGCTGAAAGATATAGTAGAAAGCAGATTTCTTTGGGGACATTAATCAATTAGTTTATAATTCATTATGAAGATTTCTCTTTTTTATTCCGGGGAGAGTCTGCTACATTTGAAGTTAATGTTCCATTCACACCATTTTCTGCAAAAAGAAAAGAATCCATGTTACTCTCTTTTATAAATAAATGCAAGTTATAATCTTTATATGTAAAGATACCTTCAGAAAAGAAAATGTAAAATCCAATTCACTCAGGTGAAATTTACTTACCAGTATTTAACCAATCACAAAACCTGGTAACATTTTTAACACAATGAACTGAAAGTAGCAAATTAAAAGAAAACTACTATTAAAAGCAGAAAAAAGTGACAGCACAGAAAACTATAAAGTCACAAGAATTTAAAAATAGTATTCAAGAGAAATACCTTCTGTAGAAATAAAGAAACTTTTCACATTTGACAGCGAAGTCCTTGGGGATATTTGTTTACAATATAGTAAAGTTGGTGTTTAGGATAATTTCTATGTGGAGGCGTGTATTATGGCCTTCTTTTTATTTATTTATGTTACTGTTGTTTTTTGAGACAGGGTCTCACTCTGTCACCAAGGCTGTGTAGTGGCACGATCATGGCTCAATGCAGTCTTGAACTCCCGGGGACCAGTGATGCTCCCGGGGACCTCAGCCTCCCAAATAGCTGGGACTACAGGCATGTGCCACCACACCTGGCTAATAGTAATGGCCTTCTTCAAGCTATGATGGAGTAGCGTATGTGTGACTGACTCTCTCTCCAAAAATACAAAAGTTGCATACAGAAATGGATGTTTGAGGCGGGGGCAATGGCTTGCACCTATAATCACAGCACAAGTGGAATCCCAGCACAGATATCATTGAACTGAATAATAATGAAAAAGACATATTGAAACCTGTGAAATACAGACTAAGCATGGTGGCTCACGCCTGTAATCCCAGCACTTTGGGAGGCTGAGGTGGGTGGATCACCTGAGGCCAGGAGTTCAAGACCAGCCTGGCCAACGTGGTGAAATGCCATCTCTACTAAAAATACAAAAATTAGCTGGTTGTGGTGGTGGGTGCCTGTAATCCTGACTACCTGGGAGGCAGGAGAATCACTTGAGCCCGGGAGGCAAAGGTTGCAGTGAGCTGAGATCGCGCCACTGCACTCCAGCGTGGGCAACAGAGCTAGACTCCATCTAAAAAAAAAAGAAAAAAAAAAAAAAACCACACAAAAAAAAACCCCAAAACAAAACAAAAAATCCTTGTGAAATACAGTTAAAGCAGTGTTGAAAGGAAAAGTTTACCATTAACTGAATGTAATTCACAAGAGATACAAATCAATGCTCCAAAGATCCATCTCAAGAAGGTAAATCACAAACAAAACCGCAAATTAAACCCAATGAAAAGGAAAGAATAGAAATCAATGATCCAGAAAAGAGACAACTAGGAAAATCAACACAAAAAGACAAATGTTGGTTTTGACTGATGGAAGGAAAGATAAAAGGCTTACGTTACTAACAACATGAAATGAAAAACAGGAATCACTCCTGATTTAGAGGTGTTAACAGGATAACGAAAGTCATATGAATAATTTTATGCCGATGTATTTGCAAATTTATATGAACTAGACAAATTCCTTGAAAAACATTATTTACCAAAAGAGAAACGACTAAGAAACAGAAAATGTGAACAATAGTATTATCTTTTTTTTCTTCTGAGACAGGGTCTCACTCTGTTATCCCGGCTGGAGTCCAGTGACATGATCTCCACTCACTGCAACCTCCACTTCTCAGTGATGGCAGCGGCAGCCCCTGTGGAGTGGCTACTGCCATGACATTGGCTGTAGTGTGAGAGGTGCATCCAGGGCTGTGTGCTCCACATAGCTAGCAGGAGCCCCATCCCTTTCAAAGTTGGAGTGGTGGGAGTCCCGCACTCCTGGGCACAGTGGCAGCCACCCAGCTGTAGTTCTTCGGTGTTCAGGAAGCCCTACTACCTCTGCAGGCTTGGAAGTGCCTGCTCCCACTGCCTGGCCACTCTGCTGCTCCTGGCGTCTGCTAGTTTTGGAGTGAAGGTGAGACTGACCCTGGGATTAGAGCAGCACTGATATGCCTGCTCAGGGAGCCCCTAGATCTGGGGGCTTTTCTCTCTTTCTTGTCATCCACAACGTGGCGAGCAGGGGGACATATTTCAGCCTTGTTTGTGCTATAGCCCTTTTAGTCCCGCCATTCAGCAGGTCCAAAGTTCCCAAGGCAGCTCCCTGCTCCCTTGGCCCTGTCAGGACTTTGGGTGCTGATGAGCACGAGAGGGAGGCCGAGGGGGGCTGAGGGCAGCTTGGTGTGGGTCTGTAGGCACCCCTTGGCATGACCAGCCTAGGCACCACGGATGGCAGGTTGATGGCAGCAGGAGGCAGACAGGTTCCTGGGCAGAAAGGGGTGGGCCCTGGTGAAGCCCCCCTCTTCAAGCCAGGGACAGCCTGAAACCTGGGGGCCAGGCCACCAGTTCCATGGACTGGAGTGAGAACTTACAGTGTTTTCTGGGCCCACCCATGGACCAATCAGCATGCACTTCCTCCCCCCTGAAGCTCATAAAAATCCTGGACTCAGCCAGACTTGGGCAGATGATGAGACTGTGGATAGGAGCTAACCACTTCAGGTCTCCTGAGAACTGTTCTGCCTCTCAATGAACCTCCTCTCTGCCTTGCTCACCCTCCAGTTGTCTGCATACCTCATTCTTCCTGGATGCAGGACAAGAACTTGGGACCTGCTGAATGGTGGGACTGAAAGGGCTATAGCACAAACAAGGCTGAAACATGCCCCTCTGCTCACCACGTTGTGGATGACAAGAAAGAGAGAAGAGCTGTGCTCCTCTGGGAAGCCCAGATCTAGGGGCTCCCTGAGCCAGGGCTATGACACCCTCTTTGGGGTTCAGTGGTTCCCACCATCTCCAAGCTCTGGAGATGCCACCACACTCCCCTTGTCCAGTCATGGGTCCCTGCAGCGGAAGCCGCATGCAGTACATCTGGTCCAGCTGCAGCCTCACACAGAGCCAGCACCTGCTGGTGCCTAGAGCTGCCTGCCCCGTGGCAGCAGCCTGTGTGTCTGGCTGTGCGCAGTGGCTAGACCTTGTGTGTGCTTGCCCACACACCCCCTGCTGCTCCACGTCTGGCTCATGCTTGACAGGTGTAGGATCTGGGCCGGTAGCTTAAGCCAAGCACAGCCTGTCAGGCCAAGTGGGTGGAATGAGCCCAGCGGATGCAAGCAATACTCAGGCAGAAGGTGCCACCAGCCAAAAAGGTTTCCAGCTGGTGAAGTGACACCCCAAGGGTGACATCAGGATCAAGGGATCCTCCCACCTCAGCCTCCCAAGTACTGGGACTACAGGCATGCACCACGATGCCTGGTTCATTTTTGTATTTTTTGTAAAGACAGAGTTTCGTCATGTTGCCCAGGCTGGTCTTGAACTCCTGGGCTCAAGTGATCCACCCATCTCAGCCTCCCAAAGTGCTGGGTGCCCAGCCAATTGGTTGAGACTGGTGGGCAGATCACTTGGGTAGAGGAGTTCAAGACTATCCTGGGTAACATGGTGAAATCCCATCTCTACAAAAAACACAAAAAGTAGTGGCATGGTGACATGTGCTTGTAGCCCCAGCTACTCAGGAGGCTGAGGTGGGAGGACTGCTTGAGCCCACAAGGTTGAGGCTGCAGTGAGCCAAGATCGTGCCACTGCACTCCAGCCTGGGCGACAGAGCAAGACCCTGTTTCGAAAAAAAAGAAGACTCTAGGTCAGAGGGCTTAGTTGGTGAACACTTCCAAACACTTAAATAATAAATAATGCTGATATTACACAAAGGACAAATCTGCCCAACACTTTCTTTACAGCCAGCACAACCTTGAGGTCAAAATCTGACATATTACAAAAAAGGGCTAATACAGGCTGATCTATTATTACATGAACAAAGATGCAAAAATCCTAATGAAATACTGAAAAAGGGAATTCAGCGAAAGTGATGTACAATGGTCTCCCCTTATTTGCAGTGTTGCTTTCCACGGTTTCAGTTACCCACAGTCAACCATGGTCTGAAAATAGATGAGTACTGTATAATATTTTGAGAGAGAAAAATACCACATTCAATTAACTTTTGCTACAATATGCTGTTATATGTGACCAATTTATAAATAAAACTTTATCATAGCTAATTAGGAGAAAACATAGTATATACAGTCATGCATCACTTAACAGGCTATGTTTTAAGAAATGTGTTAGGCGATTTCATCATTGTATGAACATCACAGAATGTACTTCCACAAATCTAGATGGTAGAGCCTACCACACACCCAGGCTATATGGTATAGCCTATTGCTCCTAGGCTAAAAATCTGCATGGCATGTTACTGTATGGAATACTTTAGGCAACTGTAATACAGTGGTAACTATTTATGTATCTAAACATATCTAAACATAGAAATGGTATTGGAGAAATAAAGCATTATCTTATAGGACCAGTGTCATAAATGAGTCATGTATACACATATGTTGTACAGCTGTTGACTGAAATGTCATTATTTAGCACGTAACTATATAGTTTGAAACTACCCCTGGTTTCAGGCATCCATTGGGGGTTTTGGAATGTATTCCCCCAGGGAGACAACTGTATTATCACCAACTTGGATGCATGTCAGAAATGCAGAATTATTTTAACATTGATAGTCAATGTAGTCAATGCAATTCACAACATTAATAGAGTAAAGAAAAACTCTATGACTAACTAAATCTTGCAGAAAAAGCATTTCTTAACATTCCACAAGTCATGGACAAAAACTCTTAGTAAATGATGTACAGAAGAGAACTGAATAAAGGGCATCTACAGACCATTCTTAATAATGAAATACCGAAAGGTCTCCCTCTTATATGAGGAACAAGAGTATTCATTTCTTATATTGAATATTATGGTTTAGTCCTAGCTAGTGTAATACAGGAAGAAAATGAAAAGGTATAATATTTATAGACGCTGTAACTGTATATTTTAGTGTAAACTTTAGAATAAGTGAATTAGGAAGACTTTTTTCAGTACCTGGATAGTATCTTAAAGAAAACAAATGGCACTACTACGTAACAAATAGTTAAAACTGTTTTTTAAAAAGAGCATGTACATTAGCTTAAAAAAGAAAATACCTGAGAATAAATTTAATGAAAAATGTATGAGATCCCTATACAGAAACCTATAAAATATCTCCTTCAACAACTCTTCCATTGCTTCTTGGCATTTTGGCTAAGATCAAGTGAAGAACTCTTCCAAAAAACAGAAAAGGAAAAAACACTCCCCAGTTCATTCTATGAAGCCAGTATTATCTTGATACTAAAACCAGACAACGATGTTGCAAGAAAAATATACTCCAATTATCCTTTATGAATACAGACACAAAAAAACCTGAACAAAATACTTGCATACCAAAATCCATCAAGAGATAAAAAGGATCATACACCATAACCAAGTGAAATTTATCCCAGGAATGCAACGTTGGTTTAACATCTGAAAATCAATCTAATCTATAATACCAACAGAAAAAAATGACAAAACCCCACAAGGTTATCTCAATAGATGCAGGAAAAAAAGCAATTGACAAAATCTAACAACCTTCCATGATAAAAACAAACTAGGAATCAGAGGGGAACTTCCTCAACCTGATAAAGGTCATTTATGAAAAACCCATAGCTAACATCATACTTAATGGTAAAAGACTGGATGGATGCCTACCCCTAAGATCAAAAACAAGACAAGGATGTCTGCTCTCACCATTTCTATTCAACACCTGTTGTGGAGGTTCTGGGCAGGGCAATTTGGCAAGAAAATGCAATAGAAAGCATCCAGATTGCCCACCAAAAAAAAAAAAACCTATTTGAATAAATAAATTCAGCAAGGTTGCAGGATACAAGATCAATATACAAAAGTGAATTGTATTTCATATACAATGGCAATGAAGAATCTGAAAATGGAATTAAGAAGATGGTTCTATTTTACAACAGCATCAAAAAGAATAAAATAGGATTAAATTTAATGAACTGCAAGATGTATACACTGATAAATATAATTGAAAGAGATTAAAAGATCTAAATAAACAGACATTCATGTTCATACTCTGCAAAGCAACCTACAAATTGAAGATAATCCATACCAAAACCCCAGCTGGCTTTTTTGCAGAAACTGACAAGCTCATTATAGAATTCATATTAAAATGGCTGGGCAAGGCAGCATATGCCTGTAGTCCCAGCTACCTGGGAGGCTGATGGGAGAATCCCTTGAGCCTACAAGTTCAAGTCTAGCCTGGGCAACATAGCAAGATCCCGTCACTTAAATAAAAACTCATATGGAAATGTAAGAAACCCAGAATAACCAAAACATAAAATAGAACAACAACAATGGGGACTCACATTACCTGCTTTCAAAACTTACTACAAAGCTACAGTAATCAAGATAGTGTGGTTCTGGCATAAGAATCGACATACGAATAAATGAAATAGAATTCATGATCCAGAAATAAACTTTTCTTAAAAATGATTTTTGAAAAGGGTATCAAGACAGTTCAAGTGAAGGAGTCTTTTTAACAAATGGCACAGGGACAACTGAGTATCAAGATGCTAAACTGAGTGTAAAATAGTATAACCACTTCAAAGAACAGTTTGGCAGTTCCCTCAAAATGTTAAACATAGTTACCGCATGACTCGGAAATCCCACTCCTATGTATGTACCCTAGAGAATGAAAACACATGTTTGAACAAAAACTTGCACCTAAATGTTCACAGCATCACGATTCATAATAGCCAAAAAGTAAAAGGCACTCAATATCCATCAAATGATGAATGGATAAACAAAATATGGTATACATCCATCCAAAAGGTTCCATACAATGGAATATTAATTGGCTGTAAAAATAAATGAAGTCTTTCTATATGCTATGACATGGATGAACCTCAAAGCATTATCCATTTGCAAAACCACATATCACATGGTTCTGTTTACATGAAATGTCCAGAAAAGGCCAATCCTTAGAGACAGAAAATAGATTAGAGGGTGCCGGAGCAGAATGAAGGGGGCAAAGTGAAGTGATGCTAAGGGGCATGGGGTTTCTTTTTGCAGTGATAGAAATATTCTGGAATTAGATAGTGGTTTGCACGATTTTGTGAACATACATTAAAAATGACTGAAATGTATACTTTAAAGGGTAAACTTTATGTGAATTACATCCCATTAAAGCTATTAAAAATATTACTTGGAGAAATTAAAGACAACCTAAATAAACAGAGGTATATATCATGTTAATGGGTTGAAATAGTCAATTATCCCTAAATCGATCTACAGATTTGATGTTATTTCAACTTAATATCCCAGCAACTTTTGTGGAAATTGACCAGGTTGTATAATTTTTTTTTTTTTTTTCTAAAGAGGCATATGTTGCCCAGGCTGGAGTGTAGTAGGGCTTCACAGGCATGATCATTGTGCACTGTAACCTTGAACTCCTGGGTTCAAGTGATCCTCCTGCCTCAGCCTCCTGAATAGCTGGACTACAGGCACCCCCCACTGCACCTAGATCAAGTTGTACTAAAATGTATTAAGAAAATGCAAAGGGCCAAGACTTGCTGGGACAAACTTGAAAAAAAAAAAAAAAGGCAGGGCTGGAGGATGTAAATTATCAGGTATTAATACTTACAAAGGAGTAAACCAGAGTGGACATACTCTAAAAACTTCCTGTGTTATAGTTCTAAGCCTAATACCACATACACACTGAAAAAATTAACTGTAATATCGATGCATTTTCAATTTTTGCAAAAACCATAAGGAAAAAAGAGGTTAAATGAAGGCTTTAAAGACAAAGAATCAAGCAATCAGAAGTTATAAAAAAAAAGCTATTCCACTTGGGACAAATGGGCAGATGGGAAGAGGTTGTGAAGAGCTTTTTAAAATGTGAATAAGATGCTTGAAAACAAACTACCATCCTCAGGTTTAGTTTAAACCTGCCCATAAAGTTTGGTCTAAAGTAGCTCAAGGTAACCAAGCATGGAAAACTTGTTAAAGAGAAATGTGATGGACAGCTTTTGAGGGGAGTAACTGAGTTTCCTCACCCAAGGGATCACCCAATTGTGGAATGCAGTAAGATTACTTTGCCTCTAATTTTGTTGAAAAGCAGAATAGTATTTTCTTTATAAGACACCTTAAAACTAATAAATAAGATCCAACAACAAATTTTTTAAAAGTTTTCTACTTCCATGAGTTTTTCATTGCTTACTGAATACAAACCTGTTCCTTTTTTAGAAGATCTGCCTTTAGTTACTGTTGGTTTCTTCTTCACAGCTGGTGCCTGAAAAGCAGAATGTTCCCTCCACCTTCGAAGCTGAAAATTAATGAACTTCCACATCATAAATGCCTGAGTAACGCAAATGGATGCCAGAACAGCGATTCTAAGAAATATTAAGACATAAAAAGTTAGTGTATAAAAAACAATGCCACTGAATACATTCTATCATCTTTCATAGTATTTAGTAATAATTCCCACTCAGTTGAGAAAATTGTATTAATAATCATTGCATTAATAATTTATCCTAAAAGTTAAATGCTTTAGTACTTCACTTTAGACATGTAAAATAGCAACGGGTATGAAATAAAATCAAATGAGTATTTTCCCCAACCTCATATTCATCCTTTTTTAGATGATTCAATGTAGAGAAACTGATAATATATATTATCTAGCTGTATAAAGTGAAAAAAATGTTAAATTGATCGTACCTAACAGCTAACACATTGAAGTTTCCAGTACTGAAATCCAGCTTCTGATTTTCTGCTCTTGCAAGGCCAAAACCAACAGTCAGTACTGAAAGAATTAAAGTCAGAAGTCTTCCCAAAACAAAAAGAACTGCCCACAGAGAAAATCTGCAAGAAAAAGGCCGTAAGTCAAATTCCTGAAATCTCAAAAACAAGATTCTATTAGAAATTAGATTCCTAAGTTGGGCGTGGTGGCAGACGCCTGTAATCCCAGCTACTTGGGAGGCTGAGGCAGGAGAATTGCTTGAAACCAGAAGGTGGAGGTCACAGTGAGCAGAGATTGCGCCACTGCACTCCAGCCTGGGCAACAAGAGCGAAACTCCATCTCAAAAAAATAAATAAATAAATAAAGAAGAAACTAGATTCCTATTAAGTAAAAGCCTATTAAAATAGCATTTCTTATTCTGCAAAAAAGAATTTTGAGTCAAATATCTGGGAAAGGCTATATATCACACTCAGAGAGATATAACACATATTAGCCTATTTAAATTTCTAAAACAATCCAGGAAATAAATGTTTAATTTTCTGTTTAGCTTATCTCTTTTCTTGTATAAGAACTATTAATATTCCTCAGAACTACTAGTATTCAGAATAATTTTGGAAAATGCTGGACAAAACAAACCAAAAAAGCTGTGTTATAAAGAACAGGATGCCCAATTCTCATTTAAGAGTCCCAGTTTTTGGCACAAGACAGGGATGGCCTCTCTCACCACTCCTATTCAACACAGTGTTGGAAGTTCTGGCCAGGGCAATTAGGCAGGAGAAGGAAATAAAGGGTATTCAATTAGGAAAAGTGGAAGTCTAATTGTCCCTGTTTGCCGATGACATGATTGTATAACTAGAAAACCCCACTGTCTCAGCCCAAAATCTCCTTAAGCTGATAAGCAACTTCAGCAAAGTCTCAGGATACAAAATCGATGTACAAAAATCACAAGCATTCTTATACACCAATAACAGACAGAGAGCCAAATCATGAGTGAACTCCCATTCATAATTGCTTCAAAGAGAATAAAATACCTAGGAATCCAACTTACAAGGGATGTGAAGGACCTCTTCAAGGAGAACTACAAACCACTGCTCAATGAAATAAAAGAGGATACAAACAAATGGAAGAACATTCCATGCTCATGAGTAGGAAGAATCAATATCATGAAAATGGTCATACTGCCCAAGGTAATTTATAGATTCAATGCCATCCCCATCAAGCTACCAATGACTTTCTTCACAGAATTGGAAAAAACTACTTTAAAGTTCATATGGAACCAAAAAAGAGCTCGCATCACCAAGTCAATCCTAAGCCAAAAGAACAAAGCTGGAGGCATCATGCTACCTGACTTCAAACTATACTACAAGGCCACAGTAACCAAAACAGCATGGTACTGGTACCAAAACAGAGATATAGATCAATGGAACAGAACAGAGCCCTCAGAAATAATGCTGCATATCTACAACCATCTGATCTTTGACAAACCTGACAAAAGCAATGGGGAAAGGATTCCCTATTTAATAAATGGTGCTGGGAAAACTGGCTAGCCATATGTAGAAAGCTGAAACTGGATCCCTTCCTTACACCTTATACAAAAATTAATTCAAGATGGATTAAAGACTTACATGTTAGACCTAAAAACATAAAAACCCTAGAAGAAAACCTAGGCAATACCATTCAGGACATAGGCATGGGCAAGGACTTCATGTCTAAAACACCAAAAGCAATGGCAACAAAAGCCAAAATAGACAAATGGGATCTAATTAAACTAAAGAGCTCTGCACAGCAAAAGAAACTACCATCAGAGTGAACAGGCAACCTACAAAATGGGAGAAAATTTTCACAACCTACTCATCTGACAAAGGGCTAATATCCAGAATCTACAATGAACTCAAACAAATTTACAAGAAAAAAACAACCCCATCAACAAGTGGGCAAAGGATATGAACAGACACTTCTCAAAAGAAGATATTTATGCAGCCAAAAAACACATGAAAAAATGCTCATCATCACTGGCCATCAGAGAAATGCAAATCAAAACCACAATGAGATACCATCTCACACCAGTTAGGAATGGTGATCATTAAAAAGTCAGGAAACAACAGGTGCTGGAGAGGATGTGGAGAAATAGGAACACTTTTACACTGTTGCTGGGACTGTAAACTAGTTCAACCATTGTGGAAGTCAGTGTGGTGATTCCTCAGGGATCTAGAACTAGAAATACCATTTGACCCAGCCATCCCATTACTGGGTGTATACCCAAAGGATTATAAATCATGCTGCTATAAAGACACATGCACACGTATGTTTATTGCGGCACTATTCACAATAGCAAAGACTTGGAACCAACTCAAATGTCCAACAATGATAGACTGGATTAAGAAAATGTGGCACATATACACCATGGAATACTATGCAGCCATAAAAAATGAAGAGTTCATGTCCTTTGCAGGGACATGGATGAAACTGGAAACCATCATTCTCAGCAAACTATCGCAAAGACAAAAAACCAAACACTGCATGTTCTCACTCATAGGTGGGAACTGAACAATGAGAACACATCGACACAGGAGGAGGAACATCACACTCTGGGGACTGTTGTGGGGTGGGGGAGGGGGGAGGGATAGCATTAGGAGATATACCTAATGCTAAATGACGAGTTAATGGGTGCAGCACACCAACATGGCACTTGTATACATATGTAACAAACCTGCACATTGTGCACATGTACCCTAAAACTTAAAGTATAATAATAATAAAATAATAAAAAAAGAGTCCCAGTTTTACTTTTTTTAAGACAACTTTGCACTCTTTACAAGTTACACCTCTCCAATTCTGTTTTCAGTTCAATTTCACCATCAATATATTTTAGTTATCTATAAGGCTAATTATCTATTGTTTCACTTTCTTCTGAGAGTTCACTTCTCTATCACTCCTCCAAAAGAAAAACCATGCAACAAACAAAGTAAAAGTTATAACAGAAAAGTAAACCCAAGAAGCCTTCAAAATTGCAAGATACAATACAGTATCTCTCTAGCTGAGAAAGCCTCCATTTTAGAGAGTAAAATACAAAGTCTGAATTGCTAAATAATTTCGTTTTATTTAAAGCGGCTACTGATCGCTTAAAAAGTTAATATAATGGCCTAAAGCATGGATCTTGGCAATGTTAGGCACTGACTTTAAATACCTAGTACACGAGAAATAGAATGGCTAAACAACTTACCCTTTCTGATACTTTTCATTGCTAAAATAAAACAGGCGGGAAATGTGGAAAAGAAATTCAACAAAATAATGTAGCACCAGAAGAACAAGTCCTAGATGATTCAAGCTGTTAAAAGAGCAAATTAAAAATGGGAATATTAATTATCAATTAAGACAGGTCAGCATACTATCTGCCCAGCCTACTTACACACCCATGAAATATCCCAACTCACTTCAAAAGGTAAGCTCCAGCAATGTGGAAGAGGTAAAGACCAATGTAGACAAGCTGACGAGGAATATCTTCCTGTAAAAAAATACATTATAGATTAAAACATGCTAAAACATTTCCTTTCCCTTTTTTTAAGAGGTGTGGTCTTGCTATGTTGCCCAGGTTGGTCTCAAAACCTTGGACTCAAGAGAACCCCCAACCTTGGCCTTCCAAAGGGTTAGGATTTCAGGCGTGACCCACTGTGCTTGGCTCATTTCTGTTCTTTAAGAGTAAGTGAAAAATGTAGAAGTAGGAGATCTGAAAGCTATTCTGCTCCCACCCCACCGCAATCTCTCATCCTCAATTAGGTATATAGCATTAGCAAGTCACTTAACCTCTGCTGGCTTCAGTTATTTCATCCATAAAATGTGAATACTTAGATTTGCTTCAATCAGATAAACTCAAAATCCCTTTTAGAGCTAAGATCTATGGCTCTTTTTTCTAATGTGTATTAAATGACACAATATTAATCATAGTTACATGCTGACAATTTGATGTTCCTCTAATATTAAAATTGTTATGTTCATAGTAGTAGAGACACTTCTGTTTACCTAAAATAGGATTCACATTTTCAGCTCATGCTTTAGTCCCTTGTCAGTCATTACAACAAGTTTAACATTTTGTATTCTCATTTATACTATTCCTTAATTGTATATTCTTTTTCCTCAATTACTTTGCAAGCCCAAGTACCTAGATTTTATTTTTACTTCTTTTTTTCTCCCACAGTTATCTAGTTGAGCTGGTTATCTCAGAAACAGTATTTTTAGAAAACACAAGTCAAGACCCACTAGTGGGGCCAGGTGTGATGGTTCATGCCTATAATCCCAGCACTCTGGGAGGCCGAGGTGGGAGGATCATTTGAGGCCAGGAGTTCGAGATCAACCTGGGCAACACAGCAAGACCCTGTCTCTACAAAAACTACAATTAGCTAGGCGTGGTGGTATGCAACTGTAGTCCCAGCTACTCAGGAGGCAGACACAGGAGGAGCATCACTTGAACACAAGAGTTCGAGGTTACAGTAAGCTATGATCATGCCACTGTACTCCAGCTTGGGTGACAGAGCAAGACTCTGTCTTTTAAAAAAAAGACCTACTAGTGGATCATGAAATCAATTTAGGGGTCACACCAGCATCTTTTAAAACATGAAATAAAATAGAAAATGTGGCCAGGCACCATGACTCACACTTGTCATCCCAGCACTTTGGGAGGCTGAGACAGGAGGATTGCTTGAAGCCAGGCGTTTGAGTCTAGCCTGGGCAACAGAGAGAGACCCCATCTCTACAAAAAAATGTTTTAAAAATTAGCCAGGCATGGTGGCATGTGCCTGTAGTCCTAGCTATTTGGGAAGCTGAGGCAGAAAGATTGCTTGAGCCCAGGAGTTCAAGGATGCAGTGAGCTAGGATTGTGACTGCACTCCAGCCTGGGCGGCAGAGCCAGACGCTGTCTCAAAAAGAAAAAAAAAGAAAAAGAAAATGCTAGAGTATATAGCACATTGTATTATGAAAATTGTATTCCACATTTTACACACACACAAACACACAATGAATTATGATGTAAAAAGTTTTTCATCTTTGGTTGCAGTAAAAATGTTTACAAAACACTGACAGTGATAAGCTCAACAGGCCAGCCTACTGACTAATGAAACACCTATACCTCATTTCTAATTTCCTTTGTTGTAGCAGTTTTCTTCGTATGTATATTTACAAGGATTATATTAGTCTAGTTAGTACTATTCATGTTCTACAGCTACTAATTAGAACGATGGAAATGGTGGGTTGCTGCTGGCAGGCTGAACTGTGTTCCTCTGCAGCCTCACTAAACTTATCTCTTGCATTTAGCACAGTTGAGTGCAGGTCTACTGGTCCTCCATTTCTCTGTGTTTCAGTACTGAGAGCTACTTCACCAAATCTTTTGAGGAGTAGAGATTTTTTGAAGTCTAGTTTTGAAATGGAAAACTCTTCTCTAGTAAGCATGGCGCAAAGATCAAGTTTTAGGTAGAACATAAGACAGTCTGAATATTACAATTTACAGTACTGTATTTTGGGACTCTTAGGAAAATTGATACCAAGTTTACAGTCATTCTTCCAATGGAAGAGAGAAGTATCTCTGAAAATAGACGGTCTTAAGATCCTCTCTACATAATTTGTAAATTTCCAATGAAATATTTCAGCTTACAAAAGGAAGGAGAAAGGGTGTTGAGATAACATGCAACCACAAGGGAACCTCTCTTCTCCCGTTATAATCATCTCAGAAAAGCTCACTTAGTATTATCAATGCAATTTGATGTACAATGCATGTAGAAGTGCCACTATATATATGCCAGTGTTTCCCAGTGTGGTGTGTACATTGGTACTGAACAAAATGATTGCAGACAGTACACAATGAAATACTTTTATTTAACTGTAACTAAAATTTTAAATAAAGTGGTGGATCACGCCTGTAATAACAGCCCTTTGGGAGGCTGATGCAGGTGGATTGCTTGAGCCCAGGAGTTCGAAACCAGCCTTGGCAACATGGCGAAACCCCATCTCTAAAAAAATACAAAAAATTAGCCAAGCATAGTGGTGCATGCCTGTACTTCCAGCCACTTGGGAGGCTGAAGTAGTAGGATTGCTTAAGCCTGGCAGGTTGAGGCTGCAGCTGCACTGAGCCGTGATTGTGGCCACTGCACTCCAGCATGGGTGATAGAGCAAGACCTTGTCTCAAAACAAAACAAAACAAAACAAAAACCCAAAATATTTTGTTATTTAATATACCTTAATAATTAAAATGTCAAAAGTATGAATTAGTAGTATGTGAATATGGTAAAGCAGGAAGGTGGCACATAAATGACTAGGTATAAAAAATATTGCCATATTCTTTCATATGTGTTACTCAATGCTCCACATTTCAGAGGAGAAAACAGACCAAGAAAACCCTTAAAACTTATGAGGGAAGCGTTTTAGTTTTTAACTGCTGATTGAACTCATTTCATTGCATAAAAACTTGGGTAAGGCAATGTAAAAAAAAAAAAAAACTAATTTGCTGGAAAAACTATAATGTAATGTAACTACTTAGGAGGATTTTTTTTTTTTTAATTTAAAAGAAATACAAGTAAGTTTTTAAAATTCACACTGGTCAATTAGCAGAGAACCTAAGCTGCCTACTCTTTTCTTCTCTGACAAGACTAAAAACACTATTATAAATTACAAACAAACTATAATTCAAAAAGCCATTCCATTTCTGATCTTTTGTCTTTAAATTTCAACCCAATTAGGTGGAGCGCAGTTGTGCTTGACATTAGCTAAGGAAAAATCCATAGAGTTTCTTTCCTAAGTTCAGATTCAACTTTGTATCTTAGCCCCATACCTCCTTTTTAAAAAATAGAAACATGGTCTCACTATGTTACTCAGGCTGGAGTGCAGTGGTTATTCACAGGTGCAATTATGCTGCACTGTAGCCTCCAACTCCAGGGCTCAAGTGATCCTGCTATCTCAGCCTCCTGAGTAACTGGGACTACAGGCATGCACCACTGTGCCCAGTAGCCTTTCCTTTTGGATAGTCAACCGAGTCAATAATAATAGAGGGTAAAATGCCATCACTAGGTTCTATCTTCACAACCATCAAATGCCTATGCAAAAGTTTTAAAAATAGTATCTATTGCTTTCAAAAAGGATTATCAAGAAACCTTTTTCTAAGTAATGGTCCATTCAGCTTTGCACAAATTGACTAGTGTCTCTAAAGCAGTGTTTGTACACTCAAAGCTTACCACAGAAAAAGTAAATTAGTAAGAGAATGGGTAAATACTTGTGTCACTTACTAGCTGAGGGACCTTAGGCAAGCTAATTAATCTCTCTGTATAATGGGGATAACAACAACAATAATAATAAAAAAAAAAAAGAGATGAGTAGAATACCACAAGGGGTGGTAGGAATTGTGGCTAACTTAACAAACACCCTACATAAAGGTATTCCCAAATGATTACAAAAAATACATGGAAGTAGGGGTAGTGTACCATGAGTTTTATTTTATTTTTAGAGATGAGTCTCATTACATTGCCCAGGCTGGTCTCAAACTCCTGGAATCAAGCCATCCCCTTGCCTCAGCCTCCCCAGTAGCCAGGACTACAGGTGTGTGCCACCATGCCTGGCTTACCATGATTTTTAAAATGATAAATTTTATCTAGAAAATGGCTACTTTTTAGTATTCCTGTGGTAGGCCAGCCTCCCTCAATGTTCTCCATTTCCTCTGGGGTTACAGCCCCGATGGCACGGTGTTCACATGTCTGAGGCCGACAACAAAGCCTTGCCTAGCACCAGCACAATGGTCTCTGGACGTACACATTTACATGGGTTGTGGGGGAAGGGAGAGAACAGAGAAGGCTGGGTGAAATCATAACAAATTATAAAATCGTAAATAACTTCAAGTGCCATTTTCAGTTGTTATTCCAACATCTGTTTATTAAAAAATATAACATACTTCAAAAAATTTATTTTTATAAAAAACACATTTCTTGACTACTCTATACTGAAAAATAAACAAAGCTGAATATCAAATATATGCCCCAAATATAAGGCAAAGATCTCCCCCCAAACCCCAGATGGTACATCTTATAATTAAATCTTTACAAAGCTCTGCATTATAGAGCTCTGTATTAATTATCTTGACAAATAAATGTTTGCGTAAGACACATACACCCGAAAACTTCAATCAATGTCATTTTTAAAGGTTTATAAGGTCTAATGAAGGAACCAGTGAGACAGAAGATGACGTCATGATGTGGAAAAAATGTCATCAGATTAAAAAAAAGTGGTTCTAGTGATGATGAATGACAGATACTAACATCAAAGTTGCATATGAAAAGTGTAATGAAACTTTCATGAAGTAGGAAGGGGGAAAATACTATTTCTAATACTTTATATGATATGCAATTATAGGTATGTATAATTATATGTATGTATAATTAAACTAAAATTGAATATTAGAAATAAAACATTTGGCTATTTCATGACTTCCCTAAAAGCTCATATATTCAAGCTGTCTACGAAATATTTTGAATCTTCTCATGGGCAAAATGGAGAACTGTTTATATACACAGTATATGTAATTTAAGTTTTATCTTTGAAAGAAACTAAGTTATTTGTGACTAACACACCTCTTGAACTGCTACTAACAGCGTTCCTTTCTTTCCTATTTGTCTGTATGATTGGTTCAAAACAATCACTGTACTAGTTTCTTCCAGTAAAGAGTTCCAAAAATAATTTTCATAGAGTAAATTTTAAGAAACTGTTTAACACATATGCAGCTGCTACTTTCAAATTATGTTAATTACTTGAAACAGTTACTTTCAACTGTCATATGCAGGTGTTAAAAATAGTTTCAGTTAAGTTCTGAGTTATGCAAATTATTCCATAAAAATTAGACTGCATTTCTGGAGAAGTGCCATCTGGCAGGAACTGATAAGAAAAGAGCTTCAGGAACTAAAATGAACAATTACTTTGAAATGTCCCTTCTTACTTACCATAGTCAATGAAGAAGATATAGACATGGATTAATAATGAAATCCAGAGGTATTTGTTCATGAGTATACAAATACCTTAAGAAGGCTTTAAATATCTGAGCCATGCTACTAAGACATCAAGAAACTATGATACTCTCAGTAGCGCTGTCCAATAGAACTTTCTGCAATCATGGAAATGTTCCATATCTCCTCTGTTCAAAATGGTACATACTAGCCACAGTAGCTAATAAGCACTTGAAATGTGGCTACTGGGGCTAAAAAAGTCAATTTCGTTTTTGTTTTTTAAGTTCATGTAGATGTGACTAGTAGTTAGCATTTTGGACAGTACAGCTCCACAATATCTATGATTCACATTAGGAGCTTACTAAACATGGAAGGGCTACTGGAATCTGGGCCTAACAATTTTATCTGAAGACAGTTCTAAATCAAGGGTTTAAAAATAAAAGGTCTTCATCCTATTCCTTATCAATATAGCTGGAGAAACAATCTACTTTATAAAAGAAATCAGCATAAAAAGAACTTAAGTACCATAGCATATGGCCTTTAATTTGGTGCTGTTTTCTAATCCTAGCAGACAACATGAGTAACGACAGATACACAGAACACAGACACGAAACAGTAGGAAATCAAGTGCCTAGTCCATGAATTAACTATTTGTAGCACACATAAAAATAGTGTTTTATGGCTTTTGAGTAGGCAAAGATAAACTAGTCACCAGACTGGCTGTCACACTTTCACTCCAGGTTTCTCAAAGGGGATTAAAAAAAAAAAAAAGAAATTTTAAATGCGGAAAAATGTAAACATATACACAACAGACAGAAAAGATTCTGACATACCCGTAACTCAATCATTATTAATAAACGATCAAACTTGTTTCATCTATATCCCTCTTCACTTTCCTTCACCTGGTATTATTTTGAAGTAAAATCCCACATAGGATTTCATATATGAGAATTAAAAAAAAAAAAAAAACTCCCAGAAAAAAGGGAAATGAAAGTACTTGATTAATTTATCCGAGGGAAGAGGTGTTCCAGGAAAAAGAAGTGATGTGCTGGGATTACAAAACTAGAGACTATCAGTGTGCATGAAGCATAAGGAGTAAGCAGAGAAAGAGGTCCCCGAGAAAAGATGGTGGCGATGGGAGAAACTCTCAGGGCACAGTTGAGCAGCATTACTCTAGTTTAAAGTAATAGGGAGCCAATACAGGTTTCAGAAGGGAGAGGGTAAAGAAAACGACTTTTGTGATAGCATGGAACCCGACTTCAGAAGCACTGAGGGTAAAACTAGGAAGGAGGATTTTGCAGTGCTCCAGCAGTTTACTTATTTGTTCAAATAAAACAAACAAATATCCTTTCCACATGCTAAAAAGGGAATGCTCTACCCATTTCAAGAGAGGCTTTGCTGGTGAATATTTAAATATATTTTACTTTTTTTTCCAATACTGAATTTTGCTTTAGGACTTACACACAGAACTGTTAGTTGTAATGTGACTAATCCTTTTTGGCTCACTTGTGAAATAATTTGCTAAGAATATCAGTAAGATAAAACAAATATTACATTTAAAAATTAGTTTAAATTTTAATTTACATTACCACTAACATAATTTTAAGACAAGCCATTAACATATCAAATGTAAAAAATCTAAGCTAAAATACTGACTGAAGGTTTTTTTTTTTTTTTTTTCAAGAAATGCTTAAGGATTTTAGGCTTTGTGGAAAGAGGGTTGGTGGGAGAATGATGGGGTAAGAGTTGAGGTAAGAAGAATGGAGGAAGGGCAAACATGTAAGAAAATACTTAATTTTAGAAAAATTTTTCAAAAAAAAAAATGACAAGACATTTTTTAACACTACAAAATCCCAGCTTACTTTTTTGGTTTTCTGGAAGTAGAGTTCAGGAAAAGCATGAAGCCAGTAAGCCAGCTGTGATATGTAGAAAAACTTCATTTGAAATCTGTACAACACAAGAAAATGAAGAGTACCTTTTAAAGCATAATTTTTTTAAAAAAAAGTAAACAAATACTGGAAATCAGGATATACTAAGTAACTACCTTTGTGTCATCATTCCATACAATATCTGTGCACCTTTAAACAACTCTTCAACAACCTCTTTCCCCATCTCCCTGTGACAGTCCCACCATTGGACAAGACCCCTGGATTAAACAGCAGGCAAAGATACTATCTGCAGAAAGCTATTGACATGTAAGCCAGTTGGGAGGAGTCAGAGCCCCTATTAGTTCATTAATACTGACTAGTATGTCATGTTAGCTACTGAAAACATAACCCACATGTCTATACAGTTTCATCAAGACAAGAAGGGGAAAAAGACTGACACAAAAGCAAAGGCTCATAGATTAATAATCACCTGAAACTGGAATAATCCCAATTTCAAATATCCTCTGTTTTTTTTTTTTTTCTTAGGCAAATATGGTAACTGTACCTGGTTGGAACATGGAGAAAGCCCCAAATAAATGGAGGCAGAGCTAGGATTAAAGACAGTCAGAATAAGGCACACAAGGGCTCTCCAGGAGCTATATCATAATCAGTCTAGAACCAATACTCTCCTCTTGACATTATATCCCTCTAGCCCTTCTGCTTCCTCTTTATTCTCCCTGCTCCTTCTCCTCCAGAAGTCTAAAATAGAAAACACAAAGCCAACCTAATTTCTTGGTGGTCGGGGTGGAGAGAATACAGTCCCACATAAATATAATATTTACAAAGTTCGTTGAACTAATAAAACTTTAGAAATCAGAGTATGATTCAGTAGAGTGGGTATTACTGCTAGACTTAAAATACCCACAGTCAGGTTATTCCCTTCTTTCCTTCGTATCTTCTCCCTTCTCCAATTCTCACATCACAATGTATTTACTAAATACTGTGTAGGTGACAAGCACTTGCAATGTACCTGGCACAATGAAGGATATAAAATAGTTTTTACCGCTACCAAGGCACATATAGTCTTAGTGGGTATGGGCACAATACAAGACTTACAAAAATGAGACAATTATAGAACAATCAAAACAATATATAGACACTACATCAAATTTCTACCAAAATGACAAATTTGGGGATACAAAAGACCAATACAGGCTAAAATAGCAAGGAAAATTAATATAGAATAGTTGTACTAGAGCTGGGCTCGAATAATGAATTATTCAGACGTCTTGGTAACCACTGAGCACTTTAACCCAGCAGCACTGTACAGACTAGAGAAATAAAAAAGAAACAATTCCTAACCTCAAGAAGCTTATAATAGGAGAAAGAAAGGAAGATGTGAAAAGAGACAGGGGGTGGGGACAAAGAAAAGGAGCAAAAATATAGAGAAGATGGAGTCATAAAAAGGAGAAAGTATGAGTGAAAAGAAGGGAAAAGAAGCGAGTACCAAATTAAGTTATGTTAAAATCAGTTGTCTCAAGCTTACAAAGATGTTGAAAAGATTAGAATAGAAACATTAAAAAAAGGTACACAGCTTTTTTTTTCTTACGGCAGTGGGACTGTCAAAGACATATTTTCATCTATTTTATGCATTTGCCTAAGGTCCTAAAGAGAATAACAAGAATGAATTCTGATTAATAGTGACATGACCATGGTCCTTAACAAAGAAAGGGCTGCTAAAAATGACTTACGTCATCAGGTTATGGGGATAAGCCCTCCATAAGATAGTTGGGTCTGAGATGTAGTTTTCCTAAGAAAGAAGATATAAAAATTAACCTGTGAGCATAATGCAAACTTCTTGGAAAATAAGGCATTACTTTCATTTCTCAAACATTTACAGGTCCCATACCAGGTTGCAAAGAACCCACTAATGTCAAAATCCTTAGTTGTTTTAGTTATTTTCAAGCCAATTTGAGTTGGTTACTTGAGCAAAATGAAAATCAATGATAGAAATGAGATATGGAATCAGGTAAGACATAATTCCTGGCCCTAAAAAATCTTTCAATCCCATAGAATAAAAATACACGTACACAAACAAACATAAAACCACCAATAAGAGGCACAACAGTGACCAGGAGAGAAGAATTTTGTCTTAGGTAATCAGAAGATTTCAGGAAAAGTTTGTAGCATCTGACAGGAGACAAAGGATCAGGGTGCTACCGAGTTTTATGGAATTACGTCAATAAAATACTGCCCCAATTTTTTTCTTAGATAATCAGATCTACTCAGTGAGAATTACTGCATATGTAAAAAAAAAAAAAAAAAGATTAAAAAATAAATAAAATCTAAAGTGATTTTTGTAAGAGTATTTTCCCACAGAAGTATAACTTTTATGTTTTTTTAAAAAAATGTATAATAGTTTTTAAACTAAAATTTACATATTACCTATAAAGTATTATTAAAGCAGCACAGTAAAATGGAATGAGCAATGGAATAAAAAGCTGAGTTTTAGTCTACTTCCAACATGAAGTGCTTTACCCTGGAAAACTCACTGTTATTCATCTCTAATACAGTGATTAGAAAGAATTATGTGTCTGACAAACTCAAAAGTATGTAAACTATGGAACACCATATAAATTTAAGGGATTGTTATCACTAATATTAAAGCAAATACTGCCTTTCTTTTTCTCATTAGTTAGAGTGATACAACTAAAGGTTTTGATTGCCATAACTGAAAAGTTATACAACATTTAAGAAGCTTGGAAAACACTGGGGCTGTTTTTAAAGGAGGAAATGACTGTGAACATTACAACTCATGTAACCTACGCTTTTTGCTGATACAGAGGTATCTGTAAACCACTATAAGATACAAAAGTAAGGCCGGGCTTGGTGGCTCAAGCCTGTAATCCCAGCACTTTGGGAGGCCGAGGCGGGTGGATCACGAGGTCAGGAGTTCGAGACCATCCTGGCCAACATGGTGAAACCTTGTTTCTACTAAAAATACAAAAATTAGCTGGGCGTGGTGGCGTGCGTCTGTAGTCCCAGCTACTTGGGAAGCTGAGGCAGGAGAATCGCTTGAACCCGGGAGGCGGAGGTTGCAGTGAGCCGAGATCATGCCACTGCACTCCAGCCTGGAGACAGAGCGAGACTCTGTCTCAAAAAAAAAAAAAAAAAAAAAAAAGAAAGATATAAAAGTAACATTCAGAGTGACTAAAAATGAATAAGCCTTTCTGAAACAGTAAACATAGTTTAGAATTTTTGCTGTATAAAAAAATACCTAAAACAGATTTATCACTGAAACTCTTAACTTAATACTATTTCATTAGCAGAGTTTCTAATCTTAGATAAGGAAGGAGAACAACAACCTAAGAGGACATACTTACAGAGATGAGAATGAATGTGCCCCAAACACAGGCAAAAAGGTAGAACGCACTAAGCTGACCAGATTCATTAAACTTGCTGTGTTTTGTTTTGGAGAAGTGCATTCGCCTGTTAATTTTCTAAAAATAAAAACAGCCATTAGTAATTAAGAATAAATTATAAATTATATTTAATATATGACTAGCAGATTATGGAGAGCTAGTACTTTATAAAGTATAGATTTCTAAGACTGCATACTTACATCCAACATATACTCTTGAATTACGGCATGAATAATTATCGCCACTAGCATGTAGAAGAAAACAGTAGCCAAATCTTTGATGCCATAGTAATAAAGGGACACTGATTCAGTAGCTTGTTCTTCTGAAGACCAAAAAGGACACAAATACACAAAAATATACACAAGGTTATAAAAACAGCATTAAGTACAACATAGTTATGGAAACAAAGAAGAATAACCTAATAAAAAAGTTCTATATTAACATCATAAATAACGTGGTCTTGGACATCTTGAGTCTTAGAGGGGCAATGAAAATCAAAACTATCTAGAAATCTAAAGCTTTAGAAATTACTTACAAAGACTTGACACATGTTAGTCACAGCCACCAAAGACCAAAAAACAGGGAAGAGGAGGCCACACTCAATAAACTGATATTATCCCAGGGGTATAAATTAGGTTGATAAAGTTATACTTAGCCTACTGACCTATTTTTTTCAAAGGGCTTTTGAAACTTTCTACTTCTACTTTCTAACTACACACTAAATTATGATTCTGATGAAAAAGCTGATTTGACCTGTATTTGATTTAGTTTTGATCTATAAGCAGCAGAGATAAAGGCAACTACTAAAGTTGTTTTTAATCCTTGCAATTGCTATAATTTTTCAAAACAAATCTTTATCAAATACTTGTGAATTGCTGACACTTATTCTCAAACTTTATGTTTATGGGGAACATATACATAAAAGAGCTTTATTCTTCTCTGGCATATTCAAATTTCAAAACAGTATTGTAGTTTTGAGTAACCTGATAACTAAATCACTAAATTAAATATTTACAAAACTGTACATAACTGAACAAAAACCCAACTCAGGGGCTAGATGCAGTGGCTCACCCCTGTAATCCCAACACTTAGGGAGGCAAGGATTGCTTGAGGCCCAAATTCAAGACTGACCTAGGTAGTATAGTGAGACTCCATCTCTATAGTAAATTGAAAAATTAGCTGGGCGTGGTGGTGTGCCCTTGTAGTCCCACCTACTTGGGAGGCTGACCTGGGAGGATCATTTGAGCCCAGAAGCTGGAGGCTGCAGTGAGCTACGATCACGCCACAGCACTCCTGCCTAGGTAACACATTTGGCAAGACCCTGTCATCTCTTAAAAACACACATATAAATAACAGCAACAACAACAAAAAACCCCAACTAAATGTGGTATACTATATTATCTTACATTCTAAATAAAAAACTGTGCAGGTTTACTGCCTCAACCAAAAAATACCCCATCCCTCACCCATGCTAGTTAATTATATCACTGTATTAAATTACAATCAACTTCCAAGAAACACCTAATTTTTACATAGATTAAGAAATAAGATTTTTGAAATAAAACCTAATAGTTTGGATGCTATTACCAGATAATTCCTAGAGCTTACTAACACATTTTCTGGAATCAAAATAATTGTTAAAAGTAGAGCACAGGAAAAAGTGAAAATAATCTTAGAAGGATTGATTGCTATTACAGGTCCAAAATGTAACTTACAGAAAAACTAAATCTGCCATTGTGCTTTTAGAAGTCTTGAATGAACAATGACATTTAAACAATTTTAAAAAGATCTTTTCTTATAATTTTCTTAGGAAAAAATCAGAAAGCAGAGAAAGCAAAACAAAATTATTTTATGGAATTTCAAGTCCATTCACAAAAATATATAGTAAACAGAAAACATATACAGGGTAAAGTCAATCAAAAACATCAGATCTTGTATTATAAAATCATCACAATAACATTCAGTCACATCATGGATGAGATCTCTGACGATTAATTAACGCAGGACCTAGCATTCATGAAAATTTCCAAGTTTGTTCAACTGAACTTCTATTTACGTAGAAAATTCTTAGCGTAAATTACCTACCTGTTGCTGGGAGGGTGACATTGTACTGAAGAGTAACAAAAATGATAGAAGCTTTTGCCGTTATCTACAAAGAAGGAAAAACAAAGATCAAGTCAATTTGTGACCCTCTCCCAAATAACAGATCGGGGCAAAAACATTATAAAATCTGTCCCTAAATCGAAGCACCAAGGGCCTCCTCGTTCCTGTGGAATCCTGACAGACACAATGGAAATTACTGATTGCCAAGGAGCTAATGTAATTCACTAGAGTACTCTTCTGCGGTTTAGGTAAAATTGTGTAATTCATCCTTAATTTTAAGATTTCAAAAGACATTTTCTGCAGTTCCAGAAAACAGTTATTTGACAAATGATGATTCTCTACTCTAGCCCTATACAATGAATAAAAAGTTCCTATTAAGACAAATTTCAAGTGTAAATTAATAAAATAAAGAGAAGCACAGTTAGCATGAGAAAAGCAGATCAAATATAGGGTCTGTGGTGTGGGTGTGTTAGTATCCCACACACCCAGCAGAGTTAAGTGGTCAATAACTGTTTAACTGACCTGACTACTGGTAAAAGTAAACTGGTCAGAGCAGAAAAATGGAATGCTTACCCAATCTTTACAGGCACCAGGCAAAGTGCTAGACAAAAAAGGACGAGATGAAGATGGATAAAATAATCCCTAATGACAAGGAGCTCCGTGGTGTGAAAAGTACAGGTAAATAAACTGTTATAATACTGTAGAATAAGTGCCAATAGCTTGCACTGTGGGTACTTGGGATAAACAATGAGCTTTGTTGGTTTTTTTTCTGGGGTGGAATGAAATGAAGGAGCTGTGTTTTGCTGGAAAATAGGTGTTCCCTAGGTTCACAAAGGGGGATGAAGAGGACAGTACAGATAGAAGAAACAGAGCGTGGCAAGATCAAGTAGCAGTGAACACAAGGCCAGGCACAGGATGCACATCAGGAAGCGTTAGAAAAGACTAGAAACATTATTGAGTGCTAGAAAGGACTCTGTTTTTTGAGCTAAGTAGTTTAGATTTCACTTTCGCACAAGTGGAGAATGTTGAGGACGGGAAAGTTCATTTATGCCTTTTAGAAGGATTGCTCTCTGTGACCTGCTAAGTGGTATCCCAGGCCCCTTCAGATCCATTCTCCATATTGCAACTAGAATGATTTTCTCATCATGTTACCACATCCCCCTCCCTACCTGCTAAAAATCCTTCACTAGATTCCCATCTTTCTAGGAGAATGTGACCATAGGACTCTATGGTCTGACTCCTCTCTCTGCCTCTGCAGCACCTTCTACCACAGGGTCTCTGCACATGCTGTTCTATCTAAAATACGGTCGGAAAATATTTCCCATCAGATCTCAGTTGCATTACACCTTTTCAAGGAAGTCTCCCTGTCTTCCTAGAGTAGGTCATTTCCTTTGTTAGATTATCTCAGAGAACTGTGTTCCTTTCCTTCAAAGGCATACTCTGGTTGATTATATTAATAATTTCTGTCTCGCCCATTAGAAAGTAAGCTCCATTAGAACTGGGATCATGCCTGTTTCCACTCATCACTATATTTCAGAGCCCAGCATGGGGCCTGGTACATATTAGGTAATTAATCAATATCGCTGAATAAATATCAGTTAAAAGTACAAACCGGAGTGAGCATGCAGCCAAGAATGAAACTTCTGCAAGAGACCACATGAAAGATAATGAGACCTGAACTAAGACAGTGACTGTGGGATACAGGAGGCACTCATAAGGCAAAATAAGGTTTGGTAAGCTAGAAGAAAGAGTACAAGGTTATTTATTGATGCCTACAGCTGAGATTTCTGGGAGATGAGCAGTAAGGCAGCTAAAACCTAAGTCTAGAACTCAGTAGGGAGAACCTAGCTTAAATAAAGATTTGGGAGTCTCTTTCTACAGATAATAGCTGAAGCTGTGAAAATACATAAATCATATATGGAGAGTGCACAGTATTTGTAGAGAAGTAGGACAACATCAGACCCATGGAGAGAACAGGGAAAAAAGCAAAACTTCAAGTCACTGAAACTAAGAAAAAATGGTTAGAGAGACAGAGAAAGAAATAAAAAGAGCTTGTAGTCCCAAAAGCCAAAGGGGAAACATTTCTAAAAGGTGTGGTTAATAAAGTCAAAAGTTTCAAAAGAGATGTGGGAGGAAAGAGAACGATAGACTGGACAATTTAAGAAGTCATCAGTGGTCACAGCTTGAGTGATTCCAACTAAGTAGTGAGAGCAGGAGCTGCATTGCAGTGGACTGAAGAACACAGAGGCACAAGGTGGTATCCAGTAGATGCCAGGTCAAATTTTATGTTGTTTTCAGGATAGGAGAGATTGAGCTTGTGTGGGGGCAACAGTGAAGGCAACAGGGAAAAGGGAGAAGTTAAACACACAGGATAGAAAGAGAATAACGGATGGAGGCATATGACAGGGAACAAAATTGTAAGGACTGAGTATTGCACTCTTGAACAACTTTTCCTCTTAGATGGGAAGAAGGCAGTAATGGATGGGACACATAACTTCAAAAGACAGGAAAATGAGGAAATCCGTGCTTGATAAACTTTTATTTTCCCTGTGTGAGAAAAAAGCAATGTCACATATTAAGCATAATGGGGACATGAATGGTGACTATTTATATAGTTCCCATAGGGAAAGGAGATGGCCAGGGAAAGTAAAAAGATACCGGATGCGAATGTCTGAGGTTAGAAACCTTTGATTTGCAATATTATCTACTAGCATGAGTATGACTTTCTCTGGGAATTGAGAGGCACCGAAAAGGCCAATAGTGGAGTAAAGATTGCAGGAAGAAAGGCAAAACAATGAGGGGGCTAATATACTGGAGAAAGGGAAAGGGGGCCGTGGTACCACAAAAGCTTGGACTAGGTAGAGCACTGACTTATGAGTACTAGAATGAGGGAGGTGAACAAAACGTAGGTTGTAGCTGAACTCTGTTATCCTAGAATTCAGGAAGTGGAAGAAGTCAGGCTTGCATGACAAACTGCAGGATACGGCCAGTAAAGTGAGTTGCCGAACTGGGTTAGATATGAAGGTCTCTTGAGTAGAAAAGGCTACTAAGGCTACTCTATTAAAATTTGGGTCATTAACAAGGACTCATTAGAGCAGAACGATGACATGAGTCTCCAGGGCAACACTACTTTCATGTGATTATTTTTAGTAAAGTTGAGTGGTCACTACATTTCATTTAGTTTTGCTATCTTTGTTTAGATTTTTTATATATATATATAGTCTAAACAATATATATCTATATATACACACTATATATATGTTTTATACACACACACACACACACACACACACACACAATCTGTTTTACACACAAACACTCCACATCCCTGTTTCCAGTTTGTAATATGAAGTCACCACTGTCACACCTAAGAACACTTTGTTAAAGAGTCCTTTACAGGCCAGGTGTGATGGCTCACACCTGTAATCCCAGCACTTTGGGAGGCCAAGGTGGCTGGCTCACCTGAGGTCAGGAGTTCAAGACCAGCCTGGCCAACATGGTGAAACCTCATCTCTATTAAAAATACAAAAATTAGCTGGGCATCGTGGCGGGAGCCTGTAATCCCAGCTACTCAGGATGCTGAGGCAGGAGAATCACTTGAACCCAGGAGGCGGAGGGTGCAGCGAGCTGAGATCACGCCATTGCACTCTAGCCTGGGTGACAGAGTGAGGCTCCATCTCAAAAAGAGTCCTTTACAAACAACAAATGAGATTCTTCAAAGATAAATTTAGCATCAAATTCTAAAAGCAGCAAAAATTAGATTATCCTTTTAGCCAGGCTTCCAAATAAAATTAAAATTTGACCTCCAGCTGGTTTAGCATGTGAGTTTAAATAGAAGAAGAAGAGGAAAAATGTAAACTACACACTCCAAAAAGTTTCAAGTTTAAGCTAGCAGTCTTGCTCCTAGCCATTTCCAGGCCTCCTAAGCCTCACACCCTGCTAGCATTGCTGCAGTTAAACTCACACCACAATTAATTAGTAGTAAGATAAGTTAGTTTAGAATATAAATAGGCTACAGAAATATATAATGCACTCGAAAGTAAAAATACCTGAGTTTATGACAGTTTGAACATTTACAGAGCTGCTCTCCATTTACAAAAATGGAAAAATGAAAAAAGAGACTTATTCAGATGCATCTTAAATAGGTTACCAGAAACTGTAATGAATTACCTAATTCTATGCTGTATGCAATGTCATAAATACAACATTTCTTTAATTAAATGTCACCGGTTGGGGCTTGGTATCTTTCTTGTTATATAGAGATGTTAACTACTTTGCACTTGTTTTAGAGGAAGATGTGACCAGTCACTACATGGACTGGATCCTTGAAAAGTAAAGACAATTCTGAATATCAAATTCCACTTCCAGTGGGGCTCAGTGGCACGTGCCTGTAGTCCCAGCCACTCAGGTGGCGAGAGGGGAGGATCACTTGAGCCCAGGAGGTCAAGTTCCAGCCAAGGCAACATAGCAAGACCCTGTCTCAAAAAAAAGAGAGACCCTTTTGTAGTTCACAAGTGTGATGATTGGGGTTTCACGCTTATATGTGAGATGTGTCTCTCCCTCAAACTTTGTTCTGACCTGAGCACCTTACCTGTCATAAAAAGAAAGAAAAAAAGGAAAGAAAAAAAAAACCCAAACCTTGAAAACTGTTTCAAGATTGTTGAAATTGTAAACGTCCCCAAAATCTGTATGGCATAAAGAACTTGCAGATTTTGAATATCTTTCCTTTTGAATATATTTCCTTTTGAATATCTTTCCTTTATACACTCCTTAAAAGAAATACTTCTCTTGTGAACCCCTAATTCTTCACCCCTCCTCCACATACTCACTTTCAGAAAGCTTCCCAAGCATCCCTAACATTTTTTGACCATTCAATTTTTCCTAACTCAAATATGAAGCCATTCATTGTATACTATGATTTGAATTATGTGGACAGATATTTACTGTAATAAAACTATGATTCCAAAATTTACAAGCAATTTTTGATTAATGTGAAGTTCCCTGGAAATTAAACTCTTACATTACTGCCAAACAGACTACTTTGTTAGCCTTTTCAGTATGTATAATCTCTTTAGATGCTAACTAAAGAGATTCCAGGCCCTTCTCTCACATAAAAATGCTTTCTATTTCCCAATTTTGGTGAGTTTTTAAAGAATAATAATAGCTACCACTTATTGCACACCTTTTGGAAGTCAAGTATTGAACTAGGCATAATACAAATTGGTTAATTTGTCAGAGTAACCCAATAAGCCCCATTTTACAGATGAGGAAACTTCAGTTCTGAGCTGCCCTAGGTCACCCAGTTAGCAAGCTGCAGAGCCCTAACTTGAACATGAATCCCTTCAGCTCCAGAATCCATGCTTTTACAGTGTATCTCCATTGCTTCTTCATTTTGGCTAGTAATACAGTATTTCTTTCTTTCTGAATTTCTTTGTCAATGTCACCATAAATCCTCTGACATTTCCTCAATGTATCTGCACAACAGGCTTAACAGTTCTGCAAAAAAAAATCAATTTCTCTATTATTCTAGCACAAGTACTGTAATTCTATAATTATGTTAACTTTGAGATTCAGCAGCAATTGTTTTAAAAGTCGAATAGCAAAACTAACCTAGTCTACAAAGTCCTATATATAGATAACATGCTTTGAAATCCTAACACCTTAATATATGGTAAGAAAAAGGAAGAACTCGCACAAACTTCACTTTTGTGTATCACTTTAACACTCACTTTTGAATTGACTTAAAAACCTCTATTTAGTATTTTTGTCTATTTAGATTTTCAAATTTTATAAATTTATATAAAGGTGAAAATCCACTGTTTAAAAAAATCACTAACATGTGAGGCAAGGTATAGGTGGTGGACTTCCCTAGAAATATAGTAAGAGAATGTAAAATAGTTTATATAAAATCAAAGTTATACTATGTGTCAGAATTTCTGATTTATATTTCATTTCATTCAAAGCACTGCAAATATACCTTGCAGGTCACAGTACCCCTAAAATATGTTTTTAAAGTCAGGAATTCTTACCATGTGGAGATGGTTTATGACAAGTTACAGAAAATTGAATATACTACATATATTAAAGTACTACTTTAAGGTCAAAGCAGAAAGTACATGCAAGTATCAAATTCAGAAAGTGAATACAAATGTTTAACATTGGGTTTTTTTTGAGACAGGGTCTTCTTGCTCTGTCCTTCAGGCTGGAGTGCAGTGGTGAAACCTTGGCTCACCGCAGCCTCCACCTCCTGGGCTCAAGTAATTATCCCACCTCAGCCGCCCAGCTGAGACCACAGGTGCGTGCTATCTATCACTCCTGGCTAATTTTTAAAAAATCATTTGTAGAGACAGGGTCTCCCTATGTTGCCTAGGCTGGTCTCGAACTCCTGGGCTCCAGTGATTCTCCTGCCTTGGCCTCCCAAAGTGTTGGGATGTTTACAGGCATAAGCCAGAGCACCAGGCCTAGCACTGTATTTACCTTCACACCATATCATCTGATACTTGCAAAAAATGGCTGTGAGGAGAACAGTACAGGTGATATTATTTCCTGATAAAGAGCAGAAAAATTGAGGCTCAGACTTGGGTCACCCAGTAGGTAGGTGGCACAGCCCAGACTTAAAGCTTGAGAATGTTAGTTTCCTTCTACCTACCCTTTAACTATACCTGCTACCTCCTTAGCAGTGGTTTCAAACATGCATGACACAATCAGGAGTAAATAATATCTGTATCTAGATCCAGAAAAGCCCATTTGATGAGAGGCGAAAATAAGGTTAAAATATTATTTAATTTTAAAATTAAAAAAAAAAACAAATATGCTCCATTAAAAAGAAAATGTATTCACCTTTTGGTCACTGGTAATATCATTCCATTAGGTTTTCTCAAGGATTCTTAACGTCGCTCATCTTTTTTTAAGCACTCCTATGTCCCAGGCACTATCCTAGACTCTGGAAATACAGACTCGTAAAAATACTCCAAAATCTCTACTCTCACTTGTTACATGCAGGAGAGAGGAGACAAAACAAGGCAGGAGCAAAATAATTTGTATATTTACTGAGACATAAAGGCTCCAGAGAAAAATTAAAAAGGGAAAAAAGCAAAGGAATGAGCGTGTGTATTGGGGAGCGAGGGGAAAAACGTAGGATGTTACTCGTTCACCTTGCAAAGTTTATCATCCACATTCAACAGCTGTTAAATAAGTCATCAAAATACTAGATACGTGGGAAGAGAATTTACACACTCCTGACATTCCCATCCTCTCCTACTTCAAGAAACAAAATTACTCGATTCCTTGGCACCGCTGTTCAGAACCTCGATTTATCCATCAGACCTTGTTTCTTTAAAGCGTCAGGGCAAAAAGTTCGTTAACTGGTAATAATATCAGTTTAAAAGACAAAAATGAAAACAATCTGGCGCGCCTCCACTGCGCCGGTGCCCGGCGGCCACCGCCCTTCAAGTCGAAAGCAGATGCCTGACTCCGGTTTCTCGCTCACCCCAATCTCGGAGCTACCGGGGGCTCCCCTGTCACTCGGGGCCTGTGGTCTCCAGGCCGGCACTCCTCAGACCCGGGGGCCGGGCCTCGGCCTTCCCCGGCCCTCGCGGGGCTGACGCTCACCGCGGCCGAGGCTGGCAGTCCCCCCAAGTCCGCCCACCCGCCCCGAGCCAGCTCGGCAGCGCAGGGGCCGCCCCCGCCCGCAGGCCCCTCGCCGGCTGCCACGTAACCCTTCGCGGGAACCAGGAACTGCGCCGCGCAGCCTGCGGGAGGGGGCGGCGGCGGGTCAGGAAGGGGGCGACGCGGCGGTCCCCACCCCCTGCGGGCCGCGATGAGGCCCACCGGGACTTTGCATCTCCGGGCCGGCCGCCGGGGAGCTGCCGCCGACGTGGGGCAGGGCAGGGAAGGCCTGCACCTCAGGGACTGGGGGTCTGCACCCACCCCGGGCCCGAGCCCCCCGCGTCCTGGGCGGAGAAGCCGGGGCTGGCATCTGGAGCCCGGGCCCGGGCTGGAGGTGGCGGGGCAGGCGGTTGGGACTCGGGGCGGGCTCACCTCAAACATGAGCCCCAGCAGGAAGACCATCGCCACACAGGAGACGATGTCCGCGTGATTCTGCAGGACGAATTCGTGGCTCAGCACTGGGGGGCTCTTGGTGCTTTTCTTGCGAATCGCCATGGTGGGGCCGCCGCCCGCGCCTGCAGGTGCTCCGCCCCGGTTCTGCTCTTCCCAGCTGCTCACCGACTCGCCGCCGCCTCCCGCTGGCTGCTCCTCACGGCCCCGCTGCAGCCGCTCGCTGGGGCTTCACTTCCCATCCCACAGCCAGTACGCAGCCGCCGGGCCGCCCGGGGGAAAAAAAAAAACACAACAGCTAGCCCGCAGCGGGGGCGAGCATGCGCACCAGGGAGACGACGCTCCCTGGTGCCGCGGCCGCCTCCGCGAGCCCACAGCGCCACCTGGGGACCGGAGGCCGCTGGCCCGCGGCCGGGCGAGCGTGCAGGAATGTGAGCGGCGCTTCCCTGCTTCGCGCCGGGCCCGGGTTTGGGAGTCGTTTGAGGCGCGAGCTTCCTGCGCCTGCTCAGCAGCCTGAGGCCGCGGCCGGGTGCCCTCCTGCCCTCCTGGCCATCCAGGGATTGGGTGTCAGTGGCCTGTTGCACATTGTCACTTCTACAAGTGACTAACACCGTCAGGATAATCTAAAACTACGAATACTACCTGACTCCACAAGGGTACGGTGTATTCTCCAGTTTTAGCATCTGCCTTAAAAATTACCTCAGAGTTAAGCACTGCTGGGGACTTATTTCTACTCTTGGTAAGTTTGGACTAACTTAAAAAAAAAAAAAGAGCTGACCCTATTCTGGTCTGCCTCTCCGTCCCCACCCCCATCCCCGTCCCCATCCCCACCCCTATCCCCCACTGGCCTCAGACTGAAGACGAAGGGATCAGTTTGGGTTTACTGGCTTCACATATATTCAAATTAACAACATGTTTTAGTAATCTAAGGGAAATAGTAAAAGAGTTAAAAAGGATCGTGGATTAAGACACGTCCTCCTCTTATCGTTTTGCCCAAACCTGGAGTCCTTTGTATTCTTTTTCCTGAAGAATTGCTCTCCTGTTTACCCATAAGCCAAATGTAGAAACCAAAGTCATGCTAGATTGAGCCCTTTCAGCGCCCTTCCACATCCAGTCATCACCAATTCGAGGCAGACCTATCACCCCGCTTCCCCACTACCGCAGTCCGAGGGTACTTGCCTCTTGCCTACAATATTACAACTCTGGTGTAACCACTTAGTGGTTTAAGAATGTGGGTTGTTAAATCAGAATTCTGCCACTTATTACTTGTACGATCAAGGACAAGTTACTTAATCTCTATGGGACCCGATTTCCTCATTTTTAAAAATGTATTCATTTATGTACTTACTGAGGGTTGACTGTGTCCTGGGCACTGGGGATACAGAACTGAAATACAAATTAAATTATTCCTAGGGACTTATCATTCTAGTGTGGGAGAGAATCTTTAAACAAGATTTCAAAAGCGAAACAGATGTTAAATTGAGTTGAGCAACCAGGAGAAAAATAAAGCAAGGGGAATAGGAAAGTGCGAGGCACTTATACTTGCCTGAAGACCTGCAGGAGGTGAGGGAGCAAGCCCTGTGGATATCATCTATAAAGTGGGGATAACTATTGCTCATTTTAGTGATTAAATGAGATGATTGAAGGAAACTGCTTAGCGGGGAGTAAGGGCTTTATAAATTTAGTCAGGGATTATTCTTTTCCTCCTTCTGGGCAATCACTAGTTTCATTTCCCTTCAGATCACCTTTCAACGTTTATACTAGAATGATGCTTCTACTGGCAGAAAGTTTTTCAGCGGGTTCCCTTTCCCTTCATGGAAAGCTAGCATGATGAAATAGCCCTTTCTGATTTGGTCCTTGCCTACCCCAACAGACTGGAGCCCTGCATCTACAGGCCATAATCTCTGTACCAGCATTATTGACTACACACACTATACAGTTGCCTCTCCATATCTGTGGGTGCCGCATACACTGTGGATTCAACCAACCTGGAGTAAAAGATATTCAAGAAAAAAACTGCATTTGTACTGAACATCTACAGACTACCCCCCCATGATTATTCCCTAAATAATATAGTACAGCCAACTATTTATTTAGCAGTTATGTTGTGTTATTATAAGTAATCTAGAAATGATTGGAGGTCTGTGGGAGGATTTAGGATATTCTTTACCAGAATATTGCATCATCTTATATAAGGCACCTGAGCATGGGTGGATTTCGGTATCCGCGGGGGCCCTGGAACCAGTCCCCTGTGAAGACTGAGGGACGACTGTACATGCCATGACATGCTCTCTTCCCATGCTCTCCCCTGCCTTTGCGTGTACTGCTGTCTCTGTCTGGAATGTTTTCTCCTGTCCTTTCATAGACACAGCAGGCTCCTGCTGTTCCTTCATGTCTCATTTACACATGACCTCTTCGAAAGCTTCACTGAATTCTGTGACCTAAGCAATTTATCTTTTATGATTCAATTGCATTTTTGAAATAGTTTTATTGCAGTATAATTTATGTCATATAGTTCAGCTATTTGAGATATTCAATTCTGTGGTTTTTAGTATGTTTGCAAAGTTGTGCAACAATCACCATAATATAACTTTAGAACATTCTTGTAATCTCTAAAAGAAACCTTATACACATTACCAGTAACTCTCCATTTCCCCTCATAGTCTTGGCAGCCCTTGGCAACAACTGACCTATTTTCTACCTCTCTATATTTGCTTATTGTGGACATTTCTTTTTGTTCTTTCTTTGTTTCTTTTCTTTCTTTTTTTGAGATGGGGTCTTGCTCTGTTGCCTAGGCTGGTGTACAGTGGCATGATCATAGCTCACTGCAACCTTGGACTCCTGGCCTCAAGAAATTCTCCCACCTCCCAAAGTGCTGGGATTACAGGTGTGAACCACCATGGCCAGCTTGGACATTACATGTAAATAGAATCATGATCTTTTGTGACTGACTTCTTTCACTGAAGATAATGTTTCCAAGGTTCATCGATGTTGTAACATGTATCAGTACTTCACTCCTTTTTATGGCCAAATAATATTCCATTGTATGGCTATAGCACATCTTATTCATCAGTTGATGAACATTTGTGTACAAGTTTTTGTTTGAACTCAATTCCTTTGGGTATATACCTAGCAGTGGAATTGCTGATCATAAGGCAACTTTATGTTTGACGTTTTGAGGAACTCTCACACTAATTTCCAAAGTGAATGCACTATTTCCCATCCTATTAGCAATGTGTAGAGGTTCCAATTTCTTCCCATCCTTGCCAATACTTTTATTTTCTGTCTTTTAATCTTATCTGTCCTAGTGGGTGTGAAGTAATATCTCATTGTGATTTTGCTTTGCATTTCCCTGAGCACTAATGATATTGACTACTAGCCTTATCAGGTGCTCAGAAGCCATCTGTATATCTTTTTTTGTAGAAATGTCTATTCAAATCCTTTATCATTTCTAAGTTGGATTAATTTTTTAAAGTTTATTGAGTTGTAAGGGTTTAAAAATATCTATTCTATATGTCCATGTTGTTCTGTAATTTATTTTAAAAAATAAAAGATAGATTCTAGATCTTAGCAGATATATGATTTGAAAATATTTTCTTTCAGTCTGTCTTTTTACTTTCTTGATGGTTTTCTTTGAAGCACAAAAGTTTTTAATTCAGCAAAGTCCAACTTACCTGTTTTCTCTTTAATCACTTGCTATTGTTGTCCTATATAAGAAATCAGTGCCTAACCCAAGATTCCAAAGATTTACTCCTGTGTTTTCTTCTAAGAGTTTTATGGTTTTAGCTCTTACACTTGGGTCTATGAGGACTCACTTGTATTTTGTACATAATTTCATTTTAGCAATAATCATACTATCTTCTATTGTTTGCAAGTCTGTCTTCCCACTAGACTGGTACTCCTCAGGAACTGGGAGTTGTTTCATTTTTCCAGCTCCTACTACCTGGTGCTATACTGTCAAATATTTAGTGGTCATTATTTATTGAGGGAATGAAAAGAAAAAATACCTCACATAAATGAGAATAAAACCTTAAGATAGTTTAACCAAGAAACAAACATAAAAATGATATATGGCTCTACAAAGTTACTCATTTTAAATATATTTAAAGAAGACTTGCAATGCACCAAGCAAGTCCTGAGTTGTAGGATATAATTATTAACAAGACAGATTTAGTCTTTGTTCTTGAAACGCATACCTGGAATAGAAGACAGACAGTAAACAATGACCAATGTGATGGATATTTACAAAGAGACAGTGCAAGGTGCAGTAGAAGTGTTCTAGGTCATTTGGAAATGAATTGCTCTACTAATGTCAGTTTTTAAACTGAAATTGGTCCTTTCAAACCTTAGAATCTGGTGATTTTTCACTCCTTTGTGAGAAGACCACATTGGTCTTCTTTCAGCTGCTTAAACATATCATACTCTGGCCAGCCATAGGACTTGAGATGACCATTGGGTTTTTGTTGTTGTTGTTTGTTTGTTTGTTTTTGAGATGGAATCTCGCTCTGTTGCCCAGGCTGGAGTGCAGTGGCACGATCTCAGCTCACTGCAACCTCTGCCTCCCAGGTTCAAGTGATTCTCCTGCCTCAACCTCCTGAGTAGCTGGGATTACAGGCACGTGCCACCAGGCCTGGCTAATTTTTGTATTTTAGTAGAGATGGGGTTTCACCATGTTGGTCAGGCTGGTCTCGAACTCCTGACCTTGTGATCCACTCGCCTTAGGCTCCCAAAGTGCTGGGATTACAGGTGTGAGCCATTGCGCCTAGTGACCACTGGGTTTGGTAAGATGGAGGTTGTGTGGTTATGTTAGTTTGGGTTGTCCAGGAAATAGATGCCAAGAAGGAGTTAGAAGCATAAGAGACTTATTGGCAATAACATTTGTGAAAATTAAAGGGGAGGGGAGTTAACAGGGAAAAGCTTCAGGCTGTAATGTAGATCTGATCCCTGTGAAAGGAAGGAAGAAGGATCAGGCAGGAAGAGCCTCAGACTGAGGTGCAGCTGAGAAAGTTTTGGCCAGCCTTGTGTGTAGAGCTCCAGCACAGAGACTTCCCATTGAGGATTTCCACATTGGATGGAGATGATGAGTCCTTGGACCGCGACAGTGCCCTGTCATGCACTGTGGGCTCCTACCCTGCACTCTTGCTATCTTCCACAGAAGGTCCTGGCTTCTGTCAGGAGACCCTCTCTCCACAAATCTCTCTTGGGCTTTGGTAATTATCTGTCTTGCTCCTTCAGGGACCCTATTGTTTATAGCCTTGGGGTACTGCAGTATCATTTGCCGTTTCCTTACCCGAACCCACACGCTTGAAGAGAGTGCCTTTATACAAATTTCCCCAAATCATCCAATTTAAACATGCCATTTGCTTCTGCTAGGACCCTGACTCTTATGGAGTCACTAGTGACCTTTAAGACAGTATTTTCTTTGGAAATGGTAGAAACAAATGGCTGACTGGAGTGGGTTCAAGAGAGAATGGGAAATGGCAAGATGGAGGCATGAGTATAAGCAACTCATTTGAGGGGATTTCCCTGCAAGGGAAGGCGGAGTAATGGGCACGTGGTGAAGAGAGGTGTAGGGAAGGGTTTTGCTTTTCTTTTTGGATGAGCTATATTATGATGTATTTGCATGCAGATGAGAATGATCTATAAGAAAGATTTATTCTACAGGAGTTGCTTGCAGAAGCAAAGTCCTTGAGCAGCTCAGAGTTGATGGCATGTAGTGCACAGCTGACCACAGTGACAAGATAGGGTGCCCACAGCAACCAGATAGAGGGCAGAATTTAGGGGTAGGCTGATAATGGCAAGATGAAGTTGTCTGCTTCTGATTGTTTCTGCTTTCTCAGTAAAATAGGAAACAAAATCATCAGGAGTGGAGATAGTGTGATGACATTTGAGAAGAGAATGGAGGAAAACTGTGGAGGGTGAGTAGATTAAAGGGATGTAATCAGACAGCAGGGCCCACTTGAGATTTGGGGCCATACATTTAAAGCGAGACTAGTAAGCAGAGCCACATAATTTTCTCCAGGCATATCTCCCTGTTTGGATACAGGTATGGAGAAGGCAGAATTGGGCTTTGCCAGGCCAGTATGACAAAGGATGTGGAGGATGTGCAAGGGTGAGGGCAGGGGTGATGAAGTGAAGGCCATGAGGTGGTGGTCATGCTTGTTATACTGTCACCCTCTGCCCTGAGAGTCCACCCTTTTCTGCTGTGAAAGGCAAATGTCTGCAGACTGCAGTACTGGGGCTCCCTCGCCCTTGACTTCCCATTGGAATGGGACTGGAAGTCTGTGGAAGACACTAGCCAAAAAACAGAGGGTTTGGGGATTTCTTTATACTCCCATCATCCCTCCTTGCCTTACTATGGTTCCAACAGTGACTATGTTTGTTCTCCTGTGGCCACTGCCTGTGTCAGGTAGCTTTTCTGTTACTGTTTCAGCTCTAAGTGGGCTCCAGGGACCTCATTCTCTCCCCCGCCGCTTCAGGCTGTTGGTTGTAATAGCTTCCCATGCTCTTACTCCCCGCATACTTCACCATCCCTTGTTGGTTCATTCAACCTGCTACTCCTCTGTGAATAAGCCCTTCATTAAGTGCTCTCCAGCTAAATTCTTTTGAATGGGCCATCTATTCCTTGCCAGTTCTCTGACAGAGACAGAGGACAGAGAAATAGTGCTAGGGCCTCTGAATTGGAGGCACCTATGGGGCTGAAGAATTGTTGTGGAGGGGGGCTGGCTGAGGAGGAAGTGGTGAGAGAGTGGGATGCTGGAAATGATTTCAGAGGTTGTGCAGTCACTGGCAATGAGATGCACAGGGTAGAAAGGTGGGAGTGGGTAGCTGAGGTGAATGGAGGAGGAGAGCTTTGAGAGTGAGAAGTCAAGGCAGTAGGAGGCTAAGGTGCTCAGCACATGGATGCTAAATCACCAAGAATGAGTGAAGGAGAAGAATGGAAAGGGAGCCAGTGAGGGAGCTGGGCACTAACATCTGCTGCAAATGAGGAAGAGCCTGAGAGGATGGCAGATGATTGCCACAGGAGGGTAGTGGGTGGTGTAGTTTCAGGGCATGGACTTCCAGAAAAGCTGGGGTTTTTGAGCAAGGGAGGAGAATTGTCTGTCAGCAGCAATGAGGACCATGAAAGACACCCATTCCACCCCTAGGCTCTGTGGTATGTGGTGCGTGGGAGGGAAGAAACAGCCACCTCTTGAGAAGGCTCCAGGGAAGCAGGTTTCAGTTTTCAGTTAGAGCTGCCTCCAGGTTTCTGAGCGAGAAGGTGAAGAAAACATTCAGAAAGAGGCAGAGGGTGTTGGGGATTTGGTAGATGGCACACCTGGAGCTTTGGGGGATACACTGCAAGAGTTTGGGGGCTGCGAAGGGGCTTTTGGCTTAAGCAAAATAAAAGGATGAATAGAGCTTTGTGGGGAGGAGATTGTGGTGATGATGGATAACAATGGAGGTTTGACTCTGGAGGTGACTAAGGTGGAAAGAGTTTTGAAGCATTACAGAATGATCCTGAGGTCTTTTAGGGGAATGTGGAGGTTTAATAATAATTTTAGCTTCTTTTTTAGGATTAGCCTCTTAAGTTTATAGTGAAAGGTGGCTGCCATTAAATTCTCCAAGCGTAGGTCATGGTGGTGGGGAAAGTGGTCCTACCAAGACACATGGGCTCTGGAGGCCTCCCTTAGCAGATTTTTCGTTTTGTTTTGTTTTAGAATGGGGACCAGGCTGGTCTCAGAATCCTGGCCTCAAGCAATCCTCTTGCCTTGGCATCCCAAAATGCTGGGATTACAGGGATGAGCTATCCCACCAGGGACCCCTCAGGCAGATTGATTTCTTATGTGTGTTCAGCTCTGGAGGCCACATTCCAAGTAAGTTAAGACTTTGGCAAACATAGCCTGGATCCTAAAATTCTCAGGATTCTTTTAATGACTGTAGGACAGAAGGCAGCTTTTTGGGATTAGATCTATCCAGGAAAATTTGTGGTACAAGGTTGCTGTAATTATGAGAAATATAAAAGAACAGAAATATGATCTTTGCCCTCAATGAGGTTGTGTTTATGTGGCCTTACAAGACATGTATAAGAATGAAAAACCTGTTCTGAGATGATGTGAAAGTAGGTACAAGAAATTACCTAATAGAAATAAGTTAGAACTAAAATGGGACTGTTTGATTTCAACCTCTCCTTGGGGACAAATTGATGAAAAGTAAGAAACGAATGTTTGTTACATGCTTATTAAATTCCAGGCATTTTGCCTTTACATATATCATTTGGTCTTCACATAAATCTTATAAAATAGGTGTTGTTGTCTTTATTTAAAGACAGAGAAGCTGAGGCTCAGAGATGTTAAGTAATTTGCCCAAGGTCATAGGTCCAGGTATCTGTATGCCTGCCAAACCCATTCTTTTTGATGTTTTTTGAGACAGGGCCTCGCTATGTTGTCTAGGCTGGCCTTAAACTCTTGGGCTCAAGAGAACCTCCCAAGTAGCTGGAACTACAAGTGTGCATCGCTGTGCAGCAAAGAAACCCATTCTTGTCTCATGTAAACAGTCCTGCAGGGTCTGTACTTGCCAGGAAGACTCTGACTCTTCAGAGAGCAGTGATTCTCAATCTTATCTCATTGCTGATCTATTCAAGAGACTGGTTGCTGCCTATGTAGAAACACAAAGCCCATGAAAAAGACCCCAACAGATCATTTTTCTGTTTACATGCTATTGTTATATCATTTACAGTGAGTTTAAAAATATAAAATCGTACTCATCTGGTGAGAAGGAAATTGTATTTTCATGAGGAAGCAAAACCACTTCATTAATACTTGGAAATTATATGATTTCCTTGAGTATACACTTCGCTGCTATGGAAACGAGAAAACAAATTTATAAAACAGTGTTGCTACTAGTATGTAAGACTGGCAGGAGATGGCATGTCACATTTAGAGGTAGATCTGGCAATTCGGAGAGAGCTGGTTGGTAATGGCTACGAAGATTCTGTGACCCATCTGACCACTACTTAGGTGTCTCTCTAGGGGTAGAATGTAATCCTGTGACCTATAGAAGCTTAAGGAGCCCAAGCACAAGGTGGACTTTCTCACCCTATTTAACCAAGCACATCAGGGCCTGAGTACTACTTCTCTGATGAAAGAGAGCCCAGTTTCAGTAAGTGGTGAATGCAAAGTGAAAAATGGAAACAGGAAGTAGAGAGAATATTTTCAAGAAGTTTAACTTTGAAGGGGAGAAGAGAGCAGGGTGTGTAAATAAAGAGGAATAACGGAGTCAAGGTAGGTTTTGTTTTTGTTTTTTGAGTGATGTCACAGTTGAGCATGTTTATTAATAGATGGTAAGGAGGGGAGAGATGAACAGGCTGAAGACAGGGGGAAGAGGTGGGCAAAATGATGGACAGAGGTTTCTAAACTTTGGAATCCACTAGAACTTTACATAGGAAGGGACACTTCTTTTTACACCAAAAGGATGGAGGTAGGAGGAGAGGCTAGTAGAGACAGGGCAGTCACAGAATGACAGTGGATGTTCTTCCATGTGGATGGTGAACTCAGGAAGGGCACTGCAAGGAGAACTGTGAGCCAAGTTTCTGTTTTGAATTGTTAAAAATAAAAACTACAGGCAAAATACATTTAACAGAGTTTACTTGAACATTAAAGGTTTCACGAAGTAGGCAGCACTCAAAACCAGAAGAGGTTCACAGAATTGTGTTTCAGCCGTGTGAGCAGCAGGCTTTTATAGGCTGAACAAGTAAAGAAATTACTTGGCTAGGCACAGTGGCTCACACCTGTAATCTCAGCACTCTGGGAGGCTGAGGTGGGCGGATCACCTGAGGTCAGGAGTTCGAGACCAGCCTGGCCAACATGGTGAAACCCCATCTCTATTAAAAATACAAAGATTAGCTGGGCGTGGTGGAGCGCATCTGTAATCCCAGCTACTCAGGAGGCTGAGGCAGGAGAATCGCCTGAACCCAGGAGGCAGAGGTTGCAGTGAGCCAGGATTGTGTCACAGCACTCCAGCCTGGGTGACAGAGTGAGACTCTGTCTAAAAAAAAAAAAAAAAGAATTACTTGATTGGGTCCAGCTAAACATTTCCCTTATTTGGGTACAATCTGTTGGAAGTCCTTAGAGGTAAGTTGGTGGTTTGTGATTGGTTAAGCTTAAGTGTCTGTTTACTGTTTCTATTGAATTGGGTTTTAGTTTGTTTGTGTAGGAGCCTAAGGTGTTCATTGGCCTTATGACTGCCCAATTACTTATTTTTTTTTTTAATTTTATTTATTTATTTTTGAGACAGAGTCTTGCTCTGTTGCCCAGGCTGGAGTGCAATGGTGTGATCTCGGCTTACTGCAACCTCCGCCTCCCAGGTTCAAGCGATTCTCCTGCCTCAGTCACCCGAGTGGTTGGGATTACAGGTTCCCACCACCATGCCCAGCTAATTTTTATATTTTTAGTAGAGACAGGGTTTTGCCATGTTGGTCAGACTGGTCTCGAACTCCTGACCTCAGGTGATCCACCCACCTCGGTCTTCCAAAGTGCTGGGATCACAGGTGTGAGCCAGCGCACTCAGCCAATTACTTATTTTAACAGAATGAATGAGTGGAGAGTAGCAGTAATAAGGGCCCAAGGAAATATGTCAGCAGGAACAGGGTTTTTTCAGGCATAGGGGGCAGTGAATGGTTTGGAGAGGGAGAAGGCTATTAGCCCCACCTCAAGACATACAAAGTTTGACAGAGGAAAGATGTTCATTTAAGAGGGCTGAAAGGGATTGGTGTTTTGAGGGGAGAGCCTGGTATATAGTTAAAGCAACTGGTGAGAGGGAATGTTTGGTGCAGTGGCAGAAGTTGTAGGAAGTTTATTTATAATGGAATGAATTATATTAGTTATAACTCTTTTAGTTGCAAGTGACTGAAATGGGAATATAGTGAACCAAAAGTTAAGAGAGTCAAAAGAAAAGCTTCAGGAGCCAGGGTGCATTGTGGATCTTAGGAAATAGAACCAGGCACTTGACTTCATTAGATTCTCTCTCTACCTTTCTCTCTCTCTTTATTTTTCTTTTGTCTTCTGTTTCAGCTTGGCTTCACTTTTTCCTGTTGTAAATGGACTTTATTTACATGGCAGAGAACATGGTCACTTGCTGGTTCTATCAGAACAATTCCAAGGAAAGACCTAAAGTAGGCTGGTTTAGGTTGCATGATCATTTCTGGGTCAATTATTGTGGCCCATCTTGGCCACATGCTTTTCCTTGTGGGTAGGGTTAGTTTAGTACCAGAAGGTGTGGAGGAACAAGTACTAGACAAGTAGAATCACCGTTGATGTCCTAGAGAACATGGTGTAAAGGATCTGGAGGTACAGGAACAGTGCGAGGTGGTTGGATCAGGGAAGAAAAATCCAACAGTAATGTGAATGTTAGTGAATGAGAAGAATGGATGGAGTGACTTGTATTTGAGGCAATGGCCAAGGACTGTGGGCATATCTAGTAGGGTGATTTCTAAAATAATTTCAGCAATCACAGATAGAGGAAGGACTTCAGTTTGAATTTGTTGTACTTTCAAGAGGGTTCTAGTTCTTAGGAACAGACAGGAAAATGGTGACAGGTAATTGGTTCCTGGGAGGCTGGCACATTCTGGAGACAGCAGCAGTTTCTGGGGATGCTTCATAAGGCTATTATGCACTGACATCTGCCACGGACCACCAAGTAGAACATTTTCACCTGATGAGAATTAAACATTGACAACATCATTTTGTGCAAAATGCCTTCCCCAAATTAGAAGGACTTATGCCTCAGGGAATTTGTGACTGATGGAACTGAATAGATATCTTGTAGCCATCAAAAACTGGTGTGTGGCTCAGTGCCTAGTAGAACCCAGGTCTTGGGGTGATGGCCAAGGATTCTTTGGAGCTCCTTCCTTGCTTGCATCAGTCCATGTGTTCCAAGACAAAGCTTATGGCACAAATTAAAACTATAACATATACAATTCTTTGCAGTTCCCAAAGCGCTTTTGATACACATTACTAATTTTAACTTTATATAAATCTAGAACATAATGTTATCCCTGTTTCAAATGAGGAGATAGAGGCTCAGAAAAATAACTTAAGGTTTTACAACTAAGTTTTAACTCCCAGGATGAAGAATGTGAATTTTAGCTTATAAAATTATGGTCAGATTATACTAAAGACTAAATATGGTACTTTGTGGCAATTAATTGGTATAAGTCAAAGTGAAATAATCATAAGGGAATATGTGAATGTACTGTTAACAACATCAAAATAAAATTAATATTTATTGGATGCCAAGCACTATGCCTAACACTACAAACTACTTATTTAATAGTGACAACAACTCATTGAGTCAGATCCTATTACCATTGCTTTTCTACAGATGAAGGCTGATTAGACAAATATTACTAAACTGTTAATACCACCACCATGATAAATGGAAACAGGAATAGGCTGCATACAGGGAAATCAACTAATAGTAGTTGATTTTAATTAGGAAATGAGCACTAGGCTAGGGAAAGAAGAGAAAGGAATAAATCCTTGAGTCTGTCTAAGACAAATGATAGGTTTTCTCCCTGTGAAGCAAACCACTTTTATTTCTTAGGCCATTTATCCCTCCTTCTGAGTATCACTTATACCAATCAGCATTTTCTTTGGTTTTCGATCTGCCTTCAAACTACATCCTCAAATTGTAGCATAAATATTTCCCAGTTAAGTGGAGTGGGGCTAAAAAGAAACAAAGGTGACAAAGGACTAATTCAGCTTGGGACATGGGAGAATGGTAATGCCATTTACCCACATGGTGTGTAGGGAAAGGGAGGTAATCAGGAAATTGTTCAGTAAGCTGAAAAGTTTGGTTTTAGGTGCACTGGGTTTCTTCACATGCATGTCTGGTCTTTGGGAGACAGCCAAATAAAGGATCCCTACAGACAGCAAAAGATTCAGGCCTGGGGCTTTGGTGAGTGATTCAAGCTAATCACACATTTGGAAATTATTCAGCATGGTGGTAATGTTAACACCACCAAAATGGATTAGCTCGTTGATGTGGTGAATAAAAAGAAAGAACAATGCATTTAGTCTTGGGGGTGTCCATATGAAAGAGGCTTAAGGGGGATCAGGAATTTAATTACGTATCTGTCATTTTAATAGCAAATTTCAGAGTCCTTTTCAAATGATAAGTTTCCCATAGTCTCCATAAAACTGAATGAGGAAATTTTTAAAAGTCCATAATATTCTTTTACTCTATAATCCTAGTAACTTATTTATTTTAGGCTTAAATGCTATTGCAAGGAATGTGCTGGTCTAAAAGACAGTACTATTAGGTTATTTCCTCCCATTTTGAAATGTATTAAAAACATACTAAATGAGCCAAGTAATATAATAGGGAAAGAAATGGAGAATAATTACATTAAATAACTGAATTCCAAGAATAATTGCTGTAAGACTAGCTTCCAGGAAGCCAAGGCAAAAAGTGATCATGGAGAATTAACTAGATATTATCCCATGTAGAGTTTTGGAAACATGGCTAATTATCAGTATCACAAGGGCTGTCCCTCACCAGGAGAGTCCAGTGAATGGTCTTACAGCTGAGAAGCTGTGTTGTTTTAATTTAAAAGTTCCCCAGGAAATTCTGAGAATTAATCAGATTTGACAAGCACTACTCTAATAAAGGAAACATAGAAGTTCACAGGAGAGACAAACTTTTTTTCTAGCTCTGAAATCAGAAAGAGATTTTGTTCCATTGACATTGAAGAACATTCGATAATAAAACAGACAATGTCCTCAATGGAATTTAAAAAAAACAGGTAAGATTTTATCTGTCTATTTTTTTTATTTTTAATAGAGACAAAGTCTTGGTGTCACCTGGGCTGGAGTTCAGTGATGCTAGTTGTGGCTCACTGTAGCAAACTCCTGGGCTGAAGTGATCCTCCTGCCTCCGCCTCCCAAGTAGTTAGGACTACAGGTGTGCACCACCATGCCCAGCTAATTGTGCCTGGCTAATTTTTAACTTTTTTGTAGAGACCAGTATCGCAATGTTGTCCAAGCTAGTCTTGAATTCCTGGCCTCAAGCCAACCTCCTGCCTTTTGCCTCCTAAAGGTCTGGGATTGCAGGTGTGTACCACCACACTCAGACTTATATGTCTGTGTCTTTATACTGACTTTTGACAAAATAAAAGCCACCAACATAATATTAAATTACAATTCTGTTGCTGTAGTAAAAGAATCATCTGGGCCAGTTGAAAAAACTGTACTCCTTTGGGGCCCAGAAATTTGCATTTGTAATAAGCCACCAATTGACAGTGATACAAATGGTCCAGGAACGCATTTTTACACTGAGAGAATGGATGGTTAACAACAGTCCTTAGCATTTTAGGTTTAGATATCAAATGTTAAGGTATACCATTTGTAATAGACATTTTCACCATTTTTGAAAACTGAAGCAGGGTTAATCTACTTCTATAAGCTGGGAAGACTTCTGTGGTATAAAACCAGAACACTTCTGGTAAAACTTTTCTTCAACACTCAGGAAAATATTAAAAGCATGGGTTGCTTTATATGCCACTAGAGTAGATATTAGTCTCACTCTAAAAAGAAGAAATTCATACTCAATGGATTAAAACCTTTTAAAATCATGGGATAAAACATGGGAAAACAAATTTACTAGTCTTTTGGTAGAGATGCACTTTACTCAAAACATTAAAGAGCCAAAGACATCACTGTGTTAATACAACCATATGTAATATAAGGTCATATATATGGTCCTGAATTGCTGCAACCCAACATATTTGGAAACATCTGATTTGTAGCAACACGATTTTCAAGATTGGTCTTTATTTTCAAATACATCAGGAAAAAATATTCTTAAGGGGAGTGCTTCTTTGTGGTCATAGTCATCTCATACTTCTTAAAAACACTAGTAAAAATAAGTAGGGGAGTCTGCCATATAAATGTTGCATTCCTACAGATTTAGTAGTAACTTGACCACACACAGAGAAAATGTGGTGTTGGCTGAAGACTGAGGGATAGAGGCAGGGTCCTTTTTCTCTTTACTAGTTATCGAATCTAGTTACTAGTTACTGAATCCTAAATTCAAGTCAACTCTCAGTGAGAGAAACTTGAACTATCATAGATTTTTTAATACTCTAATATATTGTGACTAAAAAACAAAGGTGGGATCTACCATAGACATATAAATAGCACCCTGCTGGATTCAGGTAACTTTGGATCTAGTTCCCTTTAGATGGTTTTCATACTGCAGTAAAGGTCATAGAAGTCTGAATCCAGTTCACCTTAATTCTCTAGGTCCTTTAGTCTAGATACTAAGTGCAGGATTTCTTTTTAGGGAAAACTTTGTACTTCAGAATAGCATCCATGAAATAATATGAATTTGAAAATTCCTATTTTTAAACCTAAGTGAGCAATAAATAAGCATGTACCTTTCGTTGTTTCCAATTCCTGATAGCTTTTGCAGGATAAAAATTCTAGGGCAAAAATGCTTATTCCACTGAACTAAAAAGTTGGAACCCATCCATTGCATACTATCAGTATTTTGACATTAAAAATTTAAATTTTTACCAAACTAATAAATAGACGTAATTTAAATATTAAATAGTAACAGCAGGAAAAACATTTCTCCATTCTCTCTCCTCCCAGTCCCACACTTCCCAAAGGCAATGACTAAACTCTTTTAGACATTTTTTTCTAGTATTAACCAATAAAACACTTCTACTACTTCTTGATTTGCCAATTTTAGGCTTTATTGACTTTCTATTATCATAGGTGATGATTTAGTATTCTTAACTTCCCACTTCCTATCTCCTGTTATCCTGTATCACCATTTTTTGGTCAGTGTTTACACTATTTCCTAAGAAAAGATGCAGAGGCAGAAAGTATTTCATGATTATTTCCTTCCTTGCACTACTTTAGTTTTCTGGAATAAACAATTGTCTCATATTTTCTACCTGCGTAGTTTTCTATGAACTCATTATTTCAATTGTTCATCTAGAGCTGTTGTATGACCACCAGCAGTTTTTTTTTACCCCCAGTGCTCAACTATATCAGATAATATATTGGTTCCATTTTTCCCCCTGGAGATCTCTCTCTCTGAAGCTCCCCCTTCCTCCCGCTCCAATCTGGAGAAGGCTCTGGGCACACCTTTGTCTTATAACTTCCTCTTGGCATTTTTCTGTGGTAGATTTACTATTTCAATTTTGTGTTTTCCTTTTTTCCTATTTTTCTAGAGTATTATCATCCTGCAGTTCTCTAAAGAGAGTTGCATGGCAGATACACTTTTTGAGTCCTTACATTCACACATAATTAATTGGTCGGTTATACATTTCTAGGATGCAAATAATTTCTCCCTCAGATTTTTAAAATTCATTAGTTATTTGAGATGGGGTCTTGCTATGTTGGCCAGGCTGGTCTCAAACTCCTGGCCTCAAGCAATCCTCCCATCTTGGCCTCCCAAAGTGCTGGGATTACAGGTGTGAGCCACTGCACCCAGCCTTCCCTCAGATTTTTGAAGGCCTTCTGTCCTAATACCCATTGAGCACTGAAAACGTCAGTGCCATTTTGATTTGTGTTCCCTTCTAAGTGATTACAAATCCCTAATCCTACCACCACACCTACAACCTACAATCTCTTAAGAGCTTCTCCTTATTTCTGATGTTCTGAAATTTCACAATGGTATGTCTTGGTTTGGATTGTTTTATCTTTTTTACGTTGTTGGATATTAAGTAGACCCTTTCAATTTAGACTCATCTTGCAGGTCTGGGAAAATTTCTTATATTTCTTCTTTGATAATTTCTGCCTATTTTCAGTTCTTTTTTTGGGGGGACTCATTACATTAATATTTTACTTTCAGCTTGCCTCCTAAATTCTTCTATCTTTTCTATTTTCCATTTTTGTTTTTTGTTGTTCTATTTCTAAAAAATTTCTCAACTTTGTTTTTCAAACTTCCATGTATTTTGGTTATATATGTTTTTATTTTCCAAAGTTTTTTCATAGAGCTATTTTTCTTTTCCTTTTTTTTTCCCTTTGAGACAAAGTTCCACTCTGTTGCCCAGGTAGGAGTGCAGTGGCATGATCACAGCTCGCTGTAGCCTCAACCTTCCAGGCTCAAGGGATCCTCCCACCTTAGCCCCCACAGTAGCTGGGATTACAAGAGCGCCATCATGCCCACCTAATTTTTTTTTTTTTAATTTTAGTAGAGAGGAGGTCTCACTATGTTGCCCAGGCTTCTTGTGAACTTCTGAGCTCAAGTGATCCTCCTGCCTGACCCTCCCAAAGTGCTGGAATTACAGGTGTGAGCTACCATGCCTAGCCTCTTTTACTATTATTTGAATATATACCTCTATATACTTATTATTTTTTATTGGGTCTGGGAAAGGAGTAGCAATAATAATAAGCATTATTTCAAAGAATAATGCTTAATGTTTTAAAAAACTGTACATAATGTTAATGGCTTTTAATGTGGATTGTTGGGGATTCAGAATGTTTAAAATTTAGCATTATGAGTAATTTCTCTGGATAAAACTGGTAACAAGCACTTTGTTGATAATTTAATGTTATATCATCCAATAATGGACAAAATAAGCATAAGCAGCACATAAAATAGAGTCCTCATTTACTACTGTTGACCTTCCTTTTTCAGACACCTCTTTTGGCTGATAAACACTACTCCCCCAGTGATTGTCCTGTGCTTGATTCAATCTTTCTAATCTTTGGCAGCTTCTTTTCCTATATACGGTAGTCCTCCCTTAACTGTTGGGGATACATTCCAAGATCCCCAGTGGATACCTGAAACTGCATACCAAATAGCATCAAACCTTATATATACATTGCTGTTTTTTTCCTATACATACATATATACATACCTATGATAAAGTTTAATTTATAAATTAGGCAGAGTAAGAGATTAACAATAATAAAGTAGAACAATTAAAACAGTATCCTGTAATAAAAGTTATGTGAATGTGGTCTCTCTCTCTCTCAAGATATCTTATTGTTCTGTACTTAGCTATTTTTGGACCCAGTTGACTGTGGGTAACTGAAATTGCAGAAAGTGAAACTGCAGATAACTGGGGACTACTGTATCCACCCCAAGGTTGTCTACACACACTCACCCATTGCTTCAATTGCAACCTCAGTGCTGATGACTTCCCAATCTCTATCTCTAACCCAGACCTCTATCATAAACTCCTCACTGTAGACTAGTTCTCACTAGTTCCCAGTGGTCATCTACTTCCCCATTAGATTCTATGAGACAGCTCAGGCCTTTAATTTTCATTAAAATGTTTTATTATTTATACTTTAAATAGGCAATACATTCAAATAATTCAATTCCTAAAGATATAAATGGGTATACTGTAAAATTTCCGGTCCTATCCTCCATCCCTTAGCCACTTAAAAGTTCTCCTCCTGGGAGGGAACCAATGTTATTGGTCTTTTAATATTTTTGATATCTTTCCAGAGATACATTCTGCATACACAAGTAAGTCCACTTTTATGTGCCCCCTCCCCCACTAGTCACTTTAATTCCAAATTTGTTTTAAAAGGCACCAATGCAGGTGGAACCAAGACTTTCACAACCAATATTTCTTTTTATTATTATTATTATACTTTAAGGTCTAGGGTCCACGTGCACAACATGCAGGTTTGATACACAGGTATACATGTGCCATGTTGGTTTGCTGCACCCATCAACTCGTCATTTACATTAGGTATATTTCCTAATGATATCCCTCCCCCAGCCACCCACCCCACAACAGGCCCCAGTATGTGATGTTCCCTGCCCTGTGTCCAATTGTTCAGTTGAACAATTCCCACCTATGAATGAGAACATGTGGTGCTTGGTTTTCTGTCCTTGTGATAGTTTGCTGAGAATGATGGTTTCCAGCCTCATTCATGTCCCTGCAAAGGACATGAACTCATCCTTTTTTATGACTGCATAGTATTCCATGGTGTATATGTGCCACATTTTCTTAATCCAGTCTATCATTGATGGACATCTGGGTTGGTTCCAAGTCTTTGCTATTGTGAATAGTACTGCAATAAACATATGTGTGCATGTGTCTTTATAGTAGAATGATTTATAATCCTTTGGGTATATACCCAGTAATGGGATTGCTGGGTCAAATGGTAATTCTAATTCTAGATCCTTGAGGGATCGCCACACTGCCTCCCACAATGGTTGAACTAATTTACACTCCCACCTACAGTGTAAAAGCATTCCTATTTCCCCACATCCTCTCCAGCATCTGTTGTTTCCTGACTTTTTAATGATTGCCTTTCTAACTGACATGAGATGGTATCTCATTGTGGTTTTGATTTGCATTTCTCTGATGACCAGTGATGATGAGCATTTTTTCATTTGTCTGTTGGCTGCATAGATGTCTTCTTTTGAGAAGTGTCTGTTCATGTCCTTTGCCCACTTTTTGATGGGGTTGTTTTTTTCTTGTAAATTTGAGTTATTTGTAGATTCTGGATATTCGCCCTTTGTCAGATGGGTAGATTGCAAAAATTTTCTCCAATTCTGTAGGTTGTCTGGTCACTCTGATGGTAGTTTCTTTTGCTGTGCAGAAGCTCTTTAGTTTAATTAGATCCCATTTGTCTATTTTGGCTTTTGTTGCCATTGCTTTTGGTGTTTTAGTCATGAAGTCCTTGCCCATGCCTATGTCCTGAATGGTATTGCCTAGGTTTTCTTCTAGGGTTTTTATGGTTTTAGGTCTAACATTTATGTCTTTAATACATTTTGAATTAATTTTTGTATAAGGTGTAAGGAAGGGATCGAGTTTCAGCTTTCTACATATGGCTAGCCAGTTTTCCCAGCACCATTTATTAAATAGGGAATCCTTTCCTCATTTCTTGTTTTTGTCAGGTTTGTCAAAGATCAGATAGTTGTAGATGTGCGGCGTTATTTCTGAGGCCTCTGTTCTGTTCCATTGGTCTATATATCTGTTTTGGTACCAGTACCATGCTGTTTTGGTTACTGTAGCCTTGCAGTATAGTTTGAAGTCAGGTAGCGTGATGCCTCCAGCTTTGTTCTTTTGGCTTAGGATTGTTTGGCAATGCAGGCTCTTTTTTGGTTCCATATGAACTTTAGTTTTTTCCAATTCTGTGAAGAAAGTCATTGGTAGCTTGATGGGGATGGCATTGAATCTATAAATTACCTTGGGCAGTATGGCCAATTGCACTATATTGATTCTTCCTATCCATGAGCATGGAATGTTCTTCCATTTGTTCATGTTCTCTTTTATTTTGTTGAGCAGTGGTTTGTAGTTCTCCTTGAAGAGGTCCTTCACGTCCCTTGTAAGTTGGATTGCTAGGTATTTTATTCTCTTTGTAGTGATTGTGAACGGGAGTTCACCCATGATTTGGCTCTCTGTCTGTTACTCATGTATAGGAATGCTTGTGTTTTTTGCACATTAAATTTTGTATCCTGAAACTTTGCTGAAGTTGCTTATCAGCTTAAGGAGATTCTGGGCTGAGATGATGGGGTTTTCTAAATATACAATCATGTCATCTGCAAACAGGGACAATTTGACTTCCTCTTTTGCTAACTGAATACCCTTTATTTCTTTCTCTTGCCTGATTGCCTTGGCCAGAACTTCCAACACTATGTTGAATAGAAGTGGTGAGAGAGGGCATCCTTGTCTTGTGCCGGTTTTCAAAGGTAATGCTTCCAGTTTTTGCCCATTCAGTATGATATTGGCTGTGGGTTTGTCATAAATAGCTCTTATTATTTTGACATATGTTCTCTCAATACCTAGTTTATTGAGAGTTTTTAGCATGAAGGGCTGTTGAATTTTATTGAAGGTCTTTTCTGCATCTATTGAGACAATCATGTGGTTTTCGTCGTTGGTTCTGTTTATGTGATGGATTATGTTTATTGATTTGTATATGTTGAACTAGCCTTCCATCCCAGGGATGAAGCCGACCTGATCATGGTGGATAAGCTTTTTGATGTGCTGCTGGATTCAGTTTTCCAGTATTTTATTAAGGATTTTTGCATCGATGTTCATCAGGGATATTGGTCTAAAATTCTCTGTTTTTATTGTGTCTCTGCCAGGCTTTGGTATCAGGATGATGCTGGCCTTATAAAATGAGTTAGGGAGGATTCCCTCTTTTTCTATTGATTGGAATAGTTTCAGAAGGAATGGTACCAGCTCCTCTTTGTACCTCTGGTGGAATTTGGCTGTGAATCCATCTGGTCCTGGACTTTTTTTGGTTGGTAGGCTGTTAATTATTGCCTCAATTTCAGAGCCTGTTATTGATCTATTCAGAGATTCAACTTCTTCCTGGTTTTGTCTTGGGAGAGTGTATGTGTCCAGGAATTTATCCATTTCTTCTAGATTTTCTAGTTTATTTGTGTAGAGGTGTTTATAGTATTCTCTGATGGTAGTTTGTATTTCTGTGGGATTGGTGGTGATATCCCCTTTATCATTTTTTATTGTGTCTATTTGATTCTTCTCTCTTTTCTTCTTTATTAGTCTTGCTAGCGGTCTATCAATTTTGTTGATGTTTTCAAAAAACCAGCTCCTGGATTCATTGATTTTTTGAAAGTTTTTTTGTGTCACTATCTCTTTCAGTTCTGCTCTGATCTTAGTTATTTCTTGCCTTCTGCTAGTTTTTGAATGTGTTTGCTCTTGCTTCTCTAATTCTTATAATTGTGATGTTAGGGTGTCAATTTTAGATCTTTCCTGCTTTCTCTTGTGGGCATTTAGTGCTATAAATTTCCCTCTACACACTGCTTTAAATGTGTCCCAGAGATTCCAGTACATTGTGTCTTTGTTCTCATTGGTTTCAAAGAACATCTTTATTTCTGCCTTCATTTCGTTATTTACCCAGTAGTCATTCAGGAGCAAGTTGTTCAGTTTCCATGTAGTTGAGCGGTTTTGAGTGAGTTTCTTAATCTTGAGTTCTAATTTGATTGCACTGTCGTCTGAGAGACAGTTTGTTGTGATATCTGTTCTTTTACATTTGCTGAGGGGTGCTTTACTTCCAATTATGTGGTCAATTTTGGAATAAGTGTGATGTGGTGCTGAGAAGAATGTATATTCTGTTGATTTGGGGTGGAGAGTTTTGTAGATGTCTATTAGGTCTGCTTGGTGCAGAGCTGAGTTCAATTCCTGGATATCCTTGTTAATTTTCTGACTAATTGATCTAATATTGACAGTGGGGTGTTAAAGTCTCCCATTATTATTGTGTGGGAGTCTAAGTCTCTTTTTAGGTCTCTAAGAACTTGTTTTATGAATCTGGGTGCTCCTGTATTGGGTGCATATATATTTAGGATAGTTAGTTCTTCTTGTTGAATTGATCCCTTTGCCATTATGTAATGGCCTTCTTTATTTCTTGGGGAAGTTCTCCTGGATAATATCCTGAAGACTGTTTTCCAACTTGGTTCCATTCTCCCCATCACTTTCAGGTACACCAAGGAAACGTAGATTTGGTCTTTTCACATAGTCCTTTATTTCTTGGAGGCTTTGTTCATTTCTTTTTACTTTTTTCTCTAACATTGTCTTCTCGCTTTATTTCATTAATTTGGTCTTCAATCACTGATACTCTTTCTTCCATATGATCGAATTGACTATTGAAGCTTGTGCATGTGTCACGATGTTCTCTTGCCATGGTTTTCAGCTCCATCAGGTCATTTAAGGTCTTCTCTACACTGTTTATTCTAGTTAGGCATTCGTCTAACCTTTTTTCAAGGTTTATAACTTCCTTGCGATGGGTTCGAACATGTTCATTTAGCTCAGAGAAGTTTGTTATTACCGACCTTCTGAAGCCTACTTCTGTCAACTCGTCAAAGTCATTCTCTGCCCAGCTTTGTTCCATTGCTGGCAAGGAGCTGTGATCCTTGGGAGGAGAAGAGGTGCTCTGATTTTTAGAATTTTCAGCTTTTCTGCTCTGGTTTCTCCCCATCTTTGTGGTTTTATCTCCCTTTGGTCTTTGATGTTGGTGACCTGCAGATGGGGTTTTGGTGTAGATGTCTTTTTTGTTTATGTTGATGCTATTCCTTTCTGTTTTTTAGTTTTCCTTCTAACAGGTCCCTCAGCTGTAGGTCTGTTGGAGTTTGCTGGAGGTCCACTCCAGATGCTGTTTGCCTGGGTATCAGCAGTGGAGGCTGCAGAACAGCAAATATTGCAGAACAGTAAATATTGCTGCCTGATCCTTCCCTCTGGAAGCTTCGTCCCAGAAGGCCACCTGCCTATATGAGGTATCTGTCGGCCCCTACTGGGACGTGTCTCCCAGTTAGGCTACATGGGGGTCTGGGATCCACTTGAGGAGGCAGTCTGTCCATTCTCAGAGCTCACACGCCATGTTGGGAGAACCACTGCTCTCTTCAGAGCTGTCAGAGCTGCAGACGTTTAAGTCTGCAGAAGTTGTTTGCTGCCTTTTGTTCAGCTAAGCCCTGCCCATAGAGGTGGAGTCTAGAGGCAGTAGGCCTTGCTGAGCTGCGGTGGGCTCTGCACAGTTCGAGCTTCCTGGCCGCTTTGTTTACCTACTCAAGCCTCAGCAATGGTGGATGCCCCTCCCCCAGCCAGGCTGCTGCCTTGCAGTTTGATCTCAGACTGCTGTGCAAGCAGTGAGCAAGGCTCCGTGGGCGTGGGACCCACTGAGCCAGGCACAGGAGAGAATCTCCTTGTCTGGTGGTTGCTAAGACCTTGGGAAAATTGCTGTATTTGGGTGGGAGTGTCCCATTTTTCCAGGTACAGTCTGTCACGGCTTCCTTTGGCTAGGAAAGGGAAATTCTCCGACCCCTTGCACTTCCCGGGTGAGGCGACACCCCACCCTGCTTCAGCTTGCCCTCCGTGGGCGGCACCCACTGTCCAACCAGTCCCAGTGAGATGAACCAGGTACCTCAGTTGGAAATGCAGAAATCACCCGTCTTCTGCATCGATCACACTGGGAGCTGCAGACCAGAGCTGTTCCTATTCGGCCATCTTGGGACAGATCCCCCAATATTTCAAATACTGAACATATATCCCCTAACAAAACACTTAGTATTGGCTGGGTGTGGTGGCTCGTGCCTATAATCCTAGTACTTTGGGAGGCTGATGCTGGTGGATAGCTTGAGTCTAGGAGTTCTAGAGCAGCCTGGGCAACATGGCAAACCCCATCTCTATTTTTTAAAATAAAAGTTAAAGCAAAAGTATCCTTCCAAGCACCCCCAAAAATAGAATAGGAGGGAAAGACTGATAATAATGAGAGTTTTCCTTCTCCAACATTCCCTGAAAATTGGCGGCAGGTCTCATTTTGATGTGTTGTGTTTATAAGCACAGACTTTGGAGGGGGCACTGATAAACAGCACTGGCAGAAATAAGACTATCTGCCCTTGATTCTTTTCACATGTTCTCCAGGATTCTACCTTCCCTGCTACCAGCCACTTCACTAACTTTTTCTGGAGAGATGACTTCAAAATACTCAAAGTCGCAAGATAAATACACAGAAACGATTAACGTTGCACAGAGTTGACCCAGTCATTCTGTAAATTGCTGCAGAAAAATTGGATTTATTTATTATATATTTTACACAAATTAGAAAGAAAGCAAAGTTATTTAGTAAGGTAACTATATTTGTCCAGAATCTTCCTGTGACAGTCTTCTTCTGGGAACAGACTTTGCTCACTCCAGCCACAGGGGTAGCTGGGCTAAATGCAGTACCTAATGTTTCCTTGACCACAGGGACTGGTCTAAGGAATGGGTAATGAGCCAGTATAAATCACTGAATTCTTCCCCTAGGGTTTTTCATCTCGAAGCTAGACAAACCAGCTTTTTCTGCTGGTTATAGAGTGGTGAGAATATGAGCCTAGAGGCCAGGTATGGTGGCTCATGACTATAATCCCAGCACTGTGGGAGACTGAAGCAGGAGGATTGCTTGAGCTCAGTTCAAGACCAGCCTGGGCAACATGGCAAGACTTTATCTTTACAAAAAAAAATATAAATAAAAATTAGCCAGGCATGGTAGCCTGCACCTGTGGTCCCAGCTACTGGGGAAGTTAAGGCAGGAGGATCACTCAAGCCCGGGAGGCAGAGGTTGCAGTGAGCCGTGTCTGTGGCACTGCACTCCAGCCTGGGTGATACAGCAAGATCCTGTCTCCAAAAAAAAAAAAAAAAAAAAAAAAAAAATAACATGAGCCCAGAGCTCCCATAACCATGTCCATGTCCTTCATCATGTGAAGAACCCAGTTGACTGTGGGGTCTCTTACTTGCAAAGATAAATAGAGGTGAGAGGTTTGGGGTTGTATTGATGGGATGTAAACATCTGTTCTTGTTCACAGGCCTGGCTCTGCTCTACCCTTATTCTTCTCAGGTTGGTTATATGTGCCAACCAACTTCCCCTTTTGCTTAAGCTTGTTGAAATAAGTTTCTGTTACCTGTAACAAAATATATCTTATCTGCTTAGCTCCAGTTCCATATATCTGAGTGCCTACTAGGTATCTCCCTTTGGATGTTTCCTGGTACTTCAAACTTGTATCTGTAGTAAAATGCATCTTTCTTCTCTTCTGTACTCTACCTGTCCCATTTCCTCTATTCTCTCAATCTGGTTACCAACATCTACCCAGCCGCCCAAGCCAGAAATCTATAGCTCTTCTAGACTTCTCTCTTTCTGCCTGATCCCCCATCTCTCAATATCTAATAGGTTTCTAAGTGCTATTCCTCTTCTTAAATATTTATCCTATCTCTTATCCCTTATTCTAGTATCCTTGGTACCTCTTCTGTTTTTTTCCTTCCCCCACTATACTGAAAAGACCAAATCTCAGAGTGCTTATGCTCCCCACTGCCTCTGTTCAATGGGGTCCCTGTCCCCTTCTGATAAAACTTCTCGTCCCAGATGATTGGTCCAGAGCAGTCAGCATAAAGGCTGGTCAGTAACATATAAGAAAGTGTGGCAAGAAAATTCTCTCAAACAGAGAACAAACACACCAATCAGATTGTTTTCTATGAGGAGATCAGTACCCGAGATACAAAGAGGGCTACTCAGTTGCCAAACAGAGGCTGAAGATATGCAGAGAGAAGGCAGAGGTGACGACAAGCAGGCTTCGGAAACTCTTGAATAAACAGAAAATGAGTCAGCCAAAACTTCCGGGTGTTCTGAACGGAAGGTAAAGTGATTGTCTGAAGTAATGGAAATGAATAGAGGAATGAAATCACCATAATAGAAGAGGGCCAACTCTTGCTGTGAGGATACAACTAAATAACACTAGAATTGCCCCAGAACCTGAACTGCTTTCCAATTCCTAAAGTATATATACTCCAATCTGTATGAAGCATGGCTGGATGACAATACGTTGCTTTCTGTGTGAATTCTGTGTTCCCATGAGATTCTTGTTATCCCTATGGCCTCAACACACAATACCATAAATTCTAGTTGTATAAATTAGTTCCCCAACCAAATGATGCTCTGCCATATCTGTTTATATGCATACACGATTTCCTCCAGTTAGAACAATTCCTCTCGTCTCCCATACAAATACCCCTAACTTCGTCTGCCTACCATGTACTCATCTTTTAAGACTGAGCTCAGGGTCCTCTAAGCAGCTTTCTATAACTCAGCCAGGTTAGCTCCTCTTCCTTTACTCTAGCACATGGTAATTGTATGTCTTCATAACTAAAATATGAGCTTCTTTTGTTTACCTTTGTATCCCCAGGGCCTGGCCCAGTACCCAGGACAAAGCAGACATTTAATGAATGCCATTGTTTTGGTTAAAGCTCTCAGTTGCTAGACTCTTTCCATAAACAATAAATGTACTAGCCTTCCATTATCACCCCTCTTCCAATATATCTAATTGCAGCCTGCAGTATCTGAAGTGGGCCACAGTACTATAAAAAGACAATAATTCCATGGCTTTTACGTAAGATTTCCTCAGCTCAGAATGCCCTTCTCACCCCTGTTCCCCAATTTCCTCCAAGAATAGAAGTAGGAAGCCCAGAATTGATTGCACTAGTTCAGGCAAGAGAGGACCATGGCCTGGACTAAGGAGTATTGGTGGGGTAAGAGGTAGTGATACATTCTGGAGGTGGAATAGGCATTACATACTTGGTGAAGATTTGGTTATAAGAGGAGGAAGAGAGGCATATCAAGAATGAATCCTAGAGTTTGAGACCAGCCTGGCCAACATGGTGAAACTAAAAATATAGTTCTAATAAGAACCAGTTCAGTTTCTACTAAAAATACAAAAATTAGCTGGGGCTATAATCCCAGCAATTCGGGAGGCTGAGGCAGGAGAATTGCTTGAATCCAGGAGGCAGAGGTTGCTGTGAGCTGAAATCGCACCACCGCACTCTAGCCTGGGCAACACAGTGAGATTCTGTTACAAAAAAAAAAAAAAAGAATAAATCCTTTGGCCTCAGCCTTGGCTGCACTGTTGGCTTCCCTGGTTTTGAGGCTTTTGGACTTGGACCGAGCCAGGCTACCGGCTTCTCATTTCCCCAGCTTGCAGATAGCCTATTGTGGGATTTTGTCTTGTAACTGTGTAAGCCAATTCTCCCTAATAACCTCCCTTTTATATATACAGTAATATTATTATTGGTTCTGCCCCTCTGGAGAACCCTAACACAGTATCATTAAGTGACATCAAGTACATTGACAGTGTTTTGCAATCACCATTACCACCTATCCCCAGAACTCTTTTCATCTACCCAAACTGCAAAACTTCTTACATGAAACACTATTTTCCCATTTCCCCTTCCTCCTATTCCCTGGTATCCACCATTCTTCTTTCTGTCTGTATGAATTTGACTACTCTACGCACCTCCTATAAGTACTATTGTATAGTATTTATCCTTTTGTGACAGGCTAATATCACTTAGCATAATGTCTTCAAGGTTCATCTATGTTGTAGCCCACGTCAGAATTTCCCTCCTTTTTAAGAAGAACTAATATTCTGCTGTATGTGTATACCACATTTTATTTATCCAGTCATCCTTCAATGGACATTTAGGTTGCTTCCATCTTTTGGCTATTGTGAATAAAGTTGCTGTGAACATGGATGTACGAATGTCTGTTTAAGTCCCTGCTTTTAATTTTTTGGGTATATAGTCAGAAGATAAATTGCTGATCATATGGTAATTCTAAAGGTTTTTTTGAGGAAGTATCATACTGTTTTCCATAGTGGCTACACTATTTTATGTTCCTGTCAGCAATGCACAAGGGTTCTAATTCCTCCACATTCTTGCCAACACTTGTTATTTTCTGTTTTTTTTTTTTAATTTTTAATTTTTAGTAACAGCTATCGTAATGGGCCTGAAGTGGTATCTCAGGGTTTTAACATTTATCTAATGATGAGTGATGATGAATATCTTTTCATGTGCTTATAGGCCACTTGTATATCTTTTTTGGAGAAATGTCTACTCAAGTTCTTTGTCTATTTTTCAATCAGGTTGCTTTTGTTTTTGAGTTTATAAGTTATTTTGTAATAAGAACCAGTTCTAGGAATACGGGTCTAGGTCTTCAAAGCATGAGAATAAGTGTATTAGGATGGCATGAAAATGCTAGGGACCTTGGGAAAAGAGGCAGAAAGAGGTGAAGCTGCCAAAGGAAATTAAAAAAATTTTAAGTCTGGCTGGGTGTGGTAGCTCATGCCTATCATCCCAGCATGCTGGGAGGCTGAGGCAGGGGGACTGCTTGAGCCCAGGAGTTCAAGACCAGCCTAGGCAACATAGTGAGATTCTGTCTGTATAAAAAATAAAAACATCAGCCAGGTGTGGTGCTATGTGCCTGTAGTCCCAGCTATTCAGGAGGCTGAGGTGGGAGGATTGCTTGAACCTGGGAGGTAGAGACTGCAGTGAGCGGAGATTGTGCAATTGCACTCCAGCCTGGGTGACAGAGAGAGAGAGACACTGTCTCAAAAGCAAACAAATAAAACAAAAAAAAATTTTTAAGTCTCAATCTTTAGGGAAGAGTAAACAAAATACACTCAGGATTCTGGGCTTATTTTAGTATTGTAGTTTGAGAACTGTATAAGTTAAGTAAGCATTGGTGGACTACCTTGTGAACCTAACCACTATATAAGAACACTACTTATATAAAAATATAAAAAATGCCCTATCTTATAATCCTTTAATTTAAATGTAAACTTTTGGTACCTAATTCATGTATAAGCTGATGACTATTTACATACTAAGATTTAAACTTGGAAAGTATGTTGGTTGCATTAATGGATTACAGAAATAATTATTTATCATATAATACTTTAAATTGGGAATTTAATATTTTTCAATCACCAAAAATTCATTTGCATGAATCATTTGTGGTATACCAGAATAAGAAAATACACATGATACAGAGTTATGGAACCAATAGATAGTCATGATATAGTTGATAGAAACATCAAGACAAAGCAATTATGTACAGATAGAGACAAGGGTTGAGGAAAGAGTAAAGGTGCATAGAAATCTGTGCTGTTAAATAAAGTAGCTATAGAAAACAGTATAACTGATCACTAGTAATAGATAACTAACGGCCAAAAATAATATCAACTTTAAATTAGATAAATTTTATTATTTTTAAAGTAATCATTTTATTTAATCTATTGAAAACTGATAAACTATTAGATTATGAATTTTTGGTAAAACGTTAGAAGACAAGGTTAGAGAAATAACCTATCATATGGTTGTATAGTGTAATTTACATATTTTAGCATAAATATAACATTATTTTAAAGTATATCTAGGGTTATTTTTAATGTTTTATACTTTTATATTCTCTATAAAATAACCTATAGTTAAGAAAACATACCATTCTCTGAAAGCAAAATAAAACAAAGCTTTCTTTAATCTGAAACTAAAGATGAGCTTTCCATTTCTTGTCAGGATCTGTGTTGCTAACTGTAAAAAGAAAATCAGAGAGTAAAAATTTAACAATAGATAAGTAAATGCACTGAATTTTAAGTTACCTTGTGGCTAGAAAAAGCATTCATTCTTAAAATAATTTTGTTGCTCAATATAAAGTTGGGTATTTTTGGTACATGTAAAAACATTGCTAAGGCTTCTACATCAAATTCAAGCTTAGAATTCTGGATTTTAAGGATTACATTTCTATAAAGATTATTAGTTTGACAAACTAACACTAGAAAATAATTACATAATTACTGCTTTGACATCTCTAAGTTTACTACCTTTACCACTGTTTAAAACCTTTGGCTGTTCCCAAATCTACCACATGTGAAATTCTTCGTGGTTTTTGGGTCTGGGAGAAGAAAAGTTATCTTCCTGCTACATGTCTTTGATTGCCATTCTGGTGGGTAAGGATTGGAATTCCAACTGAGATTCTAATTCCCCTGGGAGCTTTTGGTTCCAGCTTGTGGTCCACTGGCCCTGTGCTACTGACCTTCCTAGCGCCTGTCTCTCCAACTTAAAGTGATATTCATGGGAGAACTCTGATGGGTATTATTTTTCCTCAAAGGAAACTAAGGCATCTGTAAAAATATTTTAAATGCTGGTAATAGAAGAAAATTTGGAAGCATACTCACATATTTTTCCTTCTTTTTCTAGTTTTTTCAAATGAAGTAAGAGATTATGTTTAGCCATTTCATGTAAATTCTCAGGAGTATTCTAAAAGAAAAATGAAGGTGAAAAAAATTCCTTTTTTTTTAAAAAAAAGAACACAGTTAATTTTTTGAAAGCTTTGAAGAAAAGCAAAATGTAGCAAAAGTTTATCTTAAACACATTTTTTTTTTTTTTTGAGACAGAGTCTCACTCTGTCGCCAGGCTGGAATGCAGTGGTGCATCTCGGCTCACTGCAACCTCCGCCTCCCAGGTTCAAGCAATTCTCCTGCCTCAGCCTCCCGAGTAGCTGGGACTACAGGCGAGCACCACCACGCCCAGCTAATTTTTGTACTTTTAGTAGAGACGGGGTTTCACCATGTTGGTCAGAATGGTCTCGATCTCTTGACCTTGTGATCCACCTGCCTCGGCCTCCCAAAGTGCTGGGATTACAGACGTGAGCCACTGCGCCTGGCCTATCTTAAACACATTTTTAACTTGTTTGACATTTTTAACAATTTCACTTTGTATACATCTTGTTTTATATTCTATATATACTCCTATAGATAGAATAGGTTGTAAGCTCCATAAAGACAGTAGCAGTATCTTTTTTTTTGAGACAGAGTTTCACTCTTGTCACCTAGGCTGGAGTGCAATGGCGCGATCTCGGCTCACTGCAACCTCCACCTCCCAGGTTCAAACTATTCTCGTGCCTCAGCCTCCCGAGTAGCTAGGATTACAGGCGTGTGCCACCATGCCTCGCTAATTTTTGTATTTTTAGTAGAGATGGGGTTTCACCATGTTGGCCAGACTGGTCTCGAACTCCTGACCTCGGGTGATCCGCCCGCCTCGGCCTCCCAAAGTGCTGGGATTACAGGCGTGAGCCACCATGCCCGGCCTGGCAGCAGTATCTGTTTTGTTCATTACTGAATATTCAGTGTTTAGCATAATAATACATAGCAGAAACACATTAATATTTTATGAATGAATAAATGTAAAATTATTCTTAGAAAGTTTTCATGATGCTACAGACAGTTGGCCCTGTAATTTATTTATTAGGTTACAGGGTAATATCTTTGTATATTTTAATTTAAATTTAATTTTTTTAAAAAAGTTTTTGGGCCGGGCGCAGTGACTCATGCCTGTAATCCCAGCACTTTGGGAGGCTGAGGCGGGTGGATCACCTGAGGTCGGGAGTTCGAGACCAGTCTGACCAACATTGAGAAACACCATCTCTACTAAAAATACAAAATTAGCTGGGTATGGTGGCACATGCCTGTAATCCCAGCTACTCGGGAGGCTGAGGCAGGAGAATCGCGTGAACCCAGGAGGCAGAGGTTGTGGTGAGCCAAGATGGCGCCACTGCACTCCAGCCTGGGCAACAAGAGCAAAACTCCATCTCAAAAAAAAAAGTTTTTGAGATACAGTCTTGCACTGTCACCTAGGCTGGTGTGCAACGGTGCGATGTAGGCTCACTGCAGCCTTGACTTCCCAGGCTCATGTGATCCTCCCATCTCAACCACCCGAGCAGCTGGGATCACAGGCATGTTCCATGACACCTGGCTCATTTAAAAAATTTCTTGTAGAGATGAGGTCTCACTATGTTGCCCAAGCTTGTCTCGGACTCCTGGGCTGAAGCAAACCTCCCACTTAGCCTCCCAAAATACTGGGATTACAGGGGTGAGCCACCACGCCTGGCCACAAAAGCTTACATTTTTAACCTCTAAGCTATGCTGCCTACACAGCAGACATCTAATAAACATTTGCTGAAAAACTGAATTATACTGACTGCTATATAGTGCTGTCAATACAGTGATATTCTCAGAGGCCAGTGAGGTGTAAGGCTCTTTCCCTACATACTATTTTACTCATGTTCTTTGATTTTTTTTTTCTTTTTCTCCATTGTTTGGCATTGCTACTACTTCTCACTGCTTTGCTACTACTTCTCACTGTTAACATTCCAATATTTGTGTCTAGCAGGTCACCCCTCCTCTCTTGGTGCAGGCTGGGACACAAGATAATCAAGATGGCTAGAATAATGCAAAAATTATTACAAAATGTAATCATCAGGCTGTTGGTAGTTTCTCCTACATAGTTAGGCAGTTTCTCCTACATAGTTAAGTATATAAAGTTCAATGATGGCTCGAAATGGCTATCTTTGTTCTCTAAGGCCAGTTTTTGTTTAATTTTAGCACTGTAGAAAGTTTAGGCTGCTGGTCTCAAATCTAGAAAAGTGGCGTAACTTCTGATCTGGGATATAAGTTTATCATTTCTATAGTCTACTAAATAGATAATTCTAATAAATTTGTGGCTACATACAAATAAGAAAACTGAAAATTACCTTGTAAATAATTTTTACAAGCTCCATTACTGTAAATGATTTCTCAAAGTTCTCACGAAATAATGTAAGAATTTGCTGCTCTCGAATATTTCTGTGAGAAATGTATTGTTGAATTTTAGCTTCAGCATTATGAATTACTGGGCCATGTCCTGAATTAAAATAATTATAAGAGTTACTTCAGTCAGATAAAAAAATACTAAGTACAACAGAAGCTAACTCACTCTATTTAAAAATAATTCATATGATATATTGAAAAAGCATACTAAATGTCAAATATGAACTATTTGGAAAGCTATACAGGTGAAAGAGATTTAAAAATTATATACAATACCCCCCAATTAGAAAATTATAGCAAATACAATCTATAGAAAATATTGTGTACATTAAAAATATGGAATAGAAATTTAACAATAAAACACAGCAATAAAAATAGCAACTACAATAATAACAATAGGTAATGTTTATGGAGTGCTCACTATGTGCTAGGCACTGCCCTAAATGCTTAACATACATTATTCTTACAAGAATCCCATGAAGTAGGTACAATTATTACACATTTCTTATGGTAGAAACTGAGACATACGGAGGGTAAATAATCCGTCCACAGTTACATAGCTAAGAAGGGGTGGAGTTAGGATTCTGACAGGATCTCTTAACCACTCTGTGCTCTTGACCATTAGGCTAAGCTTATAAAATACTGCAAAAGGACAATGTAAAAAGCAGTTTCATGTACATGACCAAGCTCTATTAAAAATTCACAAGACCCACAGTAAAACTTTAAGAATCCTATGTATAGGCTTCTGTATGTCAGAAATTTTGACAACCCAGATTAAGTTATACTATAATTTACTTCCCCTTTAAGACAGTACACATTAATATTATATATTATATAAGTCTGCAAGAATGATGTTCTTAAATATTTGAGAACAAAATATCCAGAAGCAGGCTAACCTATTACGGGATCTGGTTAGACACAGACCTATCATTTATTTGCTGTGTGGCTAATAAATGAGGAAGTATCTGAATCTCTCTAAGCTGTTTCTTCTGCTGTGTGGTGAGGAAACCACTACCTACTTTACATGGGTTTTGGTGAGGATGACAACTGTAAAGGCCCCTGCACAAAACCTGATGGCTAGAAGACTTTAATATATGGTAGCTATGGCTACAGAGCATAATTTACATATAAACAACTGCTGTGCTAGTAAGCCAGTTCACTGGATTCACTAAAGCACTCTAGAATCTTTACTAGGTAGCCTCTCATTAGCTTAGCTTGAATGTGAATTCACTCAACGTCTGCCCTCTTCGCTTTAAAAATAGCTGTCTTTAGCAAAAACAAAGCAAAACAAACAAACAAACCCCCCCAAAGCTATCAGCCCGCAATCCTTTAATGTCATCATATAAATCTAAATGCCCAGCTCTACCGTATGTTTTCTATTCCCCCAGCAGTAGGAACTCATCGCAGAGTGTAAATGTGTTGAAGATACTGGATGGACGGATCTTTCAATGGCTTGGTTAATCGCAAGTTAGAAGAACTTAGGAAGTTAAGTGACCTAGTCCCTTTTTCCTTTTGGGCCTTTTTATTGGGTCCTGTGTCTTTCTTAGCTTTTTTTTTTTTTTTTTGAGAAGGAGTCTCACTCTGTTGCGTGATCTCTGCTCACTACAACCTCTGCCTCCCAGGTTCAAGTGATTTTCCTGCCTCAGCCTCTTGAGAAGCTGGGATTACAGGTGCCCACCAAGACGCTTGGCTAATTTTTGTATTTTTAGTAGGGATGGGGTTTTGCCATATTGGCCAGGCTGGTCTTGAAGTCCTGACCTCAGGTGATCTGCCTGCCTTGGCCTCCCAAAGAGCTGGGATTACAGGCGTGAGCCACTGCGCCTGGCCATTTCTTAGCTCTTCAGATGAAGGAGAGATTGATATTGTAGAACAGTCTAGTGAGATCTGAGACACTAACATGTTTCTTTTTCTGGAGAATGGAAATAAAGATACCATTTTATAGTTGATATAGAAGCTATTGGTATTTCAATATTGTAAATTAAAAAAACTAAAGCTCAGAGGTCAAACATTACCCAAAGTTACACAGCTAAAATGTGGTCCAAATAAAAATCAAGTTAACAAAAATAACAGTGGTTTATGGAATGAAAACATTTTCCCATTTCAATGTAAGTTTATGTCTTTTTAACAGTTCTATTAATAACTGTATGTTGAAAAATAACCCTCATATCTTTATCAAAAGTTATTAATATGGCTCTTGGCCTTCTCTTTAAGTTTAACTGCACAGCTAGACAGGACTTAGGGGTGTATTTTCCTTTTTTTTTTTTTTTTTTTTTTTTTTTTTTTTTGAGACAGAGTTTCGCTCTGTTGCCCAGGCTGGAGTACAATGGCGGATCTTGGCTCACTACAACCTCCACCTCTCAGGTTCAAGCAACTCTCCTGCCTCAGCCTCCCGCGTAGCTGGGATTATAGGTACCTGCCACCACGCCTGGGTAATTTTTGTATTATTAGTAGAGACAGGGTTTCACCATGTTGGCCAGGCTGATCTCGAACTCCTGACCTCAGGTGATCTGCCCACCTAGGCCTCTCAAAGAGGGGTATATTTTAAAGAAGTAGTTGATATGTTTTTTTTTTCCCCCAGACAGAGTCTTGCTTCTGTCACCCAGGCTGGCATGCAGTGGTGCAATCTCTGCTGACTGCAACTTCCACCTCCCAGGTTCAAGCGATTCTCCTGTCTCAGCCTCCCAAGTAGCTGGGATTACAAGTGTGCGCCACCACACTCAGCTAATTTTTTTATTTTTAGTAGAGATGGGGTTTCACCATGTTGGCCAGGCTGGTCTTGAACTCCTGACCTCATGATCTGCCCACCTTGGCATCCCAAAGTGCTGGGATTACAGGTGTGAGCCACTGAGCCTGGCCTTATATGTTATCTCTTCAAGGCCAAATACATACAGAGACAAGCCAAAATGAACCTTCCTCATCATTTGACACAAATGGTTTGCTAGGTTTGAAAAACTACCCACTTTGGCATGCCTGTATACCCAGCGCTTTGGGAGGTTGAGGTGGGAGGACTGCTTGAGGTCAGGAGTTTGAGAACAGCCTGGAAAACATAGCAAGACCTTGTCTCTATTTAAAAACATAAAAATATAAAAAAATTTAAAAATTACCCACCTGGATATATAATATCAGCTTTGATTTTCAATAACTCTTTTAAAGAGTTCATATAATCATAGAGGTCTTCAAATACCGTTGTTCCTTCCCCTAGGATGCAATCTCCAGAAAAGATAGCATTTTCCTCTTCTAAGAGTAGAGCCATGTGATCATCAGTGTGGCCAGGGGTATATAGAACTCTGGTTGAAAGAAGAAATAAGGAATAATAACAATTATGAACTCGAGCTTAGAAGAAATTTTGAGAAGTAAATTATTCTGTATCCTTATCTTTAGACACAAATAAACAGATGAGTTAAAAAGCTGCTTTTTCTTTTCTTGAACCCACTGAAAATTATCATTAGAAAATTCTCTCCTTTAACTAAACCAAGATTCTCACTCTGAAGTAAAATTTAATACTTTTCCCACCCTTTTTCTTTTCTTTTTTTGAGACAGGGTCTCACTCTGTTGCCCAGGCTGCAGTGCAGAGGCAGGATCACAGGTCACTGCAGGCTCAATCTTCTGGGCCCAAGTGACCCTCCCACCTCAGCCTCCTGAGTAGCTGGAACCACAGGTGTGGGCCACCAAGCCTGGCTAATTTATTTTTATTTTTATTTTTTGTAGAGACAGGATCTCACAATATTGACCAGGCTGGTCTTGAACTCTTAGACTCAAGCAATCCTACCACCTCGGCCTCCCAAAGTGCTGGGATTACAGGCATTAGCCACCTCATCTGGCCTCCTACCATTTTTCTTACTTTATAAATAATAAGCACTGATTATAACAAATTTGGAAAATAGAAAAGTAAAGTGTTTAAAAGAAATGAACATCAACAATCATTTCTATTCCTCAGAGGGAGAGCTTTTATTATTACAGAATATATACTTTTTGATTTTCTATGCATATTTATATATTTTAAAAACAAAACTGATATTGTTTTAATACCTGATTTTTGAAATCTTAACTTACTATATTGTATTTTCCTACATCATTATATGTTTACATCATTTTATATATATATATACACACACACACACATATACACATATATACATATATGTTTATTTATTTTTGAGATATATCAAGGTCTTGTTATGTTTTCCAAGCTGTTCTCACCCAGGCTGAAGCGTGGTGGCATGTTCCTGGCTCACTGCAGCCTCAACCTCCTGGGCTCAAGCAATTCTCCAACTTCAGCCTCCCGACTAGTTGGGAGCACAGGTATGTGCCACCACGCTTGGCTAATTTATTTTTATTTTTTTGTAAAGACAAGGTCTCTTTATGTTGCCTAGGCTGGCATCAGTATATACTTTTCAAAGACAAGTATTTAAGTGCTTAGCATAGCAGATGGCACAAAATTGCATGCTTAATAAATGGTAAATTTATTTTAGTAGTTATTATCTAAAAGCTTAAAAGAAACTTTCTTAACATGCAGAAGGTGGTCAGAAAAAGACTCTTTTTTTTTTTTAAATTATACTTTAAGTTTTAGGGTACATGTGCACAACGTGCAGGTTAGTTACGTATGTATACATGCGCCATGTTGGTGTGCTGCACCCAGTAACTCGTCATTTAACATTAGGTATATCTCCAAATGCTATCCCTCCCCCTCCCCCCACCCCACAATAGGCCCCGGTGTGTGATGTTCCCCTTCCTGTGTCCATGTGTTCTCACTGTTCAATTCCCACCTATGAGTGAGAACATGTGGTGTTTGGTGTTTTGTCCTTGCGATAGTTTGCTGAGAATGATGGTTTCCAGCTTCATCCATGTCCCTACAAAGGACATGAACTCATCATTTTTTATGGCTGCATAGTATTCCATGGTGTATATGTGCCACATTTTCTTAATCCAGTCTATCATTGTTGGACGTTTGGGTTGGTTCCACGTCTTTGCTATTGTGAATAGTGCCGTGATAAACATACATGTGCATGTGTCTTTATAGCAGCATGATTTATAATCCTTTGAGTATATACCCAGTAATGGGACTGCTGGGTCAAATGGTATTTCTAGTTCTAGATCCCTGAGGAATCGCCACACTGACTTCCACAATGGTTGAACTAGTTTACAGTCCCAGCAACAGTGTAAAAGTGTTCCTATTTCTCCACATCCTCTCCAGCACCTGTTGTTTCCTGACTTTTTAATGATCGCCATTCTAACTGGTGTGAGATGGTATCTCATTGTGGTTAAGAGCTTCTGCACAGCAAAAGAAACTACCATCAGAGTGAACAGGCAACCTACAGAATGGGAGAAAATTTTTGCAATCTACTCATCTGACAAAGGGCTAATATCCAGAATCTACAATGAACTCCAACAAATTTACAAGAAAAAAACAACCCCATCAAAAGTGGGCAAAGGATATGAACAGACACTCTCAAAAGAAGACATTTATGCAGCCAAAAGACACAAGAAAAAATGCTCATCATCACTGGCCATCAGAGAAACGCAAATCAGAAAAAGACTCTTTAATCTATTTTTTTCTCTCTAGTTAAACATTTTAAGACAGAGCCGTTTTTTATAAATTCTACCCTATATAAGAAACTTAACATGCATTTATTTCCTTTTTCCTTTCCTCCAATTTTCAGTTTTTGTTGACAAAACTGATTATAATACTTTTAAAGTATGACAGGTATTTTATTTCAAAAATTCTTATTTACATTTATATTGTTTTGTAACTATGCCAACAATAAACCAGATAAACAAAAAGCTGAGTTCAAATAATCTGTTCTGCAAAGCACCCCGACTTCTCAGCAATATACAGACTTAATTCTCTGTACTGGTCACTGTTGCCTCTATATTCTTCTTCTACTTTGAATTATGTGTTATTCTGTAGGCTTCACATTGTTTTGTTTGCTATTCTACCTCACAAGGTTATGAGTTCCAGAAGGGCAGGACTCTCATCTCATTTTCATTTTTATACGCTCAGTACTTGGCACTTAGTAGTAGTTAATTTTAGTAATAGATTGCTTTCCATGTACCAGGCAGTGTCTTCAGGGATTTACACAAATTACATTTAATCCTTACACTACTTTGGGTTGGGCATTATTAGCCTCTCCATTTTACATTTTACATAAATAAATCACAGCAAATAGCAATACATGTCTGAAGGAATATGGTTTAAATTATATTTTATTTAGTTTAAGAGGATAATTACCTGCTATTCTAGTCAGTATTGAGTTTTTATGTGCTTGGAATATATATATCTCTATCTATCTATATATATAATTTTTTTTTTTTTTGAGACAGGGTCTCGCTCTGTCGCCCAGGCTGGAGTGCAGTGGTGCAATCTTGGCTCACTGCAACCTCTGCCTCCCAGGTTCAAGCAATTCTCCTGCCTCAGCCTCCTGAGTAGCTGGGACTACAGGTGCCCGCCACCACACCTGGCTAATTTTTGTATTTTTAGTAGAGATGGGGTTTCACCATGTTGGCCAGGGTGGTCTCAAACTCCTGACCTCAAGTGATCTGCCTGCCCTGGCCTCACAAAGTGCTGGGATTACAGGCAGGAGCCGCTGTACCCAGCCATGTTTGGGATATACTTAATAAATCTTCCCAATAATGGAATATTTTGTGGGAATAAGGTAAATGTGATGACATATAGATGAGTGATAAGTGACTTACCAGACAGGAGAAAATGGAAGCCTAAATAAGCAGCAGGGAAAGCTGAGAACCAATCAGATTTGCACTGCAGAATTCCTCAAAGTCTAAGGATTTAGGAAATCTGGAAGTGGAGGGTGAAGTGGAAGGAAGGTGGCTGAAATAAGAAGTCTGTTGAAAGTCTTTTTAGCAAACATTCAGATCCTCAAGAGTCTCTTCCCACTTTGAGTTGAGAAGTGCCCCAATCTCACTAAGGGAAACGCTGGAGGTTTAATCTTTGAAGAGGGTAAAACAGAGGCATAGATGCAGGAAGTGACAATATACTAAAAAAAAGTAAGATTACAAGAATATATGTAGATTCCTATGCCTTCTTTCCACACTCAGCTTCTATAATTCTGGCAGCCAGGCCTTTACGCTACATGAAGATTAGAAGAGTCTTTTTCTAAGTTATTTTACCATCTCAGGAAGAAAGACTCTACGATACCAATGTTGGAAAGTTCCCAACTGAAGAGCTCATCCAGATTATCCTACAGTGAGGCCTAAAGCCTACGGAAGACTCCCCCCCACATTCTCAGAGCTCCCAAACAGCTCTGTAGTTTCCATCAGAACACAATTAGTAAACATCAGAAGATAAACAGGATTACTAGGCATCTAAGGAAAGTTATGTTGAAGACAGCGCATAAAAACGAACAAGCAAACAAAGGGGGTTATGAAGAAAATTTCCAAAACAACCAAACCCCACAGAATATAATATCCTCAGCAAAAAAAGAAGAAATTGCAACTATGAAACAAGATTAGGTTAGTATAAAAGCAACATTTTGGGAACAAAAAGTTTCTGAAAATTACAAATCTGAGAACAGAAATAAAAACATGTAGTAAGATTAGGCGATAAAGTTAATAAAAATCTCCCAGAAAGTATAGTAAAAAGGCAAAAAGATGAAAAATGAGAGAGAAAAAAATAAAGTTAGAGTAGTACAGGAGTTCTAACAAAATAATAGGAATTTTAGTAAATGAAACAGCACAAAAGAGATGAGAGAAAATAAGCACCTCAAGAAAAATTTTTGGAACTGAAGGACATGTTTCAAGACTGAAAAAGCCTATCATGGATTGACAAAGACTCGCTTTGACTAAAACTATAGTCAACTCCTCTGAGTTTTTTCCGATGATGGGACTCAGAACACACTACTGCCAAAATATGGCACCTTTGCATGCTGAGGTAGGATCCTTTGATGAGGCAGTGATTCCTTTGATGAAGGAATCACTGTGAAATTTCAGGATACAGTGGAAAAGAAGGGAAAAAGCAAAAGCCAGGGACCAAAGAAGTTCAGCAATCAGAAGGGCTTTAGATTTCTCTATTGCAATATTGAAACCAGAAGGAAATGAAACCTTGCAGACAATACTGAGAAGGAAAAATACTTTCAACTTAGAATCTATACTCATAAATACCTTAAATAAAGTTAGATGAAAAAAGGATACTTTCAGATATCTAAGGTCTCAAAAATTCACCATTTCTCAGAAAGCTACTGGAGATGGGTTCCCCTAAAACAGAGGGGGTTTTAAGAAACTTATGGGGCACTGGAGAAAGGAGATCCAACACTGGAGAGAGGCAAAGGGAAGCCCCAGGTGAGAGTGCAGGGAATTCTGAGATGACACCAGCATCAGGCCCGGAGGAAAACAAGCCGACAGGAGCAAGTTATTAGCTGGAAGGCTTAAAGGGTAGGTTCTTTCAGAAGATTAAATTGAGAGAATCCATGATGCATTTAAACACCCTAAGGGAAGATTTATATACTCAGAGTTAAATTAGTGATAAATACACAGAAAACTATCCAAAATAACAAAGCAAAAACAATGACTAACTGCAGGAAAGCAGGAAAAGTAAGGATAGTTTACTACACGGTTCAGCTGTAAATAGTGTCTACAGTCATAACAACATCACCGAATGCTGATCTAACCAGCATTATGACATTGAGAGGTTAGAGGACAGGAATGGTGCTCAAAAGTGGGAGAAGAGGAAAACCCAATTCTAATTTTTTCTTAGTGGAAAGTTAATATCTCAAATTGAAAAATAAGATGTAGGAAAGAATCAAATAGTCCGCTAAGATTTGTAACTGTTACTGCCCCACTGTTTAATTTCTTTCTCCCTAGACGCAACCACTTTCACCTGTTAGCTAATCATTTGTGTCATTTGTCTGTTTGTTCCTGTACAACAAAACTGTACCATTAAAGGTAATTATGTGTGTCTCTCTTCCTTGAGACCTTGATGAGCCTAGCCATAATATGTAAATGTTTTCAAGTTTGGATTTTAGATTCTAGAAGCCACAGTAATAAGTAAACCTTTTGAAAAATGTTTTTAAAAATTTTATTATTATTTTTAAGAGATGAGGGCTTACCCTGTCACCTAGTCTGGAGTGCACTGGAGTGATCATGGCTCACTGCAGCCTTGAACTCCTGGCATCAAGGGATCCTCCCACCTTCATCTCCCAAAGAGCTGGGATTACAGGTATGAGCCACCATGCCCAGCCTAAGTAAACCTGTCTTTTTACAAGATGATCTGATTATAGTTTAATTTAGAATACAAAACTCGTTTAGGCCAACCTTATATTAAAAAATAATCTATAAAAAGTAGTATACAGAAAAAGCATAAAGTTATTTGTGTTAAGCTTAACTCACAGGACCACATTATTAATAAGCAACAGTGAAGCTCTAGTAAAAAGATGTGTGACTGTCACTAGAAACTAAAGGTTCAGTATTTTCACAGGATAATTCTACCAAACATTTAAAGGTCAGATAATTTCACTACTATGTACTTAAACTCTCCTGGAGCACAGAAAAAGGCCAGGTGCGGTAGCTCATGCCTGTAATCCCAGCACTTTGGGAGGCCGAGGCCTGAGGTCAGGAGTTCGAGATCAGCCTGGCCAACATGGCGAAACCCTGTCTCTACTAAAAATACAAAAATTAGCTGGGCGTGGTGGCGGATGCCTGTAATCTCAGCTACTCAGGAGTCTAAGGCAAGAGAATTGCTGGAACCCAGGAGGCGGAGGTTGCAGTTGCAGTGAGCCAACATTGCGCCACTGCACTCCAACCTGGGCGACAGAGTGAGACTCCATCTCAAAAAAAAAAAAAAAAAAAAAAAGAAAAAAAAAGAAACAGATAAAGCCCCAAACTGACAAAGGTACAAAAAGAAAAATACTACCCAATTTTATTACTATTCTAAAAATAATAACCAAAATATTAACAAAGAGAATCCAAAAGCACATTGAAAGATCATGACCAAATAAGATTTATTAAAAAATGCAAGAATGCTCCAATATTATAAGATCCCTGAAAATCATAGTAAAGATATGGAGGAAACTAGTAAGTTCATCTCCCTAGACAGTGAAAAGACATTTGATAAAATTCAACTCTTAAAGTATTTAAGAGAACTGAAATGACTATAACTTAGGGAAGTTTCTCCTTTACCATAAATATAAAAACCAACCAAATCCTTAATATTAAATATTGAAACTGTAAAGACTTTAAAAAGTCTAATAATATAATAGATATAAGGTATAAGACATGAGATACTAATGGAAGCAATTATTTTTGAAAGGCCAATGTCTGACATTAAGAACTATTATGCTTTTATAGTTTCCAAGTATATATTTCATATATTGCAAACAATTACTATATTATAGTTGATCCAATGGCAAGGTATTAAAGAGCTGTTAGAAATCATCTCTTTTGTCTGGTTAAACTTGCTGCAAGCTGTTAATAGAAGTATTCAATGTTATATGAAAATAATTCCAAGGGGTGTATTTCCAGCCAACTATATAAACATGTGTCTTTGTGTGGCGATGTGTCATATCTTGTGGACAATCTTATGAATACATAGAATGCATTAACAAACAGAACCCCAATCTTTCTTTTTTTAATCTACAAAAACTCACTTGTAGAACCACTCTTCATCTGAAAACTGTTTTGCTTGCAATGCCTCCTTCATTATCAGCCCTCCCTGACCCCCTACCACACCAGAACTCAGTAACTGTTTTCTGTGATATAAACACAGAAAACAATTTGTTTTTCTGTGATATAAACACAGAAAACAAGTAGCAGGGTTTCTTAAATTGGGGAATCAGTAATCTCAATTCTCCAGTCACCTGGGTGGCTGCTGTAATTTGCATAAAACTGTTAAAATTCACTTCACACAGGCAGGAGGAGAAAAGGAAATGACATCAGAGGTGCTTTGCTAAAGATCACAGGAACTGCAGCTGTGGCCTTCCTATTTCGCAGGTAGAAAATTTATCTAGTTCTGTTACTTCTGTGATAGAGTGGACTTTGTAAGGATGACTCTCTTAGAGAATTCAAGACAGTGATCAAAAACTGTCAGATTGACTTTTCTTCAAGAAATTTAACTTAGCTTGCTAGTTTACATCCAGAATCAAATTCTTACTGAAAAACCTTTCTAGTTTTCTACTTTTTACTGCAAGGGTTCTTGGTGGATATTATCTCTGTCCCTACTGCATTTTATGTTATTTTTTTCAAAGTTGGCAAGTAGGCAAGATCAACTGGCCAATGAATACATGAGGACTGAGGCAGATTTTAACCTTCTATTTATGCAACTTTCACTGAACAAAACTCTTAAGTGCTGTTATTTATATAGAGTTGAACTCTGTCAAATGTCTTTTCACTAGCTAGCTTAACAAAGGTTTTGCTTAAAATATTACATGTTAATATTGAAAACAGTTGGGCTTTTCTGACTTCATAAAAGTGGAAATTGAAAACCACATTCATCAGGAAATTAAATGTTTTATCCAGGCTTTAGCTTAATGAGAATTTATATTTTGAGAAAAGATTATTTACTACTAGTCATTTTTAAAATGTGTCTGTTTTTGATTCTTTTTGTCAGTTTTCCCCTTAAATCTTTACACAGATTCCCATCAGAGTACAGTAAAACAAAAATTAAATAGAATTCATATATTTGAAATCCTTGGCATCAATTCACTCCAGGAATCCAAGACAGTACTCAACTGAAGGGGAAGCAAGCACAAGGGAGATTTCTGGGACACTGATACTGTTCCGTTTCTTCATCTGAATGCTGCTTATGGGCCTTGTTCAATTTGTGAAAATTCATGACTTTGTACATTTATGGTATGTGATCTTTCCTGTTTATATATTATACTTTGATAAGAAGTTTTAAAAAAATGACCTGTTCCACCTGGATGGCAGTTAACATCCAACAGCTGCATATCTTTAATCTGGTAAATTAGGTATAGCTCTAATGATTACCCATGATTCTATGTGATAAACCAGTACTGTGATTCCCAAATCTTCGAGACAGAAGATTCAATAAACCATCTCTACCCCTTTCATTAACTTGGTCTAGGGCTGGTGTGCTATGGAGGAAATTTCAGTATTGTGAAGAATACTTTTTGAGCAAGTAGTAATATAACATTTGTTTTCCTTTGGTGTCATGGGCGAATTATATAACATGCTATTATATTTTCTTGCTCTTTCTTACTATTTTCTTGCAGAGTCTTGCTCTGTCACCAGGCTGGAGTGTAGTGGCACTATCCCAGTTCACTGCAACCTCTGCCCTCACAGGCTCAAACAATCCTCTCACCTCAGCCTCCCAAGTAGCTGGGACCATAGGCACACACCACCATGCCTGGCTATTTTTTTTGTATTTTTGGTAGAGATGGGGTTTCACCATGTTACCCAGGCTAGTCTCAAACCGCCTGCCTTGGCCTCCCAAAGTACTGGGATTACAGGTGTGAGCCACCGCACCTGGCTATATTTTCAACAAAAGCATTATAAGGAAACTGCCTAGAAACTACATTTTGAAAATCACAGCACAGTAGAAAAAAGGGGGCACCAATTTAAAAGAGGACATGGACATCTACTACTTCATTTTCTCTTACTCATCTGTTTGTCTATTTGCCTCTTTAAAGATATTAACTATATGTAAGATAAATATTCAGTGCCTTCTGTGTGCTAGAGGTGAGGATGTGAGGATGAATCTGGTATCTGCCTATATCAGAGAATGGCTATCTAGTTACTAAACCCATTTCCTCTATTTTGCTGGGCATACAGTTAATTTCCCAGACACCCTACAGTGAGGGGTGACTTATGACTGAATTGACAGCCAATGCAACAGAAGACTTGGTCCATGAAAACCTCCCATGCAATATCCCTTCCATGCTCTTTTCTACCTGCTGGATTGATCGAGCTGAGCATGCAACCTTGAAAAAAAAAGCCTTCAGGAGGGTAGAGTCACAAGATGGAAGGAGCATACATCATTACTTGCAGAGGGCCACTGGCTAACTGGGAACCTTTTTGGGACTGTATGGGACCAAGAAATAAATTTATTTCCTATTTGAGCCGTTAAACATTTCTGAGTTGTTTTGCTATGGCAACTGGCATTAACTAATATTGTGAACTTAAGGAGCTGACTGCTTTTTAAGGAGACACTTACCCCCCTCCACAAAACCACAATACAACTTAGTAAGTGCTATTATAGAATAAAATTTATACAAAAGCTGGAGAAGAGCAGTTAATTTTGCCCAGAAAGCGTTCTTGATATAAGTAACATGTGAACTGGGCTTTGAAGAATAAATAGATAAGAATTTACCAGGGAGACAAGTAGTGGAAAGGGGTGATATAAACAAAAACATAAACAGGCATAATATGCCCAGGAATATTTGTATATGGCTAAGTGTTTTTGTGAGGGGAGTGGGAACTAAGACCAGAAAAGTGGCCTGGGGTCAGACTGTGGTATGGTAAAGAGAATAAACATTATCTTGTATGCAGCGAGAGTCATTAAAGATTTCAAGTAGCACAATGAAGGATGGTAGGCTAAAGGGGAGAGCTGGAGACAGTAAGATAAAGGAGGAAGTACTGGTAGTGGATGTGAAGAAGGGATAGCACTGACAAATATGTGTGTGTGTGTCTGTGTGTATTTACCTATTTTTTTTTTAGAGATGGGTTTCTACTTTGTGGCCCAGGCTGGAGTACAGTGGCTATTTACAGGCTCCATCCCAGTACTGATCAGCATGGGAGTTCTGACCTGCTCTGTTTCCGATCTGGGCCAGTTCACCTCTCCTTAGGCAACCTGGTGGTCCCCAGCTCCTAAGGTCTGAGCGGTCACCATACTGACGCTGAATTTAACATGGACATGCAATTGGCATAGTACACTACAGCCAAGAACTCCTGGACTTAAGTGATCCTCCTGCCTCAGCCTCTTGTGTGGCTGGGACTACAGGCATGTGCCACTGTGCTCAGCTGACAAATATATTTTTTCCATAAGTTATTGGGGTACAGGTGGTATCTGGTTACATAAGTCCTTTAGTGGTGATCTGTGAGATTTTGGTGCACTCGTCGCCCGAGCAATATACACTGTACCCTATTTGTAGTCTTTTATCCCTCATCTCCCTCCCACCCTTCCCCCCAAGTCCCCAAAGTCCATTGTATTGTTCTTATGCCTTTGCATCCTCATAGCTTAGGTTCCACATATCAGTGAGAACAAACAATGTTTGGTTTTCCATTCCTGAGTTACTTCATTTAGAATAATAGTCTCCAATCTCAACCAGGTCACTACAAATGCCGTTAATTAATTCCTATTTTTTTTTTTTTTTTGAGAGGGAGTTTCACTCTTGTTGCCCAGGCTGGAGTGCAGTGGCACAATTTCGGCTCACTGCAACCTCTGCCTCCCAGATTCAAGCAATTCTCCTACCTCAGCCTCCCAAGTAGCTGGGATTACAGGCATGCACCACCATGCCCGGCTAATTTTTGTATTTTTTTAGTAGAGACAGGGTTTCATCATGTTGGCCAGGCTGGTCTCAAACTCCTGACCTCAGGTGATCCACCTGCCTTGGCCTCCCAAAGTGCTGGGATTACAGGTGTGAGCCACCATGCCTGGCCCCGTAATTCATTCCTTTTTATGGCTGAGTAGTATTCCATCATATATATATACCACAGTTTCTTTATCCACTCGTTGATGGATGGGCATTTGAGTTGGTTCCATGATTTTGCAATTGCAAACTGTGCTGCTATGAACATGTGTATGCAAATATCTTTTTTGTATAATGACTTCTTTTCCTCTGGGTAGACACCCAGTAGCTGGATTGCTGGATCAAATGGTAGTTCTACTTTTAGTTCTTTAAGGAATCTCCACACTGTTTTCCATAGTGGTTGTACTAATTTACATTCCCACCAGCAGTGTAGAAAGTGTCCCCTGTTCACCGCATCCACACCAACATTTACTGTTTTTTGATTTTTTGATTATGGCCATTCTTGCAGGAGTAAGGTGGTATTGCATTGCGGTTTTGATTTGTATTTCCCTGATCATTAGTGATGTTGAGTATTTTTTCATGTTTGTTGGCCATTTGCATATCTTCTTTTGAGAACTGTGTCCTTAGCCTACTTTTTGATGGGCTTGTTTTTTTCTTACAGATTTGTGTTCATTGTAGATTCTGGATATTAGTCCTTTGTCAGATGTATAGATTATGAAGATTTTCTCCCACTCTGTGGGTTTTCTGTTTACTCTGCTGTTTGTTCCTTTTGCCATGCAAAAGCTCTTTAGTTTAATTAAGTCCCAACTGTTTATCTTTGTTTTTAATACATTTGCTTTCGGGTTCTTGGTCATGAAATCTTGCCTAAGCCAAAGTCTAGACGGGTTTTGCCAATGTTATCTTCTGTAATTTTTATAGTTTCAGGTCTTAGGTTTAAGTCCTTAATCCATCTTGAGTTGATTTTTGTATAAGGTGAGAGATGAGGATCCAGTTTCATTCTCTGTATGTGGCTAGCCAATTATCCCGCCACCATTTATTGAAAAGGATGTCCTTTCCCCACTTTATGGTTTTGTTTGCTTTGTCAAAGATCAGTTAGCTGTAAGTATTTAGGTTTATTTCTGGGTTCTCTGTTCTGTTCCATTGGTGTATGTGACTATTTTATATTGGTACCATGCTGTTTTGGTGACTATGGCCTTACAGTATAGTTTAAAATCAGGTAGTGTGATGCCTCCAGATTTGTTCTTTTTGCTTAGTCTTGCTTTGGCTATGTGGGCTCTTTTTGGTTCCATATGAATTTTAGAATTGTTTTTTCTAATTCTGTGAAGAATGATGGTGGTATTTTGATGGGGATTGTGTTGAATTTGTAGATTGCTTTTGCCAGTATGGTCATTTTCACAATACTGATCCTACCCAGAGATGAACTTGGGATGTGTTTCCATTTGTTTGTGTCAGCTGACAAATATTTTTGATGTAAAAACTAACCTGATTAGTGTGGTGGGCAAGGGGAGGGGGATGGTAAAGGTGAAGAGCAGTGCAAGGTAATCCTGAAGCCTCTGTCTTAGAAGAATGAGTAAAGTCTTACATACTGAGAAAAGTGGATGTTCTGAGATCAGAAAACAGGTGCAGATTGTGGGGGAGAGAGGAGTTCAGTTTTACAATAACTGAGTTTGAAATACCATTTTGAAACCCTCAGATAGGTCATGAGGTATGATCGGTCAGGCCTAAAACTTATTTAATTTAGGTATGGGTCATCTTTGGGAAGTGAGAATATGGGAAAGCCCTGAATTGAATTGATAGGTAGATCCCTAAGCCTCCTTGGGAGACAACACTTATTTTTTAAAGTGTAAATTTTATTTTTTAAAACAATGGTAATCATATGATTCAAATAAACAATTTAATAAAGAGTGAAGTCTTTCTTTTCTCATTTCTCAAGCAACTCATTTTCTCCTCCCAGAGTAAGCAATGTTTATTGGATTTCTTTTGTATCCTTCCTGATGTACTCTTTACACATACCAGCACATATGCACAGATCTTCTATTTTTTTTTTTTTTTTTTTTTGAGACAGGGTTTCACTCGGTTGCACAGGCTGGAATGCAGTGGTACAATCTTGACTCACTGCAGCCTCTGCTTCCCAGGTTCAAGCAATCATCTCATCTCAGCCTCCTGAATAGCAGGATTATAGGCATGTGCCACCATGCTCAGCTAATTAAATTTTTTTTTGGTATTGCCCAGGCTGGTCTTGAACTCCTGGGCTCAAACGATCTTCCCATCTCAGCCTCCCAAAATGCTGGGATCCTTCCATCCTTTTCTATAACACACATACACAGACTCTTCACCTTCCCTGGCTAAGGGACATTTACTTACCTTAGAGTGGCTCCCTCAGTCTTAATCACATCTCCATCTTTCAGATAAACATATTGTTGCTCTCCATTTCCTATAATTTCTTCTCTCTGAGGATTCCGTGGGAGTTTTTTAATGCAATAGGTAGTGTCTAGTCATAAAACATATAAAATATATTAATTCACACTTTATAATTAAGCCTTTTAAGAGATCAACTTTCATAGAGCTAACACTTGTGAATGACTGCATAAAATATTAACATTAAGAGACAACAGAAAATGGGATGAATTACAGCAGGTTATCTCTGGGATGTAAATATTTCATATCTTTCAACCAAACAGCTCTTCATTCTTTCATGCCCCTCTAGGTCTACATGAAAGCCTCTATTTTTTGAGTCAGTCCTAGTTTATACAAAAAATTTAAAAGTAGCTAGCTTCGGCATCCTGACAAGTGTTGAAGAGGCACTAATACAGAACCTGGAAACTCTTCTCTATCCAGGTGCCTAACATGTAGCAAAGGTGTCATGACAGTAATTAATAACAAAAGGATAAACATTAATTAATAACGAAAGCATGAGGTCCTTGCTACAAGTACTGAAATGAAGCCCCAAACCAGTGGCTAAGATATTAAACCTTTAAAATAAGCTAAATCTATACCACCCTTCACTGACACAAAGAAAATAAATTAATTAACCAATTAACAATTGAGTGCCAATTAACTAACCAGTATACTAGGTATACTGAATACAACCACTGTGATATCAAAGTTCTTAAAAGCTGTCCTGATTGGGAAACTAAAACTTACAAACATGAAACAAAGAACTATACTTGGTACCATTTAATGAATATTAAATGGACAATTCGGCTAATAAAGGCAGCAGGAGTTCAGAGAGAGTTAGGAAAGGATTTATAAATATGATAGAACTTGAGGTGTGACTTACAGAATGAGCAGGATGGGTAAAGGTACAGAGAAGGACTTGCAGGTAAGGGGAACAGCATTAGAAAAGGCATTAAGTCCAGGCGTGGTGGCTCACACCTGTAATCCCAGCACTTTGGGAGGCCAAGGTGGGAGGATCACGAGGTCAGGAGTTCGAGACCAGTCTGGCCAACATAGTGAAACCCCATCTCTACTAAACATACAAAAAAATTAGCCAGGTGTGGTGGTGTGCACCTAACGTCCCAGATACTCGGGAGGCTGAGGCAGGAGAATCGAATGAGCCCAGGAGGCGGAGGTTGCAGTGAGCCAAGATCACGCCATTGCATTCCAGGCCGAGCGACAGTGCGAGACTCTGTCTCAAAAAAATAAAGCATTAAAATGAGAATGAGCATGACATATGTGTGACAACATAATGCTACCAACTTTCTACTGCAAAATACTGGCTAGGAAGAGTGGAGATAAAGTTGGATAGGTAAGATAAGCTCAGATCAGAAAGGGTCTCAAATTGCCTTTTACAAAATAGGAGAATTTAAACTTTACCACGTGTAATCACTGCACACTCTTTAGTAAGATAATGAAATAGTGTTAACTGATGATCAATATGGCGGCTGTGGGTAGGGAGACCAAAAGGAGATCAGAGAGCCCAGGAGGGGAATGACTACAATTTCCCAGCTAGAAGGTAATGAATAGTAGGGTTAAGACGGTAGCACTGGAAATATGAAGGGAGAAAGAGATATTTCAAAGAAAAATGGACAAGGCACAGAAATTTGCTAGTTTGAGGATAAAGGAGACAGAAACACTGAAATAAAAAGAAACAACAACAAATACCACCTCCCCTTCCAACCCCAAACTCTATTATTTTGTATCTAAGAGGCCGAAGGAAAACAATGATATGCTTTTCTGGGAATTGACATTATATAACAAGATTGAGATATTGAGGTTTTTTTGTTTGTTTTGTTTATAAGCTGTATAATTTTATCTTTCAGTAAAGAAATGGAGGCATTACATTTCTGCTTATGAGACCTTTAGTAGACAATTAAAAAATCACAATTATATCAAAATTACAAAATAAATGTCATACTATAACTTTGTATCTGTCTTCAAAATTATGTGCAAATATAAATGAAAACACATATCCTATTTGAGTGGTTGTTGGAGGCTGGGGATGGGGGAAATCACTGCAAAGCAGCATGAGGGGACCTCTTTTTGGAATGGAGGAAGTGTTCCATATCTTGACTGGAATGGTCACATAGGTATTGATGTTTGTTAAAACTCACTAAACTGTTCACTTAAAATGGGCACATTTTATGTATGTAAATTAAAGCTCAATAAAATTGATTTATGAAGGAAAAAAGTGGGCCATAAACATTTTAATTTTTCAAACTGAAAAATCTGAAGAGTTGGCTGAGGTGACAAAGCTAATTAAGAAATCACAGAGTAGTTTCTTTTTTTTTTTCTTTTTTTTTCCCGCAAACAGGGTTTCACTTTGTAGCTCAGGCTGGTCTTGAACTGCTGGGCTCAAACTATCGTCCTGCCTCAGTCTCCTGAGTGGATGGGATTATAAGCACACACCACCGTCCCTGGCATAAAATAGTTTTTTAATTCACAAGATTTAATAGGTAGATTAAAAGAAGAGGTAAGACAAAATTAAAAGAGGTAAGACAAGAGAAGGAAAAGTCAGACTGACAGATTATAAGTTCCTATGGTACACAGTCCCCTTAGATTGGAAGAAAGGAGCTAAGAGGGTAAGGAAGCTTGGTTGCCAGTTTTTTATAACTGGCAGCCTGGTGATATTGGGTGTGGTAGCTGAGATGTCCCAATTGTAGTCACAAGGCCTAAAAAAGCAGATCTTTACAAATGTTTAAAAATACTAGCTCAATGTAAATAAGCATGAATGTTCTTGACCTCCTTACTGTGCCCTGAATGTGCCAACCACACTCTCATTCCACCATCTTTGCTCCTGCAATGCTGTTTGCCTGCAGGCCTTCCTGCCAGGAGCTTGCTCCTTCTCTCTGTCCACTCTGGATATAACAGCCCTTGCCCTTCTCCACTTTACGCTCTCTTCCCTTTCTCTTCTTGTACCTTTATTTTCCTGCATAGCACCCATGATTATCTGATCTATTTTTTTCCCTTTTTTTTTCATTCTGGTGCCCAGGCTGGAGTGCAGTGGCACAATATTGGCTTACTGCAGCCTCAGCTTCCCTGGCTCAAGCCATCTGCCCACCTTAGCCTCCCGAGTAGCTGGGACTGCAGGTGCACGCCACCATACCCGGGAAATTTTTGTACTTTTTTTGTAGAGACAGGGTCTTGCTATGTTGCCCAAGCTGGTCTTGAACTCCTGAGCTCAAGCAATCCACACACCTTGACCTCCCAAAGTGCTGGGATTACAGGCATGAGCCACTGCACCCAGCCTGATCTATTATTTATTTACCAGTACCTTCCCTACTGGAATGAAAGCTCCATGAGAACAGAGTCTGTTTTGTTCACTGCTATACCCCTTGTGCCAAGAACACTGTCTGACATATAACAGTAACTGGAATATTTAATGAATGAATGAATGAATCTAGGTATATGATGGTGGGATGAGGAAATAAAGAGATAGAAAATGTCAGTACTGTATAGGTTTCAGGGACAATGAATTATCAATACAATGATATATTGCCTGAATTTCAGCATATCTTAGTAACTGCCTTAAAGTTACAGAAGGACTGAGATAATCTGTTAGAATGTGAACAATAAGAGCACCTACCTCACAGTATCCACATAAATTGTTTAGTGCAGTGCCTGGCACAGAGTAAATGCTCAACAGTTGTTAGTTATGATTAAGTCTGAATAGTAACTCACACACTAAAGTAAAATTGAGGATTTGAAACAGAAATCAGGATTTCCGTTCCTCCTTTGTTAAAACTAGGCACAGTATTCAACAGTCTAATCAATTTCTAAAAGTACCATTTAAAACTGAGGTATTTAGTAAATGGTTTATAGACTACTTAGCTCTGTAACTGAAATAAATTATTCTCCAAACACGGCTTTCCTCAATGAGCTTAATGAATGTTTTCTGTTTACCATTATTGATGCTTTTACAAATATCTCCTATGCCTCCAGAATGATCTCGGTGCCAGTGAGTCACTACAATTTCCTGGATTGCTGTGTTAAATTCAGTTAGAGCCTGCTTTAAACAGCTGATGTATTCTGGAATTGCTGGTTCTCCAGTGTCAATGAGGATTCTCCTGAAAATTAAATGGAAGATAATCACACAATTGGAACACTGCGTTGACATTAGCATTATTTTGCACACAGATAATTTACATTAAAGAAACTGCAAAAATTATTTTACTTTTAACATGCACAAAAACCAGCTACATCACTTCAGCTTAACTACAGTAATCTCACCCTAAGAAAGTTTTCTGAGAAAAATTAGAGCTAAATATAAGTCTGAACAAGGAATAATAGCAGTCATCTTGAACATTTACATAGCAATTAAAATAAACATGGCACCATTCCAAGGACTTTACATATTTTACCAATTACATTCCTCGTAACAACTGTTTAAAGTAGATATTTTATCATTATATTTAGAAGTAACTTGCCCAGGTTACTCTACAGATAAATGGCAGAAACAGCTTTCAAACCCAGGTATTCTGATGCCAGAATATGTGCTTTTATCTATCTGCCTTTGAGATCTCATATCTCAGTATATTTCAAAAGTTTTATAGATATGAAAGATTTTGATTCAATGGCACCCCTAAAGAAACTAGTCTTTGGCACTAGATATACAACTTATCACTGAAGTTTTATATTAGCACCCTGACACATGAAAATGAAGGCTTTAGTGAAGCATGGGAAAAACATCTGAGCTATTTTCTTTCTTTACTTAGACAACCCCATTAGCTGTATTTTTTGCTTGTGGTTCTGAATCTTCCTTATATTTTGTTTGCCCTTCCTCACGATTTTATGAGGTGGCCTTTCTCTGTGAAGTTTTGCTGAACTAAAGACATGGGGGTGACATGTTCCTCAAGATCCAATTCTTTTTTTTTTGAGACAGGGTCTTGCTCTGTCACCCAGGCTGGAGTGCAGTGTTGCGATCTCAGCTCATTGCAGCCTTGACCTCCTGGGCACAAGCGATTCTCCCACATCTACTTCCTGAGTAGCTGGGACTACAGGTATGTGCCACCATGCCCGGCTCATTTTTGTATTTTTTGTAGAGATGGTGTTTCGTCATATTGCCCAGGCTGGTCTCTTAACTCCTGGGGTCAAGCAATCCTCCCACCTCAGCCTCCCAAAGTGCTGGGATTACAGGCGTTGAGCCACCATGCCCAGCTCAAGATCCAATTCACAAACTTCTTCACTCATACTGTTTCACAGTAACACCTCAATAATTCAGGCTGGCTGACAGATTAGCCTTGATGAAAAGTCTGAGTTATTCATTAATTGATCAATAACTGTTTATGGATTACCTAATATGTGCTACAAATTTGTTTCTTGCAGTAAGCAGGACACAACAACCCTGCTTACATTCAACTGTTGGTGAGAAGGGGAACTGCATATGACTGGAAATAAACAATAAAAGTAACATACCATAGAAAGCATTTTGCAAAGCATTAAAATTAAACAGTGAGTAACTGGATGGTTATTTTTTATTGGTTTGTTTCCCTAACCCTACTCCCTGAGACCCAGAGCCAACAAAAACAAACTGGCCTCTCATAAGGGAGGAGGGTAATGGCCTCATAGCCCATTGGCTTCTATCTGCACCCTATGTTCTGTAGCACAGTAGATGTCCTTCAGAAACACAGTGTTGAACTGTCCTATCCGGAGACAGGAGACCAGATGGTTACACTGGACCAAGAGGGCATTTATTATAGGGTTCTGTTGGTAGTGGAAATGTAAGGAAGAGATGGCTTTAAGAACATTTAGAAGGTACAATCAACCAACCACCAGGATATTTGTTAAACAACGAGATGTGGAAGGAGGGAAACAGTTGGCGACTCTGAGGTTTCTAGGTGGGAGGATTGGTGTGCCATTAATCAAGAAGGTAAACCCTGGAGGGAGCAAATTTGAGATGAGTTTGACTCGGGTCAGAGTGAGTTCTGATGCTATTCCTAGCCATCTTATCTTGCTTTTTTTCCATAGCAATTATTACCATGTAATATATTATGTATTTACATATTTATTTTTTTATTGCCTATTTCCACAACCAACACCACCGTACAAATTTGAGTCCCTTCAGGGCAGAAAGCTTGTCTGTTTGGTTCAAGGAATTTATGGATTTATTTCTATATCCATAATACATTGTACTGCACTTAGCATTGTGCATATTTAGTTATGCTAAATTAAAATACACAAGACTATAATACTATGATACCTCCAATAATACTCTCTAGCCCACCCATCCTAGATTTTGGCTGCCTCCATGCATTTGCAGTTATTTACCACAAATTCTCACTGCCCCTAACGTAGAGTCACTGGGACTATTTTTGTGGGTCTTCTGGTCCTCACAAAAAGAATACTTCCATGCTTCAGGTAAGGCTCAAATTTTTTCAATCCATCAAGGCCCCACCACTTTTAAAATTATTTCTTAATCCTTGCCTTCCCGTCCTCCCAAGAAACTCTGTTTTGAAATATCTCCTAATCTAAAAATGAATATAAATTTCTGTAATTTAATGACCAGATCACATCACACTGATCAAAAGTCATGACAAAATTAACAGGGTTGATACATGAATTTGATAAAATCTAGTAGCAAAGAAAACAGATCTTTTAGAATGCCTGTGCTGGTTGTTTGCAGGTGAAAGTGTGAGTGACCATACGACTGTGGTAGTGGAGAACATGTTTCTGGGGCTCCAGTTTTAGGTCTCTTAATGGTCCTGTCTTGGTTTAACAAAATTGGAATTGATAAAAGAAGGGCTCTCAAAAGAAAGAAAACAGAAAAAAGTTCTGGAATTAATACAATCTATTCAGAACAAAGGAGGGGTGTCTAGATACTATAAAACCTAAAACATGAGTTTGCACCAAGCTTTGAGGGAAAAAAAAAGTCACACTGATAACATATGACATTGACATAGCAATTTAAACCATTTGGGGCTTTCATATTTACTATTTCTTTTGATCCTCATATCAACTCTAGGGAGGTATTATTACTTTATTAATTATTTATTTTATAGAAAACTTATCTTCAGAAAGGCTAAGTGATTTGCTCCAGGTCATATAACCAGCAAGAGGCAGTGCTAGGAAGCACTAGATGTTCAGATACAAGGTCCAGTGACTTCTCCATTCAAAACACTGCCTCTCTAGCAGAAGGGGATTGCTTAGGTTAAGTGCTTAGAATCATTATGTGGCAAAAATAAAACTTCAGCTATACATTTGAAAAAACTGTTATCAGTTTTGAAATTGAAAAAAATGTTATCAGTTTCTCCCTTAGCAAACAGTTACTCTATCAGTGATGTCTGTAAATAGTTATAATAGATGATTGGATAGTATCATCTCTACATGGGCTAGTTGACTTTGTTCTTCTTGGCCACAGATAATAATATCCCTATCTCAGGAGGTCATTTTGCAAATGCAAATTATGCTAATGAAGGGCTCAAGGGAAGAGTATGGATGAATCTGTATAGGTCTATGAACGATTTATTCACTAGAGCAAAGTGCCTGGCACATAGTAGGCACACAATAACTGTTTGCTACATGAATGGAGAAAAAAATTTTTAATTGATGGAAAATTAGTAGAATCAAATTCCTTGTTATAGGTATTTCATGTCAATATTAAGATAGCTATTAACTGGTCTCTATTTGCTGTCACTCTTATAAAATCATTAGATATTTTCTGAACACCTACTATGAGCACAGTGTTATCTAGATGTTATGAGGAAAGCAGAAGTGATAAACATAATGGCTAACATGGTATGTTTTCCACGTGCTAGAACTTGTTAAGTGCTTTTCATATACGTTTTTTCACTTAAATTTCACTGAGCCCTTATAAAATCCAATGAGGTAGGTACTACACAACCTTCATTGGGTTGTATCAGGAATCTGAAGCTTAGAACTGTCTTGTCCAAAGTCATATGGCTAGTAAATGGCACCAGGATTCTAATCGAGGTAACCAGAGTCCAGAGTTTTAATTCTATTCCACTTGACTACCTTTTTCTATTATCAGCCACACTGTCTGCCCACAAAGTATGTACAATTTTGATAGGAAAGGTTAAAATTGCAGTTTTTAAAGGTTCTTGAGCAGAGGAGGAAAGTAAAAACACTGGACAATTTGGCTGTCATTTGTTGATTCAAATGCTTATTGAGTACCTATGTACTAAGCATCACAGTTAGGTCTAGCAGTGTTTTAGTGAAATTCATTTGGCTTCCATGGGCTGATCAGATGAGGAAGGAAGACCAGCTAAAACTGTAGTTATCCAGCAGTTCTGGAGTCATAATAGTGAAAATTAAGAGAAAATGTACAGAATGCTCATTCATTCAGCAACTGTTTACTGTTCTACCTGAACTGTGTACAAGGCTCTGTGCTAGGTGCTGGGGATATAGCCATGAATATGCTTTCACTGAACTGATGTTATAGTGGGGTATGAAGGTGTGGAAAGACACTAAGCTTCTTGCACAAAAAAATCATTTCATTATCATTGAGATAAGGACCATGAAAAGTATGGAGTGTCCCTAATACAGTCTGATGGGTCAGGGAAGACTTCCATGAGGAAATGGTATTTAAACTGTGCTCTAAAGGATGAATGAGATTAGCTGGGTAAAGAAGGGAGGAATGAGTGGAAGAAAGAGGAAAGCATGCGTGAAGGCCCTGAGACAGGGAATCACAAACCTCATCTGAGACACTAGAAGGCCAGCATGGCTGGAGTGGGAGAGGTTTGAGAGGAGCCTGATAAGACTGATGGAGGCCAGAATACACAAGGCCTTCCAGTTTTAATTCCTAAAATACCACTCAGGCTACAAAGGGAAGATTGGATTGAAGAGAGACAGAGGTAGTCGTACAGAAGCCAATTAGGAGGCTATTACAGTAGCCTAAGCAAGAGTTGTGCTGGCTTGGACTGAGTGACAGCAGGGGACATGAACAGATCTTCATAATGGCTTGGATATGCAGTAGGAAGCAAATAAATGTCAGGAAGGGTATTTAGGCATTTCCTTTGATGGCTTTGTTTATCAAGATATGAACAACTGAAGGAGGACCTGGCAGTTTTCTGGAAAGGTTATGAGTTCAGTATGGAAAACACTGAGTTCCAGGCAGCAGTGAGTCATGCAAATAGATTTAAAAGTTGGCTACTTGAGTCTGAAGATCAAGTTTGGAATTTGAACTTGAGCTATATATTTGGTAGTTAATAATAAACAGATAATAAAGGCAAAGCCAAATAAGTAGATGAGATCACCTAGGTAGAGAATACAGTAGAAGAACATGAGAGATGAGGATTATATACTGAATAACTAAAATAATTAAAGATTTGATAAAGAAGATGACTCTATCAAGGTGAAAGAGAAAGAGCAGCTCAAGAGGTAATAGGAAACCTGAAGAATGTGGTGTTGGCAAATTAAGGAGGGAGTCGTCAATGGTGTCAAAGCACTGAAGTTCAAGGAAGATGAGAACAGAAAAATACCATTGGGGTTAGTGATACAAAAGCCGCTTGTGATCTTAGAACTGTTTTGTGAAGCGGAACAGGTGGATACCAATCTCAGAACATCTGACAAGGGGCCAATTAATATTAACTTCTAGCCACCTTTTACTTTACACCTTTTACTTTATACAGTAGCATTATCTACACTTATTTCTAGCTCAACTATACGGACTCTCTAGTTCAACTATATGGAGAAATAATTTACATAGTGCAAGTAATTCCACTGGCCATTCCACTCCATTAATTTATGTGAGCAACAGTGTTAAGTAATTTAAGACGAGAGACTATAAATCTGCTTTTCCCTCAGTTAGTCTTTAAGTCTCTCTTAGCACTAGCACTTTGCTATGTTGAGTGTGATTATAGTGTTTAAAGATACAGTATGTATTTTTCATACAATATAGCCCCTCAACACAAGCCAATTTCTTCACCTGGTTTTCAAACAGAATCAGCCATCTGTTTCAACGCTGGAAAAAAGGCAGGTTGTGCTGAACTTACTGAGACAATACACTGATCTCCAACATGGTGTTCTTCTAAGAGACTTTCCAGGGTAATTCTGATAATATGCATCTTTTGTCTGAGGTATTGACTAGTTCAAGATGACACACTGTAGAGAGACCGCCTATGGATTTACTTGGTTGAGGGACTTCCAGCCAAGACAGACTGTACCCTAGAGATCTGGCATTTTTCCTGCTTAATTCTCTATCCTCCTAGATTCTGGTGGCAGCCTAAACCTTTGGTAACTACCTGACCCTGCCTTATTTACTCTGAACTTAATCTTTTACCTGCCCACTTTGCAGGTCTGCTGCTTCTAAAATTCTTATTTACTGGAAAAACGCCAAACAGTAGACACTTCCAAGGAAAACTCAATTAACTGTACTTACTAAATCGTTTTTAGTAATCAATTATATTTTAAAAATAATTTATGTCTTGACTGCACAATTAAATTCTATGCTCAAGAGAAACTACATTATCTGGGTTCATCCAGTAAAGACTACAAAAGTTGCTAAATGCCTAAGACTTACTATGCAGTAAACCAAATCTCCCATTCCTGCATAATTCCACTAAAACAGAATGCAGCTAAACAAGAGCAAAAGTATCTTCTTAGAAATACAGGTGTGTTACTGTGTCTGCAAATTAAACTCAAACAAGGTCACACACAATTGTAACAAAAAACTTCCCCAAATTACTTATGTCAGCTCCTCTTATGAGCCCACAGGCTGCAGAGAACCAATTTGGAAGCCAGGAGAATCCTGCCCTCTGCTGCTGAGTTGAGGAAATCGCCTCAACATAATTAATCGCTTTTGAGAAGGGAAGTTACACTCTGGGCAAAACACCAGTGAAAGTCAAGTGAGCAAAGTAAACGCTTTCTTGGACTCTTGACATCCGAATTTTCTCAACAGTTTAAACACGCACACCCTGGCATTCAAACATCAAGAACAGTAAATCGGGTTTCAAAACAGAAGTTTTTTTTTTTTTTTTTTTTTTTTTTTCCATTTCTCCCTAAATTAGAGAGCTATCACCTGGGGTGGTCGTATTTTAGCTAGCTTCGAGATCCGAGTGTCTGCGTGCAGTCCCGACGGGGCTGCTAGGCGCGGGGCTGCCCAGCTAGGGACAGGACGCGGCGCTCTCCACTGCCCGCGCAGCCGCGATCAGTCAAAGCCCGGGCTCCGGGGCCGGCTGCGAACGTTGGGGAGGTTGGAGAGGGACGTTTACCTGGGGCCGGTCCCCACTAGGTAGGTGTTGGTGCCTTGGAGGGTCATGGGACCCGGGTTACAGCCCAACACACGCACGACTCGATTGGACAGCCGCTCGACGCGCTGCAGTACAGCAGCCATTCCCGCCTCAGCCGCCCGCCGGCGTGTCGCCTATCTGGATACTCCAGCGCGGAAGAAGCCAACAGGCCGGGGATAGCGAGTAGCGTCCACGTGATGCCTCGCAACCCGGGAGGGAGGGGATTGGCCAGCGGCTGGTCCAGGTGTCATGTGACACCGCGGACGAGCCGGGGCGGGGATCCGGCAGCTAGGCCGGGGGGTGGGGGGGGCGGTGCGGAACTAGAGGTCACGTGACGCCGCGCGGGCTGCGCGGGCAGTGGTGGGAAGGCTGGCGCGAGGCGTGAGGTGGCGTGAGGCGAAGCTGGAATCTGCCTCTGTCACGGGGGCTGGTGCCTCACGGGTTTGTGTCCTAGACAGGCGAGTGGATCCAAGTGGGCGAGAGACATTTTAATCTGGAAGAGTCTTGTGATTTGGGAGACAGGTTTGGTAACCGTTCGTTATTCAGTAATAAATGTCAGGAAGGATTGCCAGATTTTTAGGCAGTGGCTCTGTGTGTGTGTGTGTGTGTGTGTGTGTGTGTGTAGTAGTAGTAGTAGTAGCCTGTTCATTTTTTTTTTTTTTTTTTTTGAGACGAAGTCTCGGTCTGTCGCCCAGGCTGGAGTGCAGTGGCGCGATCTCGGCTCACTGCAAGCCCCGCCTCCCGGGTTCACGCCATCCTCCTGCCTCGGCCTCCCGAGTAGCTGGGACTATAGGCGTCCGCCACCACGCCCGGCTAATTTTTTGTATTTTTAGTAGAGACCGGGTTTCATTGTGTTAGCCAGGAAGGTCTTGATCTCCTGACCTCGTGATCCGCCCGCCTCGGCCTCCCAAAGTGCTGGGATTACAGGCGTGAGCTACCACGCCGGGCCAGCCTGTTCATCTTTTATAATAAATAGTGGTAAGACATATTTACTTAGTACTTCCTACTATGCCTAAGTGCTTTCAACAAACATCCGACTTAACGCCCTTAATCCTCAGAACATTATTAAGAGGTGGACACTATTTTTGTTACAAATGAAAAACGGGGATTGGGCAGCTGCCCAGATGACAGAGTCTGCGTGTGCGGCCTTGCTCCTACCTGCCTCGCACTAACACTTGTCCCCCTCAGTGAGATTCAAGGAGCATGCCTCTGCCTGCCAGTGTTACCTGCCTGCCCAGAGAGCTAGGCTGGTCTTGTGGAGCCGTTTTGTGCCCAAGATGGAAGGGACTCATTTTCTCTGTAACAAGTCGGTTTCTTATCAGCCAAGTATTAACTATCCAGTGTTAACTACAGCTTCCCATAAAAAAAGTTGAGTTATAAATTACTTAAAAGAAAATACACAGATCCTGTAGACAGTTCCATCGAGTTATGACAATTGTATGTAATCACTGCCCCAAAGAGATGTAGAACATATCCACTGTAGCAGCCCACTCTTTTTTTTTTTAAAAAAAGGTGAGAAATTGACACATACAGTGCTTGGTGGCTTTTTTTTTTCCAGATATTTCTGATGAAGAAAACGATCTGCTCTTACCTATTTTATGAATCAGCAGCATAGTGTATCAGAGTGGCTAATGACATCTGCTTTGTGTGTGAGAAATGTCTTTGCCTTGTTTCACACAGTTGTACTTTTAATGGAAAAATATTCAAAAAATCATCGCTGAAATAATCATATAAGTTATCCCCTGTTGCAATGGGAAGTTAAACAGTATACCCTTCAAAAAATACTTAAAGTAACCAAATCTCCTACATCAGGCATTTCAATCTGTCAATATGTATTTATGATAGCCATCAATTAATGGCTATTCAGGCAGGAGGCTTTGCACATCTTCCCTTTTTAAGAACTCTGCTGGAAAGTCAGTGAACCCTGGAGAAGAGGATGGAACAGTAATTTCTGGACCAGATTCCTGAGAATCTGGGCACTCCCCTTCTTTTATTCTTTGGCTTAATTAATTTCCTTACTTAACTTACTTATTTACTTACAGGGTCTGGCTTTCACCCGGGCTGCAGTGCAGTGGCACTATCATAGCTCACTGTAACCTTGAACTCTTGAACTCAAGCGATTCAGGTGATCCTCCTGCTTTGGTCTCCCAAAGTGCTAGGATTGCAGGCTTGAGCCACCATGCCTGGCTGAGATAAACTTTTTAGCTCCCACGTATGAATGAGAATATGTGATATTTGTCTTTCTATGCATGGATTATTTCACTTATCATAATCTCTAGTTCCATCCATGTTGCTGAAAATGACATGATCTCATTTTTTTTTTTTTTTTATTATACTCTAAGTTTTAGGGTACATGTGCACATTGTGCAGGTTAGTTACATATGTATACATGTGCCATGCTGGTGCGCTGCACCCACTAATGTGTCATCTAGCATTAGGTATATCTCCCAATGCTATCCCTCCCCCCTTCCCCGACCCCACCACAGTCCCCAGAGTGTGATATTCCCCTTCCTGTGTCCATGTGATCTCATTGTTCAATTCCCACCTATGAGTGAGAATATGCGGTGTTTGGTTTTTTGTTCTTGCGATAGTTTACTGAGAATGATGGTTTCCAATTTCATCCATGTCCCTACAAAGGATATGAACTCATCATTTTTTATGGCTGCATAGTATTCCATGGTGTATATGTGCCACATTTTCTTAATCCAATCTATCATTGTTGGACATTTGGGTTGGTTCCAAGTCTTTGCTATTGTGAATAGTGCCGCAATAAACATACGTGTGATTGTTTATCTAGAAAACCCCATCGTCTCAGCCCAAAATCTCCTTAAGCTGATAAGCAACTTCAGCAAAGTCTCAGGATACAAAATCAATGTACAAAAATCACAAGCATTCTTATACACCAACAACAGACAAACAGAGAGCCAAATCATGGGTGAACTCCCATTCACAATTGCTTCAAAGAGAATAAAATACCTAGGAATCCAACTTACAAGGGATGTGAAGGACCTCTTCAAGGAGAACTACAAACCACTGCTCAAGGAAATAAAAGAGGAGACAAACAAATGGAAGAACATTCCATGCTCATGGGTAGGAAGAATCAATATCGTGAAAATGGCCATACTGCCCAAGGTAATTTACAGATTCAATGCCATCCCCATCAAGCTACCAATGACTTTCTTCACAGAATTGGAAAAAACTACTTTAAAGTTCATATGGAACCAAAAAAGAGCCCGCATTGCCAAGTCAATCCTAAGCCAAAAGAACAAAGCTGGAGGCATCACACTACCTGACTTCAAACTATACTACAAGGCTACAGTAACCAAAACAGCATGGTACTGGTACCAAAACAGAGATATAGATCAATGGAACAGAACAGAGCCCTCAGAAATATGATCTCATTTTTTTATGGCCAAATAGTATTTTATTGTGTGTATATATCACATTTTCTTTATCCATTTGTTTGTTGATGGACTTTTAGGTTGATTTCATATCTTTCCTATTGTGAATAATGTTGTGATAAACATGCAGGTGCAGTTGTCCCTTTGATATACAAATAGTAGTGGGATTGCTAAATCATATGGTAGTTCTGTGTGTGTGTGTGTGTGTATTTTATACATCTCTGTACTGTTTTCCATAGCGGTTGTACTAATTTACATTCCCACCAACTGTGTATGAGAGTTCCTTTTTCTCTACATCCTCTGCAGCATCTGTTATTGTCTTTTTAATAACAGCTATTCTAACTGGGGTAAGATGATATCTCATTATGGTTTTGATTTGCATTTGCCTGATGATTAGTGATGTTGAGCATTTTTTCATATGTTTGTTGGCCATTTGTATGTCTTCTTTTGAGAATCGTCTATTCATGTTCTGTACCCTCTTTTTGGTGGGATTATTTGTGTTTTCTCTTGTTGAGTTTGAGTTCCTTGTATGTTCTGGATATTAGTCCCTTGTCAGATGAATAGTTTGCAAATATTTTCTTCTGTTCAGCAGATGTCTCTGCACCCTGTTGATTGTTTCCTTTGCTGTGCAGAAACTTTTTCATTTAATATAGTCAAATTTGTCTGTTTTTATTTTAGTCGTATGTGCTTTTGAGGTCTTAGCTACAAAATCTTTGCCTAAACCAATGTCCTTATGTATTTTACCAATATTTTCTTCTAGTAGTTTTATAGTTTAAGGTCTTACGTTTAATCCTTCTTGAGTTGGCTTTTGCATATGATGAGAGACAAGGTCCAGCTTCATTAGCTTTTTTTAAAAATTAAACTTTCACTTGCACTTTCCTTCTGGATTCCATTTAATCAATTGCCAAGCTCCTCATTTGGCAGATGAAGGAATAGGCCAAATGATTTAAAAGTAAGGCAACTTGCATAGGGCCATACAAGGAGATACTAGAAAAAGAGTACAAATAGAAGGTAGATAGTGACTATGTTTTAGATGAGATAAAATTGAGGTAATTGTGGTATATCCAGGTAAAGAAACCTATGGACAGTTAGATATATTTTTTGGTCGGGTGTGGTGGCTCACGCCTGTAATCCCAGCACTTTGGGAGACTAGCCTGACCAACATGGTGAAACCCTGTCTCTACTAAAAATACAAAAATTAGGTGGGCATGGTGGCGGGTGCCTGTAATCCCAGCTACTTGGGAGGCCGAGGCAGGAGAATCACTTGAACCCAGGAGGCGGAGGTTGCAGTGAGCTGAGATCGCGGCACTGCACTCCAGCCTGAGTGACAGAGTGAGACTCCATGTCAAAAAAAAAAAAGATACAAAATTAAGTCTTTGTGAATATGTTTAGAAATGTGACTTGAAGTTTAAGTTCCTCTCCAAGAAATCAGATCAAATATTTTTCACGTTCTGTTCAGTTACACTTACAATAGTTTATTATCTACTTACAACATGCAAGGTAATGTTGTAGACATATTGAGGGCATGTTAAAAATGAATAAGATAATCTTTGCTTTCTAGAGGGTCATAACCATGAAGGAGATACTTTTAAAGTATATATGGGTTCAGGTATGGTGGCATGAGCCTGTAATCCTAGCACTGTTGGGAGGCTGAGTCTGGAGGAGTGCTTGAGCCCAGGAGTTCGAGGTTATAGTGAGCTATGATTGTGCCACTGCACTCCAGCCTGAGTGATGGAGCAAGACCTTGTCTCTTAAAAAAAAGCATATGTGGGTAAATACTAGAAGAGAAGTACAGCTGAAGTGATGAGATTGCAAGGAGAAAGGGGAGAAACATACTGGGATGATCTGGGAAAGCCTAAAGATGGTGGGTTTTGAGCTGATTCTTAAAGGATTGACAGAATTTCATCAGATAGATGGCAGTTATTCTAGACAGCAGTAAATAACCTTGAGCAAAGGCTTGGAAATGGAAGAAAAGTAGTGCTTATTTTGGGAATACAGACCAACAATCATATGCTCTTTGGGGCACAAGATTTGAGAAGGTATAAGGTTGAAAAGTAGGTAGGGCTGAGTTTATGATACTTTGTTAGAGTACTTCAAATTTAAGAACCTCCTTTTCAAACATGACATGTTATCCATTTGGATATGTTGTGAGACAAATTGTATTTTCTTGACTTATTTGACAAATACAGTGAAAGCTTGGAGCCTAGTCAGCCTATGAAAGGACCTATGCTATTTCTTCCTCTCAATGAGATAGTTATAAAAGGGTGTACTGTATTCACAATGACACAGACTCTTATCACTAGATTAGAAAATGCCACATATGACTAACAGGTGATTTCAGTTTCATTTTAGTATTCGATCTTAAAGGTTTACACATCCTTTAATTATACTTGTTTTTAGTGAAGAAGAAGTAAAATATTCACAAGATGAAGATTTTTCCAGAAGGGACTTTGAGTCAAAGATGGCTTTTTATATTTGACAAGTAAGTCTATGTTTTATATGTGTTATATTTGGTTGACAAGGGAAAGTTTCCTAGTTTTAATTTCTTTAAATATCTGCTTTATCTCAGATAGTTGTACAGTGGGCAAAAGTTACGTATTTCGGCTCGCAGCCAGGTAGCCACATAGCTAGGTTGATATTTGGAATTGGATTGAAACCGTTTGTGTTAAGCCATTCTTGCATTGCTGTAAAGAAATACTTGAGACTAGGTAATTTATAAGAAACGAGGGCCAGGTGCAGTTGCCCATTCTTGTAATCCCAGCACTTTGGGAGGCTGAGGTGGGTGGGTCACTTGAGGTCAGGATTCGAAATCAGCCTGCCCAATATGGCGAAACCCCGTCTCTACTAAAAATACAAAAATTAGCTGGGTTTGGTGGTGTGCACCTGTAGTCCCAGCTACTTGGAGAGGCTGAGGCAGAAGAATCACTCGAACCCACTGTCTTTGATATTAGCACTTGGCTCCCTTTTAGTTTTGCAAATATCTTTAGCAAGTGGTTGCTGTACAGCCTGCTTAAAGTCCTCTTCTGAAGAAGCTTTTTCTTTCTCTCTCACCTGGCCAGGCTGCACATTTTTCAAACTTTTATGCTCTGCTTCCTGTTTAAATATAAATTCAAATTTTCAGTCATTTTCTTGCTTCCACATCTGGGCATAGGTTGTTAGAAGCAGCTGGTCCATGTCTTGAATGCTTTGCTACTTAGAAATTTCTTCTGCCAGGTACCCTAAATCATCACTCTGAAGTTCAAACTTCCATAGATCTCTAGGGCACAAATACAATCCAGCCAAGCTTTTTGCTGAGGCATAACATGGGTGATCTTTGCTCCACTTCTGAATAAGTTACTCATTTCCATCTGAGACATCAGCAGCCTGGACTTCATTGTCCATATCATTATCGGCATTTGGGTCACAACCTTTAAGAAGCTCCAAACTTTCCCTCATCTTCCCTTCTTCTCTGAGTCTTACAAACTCTTCTAGCCTCTGCCTGTTACTCAGTTCTAACACTGTTTTCATGTTTTCAGGTATCTTTATAGCAAAACTTTACTACTGGTGCCAATTTTCTGTGTTAGGCCATTCTTGCATTGCTATAAAGAAATACCTGAGACTGGGTAATTTATAAGAAAATAAGTTTAATAGGCTCATGGTTCTTCAGGCTGTACAGGAAGCAAAGTGCCAGAATCTGCTTTTGGGGAGGCCTCAGGAAGCTTACAATCATGGCAGAAGGTGAAGAGGAAGCACGTGTCTCACGTGGAGAGAGCAGGAGCAAAAAAGAGAGTAGTGGGGGAGATGCAATGCTTTACAACAACCAGATCTCACTCACTATCGTGAGGACAGCACCAAACCATGAGAGATACACCCCTATGACCCAAAACCTCCAACCAGGCCCCACCTCCAACATGGGGGATTACAATTCAACATGAGATTTGGTAGGGACATATATTCAGATTATATCATTGTCCTATTAAGTCAGTAAGTGTAAGAAGTCCCCTATGAAGCCAAACTTTGTAGGTGGCATTATTTTACCTAAGGTGGTACTGGAATAGTGATCAACCATAGAGATAGAGATGAACTATTCTTAATACAAGTTATTCAACAATTGAAAGACCTGCAGCTCTCTTTATCAGATCCGCCGTATGTATTAGCTTGCTATGTAGGTTTCCTTCTACTTGGTGTTATGTTCTGCCTGACTAAATTAGGAATATGGATATTACCATATTAGATTAATCTATTGCATCTAATGTTCTGCCAGTAACAGTTTCTGTTTCTTGGAAATTATTCTTTCCATCTTGTAAAAGTTGACTCAAAACTGCTAGTGTTGGCCAGGTATGGTACCTGTGCTGATAGTCCCAGCTACTCAGGAGGCTAAGGTGGGAGGATCACTTGAGCACAGGAATTCAAGACCAGCCTGGGTAATATAGAGAGACCCTGTCTCTTAAACAAACAAACAAACAAACAACCCAAACCTGCTACTACTATTTTTATTACTCTTGCCAGGTAAAGGAAGCTCTCTTTATGGGTAGAGAGATTAAGAAATGCACATATGGAATACTGAAGTATTATAGTCTGTAATTTTAAGGAAATTATCTACATTTAAAATCATTTAAAGCAAAATTTTAGCTTAACTATTGTGTTTTAGTCAAGTTTTATTCTTTTGAACATGTTCTCAGACTATAAAGTTTTCCTGAGAAAAAGCAGTGGAAAATAAGTTAAAGATTAAAAAAAAATAAAAAAAATCTTTTTTTGTTTTGTTTTGTGACAGGGTCTCACTTTGTTGCCCAGTCTGGAGTGCAGCGATGCCATATCAGTTCACTGCAACCCCCACTTCCTGGGCTTAAATGATCCTCCCACCTCAGCCTCCCAAGTAGCTGACACTACAGGAGCACACTACCATGCCTGGCTAATTTTTGTATTTTTTTTGTAGAGGTGGGGTTTCACCATGTTGCCCAGGCTGGTCTTGAACTCCTGGACTCAAGTGATCTGCCTGGCTCAGCCTCCCAAAGTGCTGAGATTACAGGCGTGAGCTACTGCACCTGGCCAAGATTTTTGTTTAGAAAGGTTTAGATCACATCATTTGCAATTCTAACTATATTCCCCTCTCCCTTTAATTTCACTACAGAAAAGAATAATATACAATAATAATGTGTATTCTATCTCAAATCTATAGACTGCTGTGCCTAAGTGTTATACTCACACAGCTATAAATGTTTTCTGTTTTCTCTTCAGATACTGTGTAAGTATATTGTGGGTAGGACCTAAGCATTGGAGGCAAACAGATTTTACTCATTAGAGAAAACTCACCTAAATATCCAACACCTCTATGCCTCAGTTTTCTGGTCTACAAAATGGAGTCAATAATACTGTTTTCACAGGGATTTGTGAGGATTAAATGAAATAATTTATGCCAAAAAACTTCACTTTTAGTAAACACCTAGCAGTAGTAGCTACTATTACTACCATCTATTCTTCTCCTATATAAGCAATTTTTTTCTTAGTAAAGCTTAAGAAATTATATTTTTAAGAATGATATTAGAACAGGATTTGTATACACATTAAACATATCCAGTAGAACCATGCTAAGGAATTTCTGACAATATTTTTTGAAACTTTTGTTTTTGAAGGATTCAAAATCTAGTGCATTAGACTTTTGAACTAGCTGTTCCTTCAAGCTGGAAGGCTTTTCCATCTCTATGCACATGGCCAATTTCACTACTCAAATGCCACCTTCTCAGTGAGTCCTGCCCTGACCAATCTAATTAATGTCACAGCCCATGATATGCCCATCTCTACTGTAATTGCTGATCTTCCTTACTATGCTTTATTTTTTCCATAGCACTTACCACCTTCTAATATATTTGATTTATTAATTATTTTTTATTGTTAATTGACTATATTTTGAATTTTATGTTTAAGAATGATACATAATAGATGTACATATTTTTGAGGTGCATGTGATAATTTAATACATTCATATAATTTATAAAGATCAAATCATTGTAGTTGAGATACCCCTTGATTATCTTTCTGTGCTAGGATATAAGTTCCACAGGGGCAGGAATATTTGTCTCTCATCACTTGATATATCCAGGAAAGCCTAAAACAGCACATGGTAGTTTCTAAGTAAATATTTAATTAGTTCAATTGAGCAGAACCTCCCGATTAATCTCATCCTCCTAAACCCCATGTGTATGTTGGCTTGAGGTCTTTCATGTTAGCATAAGAAACCTGCTGCAGGGAAATTCATGGCCCACTAGATTTTTAAAACTCAGTTTTTAAACTGTTTTTTTCTGTCCTGTTGGCCACAACATTCTTGACAGGAGAAGCAGTGATCATAACTGTTGCTTTATTCCGTGAGAAGAATGAAATACCTTTTAATATTATTCTGAAGACTTTTTAGCAAAATACTTATAAGTGATAAAATGATAAGAACACAGTAAGTATTGGTTTGTGTGTGTGTTTTTAGTAAACATTCACCTTGGTGTGTTTAAAGTAATAAATTTTTTTATAGAAACATAGTGTGTTAACTGGTCTGGCTGCCATAGCAGAATACCACAGACTTATTAGCTTAAACAATAGAAATTTATTTTTTGACAGTTCTGGACACTGGAAGTCCAAGATCATTGTGCCAGCAGGGTTGGTTTCTGGTGAGGTTCTCTCTCCTTGGGTTACAGATGGCTGCCTTCTTGTGTCCTCACATGGCCTTTTCTCTGGTGTTGCTTCCTCTTCTTGTAAGAACTCCAGTCCTATTGCATCAGGGCTCCAGAGCTCATTTATCCCTCCTTACCTTTAAGATCATACCACAGTACTTTTTCACTTAACATTATATGAAGTCAAGTCAGACATTGCAAACTCATATGCTTACAGAGGCCAGGCAAGCAGTTAGCAAGGTAATAATGATAACTAACATTTACTGGGCCCTAACTGTGTGCCAAGTACTTTTCTAGGGGTTTATATGTATTACATGTATTATCTTTCTTGACCTTCACAACAACCCTATAAGGTATATACCATTATTCTCTCCACATTTTAGATGAAGAAAATAAAGTATAAGGCTGAAAAGAATACATCTAGGGACACACAGCTAGTAGGTAGCTGCATTAACATTGAGACCCAGCTGTTGAAATGCCTGAAATGGGCCAGATGACTACTGCGATGAACAGGAGAGAGCATGCCCCATCTAAAGGGGCAGCCACTGCTCATGAAGGACTAATCTAGCATAGAAGATGTTTCTGTTTTTTGTTAGCAGTCAAACATTTGTGTTTTTTGTGAAATGTTGGCAATTAATTAGGAAAACAAACCAAAAAACCACCACTGAGTCAGACAAATCTTGTATGCAGATTGTGTTCATTCAGACTATGTTTATAAAATAGTAATAATAATAGTAGAATCTACATTTTAAGTGATAGAAGAATTAAATTGGGGCGTTTTATATACAACATTTTGCTCAGTGCTTGGCACATAGTGGTAAGTAAATGTTAGCTTTCATTAGTAGCATAAACATTTTCTCCAGTCATTGAGATTCTGCATGAGTATCATTTACTATTTTTATTTTAAAAAATTATATACCTAACAACATCAGTACAGGTCTGTTGTAAAAAAAAAACCTCAAAAAAATGTAGCAGTATAGAGAGAAAACAACTGAAGTTGCATTTGCTTCCTACTCTCAACCGCCTTCCTCTCTCCATGTATAATTAAAAACCATAAATAGTATACAGTATTTATCTTTCTGGGATTTGCTTTTTTCACTTAAAACATCTTGAAGATCTTCTGAAGTGAGTTCATACAAAGCTGCTTTAATCTTTTTAAAGGCTGCATGGTGTATCCTTTAGTGTGGATGTACCATAATCTATTGAACTAGGCCTCTCAATTGTCATTTAGGTAGTTTTCAATATTTCGCTCTTATAAAAAAGGCTCTGCAAAGATTATCTTTTTGTACATTTTTGAATATTTCCCTAGGATAGAATCCTAGATGGAATTGCTGGGCCAAAAGCATATTAAGAATTTTTACAACTATTGCACCTTTGTTACATATATTTTAGTAGTTTTGTAATATTCCATTTTATGGATCTACCTTTATTTACTTTACCATTTCCTTATGTTGAAATATTTAGGTTGTTTCCAGTTTGCCACTATAAATAGTCGTGTGATAAATTTCTTTGTGGGTAGGTCATATTTTTAAAAGATAAATAGCCTGAGAGGAAGTTATCAACTATCAAGTATATTTCTGAGACTTTCCCAAAGCTATTATAAGAACTGTATTTAGTGGCAATATATTATTTTTAGGAAAAGTAGAGCTTTGATAAAATCATTGCCAAGCGTTTTTAATATTATACTTAAGATATTTTGGAACTTAAATATCTGTTTTATTTTAGGTCTTGTCATCTGTAATGAAGATCATTGTGAAACAGAAGATTGATTAAAGCCTTGTAACATTGGACCTAGATTAGAGATTTAGAAAAGAAAGTCAAAATTAGTCACTTTAGTGTTAGTGTTCCCATTTCATAATATTTATTCTTTCTTCTAAATAGATTTAGGGAGTAGAAATTAAAATTCAATGCTATACCAAAGGGTATACTAATATTTGTTTGGCTTTTTTTCCCTTTTTGTGAGGGAGAAAAAAGTAGATAACGAAAAGCTATAGTCATTCGTAATGAAATATACTAAACAGAATTTTATGATGTCAGTTCTTGGCATTATAATCTACGTAACTGATTTAATTGTGGACATATGGGTATCTGTCAGATTTTTCCATGAAGGACAGTATGTTTTTAGTGCTTTAGCGTTAAGCTTTATGCTTTTTGGAACACTTGTGGCTCAGTGTTTTAGTTATTCTTGGTTCAAGGCTGATTTAAAGAAAGCAGGCCAAGAAAGTCAGCATTGTTTTCTTCTACTTCATTGCTTGCAAGGAGGAGTTTTTACAAGGTGAGCATACATGTTTAATCATTACCACTGTTTTTCTTTTTCCAAACAGAAGCTACCATTTTGTATCTTATCTGGGTAGTCAAATGTACAAAGATCCCTTATTTGCATGAAGCACAAAGGTTACTTGCTCCTCACTATTGTGCTAATATAAGTCATTGCCATACTGTCAGAATTTTCCAGGTTCATTAATAAAAATGTTTAAATTTATCTAATTAGGTTTTTTCTGATATGAACTCAGTTTTCATGAGAAGGAAAAAGACATTTCTATGTCTTACAGAACTTTTATCTTCTGTGTATATTCTAAGTCTGATTGTGTAAATATGGCATTTCACTTGTAACTGAGAGAGTACTCACTTTTTTGATACTTATCATTGATTTAACTAAATGAAATTTTTGCTGCAATAATGCAGTAGCTATGTGGTTAGCTAGGTACAGAGTCATAGAACTAAAGCAACCTTAAGAATCATGTTGTTATAGGTAGAGAAACGAGACTCTAAATAGGCCCTCAGAATTCCATGATTCTCTGTATATTTAATTTTTTATGACCTCTCCATTATTACTTTAAGTGATTCTACTTTTGATTCTGTCCTGTTAAAAAGCAATTCATGATCCTTAGTTGAATGTATTAAAAAAATTCCAGGCTTTTCTTATATTAATTAATGGGAATAACGCCATTGTATTTATGTGGAGACTTATAGTTTTCAAAGTATTTTCACATATTTTGCCTTTTTGAAGCTATAGTTATTATGTTTTTAATATGTAAAAGAAACAGAATGTGCAGTGAGAAAGAAGTTTATAGGTTTTAGGAAAAGCTGGAAAAAAAGTGCTTTAGTTGTTGGTATTAGAAGTCAATTTTCAAACTGCACATTCTCAATAAGACAAAAATGTTTAAAGAAATACAGTAAAAGTGCTGATGAACAAATACATATGTAATAGGTAAGATTAAATGAGTACTCTGTATGAGCAATATTGAGAATTATGTAGTTGTAATATTGAAGAAAGATAAAAGTTGCTTTTGCAAGGAATTTAGAAATATGGTAAATTCTCTGTTACTTGCCATTCTAATAATGGAAAATTTGCACATCTACAGAACTATTTTCATCAGCATTGAAATGAGGACCTTAAGGTACATTGTGTTATAAATTATAAATTGTATTATAAAAGAAAGGCCAAATTGCCTTGATTTTCAGTGTCTCTTGATACACCTAGTAATTTTTGATTGAATATTACACATTGTATACAAAAGATGATAGAAGTTTCAAATGCTACTGTTTTGCTTTTTCTCTAGTAGGCATTTAGACTAAGGTTCAATCTGCTTTGGTTTGTAGTTTCTAGGGAACTTGAGAGTATGGTGTGGTCATCTCACCTCCACAAGTCCTGAACACTAATTTTTATCTTGGCACCACAAGACTACCAGAAAGCCTGTTTTGCTTTTTCAAGACTTTCTGCTTAGCTTTTAGCCTCTATGGTGTAGTTTCAAAATTTGGCACATACGTTGTTGGAAAAATTGATTGAGTTGAGGTCCCTCAGTCAACAGACCTCTAAAACCTAGCTTAAACATCTTGAAGATCTTCTGAAGTGAGTTCATACAAAGCTGCTTTGCTCTTTTTAAAGGCTGCATGGTGTATCCTTTAGTATGGATGTACTATAATCTATTGAACTAGGCCTCTCTTCTTGCCTAACAACAGCCCTTTGCTTGGGCAGAATCCAGGTTTTCAACCTCTTGTTCTGAGTAATAGAATCAGCAAATATTTCCAAGCAACAAACATTTGTAAATATATCAGCCCAGTTTGTAGTTTCTCTTAATTGCTTTGCCGGGAGCATTGGTCTATTCCAATATGCTGGATCCTACCTAGAAGTATAGTGTGTAACGTGCGGTCTTAAATTGTTCCAAGTATAAAGTAAAACAAAACCTTTGCTGTTAACATTGATAATTTAAAGACCTCAAAACAATATAATTCGATTTGCTATGCTCCCAACTAATATATTTATATTGTTGTCATTTTAATGCCTGTTTTTAATCCCACTAGATATTATTATGTATTTTTCTACTTTATGTAGTTAAATTCTACTGAATTTTGTTTATGTTTACCCATATATTTATACTCTCTTTATTTTTTATTTCTTCTTGAATCTCAGGACTTCTACCTAGAATTACTTTTCTTTTTTTTTTTTGAGACAGGGCCTTGCTCTGTCACCCAGGCTGGCCTGCAGTGGCGCCTTCCCAGCTCATTGCAGCCTCCACCTCCTTGGTTCAAGAGATTCTCCTGCATCAGCTTCCTGAGTAGCTGGGATTACAGGCATGTGCCATGACACTTGGTTAATTTTTGTATTTTTAGTAGAAATGGGGTTTAGTCATGTTGGCCAGGCTGGTCTCGAACTCCTGACCTCAAGTGATCCACCCACCTTGGCCTCCCAAAGTGTTGGGATTATAGGTGTGAGCCACCATGTTCGGCCCTAGAATTACTTTACTTCTGCCTTCCTGAGGTCTGCCTTTTAGAATTTCATCTATTGACGGGCTGTTGGTGACATCACCTCTCAATTTTTGGTTGTTTGAAAATGTCTTTATTTCATTATCTTTCTTGAGAGATATTTTAGTGGCTATAGAATTCTAGATGAGTAGTTATGTTCTCTCTGCATATTATATTTGATTGTTTTTTGGTTTCTATTGTTGCTCTGGAGGAGTTAGATTTTAGTCTCATTGCCGCTCTTTTGAAAGTGTTTTGTCTTTTCCTCCTCTGGCTGCTCTTAAGATTTTTCTCTTTATCTGTGGGTTTCTACAGTTTAATTATATGTTTAGATGTAGATTTTATTTCTCTTGCTTAGGATTTGTTGGTCCTCTTGATTCTGTGGATTATTATCTTCTATTAATTCTATATAATTGTCAGCCATTAACTTTTTTAACATTTTCTTTACTATATTTAGTGTTTCTTTCCCTTCTGGGATGCCAATCAAATGTAAGTTACACGTTCTCACTGTGTTTAACATAACTATTAAATGTTAGATTTTAAAAATTCTTATTTTTGAACTCTTTGTGATACATTCTGTGGAATGTTATAATCCAGATTCCTCCCTCTCATTCCTTGTATCATTGCTATCATTCATTTCACTTGTACTAAGTATACATAAGCATATAAATATATACACATAAGCATACATAATCAAATATATTGTCCTATTATTTTGAACTGTTATCTGGATCAATTAAAATTAAGATCAATTAAATATAATTATATTTAATTGGTCTGTCTTAATTTTAATTGATCTGACAAAGGGCTAATATCCAGAATCTACAATGAACTCAAACAAATTTACAAGAAAAAAACAAACAACCCCATCAAAAAGTGGGCGAAGGACATGAACAGACACGTCTCAAAAGAAGACATTTATGCAGCCAAAAAACACATGAAAAAATGCTCACCATCACTGGCCATCAGAGAAATGCAAATCAAAACCACAATGAGATACCATCTCACACCAGTTAGAATGGCAATCATTAAAAAGTCAGGAAACAACAGGTGCTGGAGAGGATGTGGAGAAATAGGAACACTTTTACACTGTTGCTGGGACTGTAAACTAGTTCAACCATTGTGGAAGTCAGTGTGGCGATTCCTCAGGGATCTAGAACTAGAAATACCATTTGACCCAGCCATCCCATTACTGGGTATATACCCAAAGGACTATAAATCATGCTGCTATAAAGACACGTGCACACGTATGTTGATTGCAGCACTATTCACAATAGCAAAGACTTGGAACCAACCCAAATGTCCAACAACAATAGACTGGATTAAGAAAATGTGGCACATATACACCATGGAATACTACGCAGCCATAAAAAATGAAGAGTTCATGTCCTTTGTAGGGACATGGGTGAAATTGGAAATCATCATTCTCAGTAAACTATCACAAGAACAAAAAACCAAACACCGCATATTCTCACTCGTAGGTGGGAATTGAACAATGAGAACACATGGACACAGGAAGGGGAACATCACACCCTGGGGACTGTTGTGGGGTGGGGGGAGGGGGGAGGGATAGCATTAGGAGATATACCTAATGCTAAATGACGAGTTAATGCATGCAGCACACCAGCATGGCACATGTATACATATGTAACTAACCTGCACATTGCACACATGTACCGTAAAACTTAAAGTATAATAATAATAATAATAATAAAGAAAATGTGGCACACATACACCATGGAATACTATGCAGCCATAAAAAATGATGAGTTCATGTCCTTTGCAGGAACATGGATGAAATTGGAAATCATCATTCTCAGTAAACTATTGCAAGGGCAAAAAACCAAACACCGCATGTTCTCACTCATAGGTGGGAATTGAACAATGAGAACACATGGACACAGGAAGGGGAACATCACACTCTGGGGACTGTTGTGGGGTGGGGGGAGGGGGGAGGGATAGCATTAGGAGATATACCTAATGCTAAATGATGAGTTAATGGGTGCAGCACACCAGCATGGCACATGTATACATATGTAACTAACCTGCATATTGTGCACATGTACTCTAAAACTTAAAGTATAATAATAAAATAAAAAAAATTATATTTAAATAATTTAAATAAAATTAAATCAATTAAAAATAAGAAAAATAAGTTTTTGTTTATCTTCAATTATTCCTTTTTCAGTGCTCTTCCTTTCTTTATATATTTTAATTGATCCAAGTTTCTGACCTGTAACATTTTCCTTTTCTTTGAAGAATCTATTTTAACGTTTCTTGCAAGGCAAGTCTACTGGCAACAAGTTTCCCCAGTGTTTGTGGAAATCTTTATTCTCCTTCACTTTTGAAGCATAATTTCACAGGGTACAGAATTCACAGTGGTGTTTTCTTTCTTTCCTCTCCTTTTTTTACTCTCAACACTTTAAATATTTCACTCCATTCTTTTTTTTTTTTTTTTGAGACAGAATCTCACTGTGTTGCTCAGGCTGGAGTGCTGCAGTGGTGCGGTCACAGGTAACTGCAACCTCTAACTCCCTGGGCTCAGGTGATCCTCCCACTTCAGCCCCACAAGTAGCTGGGACTACAGGTGTGTGCCACCACACCGAGATAGCTAATATATATATATATATATATTTGGTAGAGACAGAGTTCTTTTTTCTTTTTAGATGGATTCTTGCTCTGTTGCCCAGGCTGGAGTGCAGTGGCCCGATATTGGCTCACTGCAACCTCCGCCTCCCAGGTTCAAGCAATTCTCCTTCCTTAGCCTCCTGAGTAGCTGGGACTACAGGCATGTGCCACCATGCCTGGCTAATTTTTGTATTTTTCATAGAGACAGGGTTTTACCATGTTGCCCAGGCTGGTTTTGAACTTTTAGGCTCAAGTGATCCGTCTCCTTCGGCCTCTCAAATCCATTCTCTTCTTGCTTGAATGGTTTCTGAGGAGAAAGTGAATGTAATTTTTACCTTTACTCCTTTAGGTGTTTTTTCCTCTTTGGCCTCTTTTAAAATTTTTTTTCAGTTTTAATTATTATGGGTACATAATAGGTGTATATATTTATGGAGTACATGTAATGTTTTGATAGACATATATAATGTATGATAATCACATAAGGGTAATTGGGATATTTATCACCTCAAGTATTTATTTTTTCTTTGTGTTAGGAACATTCCAATTTCACTCTTAGTTATTTAAAAATACACAGTAAATTATCGTTGACTTTAATCACCCTGTTATGTTATCAAATGCTAGAGCCTATTCATTCTAACTACATTTGTGCACCCATTAACCATCCCACTTCTGCCTTACTCCCTGCTACGCTTCCCAGGCTCTGGTAACTATTATTCTACTCTCTATCTCCATGAGTTTGTTTCAATTTTTAGCTCCAATGTATGAGTGAGAACATGTGAAATTTGTCTTTCTGTGCCTGGCCTGGCTTTTTTCACTTAACATAATGTTCTTCAGTTTCATCCACGTAGTTGCAAATGAAAATGACAGGATTTCTTTCTCTCCTCCCTCTTTCTTTCTTTCTTTCTTTCTTTCTTTCTTTCTTTCTTTCTTTCTCTCTTTCCTTTCTTTCTCTTTCTTTCTCTTTCTCTTTCTCTCTCTCTCTCTCCTTTCTAAATAGAGACAGGCTCATCATAGCTCATTATAACCTCGAACTCCTGGGCTCAGGTGATCTTCCCATCTCAGCCACCTGAGTTGCTAGCATTACAGGCATGTGCCATCAGGTCTGGCTAATTTTTTATTTTTTTGTACAGATGGGGCCTCAGTATGTTGCCCAGGCTGGTCTCGAACTCCTGGCCTCAAGTGATCCTCCTGCCTTGGCCTCCCAAAGTGCTGGGATTACAAGCATGAGCCACTGTGCCCAGTCCAGTTCAAAATATTTTTTAGCTTCCTTGTGATTTTGTCTTTTACTAAAGGATTAGACTGTTAAGTGTTTTTTCAAATATTTGGGTCTTTTGTAGTTATTTTAATGTTGATTTTTAATTTAATTCTTTTGTGTTCAGATAACATACTCTTATGATTTCAATCTTTTGAAATTTATTCAGACTTGTTTTATTGTCTAACATATGGTCCATCTTTATGAATGTTTCATGTACACTTGAAACATATGTGTTTCTGCAGTTGTTCTGGTATTCTATAAATGAAATTTAGTGTAGTTGATAGTGCCATTCAGATATTGTACAGTTTTACTGATTTTATGCTTAGTTGTTTTAAGTGTTGGGGAAACTGGGTAGCCATTTAGAAGGAAACAAAATATATAAATTTTAATTGGCAATAATAGTTTTCACACAAAGGTCAGTCTTAGGCTATGCCCTACCATGGCACATGATCTAGAAAAGAGGTCTCTTCTGTGGAGATGAAATCTTCATTCTGTGGAAGTGGTGGTCAAATCTTCAGAAGTATATTAGTAGAAACAGAGGTAGACCCTGGGAGAAAGGTGAAATGTGTGTGTCTTTGGCGTGTCACAGTTTTTGATGTGACAAAATATGGGTTCTAATTCTTCCAAGCCAGGAGAAAGTTTGAAAGGATATTCCGCAAGAGTTCTCCCCGTCACCCATACAAACCACAAGGGCGATAAACGAGTTTTTCTCTGTATGGCATATGAATACACAGGCCACATTTTTTTTTTTTTGGGATGGAGTCTTGCTCTGTTACCCAGGCTGGAGTGCAGTGGTGCGATCTCAGGTCACTGCAAGCTCCGCCTCCCAGGTTCATGCCATTCTTCTGCCTCAGCCTTCTGAGTAGCTGGGACTACGGGTGCCCGCCACCACGCCTGGCTAATTTTTTGTATTTTTAGTAGAGACGGGGTTTCACCATGTTAGCCAGGATGGTCTTGATCTCCTGACCTCGTGAGCCGCCCGCCTCGGCCTCCCAAAGTGCTGGGATTACAGACGTTAGCCACTGTGCCTGTCCTTTTTTTTTTTTTTGAAATTGATTGGAAAAAAAAGGAAGCAATAGCCAGTATATGCAGCATGAAAACAGTAAAAACTTTGTTAACTTATAAAGTTGGGATACTTTAAGATAGCATGTTATACTTCTAGGTAGATACCAGATAGCAGGATAAATTTCTAATGAATCAAATATTTAATGTAAAATACTATAAAAGAAGACATCGGAGAATTCCTTTATAACTTTGAAATGGGGAAAGCCTTTGTAACCATGACTCCAAATCCAGAAGCTATAACAATTGTAGATTTGACTATAAAAATGCGTGCTAATAAACAAAAGCAAAAATCCCAACACACAGAACAAAAGCATAACAAAGAAAAACAACATTAACAGGGAAAAAGAATTGTAAACTTATAACAGAAAAAGGGCTAGTCCTCTGATATTTAAGCAGCTTCTGGAAATCAAAAAGTAAAAGACCATCTACCCAGTAGAATAATGGGAAGAGAATAAGGATAGTTCATAGAAAAGGAAATACAAATAGGCCTTAAGTTGTATAAAAGATGCTAAGCCTCATTCATGAAAAATTCCAATTAAAACTACATTGAGATATTATTTCTCATTTACTAGATTAACAAAAATCTGAATGACTATATACTCTCTTGGTAAAGTGTGAGAAAACATACTTTCATACCTTGTTCATCAGAGTATGGATTGGTATAATTTCTGTGGAAAGTAGCTTGACCATATTGCAAATATATATATATATATGTATTTTATGTATATATATGTATTTTTTATATATATGTATTATATATATATGTATATTAGCCCCGGAGCTTCCTCTTCTAGAAATTTATCATACTTGCATACATGTAAAGTGACATATGCACACAATTTTTAAGTGTAGCATTGTTTGTAATAGAAAAATATTGAAAACAATTTTAGTGTCTTTTGATAGAGTTTGTAATATACTGTGCAATGGCATAGTACATAACTATCATAAAGAATGATAAAGTACTTTCTATGCTGAAATGAAAAGATATCCAGGACTTATTTTGGGTGAAGAGACAAGGTACAGACAGAAGGTATAGTATGCCACAATCTGTGTAATAAAAGATGGTGAAAACTAATATATATTTATGTTTGCTTGTATCTGCATGAAGAAACTCTATATGGGTACACATGAAACTAATAACTGAATTCCTGTGGCCATGGGGGAGGGTAAAAGCTGGATAGTGGGTTATAGGAGTAGGGTAGAGTTTTCTTACTTATAACTTTCTAATTTTTTGAATTATTTAAATATTTTGCCTATTTAAAAAAGAAGAAAAAGAAAATTGAATTAGGTTGGGCATTAGTGGAAGATGCCAGATAGATAAACAAACACTTTACTCTTTTTTTGTTTTTCTTTCTTTTTAAAAATTTTTGTTTTAGGTTTAGGGGTACATGTGAAGGTTTGTTACATAGATAAACACGTGTCATGGGGGTTTGTTATTACATATTATTACATCACTCAGGTATTAAGTTCAGTACCAAATAGTTATCTTTTCTGTTCCTCTCCCTCCTTCCACCCTCCCCCTCAAGTAGATGCGTGTCAGTGTCTGTTGTTTCCTTCTTTGTGTTCATAAGTTCTTACAATTTAGCTCCCACTTGTTTTTTGGAGATAGAGTCTCACTCTGTTGCCAGGCTGGAGTGCAATGGCATGATCTTGGATCACTGCAACCTCCGCCTCCCAGGTTCGAGCAATTCTTTCTCCTGCCTCAGTCTCCCGAGTAGCTGGGACTACAGGCACATGCTGCTATGCCCAGCTAGTTTTTTTTTTTTTTTGTATTTAGTAGAGATGGGGGTGGGGGTCTCACCATGTTGCCCAGGCTGGTTTCGAACCCCTGAGCTCAGGCAATCAGCCCACCTCGGCCTCCCAAAGTGTTGGGATTACAGGCGTGAGCCACCGTGCCTGGCCAGCTCCCACTTGTAAATGAGAACATGCGGTATTTGGTTTTCTATTCCTACGTTAGTTTGCTAAGGATGATAGCCTCCAGCTCCTTCTGTGTTCTGGCAAAAGACATGATCTGGTTTTTTTATGGCTGCATAATATTCCATGGTGTATATATAACACATTTTCTTTACCCAGTCTGTCATTGATTGGTATTTAGGTGATTCTGTGTCTTTGCTATTGTGAACAGTGCTGCAATGAACACTTGTGTGCATGTGTCTTTATGGTAGAATGCTCTGGGTATATACCCAGTAATGGAATTGCTGGGTCGAATGGTAGTTCTTTTAACTCTTTGAGGAATTGTCATACAGTTCCTCAATGGTTGAACTAATTTACACTGACACCAACAGTGTAAAAGGGTTCCCTTTTCTCCACAACCTCGCCAGCATCTGTTATTTTTTGACTTTTTAGTAATAGCCATTCTGACTGGCGTGAGATGGTATTTCATTGTGGTTTTCATTTGCATTTCTCTAATGATCAGTGGTATTGAGCTTTTGCCATAAGCTTGTTTGCCACATGTATGTCTTCTTTTGAGAGGGGTCTGTTCATGTCCTTTGCCCACTTTTTAATGGGGTTGCTTGTTTTTCTCTTGTAAAGTTGTTTAAGTTCCTTATAGATACTGGGTATTAGACCTTTGTCACATGCATAGTTGGCAAATTCTTTCTCCCATTTTGTAGGTTGTTTGTTTACTCTGTTGATAGTTTCTTTCGCTGTACAGAAGCTTTTAAGTTTAGTTAGATCTCATTTGTCAATTTTTGCTTTTGTTGCAACTGCTTTTGGTGTCTTCATCATGAAATCTTTGCCTGTTCCTAGATCCAGGATGGTATTGCCTAGGTTGTCTTTCAGAGTATTTTACAGCTTTGGGTTTTACATTTAAGTCTTTAATCTGTATTCAGTTGATTTTTGTATATGGTGTAAGGAAGAGGTCCAACTTCAATCTTCTGTATATGGCTAGTCATTTATCCTAGCTCTATTTATTGAATAGGGATTTTTTTTCCCCATTGCTTGTTTTTGTCAGCTTTGTCAACGATCAGATAGTCAAAGATATGTGGCCTTATTTTGGGCTCATTATTCTGTTCCATTGGTCTGTGTGTCTGTTTTTGTACTGGTACCATATTGTTTTGGTCATTATAGCCCTGTAGTATAGTTTGGAGTCGAATAACATGATGCCTCCAGCTTTGTTCTTTTTGCTTAGGATTGCCTTGACTATTTGGGCTCTTTTTTTGGTTCCATATAAATTTTAAATAATTTTTTCTAGTTTTGTGAGGAATGTCATTGGTAGTTTAACAGGTATAGCGTTGAATATGTAAATTGTTTTGGGCAGTATAGCCATTTTAATGATATTGATTCTTATTTATGATGATGGGATTTTTTTCATTTGCTTGTGTCTTCTTTGATTTCTTTGAGCAGTGTTTTGTCATTCTCACTGTAGAGATTTTTTACATCCCTGGTTAGCTGTATTCCTAGGTGTTTTATTTTTTATTTTTTTGGTGGCAACTGTGAATGGTATTGCCTTTCTTATTTGGCTCTCAGTTTGGTTGTTGTTGGTGCACAGGAATGCTAGTGAGTTTTGTACATTGATTTTATATCCTGCACCTTTGCTGAAGTTGTTTATCAGCTGAAGGAGCTTTTGGGCCAAGACACTGGGGTTTTCTAGATATAGAATCATGTCATCTGCAAACAGAGATAGTTTGACTCCTGCTCTTAGTATTTGGATGCCCTTTGTTTTTTTTTCTCTTGACTCATGGCTCTGGCTAGGACTTCCAATACTATGTTGAATAGAAGTGGAGAGAGAGGGCATCCTTGTCTTGTACGAGTTTTCAAGGGGAATGCTTCCAGCTTTTGCCCATTCGGTATGATGTTGGCTGTGCATTTGTCATAGATGGCTCTTATTATTATTATTCTTATTTTTTTGAGACAGAGTTTTGCTCTTGTTGCCCAGGCTGGAGTGCAATGGTGCGATCTTGGCTCACTGCAACCTCCACCTCCCAGGTTCAAGCGATTCTCCTGCTTCAGCCTCCCGAGTAGCTTGGATTACAGGTGCCCACCGCCACATCCAGCTAATTTTTTGTATTTTCAGTAGAGACGGGGTTTCACCATGTTGGCCAGGGTGGTCTCAAACTCCCGACCTCAGGTGATCTGCCCGCCATAGCCTCCCAAAGTGCTCGGATTACAAGTGTGAGCCACCACGCCTGGCCATGGCTCTTATTATTTTGAGGTATGTTCCTTCAATACCTAGGTTATTGAGAGTTTTTAACATGAAAGAATGTTCAGTTTTATCAAAAGCCTTTTCCACATCTGTTGAGAAGATTGTGTGGTTTTTGTCTTTAGTTCTGTTGATGTGATGAATCACATTTATTGGTTTTCATATGTTGAATCAACCTTGCATCCCGGGGCGAAACCTACTTGATCACGGTAGATTAGCTTTTTGATGACACTTGGCATTTGAGTTACTAGAGTTCTTGTATTGGCTATTTCTCATCTCTGCATGTGGGTATTTCTTTAACTGCAGTGCAGATTGAGTGTAGTCAATAGACTTCTTTTCTGGATGTTTTCACTTGGCTGAGGCTTTGTGTAGGGTCTTTATTTGAAGCTGACTTCTTGTCTCTGGTTTCAGTGGGGGTATATTAGTGAGATATTTTTGCTGTTGAAGCTTTGGGGGTATGATCCAGCAGATGACATTTAGGCTTATCAGTCAGTTGGTAGACTCTTTCTTGGTTGTGTGGCTTCCCTATGTTTCCTCACAGTTGCAGCTGTGTTCCCTGTCAGTGCTCTGAAAGTATAGGTTCCTCTCTCCCTTGAGTACTGGCTGTAGTTCACAACTTGTCACTCCTGGGATGCCCACTGCAGCTCTGGGACAGTCTTAGTGTTTATTTCCCTTCTCCAGGTTAGAGGCAGCAGAGGAAAAGATCATAGTAGTGGTTGTGGCCAAGGGTCATTTGCTTGACTCCGAGGGGCTCCACCCCAGAGAGTTGCAGGTCAGCAACTGCTCAGTGCAGTCAGCCCAAGACGGAAGGTTTGTGCTGTGGGTCCAAGCCAGGGGTTTTCTGTCTGGTGACAAGCTATGTAGGGTATGGGGGACTTGTGGGAAATTGGTTGGCCTCTTCTCCTTAGGTTGACTGCAGCTCATTGGAGGTGTGGATAAGGCACTTGGGATCTTTGCTCCTTTGTTAGTCCGAAGGTGGCAAGGCATGTTCCACTGCAGAGGCAGTGGCAAAGAGGCTTTCAGTTGCCCCCAGAGGCTCTGTCTATGGAGTTACTGAGTTGGTACTGGCTTGGTAGCTCTGGCAGGGGGTGGTTGGAGGCCCAGGGCTGGAGGACCTGCCCAGTGAGGAGATATGGGAATGGGTACCCATGTAACAGTCTGGGCACTTTTCTGTAGGGCTGCTGTGGTATGCTTGGGGCCCGGTCCAGTCCTAGACACCTCAAATTTTCCAAAACCTAGAGGTGTTACCAGTGAAGGCTGTGAAACAGCAAAGCTGTTGCCAGCTTAAAGGCACCTGTAGGGAGTGGCTGGAGACCGTGGTTGCGAGGTCCCACCCAGTGAGCAGGAACAGGATTGGCACCCACTTAAAACAGTCTGGCCACATTTTAGTAGAGCAGCTGTGTTGTGTCCACTTCAGCCCCTGGTTGCCTCAGACACTCTGAAGCCCAAAGACTGGAATGGCTAAGTTGCCCAAACAACAAAGATGGTGGCCTGCCCCTCCCTCTAGGAGTGCCATCCCAGGGGGAATTCAGATCTGTGTCAGCTGGAAAGCTTTGTTGGGGGTGGCTGGAGGCCCTGGTTGGGAGGTCCTGCCCAGCGAAAAAGAATGGGATCAGGTACCTGCTTAAAGCAGCAGTCTGGCCATGTTTTGATAGAGCGGCTGTGCTATGCTGTGGGAATCCCTTCTGCCTTGGGTGGACTCAGACTCTCCAAAGCCTGAAGGCTAGAATGGCTAAGGTGCCTGAATAGCAAAGATGGCAGCCCGCCCCTCCTCCCAGGAGTGCCTTCTTAGGGAGGTGCAATGCCGCTATTGGTAGCTGGCTAGAATTCCAAGTAAGTGGGTCTTAACTTGTGAGGTGCTGTGGAAATGGGGCCTGTGGGCTGTTGCTGTTCAGCCCCATAGATTCAGCCTCTTTTCTAGGGGTATGTACAGGAGTCTAACATCCTACTTTGCCATAGCTGCAGCTACTTTTGCTGGAAAGCCCTAGTATCTAAGCCTCCAGGGACTCCATGCATGCCTGAGTGGCTGCTCTGCTGAGACTCTACATAGCTCTGTCTGTCAGACTGAAGACCGAAGGCCCTGCTGGAGTGGGTTCACAAGATCTGACCTGAGGGTTGCAAAGAGCTGTGGGAGAAGCATGATTTCCCTGGGTTGCTCTTGGACTTACCACTTCACTAGGTTGGGGAGAATCCCCTGGCTCTGTGTTGTTCCCAGGTGGCCGTTGTCCTGCCTTGTTTTTCTTTTTTTTTTTTTTTTTCTCATTGATTTGTTTTTAAAAAAATTTTTTTTTATTTTATTATTATTATACTTTAAGTTTTAGGGTACATGTGTGCAATGTGCAGGTTAGTTACATATGTATACATGTGCCACACTGGTGTGCTGCACCCATTAACTCGTCATTTAGCATTAGGTATATCTCCTAATGCTATCCCTCCCCCCTCCCGCCACCCCACAACAGTCCCCAGAGTGTGATGTTCCCCTTCCTGTGTCCATGTGTTCTCACTGTTCAATTCCCACCTATGAGTGAGAACATGCAGTGTTTGGTTTTTTGTCCTTGTGATAGTTTACTGAGAATGACGGTTTCTAGCTTCATCCACATCCCTACAAAGGACATGAACTCATCATTTTTTATGACTGCATAGTATTCCATGGTGTATATGTGCCACATTTTCTTAATCCAGTCTATCATTGTTGGACATCTGGGTTGGTTCCAAGTCTTTGCTATTGTGAATAGTGCTGCAATAAACATACGTGTGCATGTGTCTTTATAGCAGCATGATTTATAATCCTTTGGGTATATACTCAGTAATGGGATGGCTGGGTCAAATGGTATTTCTAGTTCTAGATCCCTGAGGAATTGCCACACTGACTTCCACAATGGTTGAACTAGTTTACAGTCCCAGCAACAGTGTAAAAGTGTTCCTATTTCTCCACATCCTCTCCAGCACCTGTTGTTTCCTGACCTTTTAATGATTGCCATTCTAACTGGTGTGAGATGGTATCTCATTGTGGTTTTGATTTGCATTTCTCTGATGGCCAGTGATGGTGAGCATTTTTTCATGTGTTTTTTGGTTGCATAAATAAATGTCTTCTTTTAAGAAGTGTCTGTTCATGTCCTTCGCCCACTTTTTGATGGGGTTGTTTTTTTTTTTCTTGTAAATTTGTTTGAGTTCATTGTAGATTCTGGATATTAGCCCTTTGTCAGATGAGTAGGTTGCAAAAATTTTCTCCCATTTTGTAGGTTGCCTGTTCACTCTGATGGTAGTTTCTTTTGCTGTGCAGAAGCTCTTTAGTTTAATTAGATCTCATTTGTCAATTCTGGCTTTCGTTGCCATTGCTTTTGGTGTTTTAGACATGAAGTCCTTGCCCATGCCTATGTCCTGAATGGTAATGCCTAGGTTTTCTTCTAGGGATTTTATGGTTTTAGGCCTAACATGTAAGTCTTTAATCCATCTTGAATTAATTTTTGTATAAGGTGTAAGGAAGGGATCCAATTTCAGCTTTCTACATATGGCTAGCCAGTTTTCCCAGCACCATTTATTAAATAGGGAATCCTTTCCCCATTGCTTGTTTTTGTCAGGTTTGTCAAAGATCAGATAGTTGTAGATATGCGGCGTTATTTCTGAGGGCTCTGTTCTGTTCCATTGATCTATATCTCTGTTTTGGTACCAGTACCATGCTGTTTTGGTTACTGTAGCCTTGTAGTATAGTTTGAAGTCAGGTAGCGTGATGCCTCCAGCTTTGTTCTTTTGGCTTAGGATTGACTCGGCGATGCGGGCTCTTTCTTGTTTCCATATGAACTTTAAAGTAGTTTTTTCCAATTCTGTGAAGAAAGTCATTGGTAGCTTGATGGGGATGACATTGAATCTATAAATTACCTTGGGCAGTATGGCCATTTTCACGATATTGATTCTTCCTATCCATGAGCATGGAATGTTCTTCCGTTTGTTTGTATCCTCTTTTATTTCATTGAGCAGTGGTTTGTAGTTCTCCTTGAAGAGGTCCTTCACATCCCTTGTAAGTTGGATTCCTAAGTATTTTATTCTCTTTGAAGCAATTGTGAATGGGAGTTCACTCATGATTTGGCTCTCTGTTTGTCTGTTATTGGTGTATAAGAATGCCTGTGATTTTTGTACATTGATTTTGTATCCTGAGACTTTGCCGAAGTTGCTTATCAGCTTAAGGAGATTTTGGGCTGAGACAATGGGGTTTTCTAGATATACAATCATGTCATCTGCAAACAGGGACAATTTGACTTCCTCTTTTCCTAGTTGAATACCCTTCATTTCCTTCTCCTGCCTAATTGCCCTGGCCAGAACTTCCAACACTATGTTGAATAGGAGTAGTGAGAGAGGGCATCCCTGTCTTGTGCCAGTTTTCAAAGGGAATGCTTCCAGTTTTTGCCCATTCAGTATGATATTGGCTGTGGGTTTGTCATAGATAGCTCTTATTATTTTGAGATATGTCCCATCAATACCTAATTTATTGAGAGTTTTTAGCATGAAGCGTTGTTGAATTTTGTCAAAGGCCTTTTCTGCATCTATTGAGATAATCATGTGGTTTTTGTCTTTGGTTCTGTTTATATGCTGGATTACATTTCTTGATTTGCATATATTGAACCAGCCTTGCATCCCAGGGATGAAGCCCACTTGATCATGGTGGATAAGCTTTTTGATGTGCTGCTGGATTCGGTTTGCCAGTATTTTATTGAGGATTTTTGCATCAATGTTCATCAAGGATATTGGTCTAAAATTCTCTTTTTTGGTTGTGTCTCTGCCCGGCTTTGGTATCCGGATGATGCTGGCCTCATAAAATGAGTTAGGGAGGATTCCCTCTTTTTCTATTGAGTGGAATAGTTTCAGAAGGAATGGTACCAGTTCCTCCTTGTACCTCTGGTAGAATTCGGCTGTGAATCCATCTGGTCCTGGACTCTTTCTGGTTGGTAAGCTATTGATTATTGCCACAATTTCAGCTCCTGTTATTGGTCTATTCAGAGATTCAACTTCTTCCTGGTTTAGTCTTGGGAGGGTGTATGTGTCGAGGAATTTATCCATTTCTTCTAGATTTTCTAGTTTATTTGTGTAGAGGTGTTTGTAGTATTCTCTGATGGTAGTTTGTATTTCTGTGGGATCGGTGGTGATATCCCCTTTATCATTTTTTATTTCGTCTATTTGATTCTTCTCTCTTTTCTTCTTTATTAGTCTTGCTAGCGGTCTATCAATTTTGTTGATCCTTTCAAAAAACCAGCTCCTGGATTCATTAATTTTTTGAAGGTTTTTTTGTGTCTCTATTTCCTTCAGTTCTGCTCTGATTTTAGTTATTTCTTGCCTTCTGCTAGCTTTTGAATGTGTTTGCTCTTGCTTTTCTAGTTCTTTTAATTGTGATGTTAGGGTGTCAATTTTTGATCTTTCCTGCTTTCTCTTGTGGGCATTTAGTGCTATAAATTTCCCTCTACACACTGCTTTGAATGTGTCCCAGAGATTCTGGTATGTTTTGTCTTTGTTCTCATTGGTTTCAAGGAACATCTTTATTTCTGCCTTCATTTCATTATGTACCCAGTAGTCATTCAGGAGCAGGTTGTTCAGTTTCCATGTAGTTGAGTGGTTTTGAGTGAGTTTCTTAATCCTGAGTTCTAGTTTGATTGCACTGTGGTCTGAGAGACAGTTTGTTGTAATTTCTGTTCTTTTACATTTGCTGAGGAGAGCTTTACTTCCAAGTATGTGGTCAATTTTGGAATAGGTGTGGTGTGGTGCTGAAAAAAATGTATATTCTGTTGATTTGGGGTGGAGAGTTCTGTAGATGTCTATTAGGTCCGCTTGGTGCAGAGCTGAGTTCAATTCCTGGGTATCCTCGTTAACTTTCTGTCTTGTTGATCTGTCTAATGTTGACAGTGGGGTGTTAAAGTCTCCCATTATTATTGTGTGGGAATCTAAGTCTCTTTGTAGGTCACTCGGGACTTGCTTTATGAATCTGGGTGCTCCTGTATTGGGTGCATATATATTTAGGATAGTGAGCTCTTCTTGTTGAATTGATCCCTTTACCATTAAGTAATGGCCTTCTTTGTCTCTTTTGATCTTTGTTGGTTTAAAGTCTCTTTTATCAGAGACTAGGATTGCAACCCCTGCCTTTTTTGTTTTCCATTTGCTTGGTAGATCTTCCTCCATCCTTTTATTTTGAGCCTATGTGTGTCTCTGCACGTGAGATGGGTTTCCTGAATACAACACACTGATGGGTCTTGACTCTTTATCCAATTTGCCAGTCTGTCTTTTAACTGGAGCATTTAGTCCATTTACGTTTAAAGTTAATATTGTTGTGTGTGAATTTGATCCTGTCATTATGATGTTAGCTGTTTATTTTGCTCATTAGTTGATGCAGTTTCTTCCTAGCCTCGATGGTCTTTACAATTTGGCATGATTTTGCAGTGGCTGGTACCGGTTGTTCCTTTCCATGTTTAGTGCTTCCTTTAGGAGCTCTTTTAGGGCAGGCCTGGTGGTGACAAAATCTCTCAGCATTTGCTTGTCTGTAAAGTATTTTATTTCTCCTTCACTTATGAAGCTTAGTTTGTCTGGATATGAATTTCTGGGTTGAAAATTCTTTTCTTTCAGAATGTTGAATATTGGCCCCCACTCTCTTCTGGCTTGTAGCGTTTCTGCTGAGAGATCTGCTGTTAGTCTGATGGGCTTCCCTTTGTGGGTAACCCAACCTTTCTCTCTGGCTGCTCTTAACATTTTTACCTTCATTTCAACTTTGGTGAATCTGACAATTACGTGTCTTGGAGTTGCTCTTCTCGAGGAGTATCTTTGTGGTGTTCTCTGTATTTCCTGTATGTGAATGTTGGCCTGCCTTGCTAGATTGGGGAAGTTCTCCTGGATAATATCCTGCAGAGTGTTTTCCAACTTGGTTCCATTCTCCCTGTCACTTTCAGGAACACCAATCAGATGTAGATTTGGTCTTTTCACATAGTCCCATATTTCTTGGAGGCTTTGTTCGTTTCTTTTTATTCTTTTTTCTCTAAACTTCCCTTCTCACTTCATTTCATTCATTTCATCTTCCATCACTGATACCCTTTCTTCCAGTTGATCGCATCAGCTCCTGAGTCTTCTGCATTCTTCACGTAGTTCTCGAGCCTTGGCTTTCAGCTCCATCAGCTCCTTTAAGCACTCTCTGTATTGGTTATTCTAGTTATACATTTGTCTAAATTTTTTTCAAAGTTTTTAACTTCTTTGCCTTTGGTTTGAATTTCCTCCTGTAGGTCAGAGTAGTTTGATCGTCTGAAGCCTTCTTCTCTCAACTCGTCAAAGTCATTCTCTGTCCAGCTTTGTTCCATTGCTGGTGAGGAACTGCGTTCCTTTGGAGGAGGACAGGTGCTCTGCTTTTTAGAGTTTCCAGTTTTTCTGCTCTGTTTTTTCCCCCTCTTTGTGGTTTTATCTACTTTTGGTCTTTGATGATGGTGATGTACAGATGGGTTTTTGGTGTGGATGTCCTTTCTGTTTGTTAGTTTTCCTTCTGACAGACAGGACCCTCAGCTGCAGGTCTGTTGGAGTTTGCTAGAGGTCCACTCCAGAACCTGTTTGCCTGGGTATCAGCAGCGGTGGCTGCAGCACAGCGGATTTTCGTGAACTGCAAATGCTGCTGTCTGATCGTTCCTCTGGAAGTTTTGTCTCAGAAGAGTACCCAGCCATGTGAGGTGTCAGTCTGCCCCTACTGGGGGTTGCCTCCCAGTTAGGCTGCTCGGGGGTCAGGGGTCAGGGACCCACTTGAGGAGGCAGTCTGCCCGTTCTGAGATCTCCAGCTGCGTGCTGGGAGAACCACTGCTCTCTTCAAAGCTGTCAGACAGGGACATTGAAGTCTGCAGAGGTTACTGCTGTCTTTTTGTTTGTCTGTGCCCTGCCTCCAGAGGTGGAGCCTACAGAGGCAGGCAGGCCTCCTTGAGCTGTGCTGGGCTCCACGCAGTTTGAGCTTCCCAGCTGCTTTGTTTACCTGAGCAAGCCTGGGCAATGGTGGGCACCCCTCCCCCAGCCTTGCTGCTGCCTTGCAGTTTGATCTCAGACTGCTGTGCTAGCAATCAGCGAGACTCCGTGGGGCGTAGGACCCTCCGAGCCAGGTGTGGGATATAATCTGCTGGTGTGCCGTTTTTTAAGCCCCTCGGAAAAGCGCAGTATTCGGGTGGGAGTGACCCGATTTTCCAGGTGCCGTCTGTAACCCCTTTCTTTGACTAGGAAAGGGAACTCCCTGACCCCTTGCACTTCCCGAGTGAGGCAATGCCTCGCCCTGCTTCGGCTCGTGCACAGTGTGCTGCACTCACTGTCCTGCGCCCACTCTCTGGCACTCCCTAGTGAGATGAACACGGTACCTCAGACGGAAATGCAGAAATCACCCATCTTCTGCGTCACTCACGCTGGGAGCTGTAGACCGGAGCTGTTCCTATTCGTCCATCTTGGCTGCCACCTCTCTGTCCTGCCTTGTTTTTCTTTGTTCTCTGTAGGTCAGGTTGTTTCCTTGATTAATTCCAATGTGAGTACCTGGATGTTTCATTCGAAGATGTTGTATTTACTTGCCCCTTCTGTTTCTCTCTTAGAGCCAGGCACACTAACTGCTTCTAGTCAGCCATCTTGGCCACTTCACATCCCCACCCTTTTCCTTTCTCTTTGTATATTTTTAGTTCAGGAAGTGGCAGAATACTGAGATAGACAGTGAGAAATGAGCAAAAATTAGAACAGTTCATAAAAATGGGCCAAATTATCCAAAGGTTTGTCCAGGCTAAGTATTGCAAAACCTGAGATTTGCTGAATTGTGGATTTGTTTCCCTAAGGAATAGAAAAATTGAATTCATGTTGGTAGATGAAAGACAAGGAATATCAATATGAATTATTTATTAGGTATGTGTGCCTCTTGCTACTATGTATGCCATTACTGTTCAGGGGTCTGTGGAGTAGGATGTTTCATTTTCCAGAATATAAATTAAATGACAGTTTTGCATTTCTATTTGATGTGTGATTTGTGATAAAAACCTCTCTCTGCCAAAGGAGAGTTTTCTTTTGATGGATATATGAAAGGCATTTTAATTATTTAAAATGTGGAAATGGCTTTTGCTCTTTTTAGTACATATAAAAAGTTTAAATTCTATAAAAATGAATATAATGGGAGTTGAATCTCCCTCCTCCCACAGATTCTTAGGCCCTTGTATGGAGTTAAATGGGCATTAAATAGTTGAACTCTCCTTCTTACCTATTTTTCAATTTAAAACGCCTTAGAGAGAGGTCATGTAGTTATGTTCAAATTTATTAGGGTTCAATATTTATAAAACTTTAGGATAAATTTTACCTCAGTCTCCAAATCTTTGGGGATTTAAAAAATATGTTGGTTATTGATTTCTCACTTAAATTTATTATAATAACATACTTCATAGGATTACAGTCTTTTTGCCTTTATTAAGACTTGTTTTTATAGCCCAGCATGTAGTCTAACTTGTTGAATATTCCATGTGCATTTGAAAAGAATTTTTAACTTTCAGTTATTGAACGTAATGTTCTATAAATGTCAGTTAGGTCAATTAGGCAGATAATGTTAAATTATCAATGTCCTTATTGATATTTTTAAGGTCTCCTTTTCCTTTCAATTACTGAGAGGTGATAAAATCCTCAACTGAGAATGCGGATTTATCTTTTTCTCACTTTACCTTTGTCAATTTTTGCTTTGTGTACCTTAAAGCTCCATTAGGTGCATACAGATTTTAAAATATTATGTATTCATGATGAATTTATTCTTATATTATTATGACATGTTGATCCTCTTTATCTCTGGTAGTATTCCTTGATTCGAAGTCTGTTTTGTCTGGGATAGTAATATAGCCATATGAAGTTTTTTATTTGGTGATTTCCTTTCAAACTATCTGAGTCTTTATGTTTAAAGAGAGTCCCTTCTAAAACACATGAATTTGTATCTTGCTTTTTAAAAATCCAGTTTGATAATCTCTTTTAATTGGAGTGTTTAATCCATTTACATTTAGTGTAATTATTGATATGGTTGTTTTCTGACTTTTGTTGTTTCTGGTGAGAAGTCAGCCAACACTCTCATTGTTTCCCTGTGAGGAATATGTCTTTTTTCTCTATTTTTCAGGCTTTCTTTTTACATTTGATTTTCAGCAATTTGAGTAAGATGTACCTATGTATGGTGTTTGGGTATTTATTTTGCTTGGGTTCATTGAGCTTTTTGAGTCTGTATGTTACTGGTTTTGATCAAATGTAACAAATGTTTTGGGTTAATATTTTTCCAAGTGTTTTTTTTTTGCCCCTCTCTCTTTTCTTCTAGGATGTCAATTTTACCTGTTATTGTTGTTTTGTTCATTTTTTTTTCTCCTAAAATTTTCCCCTTTGTGCTTTAGTTTGGGTGATTTCTCTTGACCCTTAGTCTTAGTCTAGTGAGGTCTTAAGTCTTTTGAGTGTTAGTCTAGTGAGGTGGCTATAAAACAAAATACAGGTTTTAAACAACAAAAATTTATTTCTCAGTTCTGGTGGCTGGGAAATCCAAGAGCAAGGTGCTGGAAGATTTGGTGTCATAGATGGTGCCTTCTTGTGGTGTTCTTACATGGTGGATGGGCAAGGCAGCTCTCTAGGGCCTCTTTTATAAGCACACTAATGCCATTCATTTTATCATCTTCAAAAGGCTCTCCACCTCAAATATCATCACATTGGGGAATAGGTTTCAACGTATGAATTTTGAGGTAACCCAGACATTTAATCTATTGCACCTATCTTCATGTTCACCAATCCTACTTTTGTTGCTCTTTTCTGCCTTGTTTTCTTTTATATTTTGTCTGGAATTTATATTTGTAATCAGTAGGGGAATCAGCCTGATATGATGTAACTCATCATTACTGGAAGCTGGTGGCTTTTTGTTTCAAATAAAAGAAGATATAGGGATAAAAATATGGGAATACACTATGTTAAGAAAGCCCTCTCTGTTTTTCTTTTTTTTGGCCTATTCATCATTTGTTTCATAAAAGTGAAACAGGCTGGGCGTGGTACCTCACGCCTGTAATCCCAGCACTTTGGGAGCCTGAGGTGGGTGGATCATGAGGTCAGGAGATCAAGACCATCCTGGCTAACACAGTGAAACCCTGCCTCTACTAAAAATACAAAAAATTAGCCAGGCATGGTGGCGGGCACCTGTAGTCCCAGCTACTCGGGAGGCTGAGGCAGGAGAATGGTGTGAACCCGGGAGGTGGAGCTTGCAGTGAGCAGAGATTGTGCCACTGCACTCCAGCCTGGGCGACAGAGGGAGACTCCATCTCAAAAAGAAATAAAATAAAATAAAATAAACAATAAAATAAATAAATAAATAAGTGAAACTGTGTCCTATTGATTAAAAATTATATTCATATTCCTTTTTCCATGAAATTACCCTCAGATAAGCAGAACTTTGTATATATTTGCCATTAATTGTTTCAGAATTAGAAAATATTTCTACCTAAAGACACTGGACATTAAAATGTGTACATTTGTAGACAGCACTATCTGTTTTGTTTTTAAGAGACACTTAACATGTGCCAGGTCCTGGTCTAAGCATTTTACATATATTAACTCATTTAATTCTCACATCAACCCAATGAGGGAGGTATGATGATTGGCCCTATTTTCCGGATGAGGAAACCAAAGCACAGAGAGATTAAACCAGGAAGTAGTGGAGCCAGAATTTGAACCACGGCATTCTGGCATTATTAGAGTCTTGCATTCTTAACTACTTTGCTCTGCTACCTCTCTCAATTTCTGCTGTGTGTAATAATTATGCTCTGGGTATGTTTATACTTGTGAATTTCTCAAGTTTTTCAATAGTATCTACCCTATTGGATTATAAACAACTTCAAGAACAGGAATCACATACTCTCTACTATGTCAGATACCCAGAAAAGGCTAAAACACGACTTTTCTTAGAAATCTTGCTTATAAATCCTGGGCAGTATTAATCATTTTTTTTCTTCTGTACTTACAGCTCAACATTTGCCTTTCTAATGAATGACTATTTTTTTTCTGCCTTATACTGCAGCTAGTAGTTTATAGGCTTGGCCCTCCCATTAGGTTGTGAGGTCATTGTGGGTAGAGACCATGCCTTCATCAGGGAATGTTATTCCAGAACTGTGATGGTAAAAATATGCTCCTTTTTGCCAGACAAAGAATCTTTGCATATCCATATATTTATCTTATTTACAATGGGAATACTTTATATTTGTGTTTTACTTTCAGCTTTCCAAAGCCCTTTCATACCTACCATCTATTTATCTTTATGGAAAAAAATGTCATGAGCTTTCATTTATTACTTCAGTAAATATTTCTTGAGCACCTATTATGTGCCGATTCTTAGTTGTTTAGGATATAGCAATGAACAAAACAAAGTCTGTCCTTTCATGTAGATTACACTCTTGTGAGAAGGTAAAGATAATAAACAAAAATAAATAATGTGCTAGGTGGTGATAAGTACTTCGAAGAAAAATAATATAGGGTAAAGAGATAGAATATGGTAGAGAGTACTACTTTAGGTGGTATGATCTGGTAGGCATCTATAAGTAAGTAATATTTGAGTAGAGACCTGAATAAAGTTAAGGAGCAAACTGAAAATATATGGAGTTTAGAAGAGTTCCAGACAGAGGAATTAGCAAAGACAAAGGCCCTTAAGTTGAGAAAAACAGCAAGGAGGCCATACTGGAAGTGGGAGAGAAATGAGATGGAAAGGTAGTTGTGGTGGTAGCATGTGTGGGAAGTAGACCATGGAGGGCCTTGTAACATATGATAAGGACTTCGGATTTCGTTCTAAGTTTGATGGAAATCATTGGAACATTTTCTACCCCAATGAGTAGTGACATCTGAATTATGTTTAAAAAGTTTAATCTGAATGCTGTGTAGGGAATAGCTTATATGGGGAGCAAGAGTAGAATCAGAGAGACCAATTATGAGGTTGTTGAAAGAATCCAGGCCAGAGAGTTGGCTGCTTAAACAAGGGTGGTAGTAGTGGAAGTGGTAAGAAGTGTTTAGATTCTGGATATATTTGAAGTTAGAACCAAGAGCCAAGCGAACTTGCTGAGGAATTTTTATAGCACATGAAAGAAGAGGAATTGGAATTATTCCCACATTTTTGGTCTGAGCAATATAGTGAATGTTATTACCATTTACTGAAATGGGAAACGTTGGCAGAAGGAACAGGTTGAAACAGGGCATATATCACTGCCTTTATTTTATATGTGAAGAAACTGAGACATATATAAAGACTTTTGATAAGCTTTGGGGGAAGAATTCTGGTTGCCTTACTGCTAGCCTCAGATTTCTTCTAAATAAATGTTTCAATTTTTTTTGTTATCGATTTTATCTATGGGATGATAACTTGTGTTCACTTTAAAATTCTTTCAGAAGAAGAGTCTGACCAGGGATATTTCAAGAGTCTTTGAAGTTTTATATATTTTCTGGGATGGTAATGGTCAAAGAGCCTAGCATCTTGTAGGTATTGACTAATTGTTTTCTAGATTACATTTAAGGAAGATTCAATCTCATCTTCAACCTTGATATTCTCTTAAGGGAAATTATCTGTGTTGTAGTTCAGATCAATTGCATGAATGAAAAATTGCAGTTTGTCTTTCAGAAAGTAGTGGTTAATACTAGAAATAATAAGATCTGGGTTTGGACCCTGTGTCTACCCCTTACTATCTGTGTAACTTTCAGCACATCACTCTATCTTTCTCAGCTTTAGTTTTTCCATCTGTGAAATGGAATAATGTCTCCTTTTCTCACATAATTATTGTAAAGATGAAATGGGATTATGTATACTTAATAGAACTAGCACACAACTGGCACATCAAACATACAATAAAGGTTTACAGGGTCTGAATCTCAATAAAGCCACTATGAGATGTTCACAAAAAATCTGTAGTAGAGAGAGTTTGTGGAAAAACTGTGTACTTAAAACACATATTCCTTTTTCCAAATTATTATGTGTATTAACAGACATGTTACAAAGAATATAAAACTAAAGAGAAATGTTTATGTTTACTTTATAGGTATTGGTTTGCCTTAAAAAGGGGTTACCATGCAGCTTTTAAATATGACAGCAATACTAGTAACTTCGTGGAAGAACAAATTGATCTACATAAAGAAGTTATAGATAGAGTGACTGATTTGAGCATGCTCAGACTATTTGAGACCTACCTGGAAGGCTGCCCACAACTTATTCTTCAACTCTACATTCTTCTGGAGCATGGACAAGCGAATTTCAGTCAGTGTAAGTTTTTCTTAACTCCTTGTGTTAAATGGATGCCACTGAGACCTTACGTCAACTATATAAATCTTTGGCTGACTTTAGAAATTTTTAATACTTTAAAAATTATTTATTCTTTTGAAAAGGAAGTACAGTAACATGGTTGAAATATCAAAAAGTATATAGATAATATACTGTATTCATCTGCCCAGAAAGAAAACTGCTATTGTTAGTTATTTGATGATTCCTTCAGAGAAGTTTTTAAAAGCATATGTCCTTTTTTTTCTTTTTTCTTTAACACAAATGGTAACATAAAATAAAAACTGTCTTTGTTTTTTGTGCCTCATAGTATATCTTGGAGATCTGTTCATCTTAGTACAGAAAAATTTCCCACATTCATTTTTATTATCTGCATAGTATTGCAAATTATGAATGTGCCATAATTTATTTAACAAACTCCCTATTTATGTTAATTTAGGTTGTTTCTTATATTTAACCATTGAAAAAATGCTGCAACGAGTAATCTTATGCATAAATCACTTGCATGTAAAAAGTATATCCATTGGGTAAATTCCCAGAAGTGGAATTACTGGGTAAGAGTGTAAATGCTAAAAAACTAATGAATGTTTTGCAAGTTGGCCAATGTGTTTGCTGTTTTACAGTAGATTTGTTTGTTAAGGTAAAAATGTTCATTTTTTAAAGAAAAGTCTATTTCCATCTTCCTTTTTGAAAAATCCTTTTATAGGTAATTAACTTGAGATGTTAAAAAACAATTTATTTGCTAAATAATAATCACAAATTGCATTAATGACTAGGGTTCCATTTAGTTTCGGATTTATTTCAGGGGATAAGATTGTTATCTTCCCTGGAGTTCTTGCTGTCCTAGACTCACATGTTATATCAGTTAAACAGTGTCTCTGTTCCCATTTTCCTGTAAACCTCTAGAACATGGTCCCTTCTAATATTTTACCTTTACTTTGATTGTTAGTAAGACACAAAATGATTGTGTGTATGAGATCTCTATTGTGTATGAGATCTCTTTTTTGTGATGCAAATAATTCATGGATTGGGTTCTATATGATACGGAACCCTTAACAGTTCTGTATTACATAGTTCTGAAACTAGAGGTACAAAATTTAGATCTTACAGCCTGTATTATGGGAGATCTTATGATAATTCCAAGGGATACATAGCATCTGGACTACCTATGAGATCCAGCTATCTTTATATTCAATCTTCATCTATATAGTTTCTTCTTGAAGTAGGAAATTGAGGTAAGTTATTTAAAAATAGCATAAAATGAGATATAATTCAATTGTCTAACAATAGAGGAATTGGTAAATAAATTATTGTAGGTTGTTAGTATGGAACATTATGTAGCCACTAGAGTGTTTACAAAGAACTTTTAATGACACAAGAAAGCAATTATAACGTAGAATGTAGGCAAAACACAGTTTATAGAATTTTCTGTCAGCACATTTTTAAGGTTACAAAGAGATTATTATATAGAAAAATATCTGGAAGAAAATATGCAAAATGTTAAGTGTGTCTGCTTCTGGGTGGAGGAATTATGAATGATTGTTTTCATTTAAAAAATATTCTTCTGGATTTCCAAATTTTCTATAGTAACTATGTATAAAATTATGTTATACGAGTTCTGAGATTAAATCAGTAACAAAAAACCTACCAACCAGAAAAAACCTTAGACCAGATGGCTTCATAGCTGAATACTATCAGATGTATAAAAAAGAGCTGGTATCAATTCTACAGAAACTATTCCAAAAAATTGAGGCAGGAATCTTCCCTAATTTATTCTCTGAGGTCAGCATCATTTTGATGCCAAAATCTGGCAGTGACACAAGAAAAAAAGAAAACTCCAGGCCAATATCTTTCATGAACATAGGCACAAAAATCCTCAACAAAATACTATCAAATGAAATCCAGCAGCACATCAAGAGGCTGATCTAACATGATCAAGTAGGCTTTATTCCTAGGATGCAAGGTTTATTCAACATACATAAATCAATAAATGTGATTCATAAATACAACTAAAAATAAAAACCACATGATCATCTCAATAGACACAGAAAAGGCTTTTGATAAAATTCAACATCCCTTTATGTTACAAACCCTCAACAAACTAGGCATCAAAGGATGCCCGGGAATATACGTAAAATAATGGAACCATCTATGACAAACCCACAGTCAACATCATACTGAGAATGGGCAAAAGCTGGAAGCATTCCTTTTGAGAACTGGAACAAGACAAGGATGCCCATTCTCACCACTCCTGCTCCACATAGTGCTAGAAGTACTAGCCAGAGCAATTGGGTAAGTGAAAGAAATAAAAGGCATTCGAATAGGAAGAGATGAAGTAAAACTATCCCTGTTTGCAAACAATATGATTCTATACCTAGAACACCCCCATGGTCTCTACCCAAAGGCTCCTAGAACTGATAAACAACTTCAGTAAAATTGGTATACAAGATCGATGTACAAAACAGTAGCATTTTTTTACACCAGCCATGTCCAAGCTGAGAGCCAAATCAAGAATGCAATCCCTTTTACAGCAGCCACAAAAAAGAATAAAATAGCAAGAAATATAGCCAGCCAGGGAGGTGAAAGATCTGTACAATGAGAATTACAAAACACTGTTAAAAGAAATCGGTGGTGACACAAACAAATGGAAAAACATTTGATGCTCATGGACAGGAAGAATCACTATTGTTAAAATGGCCATGCTGTCCAAAGCAATGTACAGATTCAGTGCTGTTCCTATCAAATTATCATTTTATACAGAATGAAAAAAAGATTCTCAAATTCATATGAAACCAAAAGACCCCAAATAGCCAAAGCAATCCTAAGCAAGAAGAAAAAAGCTGGAGGCATCACACTATCTGACTTCAAACTATACTACATGGCTACAGTAACCAAAACAGCATGATAGTGGTATAAAAACAGACATGTAGACCAATGGAACAGGTTAGAAAGCTCAGAAATAAAGCCTCATACCTACAACCATCTGATCTTCGACAGAGTCGACAGTAACAAGCAACAGGGAAAGGACTGTCTATTCAATAAATGGTACTGGGAAAACAGGCTAGCCATGTTTAGAAGATTGAAACTGGACTCCTTCCTTTTACCATATACAAAAATCAACTCAAGATGGATTAAAGACTTAAACATAAAATGAAGAATTATAAAAACTCTAGAAGAAAATCTAGGAAATACCATTCTGGACATAGGCCTTGGCAAAGATCTCATGACAAAGACTACAAAAATGATTGCAGGCTGGGCACTGTGGCTCATGCCTGTAATCACAGCACTTTGGGAGGCTAAGGCGGGTAGATCACTTGAGGTCAGGAGTTCGAGATCAGCCTGGCCAACATGGTGAAACCCCATCTCTAGTAAACATAGAGAACAATTAGCTGGGTGTGGTGGCATGTGCCTGTAATCCTAGCTATTCAGGAGGCTGAGGCAGGAGAATCGCTTGAACCCAGGAAGGCGGAGGTTGCAGTGAGCCAAGATCGCACCACTGTACTCCAACCTGGGTGACAGAGCGAGACTCCATCTCAAACAACAACAACAACAACAAAAACAAATAAACAAACAAAAAACAAAAGCAATTGCAACAAAAAAAAAGTTGACAGGTGTGACTTAATTAAACTAAAGAGCTTCTGCATGGCAAAAGAAACTATCAGCAGAGTAAACAAACAACCTACAGAATGGGAGAAAATATTTGCAAACTATGCATCCAGCAGAGGTCAAAATCTAGAATCTATAAGGAACTTAAACAAATCAAGCAAAGAACAAACAACCCCGTTAAAAAATGGACAAAGGACATGAACAGACATTTCTCAGAAGAAGACATACCTGCAGACAAGCATATGAAAAGCTCTATTTCACTAATAATTAGAGAAATGCAAATCAAAACCACAATGAGATACCCTTGCACATCAATCAGAATGACTGTTACTAAAAAGTCAAAAAATAGCAGATGTAGGTGAGGTTGCAGAGAAAGGGGGACTGTTATACAAACTGTTGGTGGGAATGTAAATTAGTTCAGCCATTGTGGAAAGCAGTTTAGAGATTTCTTAAAGAGCTTAAAACAGAATTACCATTCAACACAGCAATCCCATTACTGGGTATATATGCAAAGGAATATAATTGTTATACCATGAAGATGCATGCATGCAGATGTTCATTGCAGCACTTTTCACAATAGCAAAGACATGGAATCAACCTAGATGTCAATCAGTTGTGAATTGGATAAAGAAAATGTGGTACATATATACCATGGAATACTACAAAGCCATAAAAAAGAATGAAATCATGTCCTTTGCAGCAACATGGATGCAGATGGAGGCCATTCTCCTAAGTGAATTAATGCAGGAACAGAAAACCAAATACCACAGTGTTCTCACTTATAAGAGGGAGCTAAACATTGAGTACACATAAACACAAAGAGGGGAACAATAGACATCAGGGCTTACTTGAGGATGCAGGGTGGGAAGAGGGTGAGGATCAAAAAACTATGTATTGGGTACTAGGCTCACTACCTGGGTGAGGAAATTATTTGTATACCTAACCCCAGTGATACACAATTTACCCATGTAAAAAACCTGCACACGTACCCCTTGAAACTTAAAAGTTGGAAGAAAAACACAAAGAGGGGAACAATAGACATCAGGGCTTACTTGAGGATGCAGGGTGGGAAGAGGGTGAGGATCAAAAAACTATGTATTGGGTACTAGGCTCACTACCTGGGTGAGGAAATTATTTGTATACCTAACCCCAGTGATACACAATTTACCCATGTAAAAAACCTGCACACGTACCCCTTGAAACTTAAAAGTTGGAAGAAAAAAAAGTCAGGTTGTGTATAGTAGTACTTCAGAAGACTGAACGTATTCTTTTATTTCTGCTCCTTCTGAAATCGTGCTTTTATTTCTGTTCCTTCTGAAATCACAGTAAAAGAGTAAAAACAGTATAAGCACATAAGGACAGAGAGTGCAGAGTAGAATAGCAGATTAGAAATATCAATAAATGTTTAGAAGATGGAAAGCAGATGGAAAACCTAGGTTATTTAAATCAACCCTTCCACTGAGAGGCTAAGTTATTCAACTCTTCCCCTGAAAATATCTAAAAATATTGGATAAAATATCTTTAAAAATCTTCCTAAAACATAACATATCTGATAAAACAGGCCAAAATATGTATGACAGTGGGAAAGCAGCATAGTTAAGTAGGACTCTGAAGGCAATTATACTCTGAGGGTTTTACTGAACCTTATAAACAATTTCAAGTTTGATGACTTTTCAGGGCACAGAAGACAAAACTCAGGGTCCTCACAACCTTGGTGAGGAACCTCTCTCCCCTAGTAAATTATAATCCATAAAACTGGGACTCCAAAAGGTACCCTTCTCAGGGTAAGAGTAAAGTTACCTACCTGACTCCTGACTTCAAAGAGTTTGCAAGTAATAGTGTGTTGATGCTGAGTAGAGCAGAGAAAAACGTCCTTGAGAAGGTGTACATTTTTGCAACCAAAATTTACAACTGTTGGCTAGTCCAAAAAACAAACAAAATAACTCCCCCTGCAAAACAAAGAAACAAAAACTCTAACAAAAGACAAGCCATGAATATAGTTTAGAGTGATTCTAGACTGATAGTACCCCTACATGTCTGGCAGAAATAAGAATAAATCCTCCCTGGAAGAATTCACCTTCTCTTAGGCCTCAAATAATTTTTACAAAAGTTTTCAATGGAAAACAAAAGTTTGACAGTAGTTTATAGCACCAAAACAACTAAGATATCATGAATAAGAAGTAGAGGAAATAGGAAAAAAAATCAGTGAGACTTGAACTTTTGGAAATTACCAGATGCAAAGTATAAAACAAGTATCCTATTATGTTTAAAGAACTAAAAGATGAACTTGAAAATATGGAACAGAAAACTATTAAAAATGAGTTTATATTTGAAAAAGAAATAAGTAGAACTTACTGAAATAGAAAATTCAGGAATTGAAAGGAACAAATTAGCAGATTAGACAGAATTAAATAGACAATGAATGAGTTACTGCTAGGTCAGAAGAAATTATCTAGATTGTAGTTTAGAGAGACAAAGAGATAGAAAATATGAGAGAGATATTAAGAGACATGAGAGATAGGGTGAGAACATCTAATATACATCTGAACAGAGTCCCCAAAGGAGAGAAGAGAAAGAATGGAGTGGAAGCAATATTTGAAAAGTTAGTCACTCAAAAAATTTCAGAACTGATGAGAGACACCTACCCACAGATTCAAGAAGCCCATCATCTGACAAGCGTACTCAGCAGAAAGAAATTCATACCATAGTGTATCCCCACCAGAGGAAATTCCAAAGAGAGTGTACTTCAGACAAAACAGAAATGTTCTGAGGCACAAGAAGAAGTAAAGAGCAAAGGAAGTAGTAAGTATATGGGTGATTCTAAATGAATAAATGAATATTGAATATTCTAAATGAATATTGGCATTTTGTTTTATAACAAAATGCTATGTGGTTAAGAAGAAGAATGAAAATACAGGACAATGATAACATGTAAATCAGATGGAGAATAAGTGGAGTTAAAACCTATATAGTATAGGAGAAAGGTAAAGCAAAGTTGGATGTGGGGTTTTTAAAGTGTAAAGCAAAAACATTTAGAGAGACCCTATTTAAGAAAAATAACAATATTATGAAAAAAATTAGGTATTGTATGTGTTTGCTTGGGCGGCCATACAGAATACTACAGACTGAGTAGCTTAAACAGTAGAACTTTATTTTCTCACAGTTCTAGAGACTAGATGTCCAAGATCAAGGTGCCAATAGGGTTGGTTTCTGGTGAAGCCTCTCTTCTTGGGTTGCAGACAGCTGTTTCCTTGCTGCATGCTTATGTGGCCTTTCCTCTGTGCACACATAATGGTGGGTGGGGATGAGTAAGGAGGAGGGAGAGGAAGAGGAGGGGAGAGAGATTTCTAATGTTTCTCTTTTTACAGTGACACTAGTCCTAATGGATTAGGGCCTCACCATTATAAACTTATTTATTTAACTTTACCTCCTTATAGGCTGTATGTCAAAATATAGTCACATTGGGAGTTAGGGCTTCAATGTATGAATTTTGGGGATACGCAATACAGTCCATAAAAGATATTAATGTAAATATTTATTTAAAACAAGAAAATAAATTACAGCAAATTACAGATATAAGAAAGCTAACACCTACAAATTTCACAAAAGAAAGAAAAATAATATATTTTTATTATTTTAATACTCTTTTCTCTAAATTTGTGGCTTTGTACTCTCTGATTGGCTCTAGATTTGATGATTTTATAATATAATTTTCATAGAATAGAAAAAATAATTCAATCTTTTCTCTAGCGTGGTCGATTGGAATTTGGTTTTTATTTAAATTTAAAAAAGTTTTTGTCAACATCATAACTTATTGATAAAATATGCATTTTTCAATTATTGTCAAATTTTGGAAAACCTCTATCAATTTCTTTAATAATGTGCCATAGGATTTTTTGGTATTTGAAGATTTTTTTTAGGTAAAGTGACTAATTTTAACTCGCGTTTGAATTGACATCTCTAGTTTATTGTTGATGTCTTATTTAGTGAACATGGATGGGAGTTCTCTATTTTCTTCACTGATGTCAGTACTTAATGCCAAATCAGAAATAAATTAATGAAAATCTCTGAATTAATAAGTAAAGAATTAATAAGAATAATGTGATTGGACAAGGTCATTTTAGACTGAGGAAAAGGCATAACAAAGGCATAGTTTGACAATGGCACAAAATTTAGTTTGAATAGAGTGTAATGTAGAGGTTAGGGCAGCAATATGATAGAAAAAAATATGTTAGAAGCAGGTAGGAAAGTGGGAAATTGGCAAAAATGTCAAATAATAGTGTCAACTAGATGAGAATCGACTATTGTGCCTTCACATTGGGAATAAAAGGGCTGTTGACATCTGAAAGACAATTTAGTGAAATGTTAAGATCAGGTAAACTGCCTTGGAATCCTAGCTCCACCACTTACTAATCTTACTTATTGAAGCAAATCATGTAAACATGTCCCCTATGCTTAAACTAAATGTAGTCTCAACTTAGTTTCCCTTAGCCACATCCCCAAAATGCCCACAGCCACTTGAACATACTAGGGGAATATGTGAGAGAAAGTAAGCAAGAATAGAAAGAGACAGGGAATTTAATCAACTGCAATTAAAATGTCTTATTTTTGCAAATTTTATAAAAATATGTGACAAGGTGAACAGATAGGGCTTTGCTAGGCTTGGAAGGAGACTGGGCAAGTGAGAGTCCCTGAAATTTAAGCTTCACTATCGTATTGATATATTAATCTTTGAGGTAACAATATTGATTAGCCTTAAACTTTGATATGCTTAATATTCATGTTATGATTTCTAGAGAAATCACCAAAGAATAAAAACAGGGCATATAATTAAATGATATGGGTTATTAGATTGAAAAAGTGAATAAAAATAGCTCACATCAAGCACATCATTATATCATTTCAGAGAAGCAAAGAAAGATGATTCTAGAAGATTTGAGAGGAAAAAAAGTAATGTACTAAGGATAGAAAAACTGAATGGCATGAAATTTTTAACCTTAACAGTGAAATTAAAACAGAACAGTAAGTTTAAGGTTTCAATGGAAAACATTTTTTTTTGATTTTGAATTCTCTTTCAAGCAAAACTGTATCAAGTATGAGGGTAGAATTAGGATGTTTTGAGATATATAAGGTCTCAAAAAATTTTGCTTCTGAGAAATTTTTTTCAGGAAGGCCTGGCAAAAGTTTAATCAAAACATGAGAGTAAACCAAGAAAGATGATAGGAGAACCAGGAAACAGGAAAGTAATATAGAAGAGAGGTGAAGGGAAGTTGTGGGAAGACTGGAAGCAAGACTTAAGAGCAACTGGCTTAGAGTGGGAGAATGGTGTTCTAAAAAACCAGAAAAAAAGGAACTAGTAGATGTATATAGAGGAGTTTTATTAATTAATTTGAAGATTTTGCTAAGAAATAATTAGAGGGTTATGAAAACTAACCAAGTGAGGAAACAAGGCAGTTGTCAACTCCAGGAATAATGAAATATTTTAAAAGAAAGGAAATATAGAGTGTTTTTTTGAAAAGTAAGCAATAAAAACACTGCACTTATGTAGTTATAATAAGGTGTATTAGTCCATTCTCATGCTGCTATGAAGAACTGCCCGAGACTGGGTAATTTATAAAGAAAATAGGTTTAATTGACTCACATTCTGCAGGGCTGCGGTGGGGGGCCTTAGAAAACTTACTAGCATGGCAGAAGGGGAAGCAAACACATCCTTCTTCACATGGTGACAGGAAGAATGAGAGCCGAATGAAGGGGGAAGCCCCTTATAAAACCATCAGATCTTGTGAGAACCTACTATCACGAGAACAACATGGGGGAAACTACCCCTATGATTCAGTTACCTCTACCGTGTCCCTTCCATGACACGTGGGGCTTATAGGATTACAATTCAAGATGAGATTTGGGTGGGGACACAAAGCCAAACCATATCATTCCTCTCCCAGCCCCTCCCAAATCTCATGTCCTCACATTTCAAAACACAATCATGCCCTTTCCAGCAGTCCCTCAAAATGTTAGCTCATCCCAGCTTTAACCTAAAAGTCCAAGTCTGAAGTCTCATCTGAGACGAGGCAAGTCCCTTCCACCTATGATCCTGTAAAATCAACAGCAAGTTAGTTACTTCCTAGATACAATGTGGGTATAGGCATTGAGTAAATACACCCATTCCAAATGGGAGAATTTGGCCAAAACAAAGGGGCAACAGGCCCCATGCAAGTCTGAAATGCAGTGGAGCAGTCAAATCTTCAAGCTCTGAAATGATCTCCTTTGACTTCATGTCTCACATTCAGGTAATGCTGATGCAAGAGGTGGACTCCTATGGCCTTGGCAGCTCTGCCCCTGTGGCTTTGCAGGGTACAGCCCCACTCCAGGCTGCTTTCCTGGCCTGGCATTGAGTGTCTGTGGTTTTCCCAGGTGCACTGTGCAAGCTGTTAGTGGAGATGCCATTCTGAGGTCTGGAGGATGGTGGCTGTCTTCTCACAGCTCCACTAGGCAGTGCCTCAGTGGGGACTCTGTGTGTGAGCTCCAACCCCACATTTCCCTTCTGCACTGCCCTAGCAGAGGTTCTCAATTAGGGATCCACCCCTGCAGCAAAATTCTGCCTGGAAACCCAGGCATTTCCATACATCCTCTAAAATCTAGGTGGAGGTTCCCAAATCTCACTTCTTGACTTCTGTGCTTCTGCAGGCCCAGTACCACTTGTAAGGTGCCAAGGCCTGGGACTTGTACCCTCTGAAGCAATGGCCTAAGCTTTACATTGGCCCCTTTTAGCCATAGCTAGAGCTGAAACAACTGGGATGCAGGGAACCATGTCCTGAGGCTGCATAGAGCAGGGGGCTCCTGGGTCCAGCCTACAAAACCATTTTTTCATCTTAGGCCTCCAGGTCTGTGATAGAAGGGGCTGCAGTAAAGGTCTCTGGAATGCCCTGGAGACATTTTTCCCATTGTCCTGGTGATTAACATTCGACTGCGTAATACTTATGCAAATTCTGCAGTGGGCTTGAATGTCTGCTCAGAAAATGAATTTTTCTTTTTTTACAGCATTGTCAGGCTGCAAATTTTCCAAACTTTTATGCTCTGTCACCTCTTGAATGCTTTGCTGCTTAGAAATTTCTTCCACCAGATACCCTAAATCATCTCTCTCAAGTTCAAAGTCCCACAGATCTCTAGGACAGGGGCAAAATGCTGCCAGTCTCTTTGCATAGCAAGAGTAACCTTTATTCCAGTTCCCTCCAAATTCCTCATCTCCATCTGAGACCACCTCATCCTGGACTTTATTGTTCATATCACTATCAGCATTTTGGTCAAAGGCATTCAACAAGTCTCTAGGAAGTTCCAAACTTTCCCACATCTTCCAGTTTTCTGAGCCCTTCAATTCTCCAGGAAGTGTCAAACTATCCCACATTTTCCTATCTTCTTCAGAGCCCTCCAGACTGTTCCAACCTCAGCCTGTTACCCAGTTCCAAAGTCACTTCCACATTTTTGGGTATCTTTGTTTATTTATTTTATTAATCTATTTATTTATTTTTATTATTTATTTATTTTTGTTTTACTTTAAGTTCTGGGGTACATGTGCAGAATGTGCAGGTTTGTTACATAGGTATACATGTGCCATGTTGGTTTGCTGCACATATTATCCCATCATCTAGGTTTTAAGCCCCGCATGCATTAGCTGTTTGTCCTAATGCTCTTGTCCCCTTGCCCCTGATGCCCCAACAGGCCCCAGAGTGTGATGATCCCCTCCCTGTGTCCATGTGTTCTCTTTGTTCAACTCCCATTTATGAGTGAGAACATGCAGTGTTTGGATTTCTCTTCCTGTGTTAGTTTGCTGAGAATGATGGTTTCCAGCTTCATCCATGTCCCTGCAAAGAACATGAACTCATTCTTTTTTATGGCTGCATAGTATTCCATGGCATATATGGGCCACATTTTCTTTATCCAGTCTATCATTGATGAGCATTTGGGTTGTTTCCAAGTGTTTGCTATAGGAAATAGTGCTGCAATAAACATACATGTGCATGTCTTTATAGTAGAATGATTTATAATCGTTTGGGTATATACCCAGTAATGGGATTGCTGGGTCAAATGATATTTCTAGTTCTAGATCCTTGAGGAATCACCACACTGTCCACAATAGTTGAACTAATTTACACTCCCACCAGCAGTGTAAAAGCATTCTTATTTCTCCAGATACTCTCCAGCATCTGTTGTTTCTTGACTTTTTAATGGTCACCATTCTAATTGGTGTGAGTTGGTATCTCATTGTGGTTTTGATTTGCATTTGTCTAATGACCAGTTATGATGAGTTTTTTTTCATATGTTTGTTGGCCACATGTCTTCTTTTGAGAAGTGTCTGTTCATATCCTTCACTGACTTTTTGATGGGATTTTTTTTTCTTGTAAATTTAAGTTTCTTGTAGATTCTGGATATTAGCCCTTTGTCAGATGGATAGACTGCAAAAATTTTCTCTCATTCTGTAGGTTGCCTGTTCACGCTGATGATAGTTTCTTTTGCTGTGCAGAGCCTCTTTAGTTTAATTAGATCCCATTTGTCAATTTTGGCTTTTGTAGCAATTGCTTTTGGTGTTTTAGTCATGAAGACTTTGCCCATGCCTATGTCCTGAATGGTATTGCCTAGGTTTTCTTCTAGGGTTTTTATGGTTTTAGGTTTTAGGTTTAAGTCTTTAATCCATCTTGAGTTAATTTTTGTATAATGTTTAAGGAAGGGATCAAGTTTCAGTTTTCTGCATAAGGCTAGCCAGTTTCCCAACACCATTTATTAAATAGGGAATCCTTTCCTCTTTGCTTGTTTTTGTCAAAGATCAGATGGTTGTAGACCTGTGGTGTTATTTCTGAGGCCTCTGTCCTGATCCATTGTTCTATATATCTGTTTTGGTACCAGTCATGTTGTTTTGGTTACTGTAGCCTTGTAGTATAGTTTGAAGCCAGGTAGCATGATGTCTCCAGCTTTGATCTTTTTGCTTAGGATTGTCTTGGCTATATGGGCTTTTTTTAATTCCATATTAAATTTCAAGTAGTTTTTTGTAATTCTGTAAAGAAAGTCAGTGGTACCTTGATGGTTATTCAAATAACATTGAATCTATAAATTACTTTGGGCAGCATGGCCATTTTCACGATACTGAATCTTCCTATCCATGAGCATGGAATGATTTTTCCATTTGTTTGTGTCCTCTTTTATTTCCTTGAACAGTGGTTTGTAGTTCTTTTTGAAGAGGTCCTTTGCATGCCTTGTAAATTGTATTCCTAGGCATTTTATTCTCTTTGTAGCAATTGTGAATGGTAGTTCATTCATGATTGGGCTCTCTGTTTGTCTATTATTGGTGTGTAGGAATGCTTGTGATTTTTGCACATTGATTTTGTATCCTGAGACTTTGCTGAAGTTGCTTATCAGCTTAACGAGTTTTTGGGCTGAGACAAGGGGTATTCTAAATATACAATCATGTCACCTGCAAACAGAGACAATTTGACTTCCTGTCTTCCCATTTGAATACCCTTTATTTCTTTCTCTTGCCTGATTGCTCTGGCCAGAACTTCCAATACTATGTTGAATAGGAGTGGTGAGAGAGGGCATCCTTGTCTTGTGCTGGTTTTCAAAGGGAATGCTTCCAGCTTTTGCCCATTCAGTATGATATTGGCTATGGATATGCCATAAATAGCTCTTATTATTTTGAGATATGTTTCATCAATACCTAGTTTATTGAGTGTTTTTAGCATGAAGGGGTGTTGAATTGTATTGAAGGCCTTTTCTGCATCTGTTGAGATAATCATATGGTTTTTGTCATTGGTTCTGTTTACGTGACTAATTATGTTTATTGATTTGCGTATGTTGAACCAGCTGTTCATCCCAGGGATGAAGCTGACTTGATCGTGGTAGATAAGCTTTTTGATGTGCTGCTGGATACAGTTTGCCAGTATTTTATTGAGGATTTCTGCATCGATGTTCATCAGGGATATTGGCCTGAAATTTTCTTTTCTTTTTGTTGTGTCTCTGCCATGTTTTGGTGACAGGATGATGCTTGCCTATAAAATGAGTTAGGGAGGAGTCCCTCTTTTCTATTGTTTGGAATAGTTCCCCAAGGAATGGTACCAGCTCCTCTTTGTACCTCTGGTAGAATTCAACTGTGAATCCCTCTTGTCCTGGGCTTTGTTCGGTTGGTAGGCTCTTAATTACTTCCTCAATTTCAAAACTTGTTATTGGTCTATTCAGGGATTTGACTTCTTCCCAGTTTCGTCTTGGGAGGGCGTGTGTGTCCAGGAATTTATCCATTTCTTCAAGATTTTCTAGTTTATTTGCATAGAGGTGTTTATAGTATTCTCTGAGGGAAGTTTGTAGTTTTGTGTGATCAGTGGTGATATCCCCTTTATCATTTTTTATTGTGTCTATTTGATTCTTCTCTCTTTTCTTCTTTATTAGTCTTGCTAGTGGTGTATCTATTTTGTTAATCTTTTCAAAAAACCACCTTCTGGATTCATTGATTTTTTTGAACGGTTTTTCGTTTCTCTATCTCCTTCAGTTCTGCTCTGAGCTTAGTTATTTCTTGTCTTCTGCTAGCTTTTGAATTTGTTTGCTCTTGCTTTTCTAGTTCTTTTAATTGTGATATTAGGGTGTTGATTTTAGATTTTTCTCAGTTTCTGATGTGAGCATTTAGTGCTATCAATTTCCCTCCAAACACTGTTTTAGCTGTGTCCCAGAGATTCTGGTATGTTGTGTCTTTGCTCTCATTGGTTTCAAATAACTTATTTATTTCTGTTTTTATTTTGTTATTTACCCAGTAGTCATTCAGCAGCAGGTTGTTCAGTTTCCATGTAGTTTTGCAGTTTTGAGTGAGTTTCTTAATCCTGAGTTCTAATTTGATTGCACTATGGTCTGAGAGACTGTTTGTTATGATTTCCATTCTTTTGCATTTCCTGAGGAGGGTTTCGCTTCCAATTATGTTGTCGATTTTAGAATAAGTGCTGTGTGGTGCTGAGAAGAATGTATATTCTGTTGATTTGGGGTGGAGAATTGTGTAGATGTCTATTAGGTCCTCTTGGTCCAGAGCTGAGTTCAAGTCCTGAATATCCTTGTTAATTTTCTGTCTCATTGATCTAATATTGACAGTGGGGTATAAAGTCTCCCACTGTTATTGTGTGGGAGTCTAAGTCTCTTTGTACATCTCTAAGAACTTGCTTTATGAATCTGGATGCTCCTGAATTGGGTGCATATATATTTAGGATAGTTAGGTCTTCTTGTTGCATTGATCCCTTTACCAATATGTAATGCCCTTCTTTGTCTTTTTTGATATTTGTTGGTTTAAAGTCTATTTTATCAGAGACTAGCATTGCAACCCCTGATTTTTTTTTTTTGCTTTCCATTTGCTTGGTAAATATTCCTCCATCCCTTTATTTTGAGCCTATGTGTGCACATGAGGCTGGGTCTCCTGAATATGGCACATGGATGGGTCTTGACTTTTTATCCAACTTGCCAGTTTGTGTCTTTTAATTGGAGCATTTAGCCCATTTACATTTAAGGTTAATACTATTATGTGTGAATTTGATCCTGTCATCATGATGCTAGCTGGTTATTTTGCACATTAGTTGATGCAGTTTCTTCATAGTGTCATAGGTCTTTATAATTTCGTGTGTTTTTGCAGTGGCTAGTACCAGCTTTTCCTTTCCATATTTAGTGCTTCCTTCAGGAGCTCTTGTAAGGTATGCCTGGTGGTGACAAAATCCCTCAGCATTTGCTTGTCTGTAAAGAATTTTATTTCTCCTTTACTTATGAAACTTAGTTTGGCTGGGTATGAATTTCTGAGTTAAAAATTCTTTTATTTAAAATGTTGAATATTGGCTCCCACTGTGTTCTGGCTTGTAGGGTTTCTGCAGAGAGATCTGTTGTTAGTCTGATGGGCTTCTCTTTGTAGATGACCTGGCCTTTCTCTCTGGCTGCCCTTAACATTTTTTCCTTCATTTCAACCTTGGAGAATCTGATGGTTATGTGTCTTGTGGTTGCTCTTCTTGAGGATATCTTAGGGGTATACTCTGTATTTCCCGAATTTGAATGTTGGCCTGTCTTGCTAGGTTGGGGAAGTTCTCCTGGATAATATCCTGAAATTTTTTTTTTTACTTTGCTTCCATTCTCTTCATCATTTTCAGATACACCAGTGAATCGTAGGTTTGGTCTTTTCACAGAGTCCCATATTTCTTGGAGGCTTTGTTCATTCCTTTTCATTTTGTTTTCTCTAATCTTGTCTTCATGCCTTATTTCTTTAAGTTGATCTTCAAACTCTGATATTGTTCCTTCTGCTTGATTGATTTGGCTATTGATACTTGTGTATGCTGCATGAAGTTCTTGTGCTGTGTTTTTCAGCTCCATCAGTTCATTTATGTTCTTCTCTAAACTGATTATTCTAGTTAGCAGTTCCTGTAATCTGTTATCAAGGTTCTTAGCTTCCTTGCGTTGCATTAAAACATGCTCCTTTAGCTCAGAGGAGTTTATTGTTACCCACCTTCTGAAGCCTACTTCTGTCAATTCGTCAAACTCATTCTCATTCTCTGTCCTGTTTTGTGCCCTTGCTGGAGAGGAGCCACGATCCTTTGTAAGAGAAGAGATATTTTGGCTTTTGGAATTTTCAGCATTTTTGTGCTGGTTATTCCTCATCTTCGTGGATTTATCTACCTTTGCTCTTTGATGCTGATGACCTTTGGATGTGGTTTTTGGTTGGGTGTCCTTTTTGTTGATGTTGATGTTGATTTTATTGCTTTCTGTTTGTTAGTTTTTTCTTTTAACAGTCAGGCCCCTCTTCTTCAGATCTGCTGGAGTTTTCTGGAGGTCCAGTCCAGACCCTGTTTTCCTGGGTATCACCAGCGGAGGCTGCAGAACAGCAAAGATTGCTGCCTGCTCCTTCCTCCAGAAGCTTTGTCCCAGAGGGGCACCAGCCTTATGTCAACTGGAGCTCTACTGTATGAGGTGTCTGTCAACCCCTGCTGGGATGCGCCTCCCAGTCAGGAGGCACAGGAGTCAGGGACCCACTTGAGGAGGCAGTCTGTCCCTTATCAGAGCTTAAACAATGTGCTGGGAGATCCACTGCTCTCTTCAGAGCCAGTAGGTGGGAACTTTTTTTTTTTTTTTTGAGACGGAGTGTCGCTCTGTGGCCCAGGCGGGAGTGCAGTGGCGGTGGGAACGTTTTTAAGTCCGCTGAAACTGCACCCACAACCACCCCTTTACCGAGGTGTTCTGTCCCAGGGAGATGGGAATTTTATCCGTAAGCCCCTGACTGGGGCTGCTGCCTTTTCTTCGGAGATGCCCTGCCCAGTGAGAAGGAATCTAGAGAGGCACTCTGGCCACAGCCATTTTGCTGTGCTGTGGTGAGTTCTGCCCAGTCTGAACTTCTGGGCTTCCTCAACACTGTCAGGGGAAAGCCGCCTACTGAAGCCTCAGTAATGGCGCACGCCTCTCCCTGCACCAAGCTTGATCATCCAGGTCGACTTCAGACTGCTATGCTGGCAGCGAGAATTTCAAGTCAGTGGTTCTTAGCTTGCTGGGCTCCCTGGGTGTAGGACCCACTGAGTGAGACCACTTGGCTCCCTGGCTTCAGTTCCCTTTCCAGGGGAGTGAACAGTTCTGTCTTGCTGGTGTTCCAAGTGCCACTGGGGTAGGAAAAAAAAAAAAAAAACTCCTGCAGCTAGCTTGGTGTCTGCCCAAATAGCTGCCCAGTTTTGTGCTTGAAACCCCAGGGCCCTGGTGGTGTAGGCACATGAAGGTTCTCCTGGTCTACGGGTTGCAAAAACCGTGGGAAAAAGCATAGTATCTGGGCCTGATAGCACAGTCCCTCACGGCTTCCCTTGGCTAGGGGAGGGAGGTCCCTGGCCCCTTGCACTTCATGGGTGAGGTGACAACCCACCCTGCTTCTGCTCGCTCTCCATGGTCTGCACTCACTGTCTAACCAGTCCCAATGAGATGAACTGGTACCTCAGTTGGAAATGCAGAAATCACCCACCTTCTGCATTGGTCTTGTTGGGAGCTGCAGACCGGAGCTTTTCATATTTGGCCATCTTAGTCTGGGTTTTCTTTTTTTGGGTATCTTTATAGCAGCACCCCACTTCTGTTACCAATTTACTGTATTAGTATGTTCTCATGCTTCTATAAAAAGCTGGCTGAGATTGGGTAATTTATAAAGAAGTTTAATCGACTCACAGTTCTGCAGTGCTGGTAGGGGCCTCAGGAAACTTACAATCATGGCAGACGGGGAAGCAAACACATCCTTCTTTACGTGGCACCAGGAAGAAAAATGAGAGCAAAGTGAAGGCAGAGGCCCTTTATGAAACCATCAGATCTCATGAGAACTTACTATCATGAGAATAGCATGGGGGAAACTTCCCCTGTGATTCAATTACCTCCCTCCGGGTCCCTCCCATGACATGTCGGAATTATGGGATTACAATTCAAGATGAGATTTGGGTGGGGACGCAAAGCCAAACCATATCATAAGGCAAACACCAAATATTTATTTACCAGAAATTGTGATGTTGCTCTTTTGGGTGGATGGGGGAGGGAAAGGAAAATGGAAGAAATGTGTGTATATATGTGTGTATGTGTTAACATTTCCTCTTTCCAAATAGGAAATCAATAAACAGTGTACAAAATAAATTCAGCACAATATATATTTTATTTATAAATATGACAATAGATGTCAGGAGAAAATCTAGAAGAGTTGATAGTGATTTCTTCTGGGGGTTACAATTGAGGGGTGAGGAGATGTAGAGCAAGGTACTGCCATTTTTCTTATATACTCTGTAGAACTTTTTGACTTTTAAAAAACGATGTACGAGAGGACTTAAAAAAGTTCATGGGGCTGGGTGTGGTGGCTCATGGCTGTAATCCCAGCACTTTGGGAGGCTGAGGCGAGCAGATCACTTAAGGTCAGGAGTTCAAGACCAGCCTGTCCAACATTGTGAAACCCTGTCTCTACTAAAAATACAAAAATTAGCTGGGCATGGTAGTGGTCGCCTGTAATACCAGCTACTCAGGAGGCTGAGGCAGGAGAGTCAATTGAACCCAGGAGGCGGAGGTTGTAGTGAGCCTAGATTGCATCACTGTACTCTAGCCTGGATGACACAGTGAGACTCCATCTCAACAACAACAAAACAACAACAAAAACAACAACAAAAAGTTCATGGAAAATGCATATTATGAAAAAAACTACAAATGGATTTTACATTTTCTTTCTACCCAGATAAACTCAATCTAACTTGTTATAATGTGTCTGAGCAGAATCCAATTTGAGGCACTAAGAAGGACAAGGTAGCAGTTTGGAAAGTGCCCCATCACAGCAATATGAATTCTGTTAATATTAAAAATGAAGCAAGAACACACATCAAATTTATGGTTAAGCTTGGTTGGAAGAATGGTGAAATCATTGATACTTTGTAAATACATTATGGGGACAATGCCCCAAAGAAATCAGCAGCTTACAAATATATAGCTCATTTTAAGAATGGATGAAACAATGTTGAATACCTTAGTGGCAGATCATCCGCGTCAATTCATGAAGAAAAAATTAATTTTGTTCGTGCCTGAATTGCAGAGGACTGACAATTAACAGCAGAAACATTTATAGCCCACACTGTAGACCTCTTACTTGGTTCAGCACACAGAGTTCTGAATGAAAAATTACAGTTGAGCAAACTTTTCACTCAATGGGTGCCCAAACTCTTGCACCCAGATTAGCTGCAGGTAAGAATAGAGCATTCAATGAAAATTTTAAACAAATGGTATTAAGATCCTGAAGCATTTCTTTGAAGAACTGTAACAGGAGATGAAACATGGCTTTACCAGTATGATTCTGAGGACAAATTACAATCAAAGCAATGGCTACCAAGAGGTGGAAGTGGTCCAGTCAAAGCAAGAGTGGATTGGTCAAGAGCAAAGGTACCAAAGAGTTTTTTGGGATGCTCAAGACATTTAGCTCGTTGACTTTCTGGAGGGCCAAAGAACAATAACATTTGCTTCTGGTGAGTATTTTGAGAAAGTTAGCTAAAGCTTTAGCAGAAAAAAGCCCAAGGAAGCTTCACCAGAGAGTCCATCTCCATCATGGCAATGCTCCTGCTCCTCCTCTCATCAAACAAAGGCAATTTTGTGAGAGTTTTGATGGGAAATCATTAGACATCCACCTTACAGTCCTGATTTGGATTTTTCTGACTTCTTTTTGTTTCCTTAAAAAAATCTGTTAAAAGGCACCCATTTTTCTTAAGTTAATAATATAAAAAAGACTGCATTGACATGGTTAAATTTCCAGGACCCTCGATTCTTTTGGGATGGACTATATGGCTGGTATTATGGTTTATAGAAATGTCTTGATCTTGATGGAGCTTATGTTAAAAAATTAAGTTTATATTTTTTGTTTTTATCTTTTAGTTCCATTTTCCATGAACTTCTGGAAGTCCCTTTGTTTATGTGTTAATTTGATAAAAATCAAAACATTATAAAAAAGATATGGGGCAATTTAGGGGAAAATTATATTTTAACTAAAATATTTTTGAATTAAAGAAGACAAGTTTTTTTTTTTTTTTCAGGACCTCAGAGTTTTATTATTACTTAAGTCAGTCTCCCCCAGCATTTGGGGATCAGAGTTTTTTTGTTTGTTTTGAGACAGAGTCTCGCTCTGTCACCCAGGCTGGAGTGCAGTGGCGCGATCTTGGCTCACTGCAACCTCCGCCTCCCGGATTCAGTCGATTCTTCTTCCTCAGCCTCCTGAGTGGCTGGGACTACAGGCACACACCACCACGCCTGGCTAATTGTTTATTTTTAGTTGAGATGGGGTTTCACCATATTGGCCAGGCTGGTCTTGAACTCCTTACCTCATGATCTGCCCGCCTCGGCCTCCCAAAGTGCTGGGATTACAGGCATGAACCACCGCGCCTGGCCTGTGGATCAGGGTTTTAAAGGACAACTTAGTGGGTAGGGGAAGCCCGTGAGCTGGGAGTGCCGATTGGTCAGGTCAGTGATGAAATCATAGGGAGGAGAAACTGTCTTCTTGTACTGAATCAGTTCTTGGGTGGGGGCTACGAGATCAGATGAGTCAGTTTATCGATCTGGGTAGTGCCACCTGATCCATTAAGTGCAGGTCTGCAAAATATCTCAAGCACTGATCTTAGGAGCAGTTCAGGTAGGGTCAGAATCTTGTAGCTTTCAGCTGCATGACTCCTAAACTATAATTTCTAATCTCGTGGCTAATTTGTTAGTCCTACAAAGGCAGTCTAATCTCCAGGCAAGAAAGAGGCTTGTTTTGGGAAAGGCCTGTTATCTTTTTTTAAACTAGAAACTAGAAACTATGTTCCTCCCAAAGTTAGATCAACCTATGCCCAGGAATGAACAAGGAGAGCTTGGAGGTTAGAAGCAAGATGGAGTTGGTTAGGTCAGGTCTCTTTCACTGTCTAAGGTGTAATTTTGCAATGGTGGTTTCAATCCCTCTCTTTAGGTTTTATAACTCTTAATCTTAAGGTGTTGGCTAATGAAGATGGAAAAAGGGCGAAGACTTCTCTAACTTCTTCCTGCTGATCAGGGGCATAGTGGGGGTAGGTGCTGACCCCAAGGTGAGAGGAGTGGAACCACTTTGCAACTGTCTGATCATACTCACACAGGGCAGGCTGGGCTTCCAAGGCTTGCATGTTAAAGGCGTTAGTATTGTCATTTATAGTTTTAGTACAGCATTTAAGGGAATAGTATACTATAAGGTAAATGATGACTCTAGGACAAGGAGTGCAGTTCCCAGTTTTAAAAGTAAAAATCTGAGAGCATTAGTTTGGGAACTTGTAGCCCACAAAGAATTTAGGATTTTGTCCAAACTGCAGAAAAAAACTCAAGAACAGCTAACAACAGGTGTACTATAGTATTTTCTTTTGAAGCATAATTTTTCTCTCTCCAGTCCCCATTTTTATTAAAAGCAAATCATGATAGAACTAATTTGTTTACAAAATGAACTTTAGTCTTATTGTAATTGGCCTAATTATTGCATACGGTGCAGCAAGATTATTTTTCACATAGGCTTTTTAAAATTGATTTTGGTGAACTCTGTTCCATAAGGAATCTCGGATAAGATATTTTAAAGCCGAGCACAGCCGTGGGCTTGTACCTCAAATACCTATGAGTTGGGAAAATTCCTCTCCTCTTGAGGTCCCAGGATAACTCAGGGCTCCTAGGCCTGTTAGAAAGTGACATTCTTTACTTACCACAGATCAGGAACCTTGTACAGGGACTGTGTGGACAGAGTATGAGGCCAGATTTCCCAAGGGGCTGTTATTGGCTCTATAAGTCAACCTCGATTATTTAAAGAAAGTATGCCATTCCAGTCAAAGCCTTGGTAAAATAACCAGTTTCTCCAATTGTGTCCAGTTACAAAAGAAAACAGATTCTTATGGCACTTATGCAAATAACTATACTGCCGTAAGTTGAGAATACTCACAAGTAGTTTCCAAGGTAGAGAGACAAATATGCTCCAAATTTTGTTCATAGGAATGTATTTTACTAAATTGTTAAAAGCTATAAATATCTCAAAAGAAAAGTTTTCTTGGCTCTGGAAAACAAAAAGGATCAGCAGTGTTTTATGCAAAAAAGTAAGAAAAAGATTACTTTAGTTTTCTGATAGTTCAGTTAACTCCTGTTCTGCTTGATATTCATGAACATTTCAACTCTCTGCGGGAGTCTTGGAAGTTTTTTCTCTTTATTCTAATGTCATAAATTCCAAAGTTATAAGAAATTTGCATTCAAGAGCACCTGTCAAAGTTTTGTAGCTGATTAGGAAACCACCATTTAAAGAGGATCAAAATAAGGCAACAATTGCCTATGGATGACAAAAAAATCTTAGGGCAGCCATAGTTAAAGACACAATTGACAAGAAAATCTGTTACCTCTGTGGTACACAATAATTTAACATAATTATAATTATTAATGACATCATATACTAAGTCATATCAGAATTATAGGAGTGTCACATAATTTTGGAGCATATACCTATAACACATTTACACAAATACAGCCCAAAGAAAGCCAAACAGCATTTTAAATTTGATAGTGCTTCCTGTATGATTTTTATACCAGATAAGCCAACACATCATTTTTGGACTTCAGGGGACCTAATGTCTAAAGGATTAATTAGGTCAGAAAGTGACATACTTTATAATTTGATTTTGGAAAGTTTGTCAAATATCAAAGGCTTAAAACACTGGATATCACAAAATAGGATCACAGTTTATTTACTTATCCGAGGTGGTAACTTGAAAAAAATATATTTTTTAAGGCAAAACCCTTTACTCTGAAGAGTTTTAGTTTTCCAAACAAGACCCAATGGAGATAGCATGAGGCCAACTGATACCTTGTCCTTCCTCCCCCTTTTTCCCTGCCATTTACCCAAAGGGGCAAAAAAACCCCTTTCATTATCTTTTAATATTACATAAAAATCTTTTTCAAATGAGAAAACCAAATTTCATGTTTGCATTAGTGCATCTTCAATGTTAAAGCTAGTTTTTAAAATAAAATATTATAAATCTATGTAGTTTAAATTAGTTTAACCATAAGGTAATATTTTTATAAACCTTTTTAGAACCCTTTACAGTTTTCTCCATAGAGCTCTTTTTTTCTAAAGAAAAATTCTTTTAAATTTCTTATTACCAGACTCTAGCCAGAACTGCCAATAATTCTGGCTTTTGAATTCTACCACAGGTAATTTTCCACATGAAATTAATAATTTTTAACTAAGGTTATAAGTTAACCATGGATGCATAAAGTGTTTTAAAGAGATGGTAAGCATTTTTTTTTTAAATAAGATTTATAATCTCCCCAAGGGTAGTTCAGAGAAAGGAAAATTCAAGACAGGAACTCAGAAGCGATTGTTGAGGGGAAGAAAACCTTAATCTGTGGCAAAGTTACACAAATAATAAACCAGAGAGAAATTATTCCGGAAGCCAAGAATTGAATCTGGACTGCCATTGTCAAAAAACAAAGCTTTAGCTACTGAGCTACACAGCATTGAGCAGTTTCTATTGCTCTTCCCAGAAGAAGTCTAAAGCAGCCAATTTCAAGCTTGCAGAGGCTCTTAACTGCTCAAGATAATTTTAGGGCTATGATATGAACCATAAAATTACTGTCCTCTGGATGGCAGAAACCAAGGGAAAGTATCCCCACATGGTCACAAAGTTAAGCTCTTAAGGACACAACACAAGATAGAGAAATTTCATCCAGTATTGGTGTCAGGGTCCCACAGCAAAGTTTGTAACTGACCAGCCTGCTAGGCTGGCTTTAAAAGCAGCCTTATAGGGGCCCTAAACCATCATTGTATCCTGTGATACCTATTACAGAATGACACAGAAAGACAAATTCTTAGCACAAAGCACACCAGATTTGCTACAGCCTAAGACTAGTTTCACAAATCCTTTTTTCTATCAATCAGACTCATGCAGAGAAGACAAATAGTGATGTCTACCATTTACATACACACACAGAGAAAGAGAGAGAGAGAAAGAGACCAGAAACTTGGCTGGTAAGAATTTCATATGCTTTTTTTTTTGCTGGCATACCAGGTTTCCAGGTTCCTTTTCTCTGCAGCTTCCAGAAGAATGGAGCAACTTTTGATGACCCTGCTTGATGTGCCATAGCTGTGGGGTTCAAGCCACTTTACAAAAGCCACCTTTTCTGTTTTATGGAACCATAGACAAAAGATTCTCAATTTTTCAAGATGTTGCCTAATGGGCTGCATGGGGAACTGAATTAACATTTTCCGTCTAGCAAAATACACGTAACAAAACAAGACACCAGTCACCTCATTCAGCACCCAATATCAACCTGGCAAAGCTCAAATTTTCTCCTCTTGGTCCCCTGTTGTCTTTGATCTCCTCCAGGTGGGGAAGGATGACCTCTGAATGGTAATTCACAATGGGTGATCTCTGGGCAAGGTGAAGAGTGGATAGTCACCCTGAGACAGGTCTGTTGAGCATTCTTTCAGGCTCATGGAATGTAATCAGACAAGGAAAGTTCTCTGAGTTAGGACTGTGGGACTTCCATCGACAATTCCTTCTGAGATCCCCTCCACATATACAAACATACACTAAGACAAGATGGACAGAAGGCCTTCCAAATCAGATTCCTAATCAAGAACTCCAAGAGTATCTCTTCTAAACTATCCTCCTATTCTTAGTCTGAGAAATTCTCCCTGAAATTTTCCTGATTAAGGAGAAGTCTCCTGAACCAAGACTTCCTACTAGTTAGGGAGAGCCAACCACGACTCCCAGGAGCTGAACTGAGACAGACACCCCACAGTGGGGCTATAGACAAACCAAGACCCCCGAAGGAGCTGAACTGAGATAGACACCCCATGGTGGAGCTACAAACAGATACCCCACAATGGGGCTGTGGACAGACACCCCATCATGGGGCTACCGAACCATTTGGGAGAAAGAAGGAGGCATTGGCAACGCCTAGGATACTCACCAAACCAGACACCTTGTAATAGAGTTACAGCTACAGACACTCTGCCATGGAGCTACAGATACCCTGTGAGGGGGCTACAGTTACGGGATGTCTCACCAGGACTATTTCCGTATTACAATTAAATCCATGCACATTGGGTGGGCAGCACCCTGCCAAGAGTAGCAGAGTCAACCCCCAGTCCAAGAGAACTAGGCAGCCACTTGGGCTGGCCTCTGGATCCATTGCCAGAGTGGGGCTACTGAACCATGGGCTGGTAGTCACAAGGCCATTCCTGGACGAGCCCCCATATTTGTAACCACCCAGTGGGTTCACCTTGCTGCTGCATGGACAGAATCAATTTATCATGATGGGAATTACAATAGAGAAAGAGTAATTTATGCAGAGCCTTCTGTGCAGGAGACTGGAGTTTTTTTTATTACTGAAATCAGTCTCCAGTAGAGTTTGACTAATGAGGTACAGTGGTGTATGCTAAAACCAAGAGAGCATGCAAATGTATTTATAAAGGTCTTGTCCTCATTATCTTCATCAATAGATAAATTTTTGTAAATCTGCCTTTCAATCATATTATATAGAAAGTGGTAGGCCAGGTGCAGTGGCTCACGCCTGTAATCCTAGCCCTTTGGGAGGCTGAGCTGGGTGGATCAATTGAGGTCAGGAGTTTGAGACCAGCCTCGCCAACATGGTGAAACTCCATCTGTACTAAAAATACAGAAGTTAGCTTGGTGTGGTGGCATGGGCCTGTAGCCCAGCTACTCAGGAGGCTGAGGCAGGTGAATTGGTTGAACCCGGGAGGTGGAGGTCAACATTGCACCACTGCACTCCAGCCATAGTGACAGAGTGAGACTCCATCTCAAAAAGAAGGAAAGAAATAAAGAGAGTGGTAATTAACTTACTTTTCTGTTATTTGCTGAGAAAAAATGGGGTATAGATATCAATCCTACAGAAAGTTGTAAGTTTTAGAACATACTCATTCACTTGTTTCAATATCTTCAGGATATGGGAAGTTGGGCTTGTTTAATATCTCATATTAAATTTTCTGTTTAACCCTCTTTCTCTCTCTCTACCCCTCCTCCTCTCCTTCCCTTACCCCTGCTTGAAGCTATTATCTCTTAGTGAATTGGGTGTATGCCTAAAATCACAGTCAAAACATCTAGAAAAACTAGGATTATAACTGTAGTCTCTTAACTCACAGAGTATGCTTTTTTCAGTATATCAGTTGCTCAATAAAATTTGTCCCATGAATTTTTAAAAAATCATAATAAAACAGTCTAATATAGTGGATAAATCTATCCACTTTGGAATCAGGTTCAAATCTCAGTTCTGCAACTTACTAGCTTTGCAACTTGGGTCAAGCAGTGTATCTCTCCAAGTCTCAGTTCCCCCATACATAATAATATCTACTTCAAAAGATTAGATGAGAAGAGTAAAGTATGTGACGTGTTTGTGGGTGTGTGTATATAGATATAGCATGTATGGGATATAGTAATCTAATATTTCTATTATTCCTATAACAATATATTTTTTATTTTTTTGTTTTGTAGATGCGGCCATCATGGTCTCTTGCTGTGCTATTTCTTGGTCAACTGTTGATTATCAAGTAGCTTTAAGAAAATCCTTGCCTGACAAAAAGCTTCTTAATGGATTATGTCCCAAAATCACATATCTCTTTTACAAGTTGTTTACATTATTATCGTGGATGCTGAGTGTTGTACTTCTACTATTCTTAAATGTTAAGATTGCTTTATTTCTGTTGTTATTTCTTTGGTTGTTAGGTATAATATGGGCATTTAAAAACAACACCCAGTTTTGTACTTGTATAAGTATGGAATTCTTATATAGGATTGTTGTTGGATTCATTCTTATCTTTACATTTTTTAATATTAAGGGACAGAATACCAAGTGTCCAATGTCTTGTTATTATATTGTTAGGGTACTGGGCACTTTGGGGATATTGACTGTATTCTGGGTTTGCCCCCTCACTATTTTTAATCCAGACTATTTTATACCTATCAGTATAACTATAGTTCTTACTCTTCTTCTTGGAATTCTTTTTCTTATTGTTTATTATGGGAGTTTTCACCCAAACAGAAGTGCAGAAACAAAATGTGATGAAATTGATGGAAAACCAGTTCTAAGAGAATGTAGAATGAGATATTTCCTAATGGAATAAGCTATTCATTTATGATATATATTTTCTTATATTTTGTTTCATTGGTTAGTAAAGAAAATGTGTGTTATGTGGGTGTGTTGTCTCTTATTTTTGCCACCTTTAATTTGAAATTAGTTCAGTGAAATAGGAGATACATAGTAGTATTTTATTTTTAAAATTAATTTCTCATTTGGTTTTGAAGATCTTGAGTACTCAGATATCTTTCTACTGCCTGGTAGAGCTGCCATCTTGAGCCTGAAATATAAGAAATGGTCTGGTTTTCATAATGAGAAGGCTGGAATTGAGCTTCCCTCCCATTTTCCTTGTTCCTGAACTAATACTACTGTACCTGTTATGGAGGACTGCAAAGGGAAGAGAAAAGCAGAACACTGTATTATTTTTTCCTTTATTGTCTTCAGTGCATATATTTGCAGTTGGGGACAGGTTGAGTAGAGGAAAAGGGAAAGAAGGGAAAGCAGAAAACAAATTTTTAGCATCTGCTGTGCTTTCATCCATGAAATCTCCAATTCAGTAAGTGCAAAAGAGAATTGGTGTGCATCTGAGAGGTCTGACATTTCATTATTTACTTATTTCCTAGCTTTTCTGAATTAATGCACTCTTAACATATAATTATATTAATCCTATTTGTGCTAGAATAGTTGTATCTAAATCATATTTTAAAATTATTTTTATTTTTAAAAAATTATGGTAAAAACATATAAAATTTACCATCTTAATCACTTTGAGTGTACAGTTCATCAGTGTTAACTGTATTCACCTTGTGCAACAGATCTCAAGGACTTTTTCACCTTGTAAAACTAAGATTCTCTATTTATTGAACAAATCCCCATTTCCTCCTTCCCCAAGTCTCTCTCAACTGAAATTATAATTTTTTGTTTCTATGAGTTTGAATACTTTAGATACCTTGTTGCCATGGTTTGAATGTGCCCCCCAGATTTCATGTGTGTGAAACTTAATCTCCAAATTTGTATGTTGATGGCATTTGGAAGTGGTGGGGACTTTGTTTATTTATTTATTTTTAATTTTTTAATTTTATATTATTATTATTATTATTATACTTTAAGGTTTAGGGTACATGTGCACAATGTGCAGGTTAGTTACATATGTATACATGTGCCATGCTGGTGTGCTGCACCCATTAACTCGTCATTTATCATTAGGTATATCTCCTAAAGCTATCCCTCCCCCCTCCCCCCACCCCACAACAGTCCCCAGAGTGTGATGATCCCCTTCCTGTGTCCATGTGTTCTCATTGTTCAGTTCCCACCTATGAGTGAGAATATGCAGTGTTTGGTTTTTTGTTCTTGCGATAGTTTACTGAGAATGATGATTTCCAGCTTCATCCATGTCCCTACAAAGGACATGAACTCATCATTTTTTATGGCTGCATAGTATTCCATGGTGTATATGTGCCACATTTTCTTAATCCAGTCTATTGTTGTTGGACATTTGGGTTGGTTCCAAGTCTTTGCTATTGTGAATAGTGCTGCAATAAACATACGTGTGCATGTGTCTTTATAGCAGCATGATTTATAATCCTTTGGGTATATACCCAGTAATGGGATGGCTGGGTCAAATGGTATTTCTAGTTCTAGATCCCTGAGGAATCACCACACTGACTTCCACAATAGTTGAACGAGTTTACAGTCCCAGCAACAGTGTAAAAGTGTTCCTATTTCTCCACATCCTCTCCAGCACCTGTTGTTTCCTGACTTTTTAATGATTGCCATTCTAACTGGTGTGAGATGGTATCTCATTGTGGTTTTGATTTGCATTTCTCTGATGGCCAGTGATGGTGAGCATTTTTTCATGTGTTTTTTGGTTGCATAAATAAATGTCTTCTTTTGAGAAGTGTCTGTTCATGTCCTTCGCCCACTTTTTGATGGGGTTGTTTGTTTTTTCTTGTAAATTTGTTTGAGTTCATTGTAGATTCTGGATATTAGCCCTTTGTCAGATGAGTAGGTTGCGAACATTTTCTCCCATTTTGTAGGTTGCCTGTTCACTCTGATGGTAATTTCTTTTGCTGTGCAGAAGCTCTTTATTTTAATTAGATCCCATTTGTCAATTTTGGCTTTTGTTGCCATTGCTTTTGGTGTTTTAGACATGAATTCTGTGCCCATGCCTATGTCCTGAATGGTAATGCCTAGGTTTTCTTCTAGGGATTTTATGGTTTTAGGTCTAACATTTAAGTCTTTAATCCATCTTGAATTAACTTTTGTATAAGGTGTAAGGAAGGGATCCAGTTTCAGCTTTCTACATATGGCTAGCCAGTTTTCCCAGCACCATTTATTAAATAGGGAATCCTTTCCCCATTGCTTGTTTTTGTCAGGTTTGTCAAAGATCAGATAGTTGTAGATATGCGGCGTTATTTCTGAGGGCTCTGTTCTGTTCCATTGATCTATATCTCTGTTTTGGTACCAGTACCATGCTGTTTTGGTTACTGTAGCCTTGTAGTATAGTTTGAAGTCAGGTAGCGTGATGCCTCCAGCTTTGTTCTTTTGGCTTAGGATTGACTCGGCGATGCGGGCTCTTTTTTGGTTCCATATGAACTTTAAAGTAGTTTTTTCCAATTCTGTGAAGAAAGTCATTGGTAGCTTTATGGGGATGACATTGAATCTATAAATTACCTTCGGCAGTATGGCCATTTTCATGATATTGATTCTTCCTATCCATGAGCATGGAATGTTCTTCCATTTGTTTGTATCCTCTTTTATTTCACTGAGCAGTGGTTTGTAGTTCTCCTTGAAGAGGTCCTTCACATCCCTTGTAAGTTGGATTCCTAAGTATTTTATTCTCTTTGAAGCAATTGTGAATGGGAGTTCACTCATGATTTGGCTCTCTGTTTGTCTGTTATTGGTGTATAAGAATGCTTGTGATTTTTGTACATTGATTTTGTATCCTGAGACTTTGCCGAAGTTGCTTATCAGCTTAAGGAGATTTTGGGCTGAGACAATGGGGTTTTCTAGATATACAATCATGTCATCTGCAAACAGGGACAATTTGACTTCCTCTTTTCCTGATTGAATACCCTTTATTTCCTTCTCCTGCCTAATTGCCCTGGCCAGAACTTCCAACACTATGTTGAATAGGAGTGGTGAGAGAGGGCATCCCTGTCTTGTGCCAGTTTTCAAAGGGAATGCTTCCAGTTTTTGCCCATTCAGTATGATATTGGCTGTGGGTTTGTCATAGATAGCTCTTATTATTTTGAGATACATCCCATCAATACCTAATTTATTGAGAGTTTTTAGCATGAAGCGTTGTTGAATTTTGTCAAAGGCCTTTTCTGCATCTATTGAGATAATCATGTGGTTTTTGTCTTTGGTTCTGTTTATATGCTGGATTACATTTCTTGATTTGCATATATTGAACCAGCCTTGCATCCCAGGGATGAAGCCCACTTGATCATGGTGGATAAGCTTTTTGATGTGCTGCTGGATTCGGTTTGCCAGTATTTTATTGAGGATTTTTGCATCAATGTTCATCAAGGATATTGGTCTAAAATTCTCTTTTTTGGTTGTGTCTCTGCCAGGCTTTGGTATCCGGATGATGCTGGCCTCATAAAATGAGTTAGGGAGGATTCCCTCTTTTTCTATTGAGTGGAATAGTTTCAGAAGGAATGGTACCAGTTCCTCCTTGTACCTCTGGTAGAATTCGGCTGTGAATCCATCTGGTCCTGGACTCTTTTTGGTTGGTAAGCTATTGATTATTGCCACAATTTCAGATCCTGTTATTGGTCTATTCAGAGATTCAACTTCTTCCTGGGTTAGTGTTGGGAGGGTGTATGTGTCAAGGAATTTATCCATTTCTTCTAGATTTTCTAGTTTATTTGTGTAGAGGTGTTTATAGTATTCTCTGATGGTAGTTTGTATTTCTGTGGGATCGGTGGTGATGTCCCCTTTATCATTTTTTATTGTGTCTATTTGATTCTTTTCTCTTTTCTTCTTTATTAGTCTTGCTAGCGGTCTATCAATTTTGTTGATCCTTTCAAAAAATCAGCTCCTGGATTCATTAATTTTTTGAAGGGTTTTTTGTGTCTCTATTTCCTTCAGTTCTGGTCTGATTTTAGTTATTTCTTGCCTTCTGCTACCTTTTGAATGTGTTTGCCCTTGCTTTTCTAGTTCTTTTAATTGTGATGTTAGGGTGTCAATTTTTGATCTTTCCTGCTTTCTCTTGTGGGCATTTAGTGCTATAAATTTCCCTCTATACACTGCCTTGAATGTGTCCCAGAGATTCTGGTATGTTGTGTCTTTGTTCTCGTTGGTTTCAAAGAACATCTTTATTTCTGCCTTCATTTCGTTATGTACCCAGTAGTCATTCAGGAGCAGGTTGTTCAGTTTCCGTGTAGTTGAGTGGTTTTGAGTGAGTTTCTTAATCCTGAGTTCTAGTTTGATTGCACTGTGGTCTGAGAGACAGTTTGTTATAATTTCTGGTGTTTTACATTTGCTGAGGAGAGCTTTACTTCCAAGTATGTGGTCAATTTTGGAATAGGTGTGGTGTGGTACTGAAAGAAATGTATATTCTGTTGATTTGGGGTGGAGAGTTCTGTAGATGTCTATTAGGTCCGCTTGGTGCAGAGCTGAGTTCAATTCCTGGGTATCCTTGTTAACTTTCTGTCTTGTTGATCTGTCTAATGTTGACAATGAGGTGTTAGTCTCCCATTATTATTGTGTGGGAATCTAAGTCTGTTTGTAGGTCACTCAGGACTTGCTTTATGAATCTGGGTGCTCCTGTATTGGGTGTATATATATTTAGGATAGTGAGCTCTTCTTGTTGAATTGATCCCTTTACCATTAAGTAATGGCCTTCTTTGTCTCTTTTGATGTTTGTTGGTTTAAAGTCTCTTTTATCAGAGACTATGATTGCAATCCCTGCCTTTTTTGTTTTCCATTTGCTTGGTACATCTTCCTCCATCCTTTTATTTTGAGCCTATGTGTGTCTCTGCACATGAGATGGGTTTCCTGAATACAGCACACTGATGGGTCTTGACTCTTTATCCAATTTGCCAGTCTGTGTCTTTTAACTGGAGCATTTAGTCCATTTACATTTAAAGTTAATATTGTTATGTGCGAATTTGATCCTGTCATTATGATGTTAGCTGGTTATTTTGCTCATTAGTTGATGCAGTTTCTTCCTAGCCTCGATGGTCTTTACAATTTGGCATGATTTTGCAGTGGCTGGTACCGGTTGTTCCTTTCCATGTTTAGTGCTTCCTTCAGGAGCTCTTTTAGGGCAAGCTTGGTGGTGACAAAATCTCTCAGCATTTGCTTGTCTGTAAAGTATTTTATTTCTCCTTCACTTATTAAGCTTAGTTTGTCTGGATATGAAATTCTGGGTTGAAAATTCTTTTCTTTCAGAATGTTGAATATTGGCCCCCACTCTCTTCTGGCTTGTAGAGTTTCTGCCGAGAGATCCGCCGTTGGTCTGATGGGCTTCCCTTTGTGGGTAACCCAACCTTTCTCTCTGGCTGCCCTTAACATTTTTTCCTTCATTTCAACTTTGGTGAATCTGACAATTATGTGTCTTGGAGTTGCTCTTCTTGAGGAGTATCTTTGTGGCGTTCTCTGTATTTCCTGTATGTGAATGTTGGCCTGCCTTGGTAGACTGGGGAAGTTCTCCTGGATAATATCCTGCAGAGTGTTTTCCAACTTGGTTCCATTCTGCCCGTCACTTTCAGGTACAGCAATCAGATGTAGATTTGGTCTTTTCACATAGTCCCATATTTCTTGGAGGCTTTGTTCGTTTCTTTTTATTCTTTTTTCTCTAAACTTCCCTTCTCGCTTCATTTCATTCATTTCATCTTCCATCACTGATACCCTTTCTTCCAGTTGATCGCATTGGCTCCTGAGTCTTCTGCATTCTTCACGTAGTTCTCGAGCCTTGGTTTTCAGCTCCATCAGCTCCTTTAAGCACTTCTCTGTATTGGTTATTCTAGTTATACATTTGTCTAAATTTTTTTCAAAGTTTTTAACTTCTTTGCCTTTGGTTTGAATTTCCTCCTGTAGCTCGGAGTAGTTTGATCATCTGAAGCCTTCTTCTCTCAACTCGTCAAAGTCATTCTCTGTCCAGCTTTGTTCTGTTGCTGGTGAGGAACTGCGTTCCTTTGGAGGAGAGGTGCTCTGCTTTTTAGAGTTTCCAGTTTTTCTGCTCTGTTTTTTTCCCCATCTTTGTGGTTTTATCTACTTTTGGTCTTTGATGATGGTGATGTACAGATGGGTTTTTGGTGTGGATGTCCTTTCTGTTTGTTAGTTTTCCTTCTGACAGACAGGACCCTCAGCTGCAGGTCTGTTGGAGTTTGCTAGAGGTCCACTCCAGACCCTGTTTGCCTGTGTTCTAGCAGCGGTGGCTGCAGAACAGTGGATTTTCGTGAACCACGAATGCTGCTGTCTGATCGTTCCTCTGAAAGTTTTGTCTCAGAGGAGTACCTGGCCGTGTGAGGTGTCAGTCTGCCCCTCCTGGGGGTTGCCTCCCAGTTAGGCTGCTCGGGGTCAGGGGTCAGGGACCCACTTGAGGAGGCAGTCTGCCCGTTCTGAGATCTCCAGCTGCGGGCTGGGAGAACCACTGCTCTCTTCAAAAGCTGTCAGACAGGGACATTGAAGTCTGCAGAGGTTACTGCTGTCTTTTTGTTTGTCTGTGCCCTGCCCCCAGAGGTGGAGCCTACAGAGGCAGGCAGGCCTCCTTGAGCTGTGGTGGGTTCCACCCAGTTCGAGCATCTGGGCTGCTTTGTTTACCTAAGCAAGCCTGGGCAATGGTGGGTGTAGGTGGTGGGGACTTTGGGCAGTATTTAAGATTAGTTTAGATAAGGTTATCAGGGTGGGTTCTCCATGATGGGACTGGTGGTTTTATGAGAAGAGGAAGAGAGACCTGAGCTAGCACACTCTTGCTGTCACTATTTGATGCCCTCTGCCATGTTATGATAGAGCAAAGAGGCCCTCATCAGATGCTAGTGCTATGCTCTTGGCCTTCCCAGGCTCTGAAACCATTAGTGAAGTAAACTTTTCTTTATAAATTACCCAGTCCCTGGTATTCAGCGGAAAACAGACTGAGACACATGTAAGTGTATTCATATTGTATTTGTCTTTTGTTACTGGCTTAGTTCGTTGAGCATAATGTCTTTAAGCTTCATATTTTAGCATGTGACAAGATTTACTTCTTTTTTTAAGACTGAATAGTATTCCATTTTATATGTATGCCACATTTTGTTTATCCATTCATTCATTGATGAATGGATTGATGAATGGATATTTGGGTTGCTTCCACCTCTTGGCTATTGTGAATAGTGCAACAGTGAACATGGGTTTACAAATACTTCTTTGAGATTCTGCTTTCAGTTCTTTTGGATATGTACTCAGAAGTGGGATTACTTGATCACGTGGTAATTCTGTTTTAAATCCTATTCAGAAGTAGGATTTCTTGATCATATGGTGGTTATTTTGAGGAACCTTTATACTGTTTCCATAATGGCTGCACTATTTTACAATCCCACCAACATTGCATAAATGCCCCAGTTTCTCTATATCCTCACCAACACGTGTTGTATTCTGTTTTTTTTTTTTCTTTTGATAATGGTCACCCTAATGAATATGAGATGATATTTCTTTGTAGTTTTTATTTGGATTTCTTTAATGATTAGTGATGTTAATCATCTTTTTATGTGCTTATTGGCCATTCATATATCTTCTTTGGAGAACTCTCTATATTTAATTAAGGGTTAACATCCAGAGTATATAAATAACTTCTGTAACTGAATAACAACAAAAAAGCCTAAATAACCAGATTAAAACTGGGCAAAAACTCAGTAATATGTCCCTTATGCTACTCTTTGAGAAAGTTAAGCAGTGTGAACCATTTACTCTTTTAGGAGGTAGGAAATCTTCGGTTTACCTTGGGCACATGATTCTTGTATAATTACATAGCTCCCTGTTTCTGCATGTTTGGTGTATATGTTTGCTTGTATGTTTGTGGGGTGAAGGTGAGAAAAGAAGTTAAGCTGCTTGGCAGCACTTGATTCGGAATCTTTGAGTAATAAAGGGCCTAAAGACTTTGAATCATAAAGTGAAAGTGTTCTTCGTTTTTTTCTGAAGATTTAAATGTCTATGTGTTATTATTTCTCTTCAGCCTAGATAATTTGTTATAGTTTTTTTGTATAGGTTAGGTTTGTTAGTGATGATTTCTTTTTTAATTTTTTTTAAATCTGAACATATCTTTATTTATCTTTCATTCTTGTAGGATATTTTTGTTGGATATAGAGTTCTGAGTTGACAGGTTTTTTCCTTCCTTTAAGTGTTTTAAAGACATCACTCCACTATTGTCTGGTCTCCATTGTTTCTGATAAAAAGTTAGTGATCATTTACATCATTATTCCCCTGTGTGTAATTTGTTGTTTTTCTCTAGCTATTCTTGAGATTTTTACCTTTAGCTGTTGGTTTGCAGTTGTATGACTACTGTGTTCATGTGTATAGTATTTTTTTTCTAGTTTTTTCTTTGTATTTCTCCTGCATAGGATTCTCCAAGTTTCTTGAACCTGTAAATTTTTGTCTTCTATTATATTTAGGAAGTTTCTGGCCATTATTATTCTCATGGTTTTTCTTCTTCTTTATCTTCTTGGAGTCCACTTCCAAATGTGTTAGACCTATTGATATTCTCCCACCTATTCCTGAGGCTCTGTTCATTTTTTTCCAATTTGTTTCTCTGTTCTTTAGATTGGAGTTTTCTTCAGGTTGACATTTCCCGTATCTTCAATCTACTGTTAAGTTCATATAATGAATTTTTAACATTTTTCAGATACTGCATTTTTATGTTCTTGAAATTTCCTTGGGTTCTTTTTATGGTTTCTATTTCTTTGCTAAAATTTTATGTATTTTTATATATCATAAGCATATTTTTCTTTATATCCTTGATCATATTTAAAATAGCTGCTTTAAAATCTGTCCACTAATTCCAATACCTGGGTCATTTTGGGATTGGTCTCCATTCATTGCCTTTTCTCTTGAGTATGGGTTACATTTTCACGTTTGCTCATATGGCTACTAATTTTGAATTGTTTCCTGGATGGTATGAATGATACATTTTAGATCCTCTTGATTATTTTTGTTCTTCAGAGAAACATTTTTTTTTCTTTTCAGCAGGCAGTAACTTGAACTTTAAACTCTGAACTCTAAACAATCTTTATTTAACCTTCAGTGAGCTGCATCGAGTCTTCCCCTTATATGCATAGTTCACGGTCAGCCTAAAATTGGGCAGAATTAATATATGAAGTGAGACTTCCTTTCTGTTGGTTCTATTTTTCTCCTAGATTTTCCACCTCATTTTTCAGCAGTTGTGATCACCACATACTCTGTTCTCTGGGCCTTAAAACCACTAAAACTGTAGGTTTTTAAATTTGGATTTTGTGTAGTTGGTATGCTGAGTGGGGTCTGCTCTCACTCAGTGCCATTCCTTCTTCCAGATGTCGACCTCTCTCCAGTGTCTGCTTGCTTTTTTTTGCTGTGAAGTGCTTTGAGGTAATTACCAGTGTTTTGTCCAGAGTTCATAGTGGTTATTTGTGAGACGATTTGTGCAGTAAGAGATATACCCACCTTCTTATTAATCTATAACATTTTCAGTAATCTTTCTGTAATGTTTGCCAGTCTTTCTGCCAGCACTTTGGGAGGCTGAGGCGGGTGCATTACCTGACGTCAGGAGTTCAAGACCACTCTGGTCAACATGATGAAACCCCATCTCTACTAAAAATACAAAAATTAGCTAGGTGTGGTAGCAGGCGCCTCTAATCCCAGCTACTTGGGAGGCTGAGGAAGGAGAATCACTCGAACTGGGGAGGCAGAAGCTGCAGTGAGCCGAGATCATGCCATTGCACTGCAGCCTGGGTGACAGAGCGAGACTTCGCCTCAAAAAAAAAAAATCTTTCTGTAATATTTACTTAGACAAGATGTGTAAAGCTTTTTAACATTTAGTTCTCTCTCATCCCTACTTATGACCCTGATAAAAACTGCAATATAGATATTATTATCATCACTACCCTTTAACTGGGAGAACCAAGGCTCATAGAGTTTAAGTAATTTGCCAAAGTCCACACAGATCCAATCTCAGGCTTTTTCACCTCAAATCCAGTTCATTTTTTGTGAAACCATGCTATCTTTATCTGATGAATAGGTTACCTACAGCTATGCTAAGTTATGCATTATTTAAAAATTATTATTTTTGTGATAGAGTCTTGCTCTGTCACCCAGGCTGGAGTGCAGTGGTGCGATCGTGGCTCACCACAACCTCCACCTCCTGGGTTCGCGTGATTCTTGTGCCTCAGCCACTCAGGTAGCTGGGACTACAGGTGTGCACCACCACGCCTGGCTAATTTTTGTATTTTTGGTAGAGATTGGGTTTTGCCATGTTGGCCAGGCTGGTCTTAAACTCTTGGCCTCAAGTGATCTACCTGCCTCGGCCTCCCAAAGTGCTGGGATTACAGGCATGAGTTACCATGCCAGCCTGAATGATTTATTTGCCTATGATATAGTTTTTTAAAAAGTCTAGCCTAAATGTTTTTCAGCTTTAGCTCAAGGTAGAGCTGGACTTGTGTCACTGTTAGCTTGAATAATCCAATTAACAATATATGTAATGGGAAAAAGGGTAGGAAATAATATATTATACATCTACTAAGGAGCTTGAATGCTAAGTGTCCCACACAAACATAGATTAAGTATTCATTCCATCCAACAAACATTTTCTTATTGGTTTTATAGCCAAGAAATAAATGGGAAGATCCTGGTCAGATGTTTTGGCTAAATAGTAAGCTTTTAAAATGAACTTTTAATATAGAATGAACTTAATTAATTTTATCCTCATGTTCTATATGGTTCAGTCATGGCTTTATAAGACTTTTAAATTTCCGCAACTAAATTTTGGGCTTTTTCTAGATTATTATGTGTATATAAAAGGCCTTTTGAAATTTAAAAAAGAAAAATAATTATGAGCAATACTTTCATAAAAGAACACTCATATGCACCTATATACATTCACATCTTCAAATATGAATACTCTCCTCATAGACTAGTGGTTCTCAACCTTTAGTGTGCATCAGAATCTCCTGGAGTGCTTATTGAAACACATTGCTGGCCCCTATCCTGAGTTTCTTTTTAGTAGGCATTAGGTAGGGCTTGAAATTTGCGTGTTTAAAAAAGTTCCCGGATGTTGCTGATGCTGCTGTTCTCCCCTCCCTTCTTTGAGAATCCCCGTTGACTTTTGAAGGCTATCAGTTAATAATTAGTTTCAAAACAGCCACTAGAGGGCAATGGAACCACAGAGAAATTGGACGTGCTGCCTAATTTGTTCCCTGGTTTATGGGATCAACTATGTATTGCTACAAGCCAGGAGAACACCAAAGCCAAACATTAATTTCTTGCACAATATCTTGATGCTCATTTCCAATTGTAAATCTTGTCCTTGTGATTGTGGGGGTCAGAGATATATAATGCATCTCTAACTCTGGCTGATGCCCCACTTAATGATTACAATAAATTCAAAGTTGGACTTTTCTAGCTGAGCATTTGCACATATACATGTCTTTGGGGTTAACATGAACCATTTGTCGTTTCCCAAAGAGGCTATATTTTGATATTAGATCTAGTTTGTTACAGAGATGATTATGTAGTTAAATGGTATCCTTCATTTTAAGATTTGTGCCTTTTATTTTGTGAAAGTGGGACTTAAGTACTTTTTTAAAATGTTAAACAGCATATAATAAATATATAATTATATGTTATATACAGTAAAATAAACAGCATATAGTATATAATTATATTCCATAAAGAATATGATTATACATTCATATCTTCAAATATGAATACTATGCTTCTCATAGACTAGTGGTTCTCATTCTTTAGTGTGCATCAGAATCACCTGAAGTGCTTATTGAAACAGAATAAAGAATATAGAATATAAAGAATATAATTATATATAATATAAAATATAATTATATACAAAACAAATAAAGTAAAATATATTGTATATATGATATATAGAAATATATAATGTATAAAACATATAAAATATAATTATATATTATAATTATATTCATGGAATATAAAGATCACAGAGTATAGGGAATTTGCAGTTTCTTTCTTTTAGATATATTGCTTTGATGGTAGGAAAGGACTAGAGGAAAATGAAAAGATGTAGTTTGCAGGACTGTTATATTTTCTTTTTGCCTAGACTGGTACAGAACTTGAAAATTTCTTTGCTGCTGTTGCTGCACTTTAAAAATTCTGTCTTGATAGTGCTATGGTTTGAATGTCTGTCTTCCCCAAAACTCATGCTTAAACTTAATCCCCAATATGGCAGTATTGAGAGGTGGGGCCTTTTTTTTTTCAGATTCAGGAGTATATGTGCAGATTTGTTACATTGGTATATTATGTGATGCTGAGGTTTTAGCGTCTATTGATCCCATTGTCCAAGTAGTAAACATAGTACACGATGGGTAAATTTTCAACCCTTGCCCTCCTCCCTGTCTTCTCCCTTTTGGAATCCCCAGTGTTTATTGTTCCCATCTCTGTGTCCATGTATACCCATTGTTTAGCTCCCACTTATAAGTGAGAACATGTGGTTTTCTGTTTCTGTGTTAATTCACTTACGATAATGGCCTCCAGCTATCCATGGTTCTGCAGAGGACATGATTTTGTTCTTATTTATGGCTGTGTAGTATTCTGTGGTGTATATTTACCACATTTTCTTTATTCAGTCCACCATTGATAAACACCTGGGTTGATGCCATGTCTTTGTTATTGTGAATAGTGCTGAGATAGACATGAGTGCGGGTGACTTTTTGGTAGAATGGTTTATTTTCCTTTGGATATATACCCAGTAATGGTATTGCTGGGTTGAATGGTAATTCTGCTTTTAGTTCTTTGAGAAATCTCCAAACTGCTTTCCACAGGGGATTGGGTCATGAATGCATTGCCTCATAAATGAATTTATCCATTCATAGATTAGTGGATTAATAGGTTAATACATTAATGGGTTATAATGGGAGTGGTACTGGTGGCTTTTTAAGAAGTAGAAGAGAGACCTGAGCTAGCATAGTCAGCCCCGTTGCTATGGGATGCCCTGTGTGGCCTTGAGATGCTGCAGAGAGTTCCCACCAGCAAGAAGGGTCTCACCAGATGTGGTCCCTTGACCTTGGACTTCCCAGCCTCCTGAACTGTAAGAAACACATTTGTTTCTTTATAAATTATCCAGTTTGAGGTATTCTGTTATAATCAACAGAAAACAGATTAAGATAGATAGGTAGAGTCTTAGATACCTTTCTGAGTAGCCTTAATTCTTGGCTTGAGGCAACAATTACTTTTAATTGCAATGTAGAAATTTTTATTTAAAGTCCAAAGACTGGAGTTTGATTCCTAGACTTGACATTATTTTTTGGATGACATTTATGAGTCATTTAAGACCCAGTTTCTGCATATGTAAAATAAGAATTACATATTTAATAATAATAATGTCTTCATGGACTATTGTGAAAAATCAGTGAGATACTATATGTGATGGTGTTTTGTAGACTGTGACTATCCCTGAAATTTTCTGTTTTTGATATTCTTTCACCAAGATAGTATTTTTTGAACTTGATTTTGATGTTGTTATTATATCTTTGTAAAATTACTTCCACATGTACGAGATAGCAACAATCATATAAAAAAATTTAGAATTATATTAATGACAGGGGCGGCCCATCTGGAATGGCCACTGTGAAGAAGTGGGTTGCAGCGGGGGAGGTGTGGCTGGGGCTGCCCTGTTCTGCAGAGCCAGCAGGAGCAGGTGGGAGCCCTGCCCCCTACTGAGTCAGTGGGAGACCTGTGCTCCTGGGCGCAGATGTAGCTGCCCAGCTGCAGCTCTAGACCTGGGCATCCCTGCACTCGCAGGGGCCCAGGAAGCCCCCTTCCCCCCACAGGCTTGGAAGTGTCTGCTCCTGCTTTCTAGTCTCTCCCCGCTCCTGGCGCCTTCTCTGGTGTGGAGCAAAGTTGTAGCCAAGCCTGGGTGCTATTGTGACCTGGCTGGGTGTGTGTGCATTCAGAGAGGCACAAACATGCCAGCCCCCTGCAACCTTGGCTCCCTCTAGACTTTGGGTACTGACAAGCGTGGGAGGGAGGCTGGTGGGGGCTGAGGGTGGCTCTGTGCAGGTCTGCAGGTGCCCCTTGGCATGAGGAGCCTGGGCGCTGTGGATGGCATGTTGATGGTAGCAGGAGGCAGACAGGTTCCTGGTGGAAAAGGGCAGGTTCCCAGTGAAGCCCCACCTTCTAGCCAGGGACAGCCTGAAGCCTGGAGGCCAGGCTGTCAGTTCTGGGTAGAATCCACTGCCCAGATGAGAATTTATGGTGCTTTTTCCAGGCTTGCCCATGGCTGCCCATGGACCAATCAGCATGCACTTCCTCCCTTCTGAGCCCACAAAAACCCCAGACTCAGCCAGACTCAGACATTGGGACTACAAGCTCTGGGGAGGAGCTACCTACTTCAGGTCTCCTCAACTCTTCAGGATGACCTGCCTGCATAAAGGAGCTACCCACCATAGGTCTCCTCTGTGCTGAGAGCTGGACACTTACCTGGACAACCTGCCTGTGGAAAGGAGCTACCCACCATGGGTCTCCTCTCTGCTGAGAGCTGGACATTCATCGGGATGACCTGCCTACAGAAAGTAGCTACCCAAAGGAGTGACCCACTTCAGGTCTCCTGAGAGTTGTTCTGTCACTCAGTGAAGATCTTCTCTGCATTGCTCACCCTCCAGTTGTTTGTGTACCTCACTCTTCCTGGATGTGGGACAAGAACTTGGGGCCTGCTGAATGGTGGGACTGAAAGAGCTGTAATACAAACGGGGCTGAAACATGCTCCATGCCTGCCACATTGTGGGTGACGAGAAGGAGAGAAGAGCTGCGGCCCTTCTGGGAGTCTAGACCTCAGGGCTCCCCAAGCCAGGGCTGTGAACATACTGTAACACCCTCTTTGGAGTTCTGTGGTTACCTGTGCCTCCAAGCTTTCAGGTGCCACCAAATTCCCTTTGTCTAGATGTTGCTGCCTGCAGCAGAAGCTACTTGTGGTACATTTGGTCCAGCCACAGCCTCACATGGAGTCGGCATCTGTGCCAGTGCCTGGAGCTGCCCCCATGCCTCACCTGGCATGCCTGGCTGTGCACAGTGGCTGGACCCATGCTTGCTCACTCACACACCTCTCACCACTCTGTGCCTGGCTCACCCTTGGCAGGCATGGGATCCAGGCCAGTAGTGTGAGTTGAGCGCAGCTTGCCAGGCCGTTTGGGTGGAACGAACCCAGCAGGTGCAAGCAAACCCCAAGCAGAGGCATGGCTGGCCACAGAGGGTTTCTGGCTGGTGACAGACCAGCCACCCTAGGGTATCACTGTGACTATAAGACAAGTAGGTTTAATCCTTTTGCATATAACATCTTAGTTTTTCATTAGACTGTTGCATGTTGTGTTTATTCCTGATATTTAGAAAATATAATCTACTGAGACTGTTAAATACAAGTAGTGATTAGATCAGGAATAAGGCTTAAATTGCAAATTATTTTCTGGGATTTGGAAGTATGTATAAATGCGTGTGTGTGTGTGGTGTGTGTATGCATGAATGCACTTATGTGCATGGTAGGATTTCATCAAATATTTATTGATAAATATTATTTCTCTTATTTTTTTCTGGACTATAGAGCCCCTTTAGTTATTGTTGCTTTAAGGTTAAACAATGGTTTTATTTATAGTTTTGTTTTGTGTCTGGCAGTGTGTCTTGCTAACTAGAAATATGAGGTCATATAAATTAGGGATTGCATTTCTATGTTGCTCTGTGAACTCTGCATAGAATTTCTAGGGGTTTCTATTAGCAGCAGAATACTGTTACTTTTTCTGAGCTCCTAGAGAAGTGAATGGAGTATATTTTTTTCCCTAGGAAAATCATCTGATTCCACTTTGGGAGCAATAAATCAATCCATCAGCATGTGCTTTGGAGGGCTGTCTGTGTATTCAGTAATGTTCTGGGATAAGTCTTAATAAATATCTGTTAAATAACTGATTGGTTACCACTCCAGAGGAGTGATTTAGTTTTTCTTGGTATCTGTAGATGTACATCTTTTTTAAAAATTGCAGGTAAAATAACTTTTTTTTCATTCTCCAAGGATATGAAGATTGCCACTGGAGTCTGCTCTTCCTTTTAGAAAACAGCTTTCTTGATATATAATTCATACAATTCAACTGTTTAAAGTATAAAATTCAATGGTTTTTAGCCTAGTCATTAAAATAGACTAAAACCATTAAACTTTTCTAATCTTTAACTATCACCACAATTAACTTTAGAACATTTTCATTACCTACAAAAATAAACTGTTACTTTTATCCTTTCTGTGATGGTTAATTTTATGTGTCAATTTGGCTGGGCCATGATGCCCAGGTAAGTGGTCAAAAATGTTGTACTGGATATTTCTGTGTAGATGTTTTTGGATGAGATTAATATTTAAACGAATGGACTTGGAGCAAAACATATTGCTCTCCGTAGTGTGGTTGGGCCTCATCTACTCAGTTGAACATGTGAATAGAGCAGATGACTTATCTACCTCAAGGAAGAGAGAATTCTGGCCTTCCGACTTGAACTGCAGTATTGGCTCATGCTATGTATAGCTTGCTGGCCCACCCTGCTGATTTTGGGCTTGCCAGCCTCCATAATTGTGATAGTTATTATTATTTTTGAGATGGAATCTCACTCTGTCGCCCAGGCTGGAGTGCAGTGGCGCGATTCGGCTCACTGCAGCCTCCGCCTCCTGGGGGTTTAAGGGATTCTCCCGCCTCAGCCTCCCAAGTAGCTGGGATTACAGGCACCTGCTACCATGGCTGGCTAATTTTTGTATTTTTAGTAGAAATGGGGTTTCACCATGTTGGCCAGGCTGTCTTGAACTCCTGACCTCAAGTGATCTACCTGACTCAGCCTCCCAAATTTCTGGGATTACAGGTGTGAGCCACCGTGCCCGGCCTGTGATAATTTTAGGTGTCAACTTGACTGGGTAAAGGGATACCCAGATACCTGGTAAAGCATTATTTCTGGGTGTGGTTGTGAGGCTACTTCTTGAAGAGATTGACATTTGAATCAGTGGACTAAGTAAGGAAGATGTACCTTCACCCAATATGGGTAGGTACCATACGATCATTTGAGGGCCTGGATGGAACAAAAAGGCAGAGGAAAGGTGATTTGCCGTTTCTTCTTGAGCTGAGACATCTACCTCCTCCTGCCCTTGGACACCAGAACTTCAAGTTCTCTGGACTTTGGACTCTGAGAGTTTTAACAAAACCTCCACACCTGCTCTGTCACCCCATATTCTGAGGTCTTTGGGCTCGAAGTAAAAGTTATACCATCAGTTTCCCTTGTTCTCACACCTTTGAACTTGGACTGAGCCATGCCACCAGCTTCCTTGGTTTTCCAGTTTGCAGACATAATATTGTGGGACTTCTCAGCTTCCATAATCACATGAACCAATTCCCATAATGAAGCCCGTCTCATGTATCTCTCTTTATATCCTATTGGTTCTGTTTCTGTGGAGAACCCTGACTAATACATTTGTGTAAGCCAATTCCTTGAAGCAAATCTATGTATTCATCCAATTGATTTTTTTGTCTTTGGAGACATGATTAATACAACTCTCACTCCTCCACCCCATTTTCCCTCTCACTGATTCTGGTCCTAAGCAACCACAATCTGCCTTCTGTTTATAGATTTCCCTATTCTGGACTTTCATATGAATGGAATCATATAGGATATGGTCTTTTGTGACTGGCTTCTTTAAAACACAACATTTAAAAATTTCGATGAAGTCTGTTTTAATCTGTTTTCTGTTGTTATACCTGAATACCCGAGTCTTGGTAATTTGTAAAGGAAAGAGGTTTATTTATCTTACGATTTTAGAGGCTGGGTGGTTCAAGATTGAGTGGCCACATCTCGTTGGCTTCTGGTGAGGGCCTCATGATGCATCATAACATGGCAGATAAGTGGAAGGGGAAGTTGGCATGTGCAGAGACCAAACACGAGAGGCAGCCTCACTTTACAGTCCACTCTCATGATAAATAATTCAGTCCTGTGAGAGTGAGAATTTACCCCTAAAAGGCATTAATCCCCCTTAATGACCTAATCACCTCTTAAAGTCACAAGCTCCCAACATAGCTACAATGAGGACCATGCGTCCACATGAGTTTTGGTGGGGACAAACCATAGCAAAGTCCAATTTATCAGTTTTTTTCTTGTGTTGCTCAAGATTTTGGTTTCATCCAACGAGAACAAAGACACAACATACCAGAATCTCTGGGACACATTTAAAGCAGTGTGTAGAGGGAAATTTATAGCACTAAATGCCCACAAGAGAAAGCAGGAAAGATCAAAAATTGACACCCTAACATCACAATTAAAAGAACTAGAAAAGCAAGAGCAAACACATTCAAAAGCTAGCAGAAGGCAAGAAATAACCAAAATCAGACCAGAACTGAAGGAAATAGAGACACAAAAAACCCTTCAAAAAATTAATGAATCCAGGAGCTGATTTTTTGAAAGGATCAACAAAATTGATAGACCGCTAGCAAGACTAATAAAGAAGAAGAGAGAAGAATCAAATAGACGCAATAAAAAATGATAAAGGGGACATCACCACCGATCCCACAGAAATACAAACTACCATCAGAGAATACTACAAACACCTCTACACAAATAAACTAGAAAATCTAGAAGAAATGGATAAATTCCTCGACACATACACCCTCCCAACACTAACCCAGGAAGAAGTTGAATCTCTGAATAGACCAATAACAGGATCTGAAATTGTGGCAATAATCAATAGCTTACCAACCAAAAAGAGTCCAGGACCAGATGGATTCACAGCCGAATTCTACCAGAGGTACAAGGAGGAACTGGTACCATTCCTTCTGAAACTATTCCACTCAATAGAAAAAGAGGGAATCCTCCCTAACTCATTTTATGAGGCCAGCATCATCCGGATACCAAAGCCTGGCAGAGACACAACCAAAAAAGAGAATTTTAGACCAATATCCTTGATGAACATTGTTGCAAAAGTCCTCAATAAAATACTGGCAAACCGAATCCAGCAGCACATCAAAAAGCTTATCCACCATGATCAAGTGGGCTTCATCCCTGGGATGCAAGGCTGGTTCAATATATGCAAATCAAGAAATGTAGTCCAGCATATAAACAGAACCAAAGACAAAAACCACATGATTATCTCAATAGATGCAGAAAAGGCCTTTGACAAAATTCAACAACGCTTCATGCTAAAAACTCTCAATAAATTAGGTACTGATGGGACGTATCTCAAAATAATAAGAGCTATCTATGACAAACCCACAGCCAATATCATGCTGAATGGGCAAAAACTGGAAGCATTCCCTTTGAAAACTGGCACAAGACAGGGATGCCCTCTCTCACCACTCCTATTCAACATAGTGTTGGAAGTTCTGGCCAGGGCAATTAGGCAGGAGAAGGAAATAAAGGGTATTCAACTAGGAAAAGAGGAAGTCAAATTGTCCCGTTTGCAGATGACATGATTGTATATCTAGAAAACCCCATTGTCTCAGCCCAAAATCTCCTTAAGCTGATAAGCAACTTCGGCAAAGTCTCAGGATACAAAATCAATGTACAAAACTCACAAGCATTCTTATACACCAATAACAGACAAACAGAGAGCCAAATCATGAGCAAACTCCCATTCACAATTGCTACAAAGAGAATAAAATACTTAGGAATCAACTTACAAGGGATGTGAAGGATCTCTTCAAGGAGAGCTACAGACCACTGCTCAATGAAATAAAAGAGGATACAAACAAATGGGAGAACATTCCATGCTTATGGATAGGAAGAATCAATATCGTGAAAATGGCCATACTGCCCAAGGTAATTTATAGATTCAATGCCATCCCCATCAAGCTACCAATGACTTTCTTCACAGAATTGGAAAAAACTACTTTAAAGTTCATATGAAACCATAAAAGAGCCCGCATCGCCAAGTCAATCCTAAGCCAAAAGAACAAAGCTGGAGGCATCACGCTACCTGACTTCAAACTATACTATAAGGCTACAGTAACCAAAACAGCATGGTACTGGTACCAAAACAGATATAGATCAGTGGAACAGAACAGAGCCCTCAGAAATAACGCCGCACATCTACAACTATCTGATCTTTGACAAACCTGACAAAAACAAGCAATGGGGAAAGGATTCCCTATTTAATAAATGGTGCTGGGAAAACTGGCTAGCCATATGTAGAAAGCTGAAACTGGATCCCTTCCTTACACCTTATACAAAAATTAATTCAAGATGGATTAAAGACTTACATGTTAGACCTAAAACCATAAAAACCCTAGAAGAAAACCTAGGCATTACCATTCAGGACACAGGCATGGGCAAGGACTTCCTGTCTAAAACACCAAAAGCAATGGCAACAAAAGCCAAAATTGACAATTGGGATCTAATTAAACTGAAGAGCTTCTGCACAGCAAAAGAAACTACCATCAGAGTGAACAGGCAACCTACAAAATGGGAGAAAATTTTTGCAACCTACTCATCTGACAAAGGGCTAATATCCAGAATCTACAATGAACTCAAACAAATTTACAAGAAAAAAACAACCCCATCAAAAAGTGGCAAAGGATATGAACAGACACTTCTCAAAAGAAGACATTTATGCAACCAAAAGACACATGAAAAAATGCTCGTCATGACTGGCCGTCAGAGAAATGCAAATCAAAGCCACAATGAGATACCATCTCACACCACTTAGAGTGGCAATCATTAAAAAGTCAGGAAACAACAGGTGCTGGAGAGGATGTGGAGAAATAGGAACACTTTTACACTGTTGCTGGGACTGTAAACTAGTTCAACCATTGTGGAAGTCAGTGTGGCGATTCCTCAGGGATCTAGAACTAGAAATACCATTTGACCCAGCCACCTCATTACTGGGTATATACCCAAAGGACTATAAATCATGCTGTTATAAAGACACATGCACACGTATGTTTATTGTGGCATTATTCACAATAGCAAAGACTTGGAACCAACCCAAATGTCCAACAATGATAGACTGGATTAAGTAAATGTGACACATATACACCATGGAATACTATGCAGCCATAAAAAATGATGAGTTCATGTCCTTTGTAGGGACATGGATGAAATTGGAAATCATCATTCTCAGTAAACTATCGGAAGGACAAAAAACCAAACACCGCATGTTCTCACTCATAGATGGGAATTGAATAATGAGAACCCATGGACACGGGAAGGGGAACACCACACTCTGGTGACTGTTGTGGGGTGGGGGGAGGGGGGGAGGGTTAGCATTAGGAGATATACCTAATGCTAAATGACGAGTTAATGGGTGCAGCACACCAGCATGGCACATGTATACATATGTAACTAATCTGCACATTGTGCACATGTACCCTAAAACTTAAAGTATAATAATAATAATTAAAAAAAAGATTTTGGTTTCATATTCAAAAAGGTCATAAAGATTTGCTCCTATGTTTTCTTCTAAGACTTTTATAATATATGCATTAGATTTACATTTAGGTCTTTGATGTATTTGGAGTTGATTTGAGTGTGAGATAAGTGTTTATTCTTTATTCCTTTGCCTATGGCTATCCAGTTACCCCCGTACCATTTGTTGAAAAGATATTCTTTATTCATTGACTAGTCTTGGCACCCTTATTGAAAATCAGTTGACCTTAGATACATGGATGTATTTCTGGCCTCTCAATTCTGTTCGACTACTCTATATATCTGTTCTTTTGTCAGTACTACACTGTTGATTACTGTTGCTTTATAGTAAGTTTTGAAATTGGAAAATGTGATTCCTCAGTTTATTATTCATTTTCAGCATTATTTTAATTGTCCAGACTCCCTTGCAATTTCATATGAATTTTAGAATCAGCTTGTCACTTTCTACAGAGAAATTAGCTAGGATTCTGATAGGGCTTGCATTGAATCTATGGATCAGTTTGGGGAATATTGCTATTTAAGCAGTGTTGAATATTTTGGTCCATGAACATGAGATGTTTTTCCATTTATTTAGATGTTTTGTTTCTTTCAACAATGTTTTTATAGATTTCAGAGTATAAGTTTTGTACTTCTGTTAAATTTATTACTAAGTGTTATATCCTTTTTGATGCTACTGTGAATAGAATTGTTTTCTTAATTTCATTTTTGGATTGCTCATTGCAAATGTATAGACATACTATTGATTTTTGTATATTAATCTTGAAGTCTTGCTGAACTTATTCACTAGCGCCAATAGTTTTTGGGCTACTTTAAGATTTCTACATATAAGATCATGTCATCTGCAAATAGAGATCATTTTCCTTCTCTTCCAATTTGGATACCTTTTATTTCTTTTCCTTGTTTAATGCCATGGCTAGATCCTCAGTATAAGGTCAAATAGAAGTGTTGAGGGTGGACATCCCTGTCTTGTGGCTTATCTTAAGGGGAAGCATCCAGTCTTGCACCACTAACTATGATGTTAACTGTGGATATTTATAGATGCTCTTTATTAGGTTGAGGAAATTTCCTCCTACTCCTATTTATTGAATGTTTTTATCATGAAAGGGTAATGGATTTTTTTTCAAATTCTTTTTCTGTGTCTATTGAGATAATCATGTGATTTTTGTTTTTTAGCTTACTTATATGACCTATTACATTATTTGAGTTTTGGATGTTTAGCTTTGAATTCTTGGTGAAATCTCATTTGGTTATGAATTTTCTCATTTCTCCTCTCCTTCTGATACTCCCTTTATGTGCATGTTGGTGCATTTAATGGTGTCCCATATTTCTGTGAGGGTCTGTTTATTTTTTCCTCATCATCTTTTTTTTCTCTCTGTTCCTTTGCATGCATAATCTCTGTCAATTTATCTTCCAGTTTGCAAGTTCTTTTTTCTTTCAGTTCAAACATCCTGTTGAGACCTTCTAGCAAATAAATTATTTCAGTTATTACACTTTGCAACTCCAGAATTTTGATTTGGTTCCTTTTTAAAAAAATTTCTATTTATTGGTATTCTCTATTTGGTATAATATTGTCAATATATCTTTCTTTACTTCTTTCATCATGTATGTATGTATGTATGTATGTATGTATGTATGTATGCATGTATTTATTTATTTATGACAGAGTCTTGCTCTGTCGCCCAGGCTGGCATGTGGTGCCGCAATCTCGGCTCACTGCAACCTCTGCCTCTGGGTTCAAGTGATTCTCCTGCCTTAGCCTCCCCAAGTAGCTGGGACTATAGGCACATGCCACCATGCCTGGCTAATTTTTGTATTTTTAGTAGAGACAGGATTTCGCCATGTTGGTCAGGCTGGTCTCGAACTCCTTACCTCAGGTGATCCGCCCACCTCAGCCTCCCAAAGTGCTGAGATTACAGGCGTGAGCCACCGTGCCTGGCTGCTTTCCTTTATTTCTATAATGGCTACTTTGAACTATTTTTCTGTTAAATCTGACATCTGGTTGTTTTGACAGGAAATTTATGTTGTCTGCTCTCCCACTTGCCAGAGAATGTATCCTACTTTCCTGTTTCTTTGCTTGCCTCATAATTTTTTGTTGGTAACTATTTTTGATAATATGACTACTCTGGGCACTACCCTGGGACTGGTTATTGTTAGTTTCTTATTTATTTGTTTAGTGATTGGCTGGATTATTATAGTAAAGTCTCTCCCTTGTTCTCTCTGCTATATGACCCCTGCCCCTACGTTGTTAAGCCTCTGATGTCGTTCCTTAGGGAGGCACAGCTTTGAGTATGCCTACAGTTAGCTTGGGATGACGGCAGCACCAGTAGGTCTCTCTCTCACTCTTACCCTGACCACACTTAGCTGGTAAACTCCAATAATTGCCAGACTATTGCTCTATTGTTTATAATAACACCCTGGAATATAATTTTTTCTGTACACTAGTCCCATCAAATTGTGGTTCTTTGGACAGAAAAGTTTCTGAGGTCAATGTATAATATTTGTTTTTATGTTGACAGGGCTCCTTCCAGCTGTCTTATTCCCCAGTTCTTTCTTGCAAACTAGCTGTCTTTATAGTTTAGGCACCCATTTAATAATAACTTTTTAAAAAATATGGGATTACCCAGATAATGTGGAATCAGAGATGCTCTGGAAGACCCAGGTCCCAGTTCAGTTCTTTCTAAACATTGTCCTATGATACAATGGCAACGTTTTTGTCGTTCACAAATAACACCTGTATTTAGACATTGCTCTTTTAAGTCAGTCTTGATGACATAATTTCTTTGATTTAAGATTAGAGTAGTTCAATAGCTAGCATTTTAAATTGTCACTCAGTGTTTATATTATCATCAACAGTGAAGCAGCAGGCATGGGCAGTGAAGTTACAGAGTAACAGCAAAGCTCTCCTTATATGGCCTTACCATACTGGCCCTTTACATGGAGCTGCCTGGTTGGTTTAGAGGCAGTCTCTAATGTGCTGGCCTGTGTTACTTGTGACCGTTTAGGATGAATTATGCAGAGGTCTACCTATTGTTCTGACGGGGAGGGATCCTTCAATAAAATTTCCCACTCTAAGCTATATTATGCAAATGACTATTTTAATTAAAAGCCTTGTTCCCCTTCTTTTTCATGGCTGGTTAGTGCCCGGACTATACAGGGACTTTCAAAAGTCTTCAGAGTAAAAAGTCTTTCCAGTTTTTCATCAAAAATGGGTTTGGTGTTTTGCTAGAATTTTCTTGCCAAATGTTTTCTATTTGGTAGAAAAGAATGCAAGCTTTTAATCATGGAATTTTTTAAAACAGCTCAGGCCCATGCAATATGCAACTGGATGTGCATTGGGCCAGGTACATTAGGTATTATTAATAGGACTCACTTTTCAGAAAATAATAGCTATTTTAGAAAGGGGGTGGAGAGAAAGGAAGGGAAGAAAAGGAAGAAAAAAGAGGAATAATTTTTCTAAGGATATAGTTTAGTTACTGCATGCAGATGATTTTCCTCCTTTTTATTGTGAGATAGGTTTGGAAATAATCTGTCTGACAGATCATGCATCATGTTTGACCTTGTCATTTTAATACAACAGTAAATAGAAAACAAATGTTTTTTTTTCTTTGAAGGTATGGTTATGACATCTTGCAGAAGTATTTTCAGTAGGTTAAATTAAAGATAATAAGCTATTTCTTCTTGTTTTGACTATTGTCATTGTGTAGGAGAGGGACTGCATTCCATGGACTTGTTTTAATTACCGTATTGGTATTTGCTGTGACATCTGGTGGCATTGGTGAGCTCACCTGATGGACCACAAAGTACTCTGATTTATGAACCCATAACTGGGGTTCCAATAAACATTTGTCAAAATAATGTATTAGTTCAAACCAAAGCCTTTTTTATTTATTCATATAAAAGAGCACTTAACTTTCAACAAAGAATTGCCTATCATCAAAAACACTCTATAAATGAATCAAATTTATGAAGACATTGTTCTAGAGGGTGATTGCTTAAAGACTACAGCTTATTTTAACCCTTTGAAGGATTTAGTGTTCTAACTTGTCTGTTTTGAGCATATTCTTTATATTTTTGTTTTCAAATAATGTATATTTTAATATTCACATGTGAAGTTACTTGTTACAGAATGAATCTAATGAACTTTAAAAATATTTATTCAGTTATCAAATTAGCGTATCTTCAACAGTCATCATTCTGTAGCTATTTCAAATTCTGTTAGGACAACATTTTTTTTTACCCATTCTTATTCAGTTTACTCGTAAGTAAGAATAAAACACACAGTATTCTCAAACTACTTTGTAAAGTGCTAAGGCTACTGATAAGGGAATTGTAGTCCATCTTTATTTGTAATATTCAGCTATTTTACCTATTTGCTCATTAACTGATTAGCATTGGTTTCTTTTGGGGTTAAATAAGATAGGTAATTTATACAGTATGTGCACCTTAGAGTCGTCACACTGGTAGAGTGAATTATTACACAGCAGTTTGTGAGGCATTATTTTAATATTTAGTAGTCACTATGCCTTTTTTATTGGGGTAAAATATATGCAACATAAAACGTACTATTTTAACAATTTTTGAAGGGTTTTGCTATGTTTCCCAGGCTAGCATCAAGTGATCCTCCTGCCACACAACCTTCCCCTTAGATGGGAGTACAGGCAGGTGCCACTATGCCTGGCACATTTTAGCCATTTTTATGTGTATAATTCAAGTACATTCACAATTATACAACCATCACCACTATCATTTCCTGAGCTTTTAAAAAAATTTATTTTAAGTTCAGGGGTACATGTGCAGGATGTGCAGGTTTGTTACATAGGTAAGTGTGTGTCACAGGGGCTTGTACAGATTATTTAATCATCCAGGTATTAAGCCTAGTATCCATTGGTTATTTTTCCTGATCCTGTTCTTCCTCCCACCCTCTGCCTTCTGGTAGGCCCAGTGTGCATTGTTCCCCCTATGTGTCCATGTGTTCTCATCATTTAGCTCCCACTTACATGTGAGAACATGCAGTATTTGGTTTTCTGTTGCTGTGTTACTTTGCTAAAGATAATGGCCTCCAGCTCTATCCATGTTTCCGCAAAAGACATGATCTTATTCTTTTCTATGGCTGCATAATATTCCACAGTGCTTATGTACCACATTTTCTTCATCCAGTCGACCATTGATGGGCATTTAGGTTGATTCCATGTCTTTGCTATTGTAAATAGTGCTGCAATGAACATACACATGCATGTGTCTTTATAGTAGAACAATTATGTTAATTTGGGTATATACCCAGTAATGGGATTGCCTGGTTGAATGGTGTTTCTGTCTCTAGGTGTTTGAGGAATCACCACACTGTCTTCCACAATGGTTGAACTAATTTACACTCCCACCAACAGTGTAAAAGTGTTCTTTTTTCACCACAGCCTCACCAGCATTTTTTTTTGACTTTTTAATAAAAGCCACTCTGACTGGTGTGAGATGGTGTATCATTGTGATTTCAATTTGCATTTCTCTAATGATCAGTGACACTGAGCTTTTTTTCACATGATTGTTGTTCGCACGTGTCTTCTTTTGAGAAGTGTCTGTTCACCCCACCTTTTAATGAGGCTGTTAGTTTTTTCTTGTAAATTTGTTTAAGTTCCTTATAGATGCTGGATATTAGACCTTTGTCAGATGCAGTTCGCAAACATTTTCTTTCATTCTGTAAGCTGTCTGTTAACTCTGTTGATTTTTTTTTTCTGTGCAGAAGCTCTTTAGTTTAATTAGATCTCATTTTTCAATTTTTGCTTTTGTTGCAATTACTTTTGGCATCTTTGTCATGAAATCTTTGCCCATGCCCATATCCTGAATGGTATCGCCTAGGTTTTCTTCTAGAGTTTTTAGAGTTTTGGGTTTTACATGTAAGTCTTTAATCCATCTTGAGTTGGTTTTTGTATATGGTGTCAGGAAGGGGTCCAGTTTCAATTTTTTTTTGCATATGGCTAGCCAGTTCTCCCAGCACCATTTATTAAATAGGGAATCCTTTCCCCTTTGCTTGTTTTTGTCAGGTTTGTTGAAGATCAGATAGTTGTAGGCGTGCGGTCTTATTTCTTGGTTCTCTATTCTGTTCCATTGGTCTACGTGTCTGTTCTTGTACCAGTACCATGCTGTTTTGGTTACTGTAGCCCTGTAGTATAGTTTGAAGTTGGGTAGTGTGATGCCTTCAGCTTTGTTATTTTTGATTAGGATTGCCTTGGGTATTTGGGCTTTTTTTTGGTTCCATATGAATTTTAAAATAGTTTTCTCTAGATTTGAACATTTTTAATCATCCCAAACAAAAACTATATAATCATTAAACAATCACTTTCCATTCCCTCTTTTTCCAGCCCCTGGTAACTTCTGTTCCAGGAGTCACCAACCCCTGGGCAACGGACTGCCAGTTCGTGGCATATTAGCAACTGGGCTGCACAGTAGGATGTGAGCAGAGGGCAAGTGAGCATTACCACCTGAGCTCCACCTTCTGTCCCATAAGCCACAGCATTAGATTCTCATAGGAGCATGAACCATATTGTGAACAGATCCAGATTGTCTGCTCCTTATGAGAATCTAACGCCAGATGATCTAAGGTGGAACAATGTTATCCTGAAACCATTCCCTCACCTCACCTGCATCCATGGAATTTATTTAAAGTGTCATTCTTTCTGTTCAGTAATGCAGTCATCTTAAGTTATGGTATTTTTTGAAAATAATAATATATAAAGAGGTTAGTTTCAGCTGTTCATGTCAACAAATATTTAAAGAGAACTAATTTTGTTCTAGGTGCAGTGCTAGCCACTGATGTCCTAAAGATAAATAAGATATCCCTAAATTTAAGGGACCCTTGTAGTTCCCAAATCTTAATAATTCGGCTACTAGTAATGTTTTCAAGTCTGCTGTAAAACTCAATGAGCTTTATTTATTTGTGTTACAAAGCAGAAATAGGTTTTTCATCCTTTTGTTATTCCTCCAACAAAATATATAGAGACACTATTGAAATCATGAATTGTATGTGGTGGATTTTTTGGTAAAGGAAGGTTGATCTAATAGCCTTGTGACCAGATCCTGAATAATTTTGTGACTAGAGGATATAAAAAATGATTTAATTATATAGTAATTCCTACCATTTATATGATCTAAACAAAAAGGAATCTCAGGCTGTAGTCTGTGAGAAAGGGATGAAAAGAGGGAAAACTGTGGACTATAAAATGGATTAAGGGGTCTTTGATAGTATAGTCTCTGCCTAGAATTTGAGTCAGAGCTCAATACATCTGTGGGTAGAATGTGATTCACTCTACTTCAGAAGCATGATGGTTACTTTTGAAAAAATATCGTGAGGCAGTGGCCTTGCTTACTTAGTTCACATGTTTGTGGACTCTTTTGGCCTTTGTAGAATAGAGCAGGGATCATCCAGCTAACTTTTTTCAGATAACTCTAAGGTGTCTGTGAGTTGATGTTCTGCTGCTTTTTAGCATTCCTAGAGATCTGGGTGTGAGGTAAGAATCCCCCTGTGGACTTCAACTGAAATAGAATTTGAGAATTCATGGTTGGCTGCTTTGGCCTTTGGCAGTTCTCATTAATGTAATTCTTCTATTTATAATACATCATTTCCATAAACAATGTATATATTCAGTTTATAGGTGTTTGAACTTCTTGGCTTAAAAGGAAATTTCAAATTAAAAAGCAGATCTAAAACTAATTTCTGAAAAAATTATTTTTTTCCCTTTCATATTATAGTAGATATAAGGGCAGTGAATTGTGTCCCTCCCCTATTTGAAGCAGAAATGCAAACAGTGGTGTTGCTCCTCTTCAAATTATTATTCAAATGTACTGGTGGAGGGGAACTTATACCCTGGCCTTGTTGCTGGTCCTTGGGTATAAAATTACTGATAACTGTTGAGCTGGATTAGTAGACTGTATTCCTAGGCAATATATTGGCATCTGCCTCTAGGTCTGCAAATGATATAATTCCTGACAGAACTTTAGATTCAGATTTTTCAGGCCCTTGTAGTCCAACCTGTGTGACATGGATTTACCTTGACTCTCACTGATGCTGCGTCTGTCTCAAGTTTTTAGCCACATACTGCAGATAGTTTTGAGTCTATAGCCTTATTGATGAGCTCTCCTTGCTTCCCATTATGAGATAACCTATGTCATGACTGCTGTCTTGGGATCTTCTCATTCTTTTCTTAGGGATATGTGGAAAACTTTAGGTTTACTCCACCAAATGAGAGATAATAATGACAATTAGGCCTTTTCTGCTCGACTTTCCTTCTCTGCCCTCTTTACTCTGCTGGGACTGTACCATATTAGTACAGGTTTGTCTTGCACAGCAGTTTTGCAATGGAGTCCCAAAGGGCCAAAAACCTCTTTTACTCTCAACATTCCTTTCATCTTATATAAAAGTTTCTCCTCTCTGGAACTTCAGCTTGGAGAGGGTAGGTCAGAAAATGTACTTGTTCTTTTGCTGCTTTCTCTCTCTCTGTTTTCCTTCTCTTCCCAAAGTGCACTGGCAAAGAAAAGAATAAGCTTTCACATTTCTTTCTGTCTTGTTTGGACTTCTTCTATATGAAAGTCTATGATTAAGATGACCAGATCTGCCTCTTCATTTGTTAAAGAGGGGGATAAAAAATTTAGAATATTATTTTGTTTTATTATACTTTAAATTCTGGGGTACATGTGCAGAATGTGTAGGTTTGTTACATAGGTATACATGTGCCATGGTGGTTTGCTGCACCCATCAAGCCGTCATCTACATTACATATTTCTCCTAATGCTATCCCTCCCCTTGCCTCCCACCCCCTGACAGGCCCTGGTGTGTGATGTTCCTCTCCGTGTGTCCATGTGTTCTTGTTGTTCAACTCCCACTTATGAGTGAGAACATGCGGTGTTTGGTTTTCTGTTCCTGTGTTAGTTTGCTGAGAATGATAGTTTCCAGCTTCATCCATGTCCCTGCAAAAGACATGAACTCATTCTTTTTCTATGGCTGAATAGTATTCCATGGTGTATAAATGTCACATTTTCTTTATCCAGTCTATCATTGTTGGGCATGTGGGTTGGTTCCAAGTCTTTGCTGTTGTGAATAGTGCTGCAATAAACATACATGTGCATGTGACTTTATAGTAGAATGATTTATAATCCTTTGGGAATATACCCAGTAATGGGATTGCTGGGTCAAATGATATTTCTGGTTCTAGATCCTTGAAGAATCACCACATTGTCTTCCACAATGGTTGAACTAATTTACACTCCCACCAACAGTGTAAAAGCGTACCTATTTCTCCACATCCTCTTCAGCATCTGCTGTTTCCTGAATTTTTAATGATCACTATTCTAACTGGCGTGAGATGGTATCTCATTGTGGTTTTGATTTGCATTTCTCTAATGACCAGTGATGATGAGCTTTTTATCATGTTTGTTGGCTGCAAAAATGTCTTCTTTTGAGAAGTGTTTGTTCATATCTTTGTCCACTTTTTAATGGACTTTTGTAAATTTAAGTGCCTCATAAATTCTGGATATTATCCCTTTGTCAGATGGATATATTGCAAAAATTTTCTCCCATTCTGTAGGTTGCCTGTTTACTATGATGATGTTCGCTTTCCTGTTCTGTAGGTTGCCTGCTCACTCTGCTTTCTTTTGCTGTGTGGAAGCTGTTTAATTACATCCCATTTTTCAATTTTGGCTTGCGTTGCAGTTGCTTTTGATGTTTTAGTCATGAAGTCGTTGCCTATGCCTATGTCCTGAATGGTACTGCCTAGGTTTTCTTCTAGGGTTTTTATGGCTTTAAGTCTTACATTTAAGTCTTGAATCCATCTTGAGTTAATCTTTGCATAAGGTGTAAGGAAGGGGTCCAGTTTCAGTTTTCTGCATATGGCTAGCCAGTTTTTCCAGCACCATTTATTAAATAGGGAATTCTTTCCCCCATTGCTTGTTTTTGTCAGGTTTGTTAAACATCAGATGGTTGTAGATGTGTGGTGTTATTTCTGAGGCCTCTGTTCTCTTCCATTGTTCTATATGTCTGTTTCGGTAACAGTCTTCTTGTTTTGGTTACTATAGCCTTGTAGTATTGTTTGAGTCAGGTAGTGTGATGCCTCCAGATTTGTTCTTTTTGCTTAGGATTGTCTTGGCTTATATGGGCTCTTTTTTGGTTCCATATGAGACTTAAAGTAGTTTTCTCTAATTCTGTGAAGAAATTCAGTGGTAGCTTGATGGGAATAGCATTGAATCTATATATTACTTTGGGCAGTATGGCCATTTTCATGGTATTGATTCTTTCTACCCATGAATATGGAATGTTCTTCCACTTGTTTGTGTCCTCTCTTATTTCCTTGAGCAGTGGTTTGTAGTTCTCCTTGAAGAGGTCCTTTACATCCTTTGTAAGTTGTATTCCTAGGCATTTTATTCTCTTGGTAGCAACTGTGAATGGGAGTTCACTCATGATTTGACTCTGTGTATTATTGTGTATAGGAGCGCTTGTAATTTTTGCACACTGATTTTGTATCCTGAGACTGCTGAAGTTGCTTATTAGCTTAAGGAGTTTTGGGACTGAGATGATGGGGTTTTCTAAATATACAATCATATAATCTGCAAACACAGACAATTTGACTTCCTGTCTTCCTATTTGAATACCCTTTATTTCTTTCTCTTGCCTGATTGCCCTGGCCAGAACTTCCAATACTATGTTTAATTGGAGTGGTGAGAGAGGGCATCCTTGTCTTGTGCCAGCATTCAAAGGGAATGCTTCCAGCTTTTGCCCATTCAGTATGATATTGGCTGTGGGTTTGTCATAAATAGCTCTTATTATTTTGAGATATGTTCCATCAATACCTAGTTTCATGAGTGTTTTTAGCATGAAGGGGTGTTGAAGTTTATTGAAGGCCTTTTCTACATCAATTGAGATAATCATGTGGTTTTTGTCATTGGTTCTGTTTATGTGACAAATTATGTTTATTGATTTGTGTATGTTGAACTAACCATGCATCCCACGGATGAAACCAACTTGATTGTGGTGGATAAGCTTTTTGATGTGCTGCTGGATACAATTTGCCACTATTTTATTGAGGATTTTTCACATCAATGTTCATCAGGGATATTGTCCTGAAATTTTCTTTTTTTTGTTGTGTCTTTGCCAGGTTTTGGTATCAGGATGATGCTGGCCTCTTAAAATGAGTTAGGGAGGAGTCCCTCTTTTTCTATTGTTTGGAATAGTTTCAGAAGGAATGGTACCAGCTCCTCTTTGTACCTCTGGTAGAATTCGGCTGTGAATCCGTCTGGACCTGGGATTTTTTTGGTTGGTAGGCTATTAATTATTGCCTCAATTTCAGAACTTGTTATTGGTTTATTCAGGGATTTGACTTCTTCCTGGCTTAGTCTTGGGAGGGTGTATCTGTCTAGGAATTTATCCATTTCTTCTAGATTTTGTAATTTATTTGCGTAGAGGTGTTTATAGTATTCTCTGATGGTAGTTTGTATTTCTGTGAGATCAGTGGTGATACCCCCTTTATCATTTTTATTCTGTCTATTTGATTCTTCTCTCTTTTCCTTCTTTTTTTTTTTTTTTTTTTTGAGATGGAGTCTCGCTCTGTCGCCCAGACTGGAGTGCAGTGGTATGATCTTGGTTCTGCAAGCTCTGCCTCCTGGGTTCACGTCATTCTCCTGCCTCAGCCTCCCAAGTAGCTGGGACTACAGGTGCCCGCCACCATGACTGGCTAATTTTTGTTTTTGTAATTTTAATAGAGATGGGGTTTCGCTGTGTTAGCCAGGATGGTCTTGATCTCCTGACCTCGTTTTCTGCCTGTTTCAGCCTCCCAAAGTGCTGGGATTACAGGTATGAGCCACCGCACCCAGCCTGATTCTTTTGTCTTTTCTTTTTTATTAGTCAGGCTAGTGGCCTATCTATTTTGTTAATCTTTTCAAAAATCCAGCTCTTGGATTCATTAATTTTTTGAAGGGTTTTTCATGTCTCTCTCTCCTCAGTTCTGCTCTGATCTTAGTTATTTCTTGTCTTCTGCTAGCTTTTGAATTTGTTTGCTCTTGCTTCTGTAGTTCTTTAATTGAAATGTTAGGATGTTGATTTTAGATCTTTCCTGCTTTCTGATGTGAGCATTGTGCTATAAATTTCCCACTAAACACTGCTTTAGCTGTGTCCCAGAGATTCTGGTATATTGTTTCTTTGTTCTCATTGGTTTCAAAGAACTTATTTATTTTTACCTTAATTTTGTTATTTACCTAGTAGTGATTCGGGAGCAGGTTGTTCAGTTTCCATGTAGTTGTGTGGTTTTGAGTGAGTTTCTTAATCCTGAGTTCTAATTTGATTGCACTGTGGTCTGAGAGACTGTTTGTTATGATTTCCATTTTTTACATTTGCTGAGAAGTGTTTTACTTCCAATTATGTGGTCAATTTTAGAATAAGTGCTACATGGTGGTGAGAAGAATATATATTCTGTTGATTTGGGGTGGAGAGTTCTGTAGATGTCTATTAGGTCCTCTTGGTCCAGAGCTGAGTTCAAGGCCTGAATATCCTTGTTAATTTTCTGTCTCATTGATCTGTCTAATATTGACAGTGGAGTGTAAAGTCTCCCACTATTATTGTGTGGGAGTCTAAGTCTATTATTGTCTAGTATGTCTCTAAAAACTTCCTTTTAAATCTGGGTATTCCTGTATTGGGCAAATATATAATTAGGATGGTTAGCTCTTCTTGTTGCATTGATCCCTTTACCATTAAGTAATGCCCTTCTTTGTCTTTTCTGATCTTTGTTGGTTTAAAGTCTGTTTTATCAGAGACAGGATTGAAACCCCTGCTTTTTTTTTTTTTTGATTTACATTTGCTTGGTAAATATTCTTCCATCCCTTTATTTTGAGCCTATATGTGTCTTTGCACATGAGATGGGTCTCCTGAATACAGCACACCGATGGGTCTTGACTCTATCCATTTTGCCAGTCTGTGTCTTTTAATTGGGGCATTTAGCCCATTTACATTTAAGGTTAATATTGTTATGTGTGAATTTGATGCTGTCATCATGATGCGAACTGGTTATTTTGCACATTAGTTGATGCAGTTTCTTCATAGTGTCGTTGGTCTATATATTTTGGTATGTTTTTATAGTGGCTGGTACCTGTTTTTTCTTTCCATATTTAGTGCTTCCTTTAGGAGCTCTTGTAAGGCAGGCCTGGTAGTGACAAAATCCCTTAGCATTTGCTTGACTGTAAAGGATTTTATTTTTTCTTCACTTCTGAAGCTTATTTTGGCTGGAAATGAAATTCTGGGTTGAAAAATCTTTTTTTTTTTTTTTTAAGAATGTTGAATATTGGCCCCCACTGTCTTCTGGCTTGTAGGGTTTCTGCAGAGAAATCCGCTGTTAGTCTGATGGGCTTCCCTTTGTGGGTTATCTGACCTTTCTCTCTGGCTGCCCTTAACATTTTTTTCTTTGTTTCAGCCTTGGTGAATCTGACAATTATGTGTCTTGTGGTTGCTCTTCTTGAGGAGTATCTTAATGATGTTCCCTGTATTTCCTGAATTTGAATGTTGGCCTGGCTTGCTAGATTGGGGAAGTTCTCCTGGATAATATCCTGAAGTGTGTTTTCCAACTTGGTTCCATTCTCCCCATCAGTTTCAGGTACACCAATGAATTGTACGTTTGGTTTTTTCATGTAGTCCCATATTTCTTGGAGGCTTCATTCGTTCCTTTTCATTCTTTTTTCTCTAATCTTGTCTTCATCCTTTATTTCATTAATTTGATTTTCAATCTTGGATATCCTTTCTTCTGCTTGATCGATTTGACTCTTGATACTTGTGTGTGCTTCACAAAGTTCTCATGCTGTGTTTTTCAGCTTCATCAGGTCATTTATGTTCTTCTCTAAACTGATTATTCTAGTTAGCATTTCCTGTAACCTTTTATCAAGGTTCTTAGCTTCCTTGCATTGGGTTAGAACATGCTTCTTTAGCTTGGAAGAGTTTGGTATTACCCACCTTCTGAAGCCTACTTCTGTCAATTCGTCAAACTCATTCTCCATCCAGTTGTGTTCCCTTGCTGGCGAGGAATTGTGATCCTTTGGAGGAGAAGATGCATTCTGGTTTTTGGAATTTTCAGCCTTTTGGTGCTGTTTTTTCCTCCTCATCATGGATTTATCTACTGTTGCTCTTTAATGCAGAGGACCTTTGGATTGAGTTTTTGCATGTGTGTCCTTTTTGTTGATGTTGATGTTATTGCTTTCTGTTTGCTAGTTTTCCTCCTAACAATCAGTCCCCTCTTCTGCAGATCAGCTGGAGTTTGCTGGAGGTCCACTCCAGACCCTGTTTTCCTGGGCATCACCAGTGGAGGCTGCAGAACAGCAAAGATTGCTGCCTGCTCCTTCCTCTGGAATCTTCATCCCAGAGGAGCACCCGCCAGATGCCATTTGGAGCTCTTCTGTATGAGGTGTCTGTCGACCCCTGCTCGGAGGTCTCTTTCAGTCAGGAGGCAGTCTGTCTGTAGCAGAGCTTGAGCGCTGTGCTGGGAGATATGCTGCTCTCTTCAGAGCCGGCAGGCAGGAACGTTTAAGTCTGCTGAAGCTGCACCCACAGCCGCATCTTCCTCCAGGTGCTCTGTCCCAGGGAGATGGGACTTTTATCTGTAAGCCCCTGACTGGGGCTGCTGTCTTCCTTTCAGAGAGGCCCTGCCCAGAGAGGAGGAATCTAGAGAGGCAATCTGGCTACAGGAGCTTTGCTGCACTGAGGTGGGCTCTGCCCAGCCTGACCTTCCCAGTGGCTTTGTTTACACTGTGAGGGGAAAACTGCCTACTCAAGCCTCAGTAATGGTGGACACCCCTCCCCCCACCAACCTGGAGTGTCCCAGGTGGACTTCAGACTGCGTGCTGGCAGTGAGAATTTCCAGCCTGTGATCTTAACTTGTTGGGATCTGTGTGGGTGGGACCTGTTTAGCAACACCACTTGGCTCCCTGGCCTTAGCTGCCTTTCAGGATAGTGAATGCTTCTTGTCTTGCTGGGGTTCCAGGCACCACTGGGGTACAGAAATAAAACTCCTGCAGCTAGCTTGGTGTCTGCTCAAATGACAGCCCAGTTTTGTGCTTGAAACCCAGGGCCCTGGTGGTGTAGGCACCTGAGGGAATCTCCTGTTCTGTGGGTTGCAAAAACCGTGGGAAAAGCATAGTATCTGGGCTGGATAGCACTGTCCCTCATGGCATAGTCCCTCAAAGCTTCCCTTGGCTAGGGGACGGAGTTCCCTGACCCCTTGTGCTTCCCTAGTGAGGCAACACCCCACCCTGCTTCAGCTTACCCTCTGTGAGCTACACTCACTGCTTAACCAGTCCCAATGAGATGAACCTGGTACCTCAGTTGGAAATGCAGAAATCACCTGCCTTCTGCATTGGTCTCTGGGAGCTGCAGACTGGAGCTGTTCCTATTCGGCCATCTAGAAAGTTATTTTTACAAAGCCTGACTTTCAAGACTGTTTTTTATCCTTATTGACTTGAAATTTTTATTTTGTGGTCCAAGTGATTACTAAATTTTTTTCTCTTTATATTAATGGGGCAACAACACTGATCTATTCACCTCACTTTCCAAGGAAGATGGATACCTTAGTATGTCTGTAAGGAATGTAAAAGGGACAGGCCTGTTAATATACTTCAAAAAATATTATGCTTTTTTCCCCAGGGATCAAGTGACTGTTTTAGTCATTCTAGCTTGCATATGACATTAATTGAAGATTGGGTTTGTCTAGATCAAAAGAAAATGTGGCCTATGTTCTTTGGTAGGGTGGTAATAGCTGAAATGTTCCTTAACTCTGTCCACTAATGATATCTTGTAGCTTGACCTCTTGAGAACCCAGTCTCACTTGTCAAGCTGTTTCTTGAGGTTTGGGTGAAGCAGATGATCCAATCCTGTTGTAGCATGAATCTTTTAGAGTATGGCAATAAGAGAATTGTAGATATTGACAAAATTTCTGGAAGGATTACTTTTGAAAAATTAATTAAAATTGGTTTATTAAAAATCCCAGGAAAATTTTCTACATGAGATTTAGATAAACAAAATAAAACATAGAAAAGAAAAATGTTTTTCCTGCCATGTGTAATACACTTTTGAATACTTTTATAGTTAAATTTTATTTGAGATGGTCCATCCAAGTACCAGACTTGCATTATACCTGATAAATTAATACCATTAACACCTTGAGAATGTATTATCTTTGCATAATTAAAATGCATTTTCTTTACTAGAATATAAACAACTTGAGATCAGGATTGTATCTTATTCACTTCTGTGTCAGGAGTCTAGCATGATAACTGGAATGCTGTAAATGTTTAACACATGTTTGCCGTCTGTCTGGATATTTGCTGATCTCTGAACAGAAGATTTGTGAAAGAGAACACACAGGAAAAGATGCACCTCTCTTTTTAGTGATATATGTTTGGGACAATATTCCATGACAAAGGAGCCTAAAGATTTGAATTTCCATTTGTGTTGACCCTACAGTGATTTTGAACAGCCCGATTTAATAATAGACAGGAGCAGTTGGGGGAGAAGTAGATTTCTTGGCAATCCAATCTAGTTTAAAACACCATGAAATGCCTTGGTTATTATATCTTTCACTAGCTAACAAGCCAGGAATCTTATAACATTTGTGACATTGACAGGAGTTTAGAAATGAATACTGTGTAAGGTTTCATTTTGATGCATTGTAGTTCTCTTTATTGTGGTATCTTGTGCTCATACCATCGTCGTGAAATACCATGGCAACTTTTAAAAATTATTATATTTATGTAGAAATGTTAAAAAAAATTAAAAGACCTTTTGAAAAGATGAACAGAAAAATTAGCTTCTTGATTTCTAATTCATGTGTTGCAAGTCTTTGCTTTTTAGGACTTGCCAAATGTTTGTCTTCCCAATTTTCTAGTTAGGTGTAAAGTAAAGGGGAGTGTTTGGTATAAAAGTTTATAGAGTTTTAATGGCAAGGATAAAGCATTGTTGGTTTCAGTCGAAAAGTGTTTTGAACATTATCTTTAAAATGCTATGTCCATTGGCTTGTTGGGAAATCAATAGGTCATGAAAATATTAAATTAAAAGTTTATTTATACATGTAATGTAGATGTATATTTGTGATAAACATATTATATAATCATACTGTAGCACAAGTCTTGTCACTTTGTAAAAGGCTCCAATATTTTGATTACTGAGTGTTCAGGAAAGCCAGTGCATTCTTTCAGTGGTTATAAAAAGATCTGGCAGATATGGCAAGGTAAGCAGTTTACAAGTGTCTTTGAGGGATTTTTAGTTCAGGTTGCCCAACCAAAACAGGATTATTATTTGGCATGTTTACAGATATGGATATGCAGGGAAGCAGGCCTATGGCTTAATTAAGTCAGAGATTATGCGTTAACAAATTGGTTCTGTCAATGATGGATTCTGCCTGCAAGAGGCTAATTTGAATACAATCTACTGGCCATGGTCATAGAGCATAGAGCAACACAACTTTTTTACTTCCCTTCAGGCTGTCTTTTCTCTTGGCTAAGCTTTTAACAAGCTCCACATGCAAAATTGGATGATCTTGGTTGTTGTAAAGTGGCCTCAACATGTACATTTTGGGAAAGGGGAGAAACACTTGGATTAACTTTTGTGTGTTAATCTTTTATGATGTGTATGGATCAGACTTTGGGAAGGAAACTGATAGCTTCATGGTGAAATGTTGGCATACCATTTCTAACTTCCATTTGCCAGTTAAAAGGGGGAAGTGTTCAGGGTCAAAAACACTGATTTATTTGCTTCCTATGAAGGCAATGAATCAACAAAATGAGTGTGTCATTGTAATATTTGGAATCAAAGTCCAGGGTGAATTAGGGCCATTTAACTTGTTCTTAAGCCAGTTGGTTGGAATGGACTCTTCATTTCTTTGTAATCTTTGTTAGGTTTAGTAAGGAGGCATGGATTGGCTGTTAGAATAGGGTCATCTTCATGTAGATTAAAAGTATGGAGATTTAAAATCTAGAGCAATGTTCACTGGAAACAGTTTCACAGCAATCTGTTGGCATCATTTTTTAATACTTTTCAATTTTTCTTTGTACAAGTCACCTTTAACAGAACATCCATCCCTTCCTTGAGGTCATACTTCAGAACAAAGAATGCCCAAATCTCATGATGTAACACAATAAATACTTAATTCTCACCCATGCTACATGTCCAGAAATTATTGGCAGTGTCTGTCATATACACTTAGGGATACAGGTTGACAGAGATTCTACTTCAACCGATACTTTCATGATTGCGTAGAAAAAGGAAAACAGTAAATTATGTGCTATCTCTTAAAGCTTCCACCCTGAAGTGATATAATTCATTCAAATTTAATTTAATTTTTTAACAATTTAATATTTTTCAGAGATGGGGTCTTGTTATGTTGCTTAGGCTGGTCTTGGACTCCTGGGTTCAAGCAATCCTCCCATCCACTCACCTCAGCCTCTAGAGACACTGGAATTACAGGGACTAGCCACTGCACCTCGCTTCATTTGTGTTTTATTGGCCAAACCAAGTCAATATTTGCCTACCCTTCAGTCTTAAAGATTTTCTCCTTTGTTTTCTTCTGGAAGCTCTATATATTCAACATTTAGATCTATAGGCCATTTGGGGTGTTCTTTTTGTGTGTGTAGTATGAGATAAGTGTTTAGTTTCACTTTTTCCCATATGGATTTCCAGTTGTTCCAGCATAGTTTGTTGAAAAGACTGTCCTCTCCCCATCAAATTATTGGTATCTTTGTAAAAAATAAATTGACCCTATATGCAATGGTCCATTATTGGGCTGTCTATTTTATTTGTCTATCCTTAGGCTAGTGCACACTGTTCTGAAAAATATAACTATAAATATTCAAATAAATATTGCAAGCCCTGCAACTTTGTTCTTTTTCAAAATTGTTTTTACTGTTATATGTCTCTTTTATTTCCATATAAATATTATAATCAAGTTTTTACCTTTTAGAAAAAACCTGATAGAATTTTGATTAGGACTGTATTGAATCTTTGGATCAATTTTATTGAGTTTCCCAATATCTTTCATCTACACAGGTCTTTAATTGTTCTCAGCCATGTTTTATAATTTTCAGTGTACATATTTTATTAAATTTATCCCTAAATATCTCATTTTTATGTTACTGTAAATAGTATTATTTTCTAAATCTCATCTTCTAATTGTTTATGCTGGGATATATCAACATAACTGAGTCTTGCATATTGATTTTGTATCCTGCAAATTTGCTAAGTTTGGTTCTTAATTCTAGTCACTTTTTGGGTAAATTTTTTGGTATTTTTTATGTACAGTCATGTCTTGCAAATTAAGACAATTTTGGCTCTTTTTTTCCAAGTAGTATGATTTTTATTTCTTTTCTTGCATGGTTTCTTGAGTACAACCTCAAACACAACGTGAAACAGAAGTTACAGCAGATATCTTTGCCTTGTCTTCACTACTACTGAAATAGTGTAATATCATACTATTAAGCATGATGTTAGCTGTAGATATTTAGTAGATACTCTTTCTCAGGTTTTCTTCTAGTCCCAGTTTTCTGAGATTTTAAAATTATGAATGAGTGTTGAATTTTGTCAAATGCTTTCTCTGCATTTATTGAGATGCTCTGATATCTTTTTAATTTGGTTAGTATGGTGGATTATATTATTTTCAAATATTATACCAACCTTGTATTCTTGAGAAAACCACACTTGGACATGATGTATTATACCTTTTATGTATTAATGGATTTAATTGGCTTGCACTTTTATTAAAGATTTTTGCCTCTGCGTACATGGGGAATATTGGTCATTTTTTTTTTTTTTGAGACAAGGTCTAAGTCTTGCTCTGTTGCCCAGACTACAGTGGCGCAATCATGGCTCACTGCAGCTTCGATTTTTTGGGTTCAAGTGATCCTCTCACCTTAGCCTCCTGAGTAGCTGGGACCACAAGTGTGTGCCACTATGTTCGGTTAAGTTTTAAATTTTTTTGTCGAGATGGGGTCTTGCCATCTTGCCCTGCCTGATCTCAAACTCCTGTACTTAAACAATCCTCCCATCTCAGCCTCCCAAATTGCTGGGATTACAGGCATAAGCCACTGCCCCCAACCTGGTCTTTTCTTTTCTTGTAATGTTTTTGCCTCATATTGGTATTGGGAAAGCCCTGTTTCACAAAATCAGTTGAGAAATGGTTTCTCTTCCTCTATTTTCTAAAAGAGTTCTTTTTAAAACTCTTTGCAAGTGAAGTCATCTGAGTTTTGAATTTTATTTATAGGAAGGGCTTAATTCTAATACAGTTTCTTTAATTGACAAGGGAGTTATTCAGATTTTCTGCTCTTCTAGAATCAGTTTTGGTAACTCATTCTTTCAAGGAATATGTCTGTTTCAACTAAGCAATCAACATTTTTTCACTTAAAAATTTAAATAATAGTACCTTTTTTTAAGTGTCTGTAGGATCTTAGTGATATTTCTTCTGTTTTTTGGTATAAGCCATTTTCTCTTCTGAAAGAATTAAAGCTAATCTTTCATGAGCTGTCTGGTTGGATTCTTATTTCTAATACAGATGCTATCAGGGTCTTAGATGTGATAAACTCCCTGGGGTTTCTATAAGACTCTGAATGCTGTCTGGAGTTAAATGCCTGTTCTCCTCTGAGCTCCTGCAACTCCCTCCAGATCAGTGAGTGGCAGACACTTGGCTGCAGGGAAAAGCCAGGTTCTCCTTGTAGGCTGGAGGAATGGAGATAGGACAGCCTCTGTACCACCTGTTCTCTCTCTTCATGGCTGTCTCTCCTTAGTCCTCAGATCTCAGCATAATTGTCACCTCGTCAGAAGGGCCTTCTCCTGCCACCTTAAATTAAGAAATCTTTATAATTTTACTGATGCCTTTGATTACTGGGAGCTGCCTGAGGGCAGGAATCATCTGTCTGGCCTGCCATTACATTCTTCTTATCAACACAGTACCTTGCATTTAGCAGGTTTTCTCTTTCTTTCTCTCTCTCTCTCTCTCTCTCTCTATATATATATATATATGTATGTATTATACTTTAAGTTCTGAGGTACATAGGTAGAATGTGTGGGTTTGTTACATAGGTATACATGTGCCATGTTGGTTTGCTGTACCCATCAACTTGTTATTTACATTAGGTGTTTCTCCTAATGCTATCCCTCTCCCAGACCCCACCCCGTGACTGGCCCCCTTGTGTGATGTTCCCCTCCCTATGTCCATGTGTTCTCATTGTTCAACTCCCATTTATGAGTGAAAACATGTGGTGTTTGTTTTTCTGTCCTTGTGATAGTTTGCTGAGAATGATGGTTTCCAGCTTCATCCATGTCCCTGCAAAAGACATGAACTCATCCTTTTTTATGGCTGCGTAGTATTCCATGGTGTATATGTGTCACATTTTCTTTATCCAGTCTATTACTGATGGACATTTGGGTTGGTTCCAAGACTTTGCTATTGTGAATTGTGCTGCAATAAACATACGTGTGCATGTGTCTTTATAGTAGCATGATTTATAATCCTTTGGGTATATACCCAGTAATGGGATTGCTGGGTCAAATGGTATTTCTAGTTCTAGATCCCTGAGGAATCGCCACACTGTCTTCCACAATGGTTGAACTAATTTACACTCCCACCAACAGTGTTAAAGCATTCCTATTTCTCCACCTCCTCTCCAGCATCTGTCATTTCCTGATTTTTTAATGATTGCTATTCTAACTGGCATGAGATGGTATCTCATTGTGGTTTTGACTTGCATTTCTCTAATGACCAGTGATGATGAGCATTTTTTTCATATGTCTCTTGGCTGCATAAATATCTTCTTTTGAGAAGTGTCTGTTCATATCCTTTGCCCAATTTTTGATGAGGTTTTTTTTTCTTGTAAATTTGTTGAAATTCTTTGTAGATTCTGGATAATAGCCCTTTGTCAGATGGATAGATGGCAAACATGGTCTTCCATTCTGTAGGTTGCCTGTTCATTCTGATGATAGTTTCTTTTGCTGTGCAGAAGCTCTTTAGTTAAATTAGATCCCATTTGTCAATGTTGGCTTTTGTTGCCATTGCTTTTGGTGTTTTAGTCATGAAGTCCTTGCCCATGCCTATGTCCTGAGTGGTATTGCCTAGGTTTCCTTCTAAGGTTTTTATGGTTTTAGGTCTTACATTTAAGTCTTTTATCTATCTTGAGTTAATTTTTGTATAAGGTGTAAGGAAGGGATACAGTTTCAGCTTTCTACATATGGCTACCCAGTTTTCCATTTATTAAATAGGGAATCCTTTCCCCATTTCTTGTTTTTGTCAGGTTTGTCAAAGATCAGATGGTTGTAGATGTGTGGTGTTATTTCTGAGGCCTCTGTTCTGTGCCATCGGTCTATATATCTGTTTTGGTACCAGTACCATGCTGTTTTGGTTACTGTAACCTTGTATTGTAGTTTGAAGTCAGGTAGCCTGATGCCTCCAGCTTTGTTCTTTTTGCTTAGGATTGTCTTGTCTATGTGAGCTCTTTTTTGGTTCCATATGGACTTTGAAATAGTTTTTTTCCAATTCTGTGAAGAAAGTCAGTGGTAGCTTGATGGCAATAGCATTGAATCTATAAATTACTTTGGGCAGTATGACCATTTTCATGATATTGATTCTTCCTATCCATGAGCATGGAATGTTCTTCCATTTGTTTGTGTCCTCTTTTATTTTGCTGAGCAGTGGTTTGTAGTTCTCCTTGAAGAGGTCCTTCACATCCCTTGTAAGTTGGATTCCTAGGTATTTCATTCTCTTTGTAGTAATTGTGAATGGGAGTTCACTCATGATTTGGGTCTCTGTTTGTCTGTTATTGGTGTATAGGGATGCTTGTGATTTTTGCACATTGATTTTGTATCCTGAGACTTTGCTGACGTTGCTTATCAGCTTAAGGAGATTTTGGGCTGAGACGATGGGGTTTTCTAAATATACAGTTATGTCATCTGCAAACAGAGACAATTTGACTTCCTTTTTTCCTAATGGAATACCCTTTATTTCTCTTTCTTGTCTGACTGCCCTGGCCAGAACTTCCAACACTATGTTGAATAGGAGTGGTGAGAGAAGGTGTCCTTGTCTTGCACTGGTTTTCAAAGGGAATGTTTCCCGTTTTTGCCCATTCAGTATGATATTGGCTGTGGGTTTGTCATAAATAGCTCTTATTATTTTGAGATATGTTCCATCAATACCTAGTTTACTGAGAGTTTTTGGCATGAATGACTGTTGAATTTTGTCGAAGGCCTTTTCTTATCTATTTCTCAATAGATAATCACGTGGTTTTTTGTCGTTCTGTTTATGTGATGGATTATGTTTATTGCTTTGTGTATGTTGAACCAGCCTTGCATATCAGGGATGAAGCCAACTTGTTCGTGGTGGATAAGCTTTTTGATATGCTGCTGGATTCAGTTTGCCACTATTTTATTGAAGATTTTCGCATCAATGTTCATCAGGGATATTGGCCTAACATTCTCTTTTTTTGTTGTTGTGTCTCTGCCAGGCTTTGGTATCAAGATGATGCTGGCCTCATAAAATGAGGTAGGGAGGATTCCCTCTTTTTCTATTGTTTGGAATAGTTTCGGAAGGAATGGTACCAGCTCCTCTTTGTACCTCTGGTAGAATTCGGCTGTGAATCCGTCTGGACCTGGGCTTTTTTTGGTTGGTAGGCTATTAATTATTGCCTCAATTTCAGAACCTGTTGTTGGTCTATTCAGAGATTTGACTTCTTCCTGGCTTAGTCTTGGGAGGGTGTGTGTGTCCAGGAATTTATCCATTTCTTCTGGATTTTGTAATTTATTTGCTTAGAGGTGTTTATAGTATTCTCTGATGGTAGTTTGTATTTCTGTGGGATTGGTGGTGATATCTCCTTAATCACTTTTATTGTGTCTATTTGATTCTTCTCTCTTTTCTTCTTTATTAGTCTTGCTAGCAGTGTATCTGTTTTGTTGATCTTTTCAAAAAACCAGCTCTTGGATTCATTGATTTTTTGAAGGTTTTTTTTGTGTCTCTATCTCCTTTAGTTCTGCTCTGATCTTAGTTATTTCTTGTCTTCTGCTAGCTTTTGAATTTGTTTGCTCTTGCTTCTCTAGTTCTTTTAATTGTGATGTTAGGGTGTGGATTTTAGATTTTTCCTATTTCTCTTGTGGGCATTTACTGTTATAGAGATATTTCTTCTTTTAATCTCAATATTAGTAATTGTCTTTTCTCTCTTTTTTATCTAAAGGTTTTTCAATTTTATTGTACTTTTTCATGAACTGGCTTATATTTAATTTATTTTTCTCTTTTCTCTTCCATTTTATTGTTTTTCACTTAAATTTTTATTATTTCTTACTTTGCATTTAATTTGCCCTTCTTTTCCTAGCTCTTTAAGCTGGATGTTTAGATAATTTATTTTTGAACATTTATTCTTTTCTAATATAACCATTTAAAGCTATAAATTTTCTTCAAAACGTTGTTTTAGGTGGTCCCACAAATTTTGGCATATTGTGTTCTCATTATTCTTTAGTTCAAAATACTTTCTAAGTTCCTTATGATTTTTTTGACTTATGTACTATATAGAAACATAATGTTCAGTCTTCACATATTTTGGAAGTTTTCCAGCTACAAGCCAGGAAAGCGAAGGATTTCCAAAAACCCCTAGAAGCTTGAAGAGGCAAGGAAGAATTCTTCCCTAGAACCTTCAGAGGAAGCATGACTGCCGACAGCATGATTTTGGGCTTCTAGCCTCCAGAACTATGAGAGACTAAGTTTCTGTTGTTTAGAGCCATCTAATTTTTGGCAATTTATTATGGAAGTCCCAGAAAACTAATATACTTGGTGGTATTAGAATTTTATGTTTGTCTTTTTAAGGAACTGTCAAATTAATTCACTGGTGCCTGCATCATATTATAGTCCCATCAGCAATGAGGTTTCTCCTCCTCACCAACAATTGGTTTCAACACCAACAATTCTCTTCCTTTTTTTTTCTTTTTTTTTTAAAGACAGTCAAATTTAGCAGTGGAGAGTTGTATACCAACTTCAGTGATGCTGATGTTAATAAGTTCTGATAACCCACCATCATCAGGCCAGTGATTCTCTTCCTCACTATCCTCGGACCAACGATTCTCTTCCTTTCTTTTCCTCACCAATAATTCTTTTCATTTTCTTTTTAAAAAAATTATAACCATCCTAGTGGGTATAAAGTGGTATTGCTTGCAGTTTTGATTTGCATTTCTTTAGCAACTAACAATATTCAGCATATTCAGCATCTTTTCATGTGCTTATTTGCCACTTGTGTATCTTTTTTGGAAAAATATCTATTAAAATCTGTTATCCATTTTAAATTGGGTTATTTGTCTCTTTATTGATGAATTGTAAGGATTCTTTAAACATTCTGGTTACTAGACCCTCATCAAATATATGATTTGCAATATTTTCTCTGATTTTGTGGGTTGTCTTTTTACTTTCTTTTTTTCCTTTTATTTTTAGTTGACATGTAATAATTGTATATATTTATGGGATACAGGGTGATATTCCGATACATGTATGCAATGTGTGATGGTCAAATCACGGTAATCAGCATATCCATTAACTCAAACATTTATTATTTTTCTATGAGTGAGACCCCATCTCCAAAAAAAAAAAAAAGAGTTCCCTTTTCTTTCAATCCTTGCCAGCATTTGTTATTTTTTGTCTTTTTGATAATAGCCATTCTAACTGGGGTGAGATGAGATCTCATTGTGGTTTTGATGTGCATTTCCCTGATAATTACTGATGTTGAGCATTTTTTTAATATACCTGTTGGCACTTTGTATGTCTTCTTTTGAGAGTTGTCTATTCAGCTCATTTATCCAAAGAGTATACTCTTGATAGACATTTAGAACAAGCTTTCTCAAAAAGTGTGTTCTGAAAAAATAAAAGAAAGATTAGTTCCATAAAATATTTATGCGGATTACTGGGGGAAAATTGTTCATTGAATTACTTATAGCACTTGTGTTCTATGATTTACACTATGGATTTAGGAAAACAAAGAAAAGCCCTTGGTATGTGGTTAGAACTTTACAAGACACACTTACATACACAACTATGATTGTAAATTATAAGCTCCAGACCTCTGCTCCCAAATGTCCTGAGTAAAGTCTTTCTTTACTGGCTTCCAAGTCCTGCAGAGGCTGTCACTATCACCTGGACTTAGGTTGAACTTCAAAGTCTGATGGAAACATGTAGGAATGTGAAGCAGCACAGCTGCTATCTTAGACTCTTTGAAAGACTTTAAATTAGTTGCTTTGCTATTCTCGGGTTTAGTCTTTCCCTCTGCAGTATGCTTTCTGGTGTGCATTTTATTTTTATTTTTTATTGTAAATTGACAATTTATAATCGTATACATTTATGGAATAAAAAGTGATATTACGTTTTATGAATATGATGTTAAATAATTAAATAGAGCTAGTTAACATATCCATCACTTCAAATACTTAACATATTTGTGATGAGAATATTTGAAATGTACCCTTAGTTTAGAAATGTACATTACTCTAAAACTGTATGCACTACGCTGCATACAGTTGTAAAAAAAAATTCCTTCTGAGATTTTTTACCCTTTGACCATAATCTTATTCCTTCTGCTTGAGATTTTGTACCTTTTGATCATAATCTTCCCATCTCTCCCAACCCCTAACCTCTGTAACCACCATTCTACTCTTTGCTTCTATAAGTTTGATTGTTTTAGATTTCACATATAAATGAGTACATGCAGGATTTGTCTTTCTTTGCCTGGCTTATTTCACTTAGGATAATGTTCTCCAATTCCATCCATGTTTTCAGAAATGATAAGATTTTCTTCTTTTTAAAAGACTGAATAGTATCCTACTGCGTATGTAGACCACATTTTATTTATTTGTTCATCTGTTGATGGACATTTTACTTGATTCCATAACTTGGCTATTGTGAATAGTGCTGCAATAAATGTAGGACTGCCAACACCTCTTCTACCAACTGATTTGACCTTGTTTGGGTAAATACTCAGAAGTGGGATTGCTGGATCATGGTAAATCTATTTTTAGTTTTTTGAGAAACCATACAGTTTTCCTTAATAGCTGTCCTAATTTACATTCCTAGCAATAATAGAAGGTTGAACCACCAAGGGTTCCCTTTTTGTCACATTCTTGCCAATACTTATCTTTCATCATTTTTATAATAGTCATTCTAACAGGTGTGAAATGCTACCTTCTTGTGGTTTTACCTTGCATTTCCCTAATGGTTAGCAATATTAAGCATTTAAAAAATATGTCTGTTGGCCATTTGTATGTCTTTTTTTTTTTTTTCTTTTTAAGACGGAGTCTGACTCTCGCCCAGGCTGGAGTGCAGTGGCATGATCTTGGCTCACTGCAAGCTCTGCCTCCTGGGTTCACGCCATTGTCCTGCCTCAGCCTCCCAAGTAGCTGGGACTACAGGCACCTGCCATCACACCCAGCTAATTTTTTGTATTTTTAGTAGAGATGGGGTTTCACCGTGTTAGCCAGAATGGTCTCGATCTCCTGACCTCGTGATCTGCCTGCCTTGGCCCAAAGTGTGTATGTCTTCTTTTGAGAAAGTCTATTTAGGCCCCATGCCCATTTTTTAACTGAGTTTTTTGTTTTTTTGCTGAGTTTTAACTGAGTTGTTTGAGCTCCTTGTATATTTTGGATATTAACCAATTATTGGATATATGGATTGCAAATATTTTCTCCCAATTTGTATATTTTCTCTCACACTGTTAATTGTTTTCTTTGCTGTGCAGAAGCTTTTTGGTTTGATGTAATCCAATTTCACAATTTTTGCTTTACTTGGCTGTGCATTTGAGGTCAAATACATTAATCATTTCTCAGATCAATGTTTTATAGTTTTTCTCCTATGTTTTCTTCTAGTAATTTTACACTTTCTAGTCTTATATGTAAGTCTTTAATCCATTTTGAGTTGATTTTTGTATATGATTTGAGATAAGGGTTCAATTTAGTCTGCATGTGGACATTCAATTTTCCCGACACCATTTATTGAAGAGACTGTCTTTTTCCAATGCGTGTCCTTAGCACCTTCGTGGGAGATCAATTGACCATATATACATGAGTTTATTTCTGGGATCTCTCTTCTGTTCTGCTGTTCTATATGTCTACTTTAATGCCAGTACTATGCTGTTTTGATTACTATGGCTTTGTAGTGGATTTTGAAGTCAGGTAGTGTGATGCCTCCAGCTTTGTTCCTTTTGCTCAAGATTGCTTTGCCTAGTCAGTGTCTTTTGTGGTTCTATACAGATTTTAGGATTATTTTTTCCATTTCTATGTAAAAATGACCCTGGAATTTTGATAGAGATTGCATAGACTCTATAGATCACTTTGTGTAATATGGACATTTTCACACTATTAGTTCTTTCAATCCATGAATGTGGAATATCTTTTAATTTATTAGTGTCTTCTTTGATTTCTTTCATGATTTTTTTATAGTTTTTAGTGTACAGATTTTTTTTACCTCTTTAGTTAAATTTATTCCTTTTTTTGTACCTATTGTAAGTGGGATTGTTCTCTTTAATTCTTTCTGGTTAGTTTGTTGTTAGTGTGTAGAAATGCTACTGATTTTTGTGCGTTGATTTTGTACCTTGCAACTTTACTGTATTTATTAGTTCTGGCAGATTTTTTTTTTTATTGGTAGAGTATGTAGGGTTTTCTATATATAAGATCATGGCATCAACAAACAGTGACAGGTTTACTTCTTTCTTTTCTATTTGGATGCCTTTTATTTCTTTCTCTTGCTTAATTTCCCTGGCAACCACTTGCAATACTATGTTGAATAGAAATGGTAAGAATAGGCATCCTTGTCTTGTTCCAGATCTTAGAGGAAATGCTTTCAATTTTTCATCATTGAGTATGTTAGCTGTAGGATTCTCATATATGGACTTCATTGTGTTGTGATACATTTCTTCTATACCTAATTTGGTGAGATTTTTTTTTTTTTAATCATGAAAGGATGTCGAATTTAATCAAATGCTTTTTCTACACCTACCAGGTGATCATATGATTTTTCTTCTTCATTCTGTTAATGTGATGTATCACATTTATTGATAATGCTGGCCTCATAAAGAGTTTGGAAGTGTTACTTCTTTTTTGATTTTTTTGGAAGACTTTGAGAAGGGTTGGTATTAGTTCTTTAAATGTTTTGTGGAATTCAGCAGTGAAGTCATCAGGTCCTAGGCTTTTCTTTGATGGGAGACTTTTTATTACTGATTGTATCTCCTTACTAATTATTGGTCTCTTCAGATTTTCTATTTCTTCATTATTCACTTTTGGTAGATTTTATGCGTCTAGGAATTTATCAGTTTCTTTTAGTTTATCCAATTTATTCATGTATAATTATTCATAGTAGTCTCCTATGATCGTTTTTATTTCTGTGATATCAGTTGTAATGTCTCCTCTTTCATTTCTGATTTTATTTATTTGAATCTTCTATTTTTAATCAGTCTAACTGAAAGTTTGCCAATTTTATCTTTTTAAAAAATCAACTCATTTTCATTGATTAACAATTAAACAATTAAATTGTTTTTCTAGTCTCCATTTTATTTATTTCTCCTCTGATCTTTATTATCTCTTTCCTTCTGCTTGCTTTGGGTTTAGTTTCTTCTTTTTTTATAGCTCTTTGAGGTAGAATGTTAAGTTGTTTATTTGAGATCTTTCTTCTTTTATAACATAGGAATTTATTAGTATAAATTTTCCTCTTAGAACTGCTTATGCTGTATCCCATAAGTTTTGGTGTGTTGTATTTACTTTTTTTTGCTCTCTCTCTCTCTCTCTCTCTATATATATATATATATGTATATATGTGTATATATGTATATATATATGTATGTATATATACTTACATACAACATACCTAAATTTATATTTATCTATATTTATATATTTTCTATGTCATTTGTCTCCCAGGCTGGGCTGTAGTGGCATGATCATATCTCACTACAACTTTGAACTACTGGGCTCAAGGAGTCCTTCCACCTCAGCCTCCAAAAGTGCTGGGATTACAGGTGTGAGCCACCATACCTGGACTTCCAAGATAGTTTTAAATTTCCCTTTTAATTTCTTCGGTGACCCATTGGTTGTTCAGGACCATGTTGTTTAATTTCCATGTATTTGTTAATTTTCTGAAATTTTCTTGGTATTGATTTCTATTTTTATAACATTGTGGTTGGAAAAACTACTTGATATAATTTCAGTCTTCTTAAATATGCTGAGGCTTGTTTTGTGCTCTAACATGTGATCTATCCTGGAGAATATTTTGTGTGCACTTCAACACAATGTGTATTCTGCTGCTGTTGGATGGAATATTCTATGTATGTCTGTTAGATCCATTTAGTCTAAAATATTTTTCAAGTTTAATGTTTCCTTATTAATTTTCTGTATGGATGATCTATTTATTGTTTTAAGTGGGGGTACTGAAATCTTCTATAATTATTGAATTGTGATTTATTTCTCCCTTCAGACCCTTTAATATTTGTTTTATATATTTAGATGCTCTGATGTTGGGTACATGTATACCTACAGTTATATTTTCTTGATAAATTGACCCATTTATCATTACATAATGTCCTTTTTTTGCTTCTTTTTACAGTTTTTGACAAAGTCTGTTTTATTGGATATAAGTATAGCTAACACTACTCTTTTGGTTTCCACTTGCATGGAATGTCTTCTTACATTTCTTCACTTTCAGTGTATTTGTGTGTGCCATTATTCTTTTGTATGCAGCATATAGTTGGGTCTTGTTTTTTCAGTCCATTCAGTGACTTTGTGTCTTTTTATGGGAGAATTTAATCCATTTACATTCAGGGAAATTATCATTAGGTAAGGACCTACTACTGCCATTTTGTTAGTTACTTTCTTGTTGTTTTGGATATACATTTGTTCTTTCCTCCTGTCTTACTGTCTTCCTTCGTGGTTGATGGTTTTTCTGTAGTAGTATGCTTTGAATCTTTTCTATTTTTGTTTTGTGTTTCTATTAAGTATTTTTGGTTTGTGGTTACCAAAATGTGTTTTCGAATATGGCTGTGAGTAGCTCAGGTAGACTCTTGGAACGAGATATTAACTACATTCTTCCAAAATTAGGCAATCATGCAAAGTCTTTAAGTTTAGAACTAATCCTGGAGCAAAGCTTGTTTAGTTAAGAGAATGGAAGAGAGAAATTTATTATTGCACAGATATGATTAGCAAAATTGTTCAATAACATCCTGTATCTCCATGTTGTAGCCAAATGCTTTCACTGAAAACAAATTCTGCTGCTTGTTTACATACAGACAAGAATTTTTTTAAAGAAGTAAGAATAATGATACTGATCACCTGTTTGAATTTTTAAATATGTTTCTCTAAAAGTAACCCTGGAGAAAATTTTAGGGGATAATGCTGGAACAGTTGTTTTTCTCAAAAGACCACCCTAGTGGGTGACTCAGTTAAGAATTATTTGCTGTAAATCTTCAATGCAAAATAGGCTTGGAAATATCATCATGGATAATGGCAAATGTTGGGAGAAGAAATTAAGTCTAGAAACCCAGGACCTGAGGAGAGTGAACGGGGTTGCAGTGTTTAGGTGCTTTAGCATAGTCCTGAGTACACAGTGCATTCCACCAGAATAAAATGAGAAGCAAGAAGATAAACTTACGTAACAGTGCTTTGTTAATCTGGTTACTGAGCATATTTAAAACGCTACAGAAGAGAATACACCTCCATGGCTGTGGTCCATTTTATGCAGCTAGCAGAAAATACAGTTTTTACACAGACAAACCAAGTCTGTGTTTATTTAAGTACAGTTTGCTTTACAAAATGTTGCACTAGGTATCTACATGATACATTTTGACTAGCATTATTCAATACTATTTGGAGAAAGTCTAAGGCAATTTTTCTAGATTAATGATTTTTAGTGAAAGGATTATTAAGGTATTTGGTCAAGGCTGAAATAAAACATTTTGAGTGTCTTGAAAATAAGCAAATAAAAAAAAATTAAGAGGAATAGGTCCATGACATAGTATCATTTGTGACTAACGGTAACTTAACTTTGACCTTAAGTTAACTGAAGAAAAAAGTCTAATATTTTGAATATCCAAACTTCAACCAATTCAATGATAAATAACTTAATTAATTTCAGTTATCATTAATAGTTACACAGTGGTAAGACCAGCTGACCAGAGTTCAAACCTTGACTCCTCCACTGATCAGTTCTGTGTGATTATGTCTGTTGCACAGTTTCCTGTGGTAAATAATAGCACCAACCCTACAACGTAGTTCTGAGAATGGGGTTAGTGTACATGAATTGTGCATAGCTCCATGTCTGATGTTATTAAGTGTTAGTTGTTAGCTCATAAGGTTGTAACAGACACAGAAATAATTGTCAGTTGTTGCAACTTTTTCTGTTTTCTGTTGATGTTTTACAACATCGTGGAGCATTCTTGCTATGCAATACAAGTATGTCATACAAGTATGGTTGCTACCGTTGGGCAGGTGGGCCAGCAAAGTTGTATGAAATGTTCAAGCAACATTACATTGAATAATTTTTACACTGAATCATTGAAAGACTTTGCAGGCAAGCTTAACCAGCGCAGATGTTCATAAATTAAATATCCAAGTCTGTACTGAATTATTTACACTTATGTAACATGGTAATTATAAAAGCAATAGCATATATAGTTTCAAACAGTGATTAAAAAGTTAGATATCTATGATTTATGAAGCCATACTTCAATTTAGCTTATGTATATAACTTCTAGAAAGTATAGCTTTTTGGAGTTGCCTAACCTGCTAGTGGGAAGAATTAAACTCCATCAGGTAAAAGCAAATGTTACAAGATAATGTTTAACAAAAATTTGACCTGATCTATAAAATGTACTAAAAATTACATTTCTGCAAGTGCGTTGGAAGGCCTGGATGTGAGAGTGTGTTGGGGCTATACATATAAATGTGGGTCATATGTGAAACAAACTAAAATCTGAACATTTTAGGTCCATATCCTGTTGTATGCTTGCTGATTGACTACTGGACTAATCCTTGTTTCATCTATCAAATATGAGAAAATATAGTGAAGTTCCTTATGAGGACCATTATAATTTAGTTTTTCAAAAATGCTATTTAATCAAACTAATTTACATCACCAGTGATCTCATGACTAACTAGAATGGTCCTTTTCTATTTCTTGCCAATTTCATTTACAACAAACAACAAAACACAGTTTACGTGTAACTTAGGTCTGAAGGGAAATATCTATACTGTGTATAGTAAGTATAAGAAAAAGAAAAAATTAAGTGTAATTTTTAAAAATTTAATTCAATTCTTTAGAATTAAGGCCTAGGAGACCACGAAGAATATGTTAGAAATGTTAGAATGATTGTGGTTTACCTAAATCTTCATACATATAGGAAGCTTTGAAAAATTCAAAAGAAAATATGCAAGGCTGGATTCAACTTCATCTACAAAGAGAACTTTGATAACTGCACAATCATCAATCATTCTCAGAGAACAGAAAGCTCCAGTTCAAGCCTGTAAGTCATTTCTTTGTTGATATTATGGTATGGTGGTCAGCTCTGTCTCAATGCAGACACAGTGGTACAAAAGAATGAAGTAGAGATGAGGAGGTAACTATTAGCAAAAGGAAATCTGTTTTTGAGTAAGACAAACACTCTGCAGTGATTTTCATTGAAATTTACACTTTTCTAAATATTGGCCATTATATAGAAATCTCAGACTCATCTCATCTTTCTACTCTATGGGATCTTAATTTTTCATGACCTATAGTTTTTTTTTAGTTAATAAAACAGAATAAATAATTTAAAAAGCAAAGTCATCTTGTGGAATGTAGGTTCAGGTTTAAGTAATTACTGTTCTTGTTTTACTGCATTTTGATGAGCACCAACATTCTAATTATAGTCCAGCATCTCTTGTTTGGCAGGCAATGCCAATGCCAATCATACTCCATTATATATTGCTATGGAGTAACCATTAGCAACAATTGCATTCACCACCCCAATTTTTGACTAATGCTCCATCCACATGAGCGCTCTAGTCTCCAGAGATAAGAACAGCTATACTCACTGTGCTCATTGTCCCAGTCACCTTTGACAATTGTTTCTTTTTTTTTTTTTTTTTGGCCTCATGTCACAGATTATCTACTAAAGGACTCATCTTAGCCCTGTGATTAAAAAGAATTGATTACTTCGGCTGTTTCTTATAGCAAGATCTTTACTTTCATCTAAAATAGTGCTCTTATATTTCACACTGAGTTTCAAAATTCCAAAGAGGAGACCTGTACACTACTGTGATTTGATGTGATAGAATGCCAAAGTGGGGGAACAAGTTGAAAGTAGGTCCAAAACTTCACTAATTTATATGAAAATGTGCCTTTAAAAGTATTGAATATATAAAAGTATTAGAAGTTAGTTTCTTTTTCATATTTTTAATTGTCTAAAAAACAAGTTATCAGTTGCATGAGATATTTTGTACTTAGTCATTCTCATTTCAGAGAAGCTTAGTTTTAATGAGTTCATACCTTGAAATGCTCTGACTCCCCTTTAGTTCCGTAAATGTCTGTTCATGAGAGGATGGTTCACATTAATTACAGTGTCTTTTCATCTTCCTTTGCATGCAGCAGGGTTCCAATGTCCAGCACCTTGCATCTGAAATGAAAGAAATGGGGAGAGGATGTTTGCCTTTTTATATCCTAGTATATATTATATGATAGTACTAACTTCTCCTATCTCAGAGTCCCCAAAATAACCTCTTACAGTCTAGTCTTTATCCTCTGCAATTTTGTTTTTTCCTGTAAGGCATAATTGTCTTAGTACTTTTGGATTCCTATATCAAAATACCATAAATTGGGTGGCTTATTAGCAACGGAAATTTATTGCTCACAGTTCTGGAACTGGAAAATCAAAGATCAAGGTGCTGGCAGATTTGGTATCTGATGAGGTCCTGCTTCCTTATAAATGGTGCCTTCTTGCTGTGTCCTTACATGGTGGAAGGGGCAAACAGCTCACTCAGGCCTCTGCTATGAGGGCACTAATCCCATTCACGTGGTCAGAGTCCTCATGACCTAATTACCTCCCAAAGATCCTACTTCCTAACACCATCACCTTGGGAATTGGGGGAGGATTTAAACATAAATTTCAGGGGTGAGATATAAACATTCAGGCCATAGCAACAGCAGTAAGGGATTTTATTGATTCTGTAATCTATTCCATGAATACTTCCGCACTTCTGAAATAAGAATGGGTCTTTTGGCCAGGCATCTTGGCTTTGTAATCCCAGCGCTTTGGAAAGCTGAGGTAGGGGGAGGATTGCTTGAGCCCAGGAGTTCAAGACCAACCTGAACAACAGAGTGAGCCCTCATCTCACTTAAAAAAAAAAAAGAATGGGTCTTTCAATCAATGGCATATTTTTCTTAGCAGTACACAAAGTATGGATTAAAAAATGATTAATATGATTTGAATGTTTATCTTTTTCCAAACCCATGTACAAATTTAATTGTCATTGTAATAATATTAAGAAGTAGGACTTTTAAGAGGTGATTAGGCCACGAGGGCTTTGCCCTTATGAATGGATTAATGTTATATTGTGGGAGTGGGTTCCTTCCTTATAAAAGGATGAGTTAAATACTTCTTTCTTGTTCTTTCCATCCCTCTTTCTTTCTCTTTCCCCCACCACTCTCTTTTACTCTCTTTACCCTGTTGCCATGGAGTTATGCAGCAAGAAAGCACTCACCAGATGCTAGCCCCTCAATTTTGTACTTCCCAGCCTCCAGAACTGTGAGCAAATAAATTTCTGTCTGAGTTACTCAGTCTGTGGTATTCTGTTATAGCTTCACAGAACTGACTAAGACACTGATGAATTTTTGGATTGTATAAAATTCAGCAACAATACCTAAAATTTATTAGGGTTTACTAAGTCTCAGTATTTTAAGTGATTTACCCCCTTCATTTATAAACTCTACAAGAATTTCTATAGAAACTGAATTTCAGAGGGGCCAAGTGACTTAGTAAGTAAGTAAGCCAGGCTTTGGGCACGTGTCTGTTTGAGGGAGTCCCTGTTTTCACTGTTTCCTACCACACACTTCTCCTCTGTCCAAGCCTGTCCTTAAGAAAGGATCAGTTATTCGATCTTCAGTGTTCTTTCTTCCAAGTGTTTTTGCAATTTAGAGATAAAGGATATCTCTCTAATTTTGGAACACTAATCATGCAGAGTACAATAGCTTACAAAATATTTTAATTTATTCAATTAACACTAATAGACTCTTTTTCTTTTTCTGGGCATTATGGGGAAACAAAAATTACTAGAAAATCATTCCTATCTCCAAGGGCTCAGAGTCTAGTGGTGGAATCTCAGACAATCATTACAACAGTGGGGAAAGTTTTAGAGCAGGGATAAGTACCAAGATCCTCAGGCGTGAGTTGCCTCAAAGTTGAACTGAGCTGGGCTATATCTGTAGTAGTTAAGAGAAGTCTTCCCTGAGGAAATGACCTTGAAGCTGAGTTTTGAGTCACAAGAATTTGCTTCAGGGTGTCATGTACTGTGCCAGATGATGAATAAATGAGGAAATCAATCAGTCAACAAAAGAAAGAAATGAACTATGGAGTGAAAAACACTGAGCCCACAACTCTGGAACACTGACATAAGAAGCAGTTAGTGCTAGACAGGGCTTTAAGGAGCCTGACAAGGCTATTCTCTAGAAGAGTGGAAAGAGATGGGTGTGGGGGCAGTGAAGAAATGATAGAAGGTTTCTGAGAAGCAAGAAGGCTTCAAGGAGGGAATGGCCAACATTACCAAAAGTTGCAAAGAAGAAAAATTATAATCACTGAAACAAGCTTATCAAATTTGTCTCCTTATAAAAGACACCCCAGAAAGCTCTCTCAGCCTTTCTACCGTGTGAGAACACAGTGAGAAGAAAGCTATCTATGTACCAGAAAAGAAGCCCTCATCGTAGACTGAATCTACTTGATCTTGGACTTTCCAGCTTCAAGAACTATTAGAAATAAATGTTTGTTATTTCAGGCCACCTAATTTTTAGAATTTTTGTTTTAACATGAATGGACTAAGACAATTACAAAGGCTTACACTTATGTTTTCTTCTAAGACTGTTTTAGTGTAAGCTCTTCTGTTTAGATCCTTGAACCATTTTGACTTCAGTGTTGTATATGGTGTGAGGTAGGCATTCAAATTCATTCTTTTGAATATAGATATTAGCCTTCTCTTGCCATTTATTAAAATGAGCATTCTTCTCTCATAGAATGCTTCTGGAACATGCTAGGGTTTGGGTGTTTGTACCCTCCAAAACTCATGTTGAAACTTAATCCTCAATATGGAAGTATTGAGAGGTGAGGTCATTAAGAAGTGATTGGGTCATGAAGGCTCTGCCCTCATGAATGAATTAATACATACATTAATCAATGGATTAATGGATTAATGAGTTATTTTGGGAATTGGACTGGTGTATTTATAAAAAGAGGAAGAGAGACCTGAGCTAGCATGCTCAGCTCCTGTGCCATGTAATGCACTTGGCCATCTTGGCACTCTGCAGAGTACACCCCACTAGCACAAATACCTTCAGCAGATGTGGTCCCTTGACCTTGGACTTCTCAGCTTCCAAAGAAATGAATCCCTTTTCTTTATAAATTACCCAGTTTCAGGTGTTTGATTATAAGCAACAGAAGATGGACTATAACAGCACTCTCATCTAAAACCAATTGATCATAGATGTATAGGTTTATTTCTGGACTTACAATTATAATCCACTAATATATATTTATCTTTATGTCAGTTCCACACTGTCTTGATTATTGTAGCTTTGTAGTAGAATTTAAAATTGGGAAGTGTGAGTTCTCTAACTTTGTCCCTTTTTTTTTCAAGATTTCTTTGCCTGTTTTGGAACTCCTATAATTTCGTAGAATTTTAGGATCAGCTCTCCATTTCTGTCAAAAAGTCAGTTGAAGTTTTGATAGTGAGTGCATTGAATCACTAAGTCAATTTGGGAGTAGCTTAACAATTTAAGTCTTCAAATCCATGAACACAGGATATCTATCCATTTACTAAAATAAAAGCAGAGATATTTAATTTCTTTCAATGAAGTTTTGTAATTCTTAGTGTACAGTTTTTGTGCATCTTATGTTAAATGACAACTTTGTGTTTTATTTTTGTTTGATGCCTTTATAAATGAATTTGTCTCCTTAAATTCACTTTTAGGTTGTTCATTGCCAGTGTGTTGAAATACTACTTATTTTTGCATACTGGCCTTGTATTCTTCAACTTTGCTGAACTCATTTATTAGTTCTAACAGGTTTTTATTAGTATTTTAGGATTTTTACAGTTAAGATCATGCCATCTACCTATAGAGATAGTTTTATTCCTTCCCTCTCAATCTGGATCCCTTTTATTTCTTTCTCTTGCCTAATTACCTTGGCTAGGATTTCCAGTACAATGTTGACTAGAAGTGGTGAGAATTAGCATCCTTCTCTTACTTCTTACCTTAGGCAGAAAGCTTTCAGTCTTTCACCATTAATTTTGATGTTAGCTATAGGTTTTTCATATGACCTTTATTAGATTGAGAAAGTTCTGTTTTCCTAGTTTGTTGAATGCTTTTATAATGAAGAGTTGATGGATTTTTTCAAATGATTTTTCTTTGTTGATATGATCATGAGTGTGTGTAGTTTTAAACTGTCATTCTATTAATATGGTGCATTATATTGGCTGATTTTTGAATGTTGAACCAACCTTTATTCCTGGAATAAGTCCTACTTATTCCAGGTGTCTTATATGGTGTCTACTCCTTTTTATTTTGTTTGTTTGATTGGCTAGTATTTTGTTAAGGATTTTTGTGTCTATATTCGTACGATATAATTGCTTGTAGTCTTCTTTTGTGTGTGTGTGTGTGTGTGTGTGTGGTATATTTGTCTAATTTTGTTATCAGGATAATACTATCCTCACACAATAAACTAGAAAGTTTTGATTCTCTTCTGTTTTCTGGAAGAGTTTGTAAAGAATTAACGTTAATTATTCTTTTTGTTGTTGTTTATTATTATTTTTAATTTAACTTGTAAGTTCAGGGCAGGTTTGCTATATAGATAAACTTGTGTCATGGGGGTTTATTGTACAGATTATTTTGTCATACTGGTATTAAGCTTAGTACCCATTAGTTATTTCTCCTGATCCTCTCCCTCCTCCCACCCTCCACCTTCTGATAGGCCCCAGTGTGTGTTTTTCTCCTCTATGTGTTCATAGGTTCTCATTATTTAGCTCCCACTTGTAAGTGAGAACATACGATATTTGGTTTTCTGTTCCTGTGTTAGTTTGATAAGAATAATGGCCTTCAGCTTCTTCCATGTTCCTGCAAAGGATAGGATCTCGCTTATAGCTGCATAGTACTCCGTGGTGTATATGTACCATATTTTCTTTATTTAGTCTACCATTGATGGGTATTTAGGTTGATTCCATGTCTTTGCTATTGTGAATCATGCCACAATGAACATATGGACACATGTCCACACATGTCTTTATGATAGAAAAATTTATATTCCTTTGGGTATATACCCAGTAATGGAATTGCTGGATCACATGGTAATTCTGTGTTTAGGTCTTTGAGGAATCACCACAACGTCTTCCATAATGGTTGAACTAATTTATACTCCCACCAACAGTGTATAAGTGTTCCTTTTTCTCCATAACCTTGTCAGCATCTGTTATTTTTTGACTTTTTAATAATAGTTATTCTGACTGGTGTGAAGTGCTATCTCACTGTGGTTTTGATTTGCATTTCTCTAATGATCACTGATGTTGAGTTTTTTTTTCATACGGTTTTTGGCTGCATGTATATTTTCTTTTGAAAACTGTCTGTTCATGCCCTTTGCCCACTTTTTAATGGAGTTGTTTGTTTTGTTTCTTGCAAATTTGTTTAAGTTCCTTATAGATGCTGGATGCATAATTTGCATCTGACAAAGGTCTAACTTTCTCCCATTCTGTAGGTTGTCTGTTCACTCAACATTTGGTAGAAGTTATCAGTTAAGTCATTTGGTACTAGACCTTTCTTTGTGGAAAGTTTTTTGATTACTCACTCAATTTCTTTTCTTGTTATAGGTCTATTGAGATTTTGATTTTTTTTTTTTTAGTTTTTGTTTCATGTTCAGGAGTACATGTGCAGGTTTTTTGACAGAAAATTGCATGTCACAGGGGTTTGGTGTACAGATTATTTTACCACACAGGTAATAAGCATAGTACAAGAAGTAGTTTTTCAATCCTTACCATCCTCTGTCCCTCCACCTTCTACTAGGCTCTGGTGCCTGTTATTCCCTTCTCTTTGTTCATATGTACCAGATTTTGAATTTTTTCTTGAGTCAATTTTGGTAATGTCTTCCTTTCTGGGCACTTTCCCATATTATCTAAGTTATCTAATTTGTTTCTTTACAATTGTTCATTGTTTTTCCTTATAATCTTTTATATTTGTGTATGTTCAGCAGTAACATTTCCTTTTTTCTTCATCATTTTAGTAATTTGAGTCTTCTTTCTTTTTGTCAATCTTGCTAAAGGTTGGTTTACTTTGTTTATTTTTTCACAGTACAAACTTTTGGCTTCATTGATTTTCTTTTTCGTTTGTTTTAATTAACTTCAGCTCTGTTTTTTATAGTTAGATTATTGACTTGAAATCTCTCTTTTGTAACTCTAATAATGTTACAAAATTTATTGACTAATTTGACATTTGTAAAGCATATCACTGTAAGGTAAATTTAAAGAAATGTCAATAGAATACCAGCTTCATTTTAAAATTAAATACTGTGTGTTACTTAAAAGAAAGAATGTTAGAGACACAGGACATACTGCTAGGCCTAGCACATAGTAACCACTTAATACATATTTGTTGAATGAACACTTAAATTGTTCCTTCTCAACCCTAACATAACATATATTATGCCTTTAGGTTACAGGCTTAAGAAGACAAACATGACAGTGGCAGATATGTGTGTATTGACCCTTCCAGACTGTACTGGCCTTGTGAACAAAAAAAATTACCCTTCTGAAAGGTAATTGGAGACAGGATCCTGTGACCCCAGTTAGCACCTGCAGCATTAAACCTCCATTTATTGGGTTCAAATAGTGGTTGCTGGATTTTTAGGAGACCTCTGTCAAAATGCAAGGTGGGAAAGTTCACACATGAATCCCTTTTCAACTAACACTTCAGTCTGTTGTTTTATCAGTTAATGCTTCAGCAAGGATTTTAAAAAATGAGGTAACAGTCAGAGTGAGGGGTGTGCGCACACACACACATGCACATTTTAGGTGGAGAGGTAGTGTGGAGAGTAGAGGGTGTCACCTGGCTGAGAGTACCTGGGAAAGGACAGGCACATGAACAAGAAAAGCAGGAGGATACCAAGACAATTTTTACCTCCTCCGCACTTTAGCTTAGGTGTGGCCTTTCTTCTAAGTGCCCGCCTCTACTTGGATTTGCATGTGGATTCAACCTTTTGAACTGAATCATCTAATTTTTAAATTTTGATAAAAATATTCCTTCTTCTTCAACTCTTATCAGATATGATCCCAAAGCTACATATATAATCTTTAACTTTTAGCAGCCCTTGGTCTCATAGCTACAATAACTGCAGATTTTTTTTTTTCACTTTTATTTTAGGTTCAGGGGTACAATGTGCAGGTGTGTGAAATAGGTAGATTTTGTGTCATGGACATTTGGTGTGCAGATTATTTCATTGGCATAGTACCCAATAGGTAGTATTTCCATCTTCACTCCCCTAACCTCCACCCTCAATGAGGCCCTGGTGTCTGTTGTTCCCTTCTTTGTGTCCATGTGTAACCAGTGTTTAGCTCTCACTTATAAGTGAGAATATGTGGTATTTGGTTTTGTGTTTCTACATTAGTTTGCTTAGGACAATGATGTCCGGCTGTATCCATGTTGGTTCAAAGGATATGATTTTGTTCTTTTTTGTGGCTGCATAGTATTCCATGGTGTGTATGTACCACATTTCTTTATCCAGTCTATTATTGATGAGCATTTAGGTTGATTCCATGTCTTTGCTATTGTGAATAGCACTGCAATGAACATATAAGTGCATGTGTCTTTATGGTAGAATGATTTATATTCCTTTGGATATATACTCAGTAATGGGATTTCTGGGTTTGAATGGTAGTTCTGTTTTATGTTCTTTGAGAAATTGCCACACTGCTTTCCACAATGGCTGAACTGTTTACATTACTACCAGCAGTGTATAAGTGTTCCTTTTTTTTTCTGCAACCTTGCCTACATCTGTTATTTTTTTGACTTTTTAATAATATCCATTCTGACTGGTGTGAGGTAGTATCTCATTGTGGTTTTGGTTTGCATTTCTCTGATGATTAGTGATGTTGAGCATGTTTTCATATGCTTGTTTGTCACATTTGCCTTCTTTTGAGAAGTGTCTCTTCATGTCCTTGGCCCATTTTTTAATGAGGTAGTTTGGTTTTTGCTTGTTAATTTAAGTTTTTTATAGATTCTGGGTATTAGCCATTTGTTGGGTAAACAGTTTGCAAATATTTTCTCCAATTCTGTAGGTTGTCCGTTTACTGTGTTGGCAATTTCTTTTGCTCTGCAGAAGCTCCTCAGTTTAATCAGGTCCCATTTGTCAACTTTTGTTTTTGTTGCAATCGCTTTTGAGGTTTTTGTCATGGAATCTTTGCCAGGACCTATGTCTGGAATGGTATTTCCTAGGTCATCTTCCAGGGTTTGTATAAAAGTTTTACATTTACATCTACAATCCTTCTTGAGTTAATTTTTGTACATGGTGTAAGGAAGAGGTCCAGCTTCAATCTTTTGCACATGGCTAGCCAGTTATCCTAGCAGCATTTATTGAATAGGGAGTCCTTTTCCCATTGCTTGTATTTGTTGACTTTGTTGAATATAAGATGGTTGTTGAGGTACAGCTTTATTTCTGAGTTCTCTATTTCTGTTCCACTGGTCTATGTGTCTGTTTTTGTACCAGTACCATGCTCTTTTGGTTACTGAAGCCTTGTAGTATAGTTTGAAGGCAGGTAATGTAGTGTCTTCAGCTTTGCTATTTTTGCTTAGGATTGCCTTGGCTGTTCAAGCTTTTTTTTGGTCTCATATAAATTTTAAAATAGTTTTTTCATTTTCTGTAAAGAATGTTATTGGTAGTTTGATAGGAATAGCATTGAATCTGTAGGTTTCTTTAGGCAGTGTGGCCATTTTAACAATATTGATTCTTCCTATCCATGGGCATGGAATGCTTTTTTCATTTGTTTGGGTCAGCTTTGATTTCTCTGAGCAGTGTTTTGTAATTCTTATTGTAGAGATTTTTCACCTTTTTATTAGCTGTATTCCTAAGCATCTTATTCTTTTTGTGGCTATTGTGAATGAGATTGCATTTATTTATTTATTTTTTTTGAGACGGAGTCTCACTCTGTAGCCCAAGCTGGAGTGCTGCGGTGCGATCACGGATCACTGCAACCTCCACCACTGGGGCTCAAGTGATTCTCGTGCCTCAGCCTTCTGAGTAGCTGGGACTACTGGTGCGTGCCACCATGCCCAGCTAATTTTTTTGTATTTTAGTAGAGACAGGGTTTCACCATGTTGCCCAGGGTGGTCATGAACTCCTGAGCTCAGGAGATCTGCCCGCTTCAGCCTCCCAAAGTGCTGGAATTACAGGCATGAGCCACTGTGCGAGGCCGAGATTGTATTCTTGATTTGTCTCTCAGTTTGGTTGTTGTTGGTGTATAGAAATGCTACTGATTTTTGTATATTGATTTTGTATCCTGAGACTTTGCTGGAGTTGTTTATCAGCTTAAGGAGCTTTTGGGATGAGACTATGGGGTTTTCTAGATATAGGATCATGTCATCTGCAAATAGGGGTAGTTTGACTTCCTCTCTTTCTATTTGAATGCCTTTTATTTCTTTCTGTTTCCTGATTTCTGAGCCCAGAACTTCCAATACTATGTTGAATAGGAGTGGTGAAAGAGGACATCCTTGTCTTGAGCTGGTTTTCAAGGAGAATGTTTCCAGCTTTTCCCATTCAATATGATGTTGGCTGTGGGTTTGTCAGAGATGGCTCTTACTATTTTAAGGTATGTTCCCTCAATACCTAATTTATTGAGAGTTTCTAACATGAAGGAATGTTTAATTTTATCAAAAGCCTTTTCTGCATCTATTGAGATAATCATATGGTTTCTGTCTTTAGTTCTGTTTATGTGATGAATCACATTTATTGATTTACATATGTTGAACCGACCTTGCATCCCAGGGATAAAGCCTACTTGAGCATCATTAATATGCTTTTTGATGTGCTGCTGGATTCAATTTGCTAGTATTTTGTTGAGGATTTTTGCATCAATATTCATCAAGGATATTAGCCTAAAGTTTTCTTTTTTTTTGTTTTGTCTCTGCCAGGTTTGGTATCAGGATGATGCTGGCCTCATAAAATGAGTTAGGGAGGAGTTGCTTTACCTCAGTTTTTTGGAATATTTTTAGGAGGAAAGGTAGCAGCTCTTTTTATACATCTGGTAGAATTTGGCTGTAAGTCCATCTGCTATGGGCATTTATTTTTAGATAAAGTGTTGCTCTGTCACCCACGCTGGAGTGCAGTGGGGCGATTGTGGCTTACTGAAACCTTTGCCTCCTGGGCTCAAGTGATTCTATTGCCTCAGCCTCCCAAGTAGGTGGGATTACAGCCAACTGTCACCACGCCCAGCTAATTTTTGTATTTTTAGTAGAGATGGCATTTCACCATGTTGGCCAGGCTTGTTTCAAACTCCTGACCTCAAGTGATCTGCCCGCCTCAGCCTCCCGAAGTGCTGGGATTACAGGTGTGAGCCACTGTGCCTGGCCAGGTTCTGGGGTTTTTTGGTTGGTAAGCTTTTTATACTGATTTAACTTTGAAACTGATTATCAGTGTGTTCAGGGATTCAATTTCTTCCTGGTTCAGTCTTGGGAGGTCATATGTTTCCAGGAATATATCCATTTCTTCTAGGTTTTCTAGTTTGTGTGTATAGAGGTGTTCATACTAGACTCTGAGGTCTCTAAGGTTTTTTTTTTTTTTTTGTATTTCTCTGGTGTTCGTAGTAATATCTTTTTGTCATTTCTGATTTTTTAATTTGAATATTCTATTTTTTTAAAAAAATTAGTGTAGCTAGTGGTCTATCAATCTTATTTATGCTCTTTCAAGGAACCAACTCATGGATTCATTGATATTTCATATGGTTTTTCATGTCTCAGTTTGCTTCCATTCAACTCTGTCTTTTGCTACCTTTGGAGTTGGTTTCCTCTTGTTTTTCTAGTTCCTCTAGGTGTGGTGCTGGGTTGTTAATTTGAAGTTTTCATAACTTTTTGATGTGAGTTTTTAGGACTATACACTTCCCTCCTAACACTAACACTGCTTTAGTTGTGTTCTAGAGATTCTGGTATGTTGTATCTTTGTTTTCATTGGTTTCAAATAATTTGTTTCTGCCTTAACTTTATTGCTGCCCAAAAGTCATTCAGGAGCAGGTTGTTTAATTTCCATGTAATTTTTTGGTGTTGAGTGATATTTTTAGCATTATTTTCTATTTTCATTGTGCTGTGATCTGAGAGTGTGTTTGGCACGGTTTCTTTTTTTAAAATTTGCTGAGAATTGTGTTATGGCTGATTGTGTGGTTGGTTTTAGAGTATGTTCCATATGCAGATGAGAAGAATGTGTATTCTGTTGTCTTTGGATGAAGTGTTCTGGAGATGTCTGTTAGGCCCATTTGGTCATACATCAAGTTCAGATCTCAAATATCTTTGTTAGTTTTCTGGCTCAGTGATCTGTAATACTGTCAGTGGGGTGTGGAAGTCTCTCACTATTATTCTGTGGTTATCTGAGTCTATTCATAGGTCTCTAAGAACATGCTTTATGAATCTGGGTGCTCTTGTGCTGGGTGCATATATATGTACAATAGTCAGATCTTCTTATTGAATTGAACTGTTTCCCATTGTGTAATGCTCTTCTTTTTCTTTTTCTTTCTTTTTTTTTTTTTTGAGATGGAGTCTTGCTCTGTCGCCCAGAGACTGGAGTGCAGTGGCATGATCTTGGCTCACTGCAAGCTCCGCCTCCCAGGTTCACGCCATTCTCCTGCCTCAGCCTCCCGAGTAGCTGGGACTACAGGCGCCCACCACCACGCCCGGCTATTTTTTTGTATTTTTAGTAGACACGGGGTTTCACCATGTTATCCAGGATGGTCTTGATCTCCTGACCTCGTGAGCCGCCCGCCTCAGCCTCCCAAAGTGCTGGGATTACAGGCGTGAGCCACCGCGCCCGGCCCTTCTTTTCTTTTTCGATCATTGCTGGTTTAACATCTGTTTTGTCTGAAATTAGATTATCAACTCCTGCTTTTTTTCTGTTTTCTGTTTGTTTGGTAGATTTTTCTCTTTCCCTTTATTTTGAGCCTATAAGTGTCACTGCATGTGGAGTGGGTCTCCTGTAGACAGCATACAATTGGGTCTTGTTTCTTCATTCAACTTGCCACTCTATGCCTTTTAATTGGGGCATTTAGCCCATTTACATTCAAGGTTAATATTTATATGTGTGGGTTTGAACCTGTCATCATGTTATTAGCTGGTTATTATGCAGCCTTGATTGTATTGTTTTATTGTGTCTGCGTTCTTAAGTGTGTTTTTGTAGTAGCCAGTAATTGTCTTTTCTTTCCGTATTTAGCAGTCCCTCAAGGACCCTTAAGGACACATTGTAAGGCAAGTCTGGTGAAATAAAATTCCCTTAGCATTTGCTTGTCTGAAAAGGATCTTATTTCTCCTTCACTTTTGAAGTTTAGTTTGGTTGGATAAGAAATTCTTGGTTAGAATTTATTTTATTTAAGAATGCTGACTTGAAGGGTTTCTGCTAAAGCTCTGCTGTTAGCCTGATGGGCTCCCTTGTAGGCAGCCTGCCCCTTCTTCCTAGTTGCCTTTAGCCATTTTTCTTTCATTTCAACTTTGGATAATCTGATGACAATGTGGCTTGGGGGTGGTCTCTTGTATAGTATCTCATAGGAGTTCTCTGCATTTCTTGGATTTGAATGTTGGCTTCCCTAGCGAAGTTGGGGAAATTTTCATCAATGATATCCTCAAATATGTTTTTCAAGTTGCTTGCTTTCTCTCCCTCTCTTTTAGGGTTGACAGTATGACATAGATTTGGTCTCTTTATGTAATCTCATATTTCTCAGAGGTTTTTTCATTTTCCTTTATTTTTTAAATTATTGTGACTGTTATTTCAGAGAATTGGTCTTCAAACTTGGACATTCTTTCCTCAATTTGGTCATTTCTGCTGTTAATATTTGTGATTGTATTATGAAATTCATGAAGAGAATTTTTTTAGCTCAGTTCAGGTTGGCTCTTTCTTGAAATGGCCATTTAATTTTTTATCTCCTGTATCATTTTATTGTATTTCTTAGATTCCTTGGATTGGGTTTCAACTTTCTCCTAAGTGTTGATGACCTTCATTCCTATTCATATTCTAAATTCTACTTCTGACATTTCAGCCATTTCAGCCTGGTTAAGAATTATTGCTGGGGAACTAGTGCAATCATTTGGAGGTAAGAAGACACTGAGTTTTTGAGTTGCCAGAGTTTTTGCACTGGTTATTTCTCATCCGTGTGGGCTGATGATTTTTGAAGTTGCTGTCCTTTGGATGAGTTTTTTTGCTTTTATCTTTTTTGATTCCTTTAGAGGTTTGATTGTGGTATAAAGTGGCCTCAGTCAACTGGCTTCTATTTTAGCCTGCTTCTGGGTCTTGGAGGAGCATCCTTTGATAGCTGTTTTTGTACCCATGTTTCTTTTGTTGGGTGTTCTGGAAGTTCTGCTCCCTCAGGCAGGGACTGCATTTTGTGGACAGGCTATATCCTTGCCAGGTCAGCCCTAATCTGGTGACCAAGTGCTTCCTGGTAGAACATGGGGTTGTGCCTGACTGCAGAATTCAGGCAGAAGTGGGACTGCTGGGCCAGAAGCTCTAAAAGGTGTTGCCCTCCTGGCAACCAGTGGCAGGGATAGGTGGGGTGATTCCCACCTTCTGGGTGTCTCCCAGGACAACAGGAGGCTGCACTCTTTGAGTTGCCATAGAAGCAGGTCTGCTCTATGGGCTACAAGCTCTAGCAAGCATTGCCTGCCTGGCTACCAGTGGTGAGTGTGGGTGGGGTTGCCCTCCCTGCCATGCAGGTATATCCTGGGACATTAGGAGGCTGAGCCCTCTGGCTAAGTTCACACAGAAGCAGAACTGCTGGTTCAGATGCTCTAGCAGTTGTCATCTGTCTGGCTGCAAGTGGTGGGGGTAGGCGGGGTCACCTGCCCTGCTGTTTGGGTATTTCCTGGGATAACAGGAGGCTACGCCCTTCCACTGAGTTCACAGAGAAGTAAGACTGCTGGGTCAGGCAATTTTATAGTTTTAAGTTTTACATTTATATCTATGGTCTATTTGGAGTTAACTTTTATATACAGTACAACTTATAGATTCAAATTCTTTTTTTCTATATTAACTTTCTATGCCTCAATTATTTTATGTGCAAAGTGGGATGATCACTAAATTAAATAATAACATAGTACATGTAAAGCTTTTAGCATATACTGTTACATCACTGTTATTAGATAAAAACTGGGAAACAGGTTGGAAAATAGGATACATTAAAGGCAGGTGGTAAGTGTGCTTTTCATGGATAACACAGGGCGAAAAAATTATGAAACATACTGTTGTCTCTAAAAAATGGTTTTATACTGAGTTTTTGTGTAGTTTTAAATCTAATATGTTTAATTGGATAGCAAATTTTGCTGGTATTGAAGCTAAATATAATGGGTAGTCAAATAATATGAATGAATATAAATTTTTTGTTATCATTTTTGTCTTTACTTCATGGACTCATTTTATTTTGCATATTTCACAGACTTTTGGATTGGTAAAATCAATTCTAGTTTATATAAAAGAAAAAGAGCATTACACATTCCTTGAAAGCTGTGGTGACCCTGGGGTCCCTGATTCATAATTGCTTCACCTTCTACACAAATGTTTAAGATACTGGCCAATGGGTGAGGCCAAGATCGCAGACTAGAAACAGTGGTGATCAGAGGCTTCCATCAAAAAGAACCATAATAAGCATGTAAATCCTTCACTGGCAACCAAGGTATCCAGATTGTCTTATCAGAACTGACTAGGAGGCTGGCATGATCTGTGGAGAGGAAGGAAGGGCAGTGCAGCACAGCGGCCCACCTAAGAGCCACACAGGGCAGGGGAATCTCCACCCCCCAGCCAAGGGAGGTGGTGAGTGAGTGTGCTACCTGGCCAGGTAAACCGTGCTTTTTCCATGGAACTGTGCAACCCATGAATCGAAAGATCACACTCGTGTACCCACGCCACTGGCGCCTAGTGTCTCACCCCAGAGCTGCGCATATTCTCAACAGTCTAGCAGCTGGAATCTGCTTAGCCTACCGAGCTCCCGGGGGGAGGGGTGACCAGCACCACAGCTGTGGCTGCCTGCTGTCTAAGCCATTTGAGCTCCTTGGGGGAAGGGCAGAAGCCAGCACCGGGACTCACAACTGCCTAACACGCTAAGCTCCCTGGGTGGGGGAAGGGCGGCATTCATCTCTATAGCTCCAGGCTGTGCTTTTACCCTGCTGAAGCCAGGGAGACTGGACAACTTGGTCCCAAGACATGTTCCCCCACAGCCCAACACACTGGCTGTGGCAGACTGGCCAGAGTGCCTCTTCAGGCGTGACCCTGACTCATCCTTACTGGGTGAGGCTTCCCTGCAGGAACTCCAATAACTCCAGCCAGAGGCTCCCGGACAGAACCTGGATCTCCCTGGGCCTGAGCCCCTAGGGGAAGGAGTACCTGCAGTCTTTGCAGAACAGCAGATTTAGCCTTTCCTCCTGGTAGTTCTGAGGAGTATAGACAGCCCAGATGAATGTGCTTCCCCCTAGTGAAGCACACCCCCTCCACCAAGGGGCAGTGAAAGTGATTCATTAAATGGGTCCTGTTCCCCGTGCCACCAAACTGAGTGAGACCTTCCAACAGGAGTTGTCTGTCAGACACCCTATACAGGAGCAATCCTACTGGCATCAGGTTGATGCCCCCTGAGGTCAGAGATCCCAGAAAAAAGAGCAGGCACCCATCTTTGCTGTTCTCAGCCTCCTTGAGTGACATCTCCAGGTGCGGGAGTGAACCAGATGAATGGGGCCTGAAGTGAACCCCCAGCAAACTGCAGCAGCCCTACAGAAGAGGGACCTGACCATTGAAAGAAAAACAAACAAAAAGTAACAACAATAGCATCGACAACAACAAAGAAGTCCCCACAGAAACCCATTCCAAAGGTCAGCAGCCTCAAATCGAAACTACACAAACTCACAAAGTTGAGAAGGAATCAATGAAAAGATGTTGAAAACCCAAAAGGCCAGAGTGTCTCTTCTTCTCCAAATGATTGCAACATTTCTCCAGCAAAAGTGCAGAACTGGACGGATAATGAGATGGACAAATAGACAGAAGTAGGCCTGAAAAGACAGTTGATAAAAAACTACGCTGAGCTAAAAGATCAAGTTCTAACCCAATGCAAAGGAGCTAAGAACCTTGATAAAGATTAAAGGAGCTGCTAACTAGAATATCCAGTTTAGAGAGGAACATAAATGACCTCATGGAGCTGGAAAACACAGCATGAAAACTTCATGAAGGATACACAAGTATCAATAGCTGAATTGACTGAGCAGAAGAAAGGATATCAGAGTTTGAAGACCACCTTGCTGAAATAAGGCATGCAGACAAGACTAGAGAAAAAAAATGAAGAGGAATGAAAAAAGACTCCAAGAAATGAGGGACTTCATAAAAAGACAAAACCTACTATTCACTAGAGTACCTGAAGGAGAGGAGGAGAATGGAGACAAGCTGGAAAACACACTTCAGGGTATTATCCAGGAGAATTTCCCCAACCTAGCAAGACAGGCCAACATGGAAATTTAGGAAATACAGAGAACACCACTAAAATAATCCACAAGCAGATCAACCCCCAGAGACATAATCTTCAGATTCTCAATGTTGAAATGAAGGAAAAAATGTTAAGGGCAGCCAGAGAGAAAGGTCAGGTCATCTACAAAGGGAAGCCCATCAGACTAATAGCAGACCTCCCAGCAGAAACCGTACAAGGCAGAAGAGATTGGGGGCCAATACTCAACATTCTTAAAGAAAAGAATTTTCAACCCAGAATTTCATATCCAGCCAGTAAGCTTCATAAGCAATGGAGAAATAAAATCCTTTTCAGACAAGCAAATGCTGAGAGATTTCATTACTACCAGGCCTGCCTTGCAAGAGCTCCTGAAAAAAGTGCTAAATATGGAAAAGAAAAACCAGTACCAGCCACTGCAAAAACACACCAAAATATAAAGGCCAAGACAATATGAAGAAACTGCACCAACAAGTGTGCAAAATAAGCAGCCAGCATCATGATGATGGGATCAAATTCACTCATAACAATACTAACATTAAATGTAAATGGGCTAAACGGCCCAATTAAAAGACACAGAGTGGCAAATTGGATAAAGAGTCAAGGCCCATTGGTGTGCTGAATCCAGGAGGCCCATCTCACATGCAAAGACACACAGGGGCTCAGAATAAAGGGATGGAGGAATATTTACCAAGCAAATGGAAAGCAAAAAAGGCAGGGCTTGCAATCCTAGTCTCTGACAAAACAGACTTTCAACCAACAAAGATAAAAAAAGACAAAAAACAGCATTACATAATGGTAAAGGGAACAATTCAACAAGAAGAGCTAACTATTCTAAATATATATGCACCAAATACAGGAACATCCAGATTCATAAAACAAGTTCTTAGAAACCTACAAGGAGACCTAGACTCCCACACAATAATAGTGGGAGAATTTAACACCCCACTGTCAATATTAGACAGATCAACAAGACAGAAAATTAACAAGGATATTCAGGACTTGAACTCAGCTCTGGATCAAGTGGATCTAATAGACATCTACAGAACTCTCCACCACATTTCAACAGACTATATATTCTTCTCAGTGCTACATGGCACTTATTCTAAAATCAACCTCATAATTGGAAGTAAACCACTCCTTAGGAAATGCAAAAAAAACCTCTAAAATCATAAGCAACAGTCTCTTAAACCACAGCGCAATCAAATTAGAACTCAGCATTAAAAAACTCACTCAAAACCACACAATTATAGGGAAATTGAACAACCTGCTCCTGAATGACTCCTGGGTAAATAATGAAATTAAGGCAACAATCAAGAAGTTTTTTGAAACCAATGAGAAGAAAGGGACAATGTACCAGAATCTCTGGGACACAGCTAAAGCACTGGTAAGAGGAACAGTTATAGCACTAGATGCCCACATCAGAAAGCTAAAAAAGGAAGATGGCCGAATAGGAACAGCTCCAGTCTACAGCTCCCAGCATGAGCGATGCAGAAGATGTATGATTTCTGCATTTCCAACTGAGGTACTGGGTTCATCTCACTGGGGATTGTTGGACAGTGGGTGCAGGACAGTGGGTGCAGTGCAACGAGCATGAGCTGAAGCAGGGTGAGGCATTGCCTCACCCAGGAAGCACAAGGGGTCAGGGAATTCCCTTTCCTAGCCAAGGAAAGGGGTGACAGACAGCACCTGGAAAATCAGGTCACTTCCACCCTAATACTGTGCTTTTCCAACAGTCTTAGCAAATGGCACACCAGGAAATTGTATCCTGTGCATGACTTGGAGGGTCCTACACCCACGGAGCCTTGCTCATTGCTAGCACAGCAGTCTGAGATAAAACTGCAAGGTGGCAGCGAGGCTGGGGAGGGGCGCCAGCCATTGCTGAAGCTTGAGTAGGTAAACAAAGAGGCCAGGAAGCTTGAACTGGGTGGAGCCCACTGCAGCTCACGGAGGCCTGCCTGCCTCTGTAGACTCCACCACTGGGGGCAGGGCATAGCCAAACAAAAGGCAGCAGAAACCTCTGCAGACTTAAATGTCCCTGTCTGACAGCTTTGAAGAGAGTAGTGGTTCTCCCAGCATGCAGCTTGGGATCTGAGAACGCACAGACTGCCTCCTCAAGTGGGTCCCTGACCCTCGAGTAGCCTAACTGGTAGGCACCCCCCAGTAGGGGCAGACTGACACCTCACATGGCTGGGTACTCCTCTGAGACAAAACTTCCAGGGGAACGATCAGGCAGCAACATTTGCTGTTCACCAATATCCGCTGTTCTGCAGCCACTGCTGCTGATACCCAGGCAAACAGGATCTGGAGTGGACCTCCAGCAAACTCCAACAGACCTGCAGCTGAGGGTCCTGACTGTTAGAAGGAAAACTAACAAACAGAAAGGACATCCACACCAAAACCTCATCCGTACGTCACCATCATCAAAGACCAAAGGTAGATAAAACCACAAACATGGGAAAAAAACAGAGAAGAAAAACTGAAAATTCTAAAAATCAGAATGCCTCTCCTCCTCCAAAGGAACGCAGCTCCTCACCAGCAAAGCTCAAAGCTGGACGGAGAATGACTTTGATGAGTTGAGAGAAGAATGCTTCAGATGATCATACTACTCTGAGGTAAAGGAGGAAGTTCGAGCCCATGGCGAAGAAGTTAAAAACCTTGAAAAAAGATTAGACAAATGGCTAACTAGAATAACCAATGCAGAGAAGTCCTTAAAGGACCTGATGGAGCTGAAAACCACGGCATGAGAACTACATGATGAATGCACAAGCCTCAGTAGCTGATTCGATCAACTGGAAGAAAGGGTATCAGTGATGGAAGATCAAATGAATGAAATGAAGTGAGAAGAGAAATTTAGAGAAAAAAGAATAAAAAGAAACAAAGCCTCCAAGAAATATGGGACTATGTGAAAAGATGAAATCCATGTCTGATTGGTGTATCTTAAAGTGACAGGGAGAATGGAACCAAGTTGGAAAACACTCTGCAGGATATTATCCAGGAGAACTTCCCCAATCTAGCAAGGCAGGCCAACATTCAGATTCAGGAAATACAGAGAACACCACAAAGATACTCCTCGAGAAGAGCAACTCCAAGACACATAATTGTCAAATTCACCAAAGTTGAAATGAAGGAAAAAATGTTAAGGGCAGCCAGAGAGAAAGGTGGGGTTACCCACAAAGGGAAGCCCATCAGACTAACAGCTGATCTCTCGGCAGAAACTCTACAAGCCAGAAGAGAGTGGGGGCCAATCTTCAACATTGTTAAAGAAAATAATTTTCAACCCTGCATTTCATATCCAGCCAAACTAAGCTTCATAAGTGAAGGAGAAATAAAATACTTTACAGACAAGCAAATGCTGAGAGATTTTGTCACCACCAGGCCTGCCCTAAAAGAGCTCCTGAAGGAAGCACTAAACATGGAAAGGAACAACCGGTAACAGCCACTGCAAAAACATGCCAAAATGTAAAGACCATCGAGGCTAGGAAGAAACTGCATCAACTAACTAGCAAAATAACCAGCTAACATCATAATGACAGTACCAAATACACACATAACAACATTAACTTTAAATGTAAATGGGCGAAATGCTCCAATTAAAAGACACAGACTGGCAAATTGGATAAAGAGTCAAGACCCATCAGTGTGCTGTATTCAGAAACCCATCTCACATGCAGAGACACACATAGACTCAAAATAAAGGGATGGAGGAAGATCTACAAAGCAAATGGAAAACAAAAAAAGGCAGGGGTTGTAATCCTAGTCTCTGATAAAACAGAATTTAAACCCACAAAGATCAAAAGAGACAAAGAAGGCCATTACATAATGGTAAAGGGATCAATTCAACAAGAAGAGCTCACTATCCTAAATATATGTGCACACAATACAGGAGCACCCAGATTCATAAAGCAAGTCCTTAGAGACCTACAAAGAGACTTAGACTTCCACACAATAATAATGGGAGACTTTAACACCCCACTGTCAACATTAGACAGATCAACGAGACAGAAAGTTAACAAGGATATCCAGGAATTGAACTCAGCTCTGCACCAAGTGGACCTAAGAGACATCTACAGAAGCCTCCACCCCAAATCAACAGAATGTACATTCTTTTCAGCACCACACCACACCTATTCCAAAATTGACCACATACTTGGAAGTAAAGCACTCCTCACCAAATGTAAAAGAACAGAAATTATAACAAACTGTCTCACAGACCATAGTGCAATCAAACTAGAACTCAGGATTAAGAAACTCACTCAAAACCGCTCAACTACATGGAAACTGAACAACCTGCTCCTGAATGACTACTGGGTACATAACGAAATGAAGGCAGACGTAAAGATGTTCTTTGAAACCAATGAGAACAAAGACACAACATACCAGAATCTCTGGGACACATTCAAAGCAGTGTGTAGAGGGAAATTTATAGCACTAAATGCCCACAAGAGAAAGCAGGAAAGATCTACAATTGACACCCTAACATCACAATTAAAAGAACTAGAGAAGCAAGAGCAAACACATTCAAAAGCTAGCAGAAGGCAAGAAATCACTAAAATCAGAGCAGAACTGAAGGAAATAGAGACACAAAAAACCATTCAAAAAATTAATGAATCCAGGAGCTGGTTTTTTGAAAAGATCAACAAAATTGATAGACTGGTAGCAAGACTAATAAAGAAGAAAAGAGGGAAGAATCAAATAGACACAATAAAAAATGATAAAGGGGATATTACCACCGATCCCACAGAAATACAAACTACCATCAGAGAATACTACAAACACCTCTACACAAATAAACTAGAAAATCTAGAAGAAATGGATAAATTCCTCAACACATACACACTCCCAAGACTAAACCAGGAAGAAGTTGAATCTCAGAATAGACCAATAACAGGATCTGAAATTGTGGCAATAATCAATAGCTTACCAACCAAAAAGAGTCCAGGACCAGATGGATTCACAGCCGAATTCTACCAGAGGTACAAGGAGGAACTGGTACCATTCCTTCTGAAACTATTCCAATCAATAGAAAAAGAGGGAATCCTCCCTAACTCATTTTATGAGGCCAGCATCATCCGGATACCAAAGCCTGGCAGAGACACAACCAAAAAAGAGAATTTTAGACCAATATCCTTGATGAACATTGATGCAAAAATCCTCAATAAAATACTGGCAAACCGAATCCAGCAGCACATCAAAAAGCTTATCCACCATGATCAAGTGGGCTCCATCCCTGGGATGCAAGGCTAGTTCAACATACGCAAATCAAGAAATGTAATCCAGCATATAAACAGAACCAAAGACAAAAACCACATGATTATCTCAATAGATGCAGAAAAGGCCTTTGACAAAATTCAACAACCCTTCATGGTACAAACTCTGATTAAATTAGGTATTGATGGGACGTATCTCAAAATAATAAGAGCTATGTACGACAAACCCACAGCCAATATCAGACTGAATGGGCAAAAACTGGAAGCTTTCTCTTTGAAAACTGGCACAAGACAGGGATGCCCTCTCTCACCACTCCTATTCAACGTAGTGTTGGAAGTTCTGGCCAGGGCAATTAGGCAGGAGAAGGAAATAAAGGATATTCAATGAGGAAAAGAGGAAGTCAAATTGTCCCTGTTTGCAGATGACATGATTGTATATCTAGAAAACCCCATCGTCTCAGCCCAAAATCTCCTTAAGCTGATAAGCAACTTTGGCAAAGTCTCAGGATACAAAATCAATGTACAAAAATTACAAGCATTCTTATACACCAATAACAGACAAACAGAGAGCCAAATCATGAGTGAACTCCCATTCACAATTGCTTCAAAGAGAATAAAATACCTAGGAATCCAACTCACAAGGGATATGAAGGACCTCTTCAAGGAGAACTACAAACCACTGCTCAGTGAAATAAAAGAGGATACAAACAAATGGAAGAACATTCCATGCTCATGGATAGGGAGAATCAATATCGTGAAAATGGCCATACTGCCCAAGGTAATTTATAGATTCAATGTCATCCCCATCAAGATACCAATGGCTTTCTTCACAGAATTGGAAAAAACTACTTTAAATTTCATATGGAACCAAAAAAGAGCCTGCATTGCCAAGTCAATCCTAAGCCAAAAGAACAAAGCTGGAGGCATCACACTACCTGACTTCAAACTATACTACAAGGCTACAGTAACCAAAACAGCATGGTACTGGTACCAAAACAGAGATATAGATCAATGGAACAGAACAGAGCCCTCAGAAATAATGCCGCATATCTACAACCATCTGATCTTTGACCAACTTGACAAAAACAAGCAATGGGGAAAGGATTCCCTATTTAATAAATGGTGCTGGGAAAACTGGCTAGCCATATGTAGAAAGCTGAAACTGGATCCCTTCTTAACACCTTATACAAAAATTAATTCAAGATGGATTAAAGACTTACATGTTAGACCTAAAACCATAAACCCTAGAAGAAAACCTAGGTATTACCATTCAGGACATAGGCATGCGCAAGGTCTTCATGAATAAAACACCAAAAGCAATGGCAACAAAAACCAAAATTGACAAACATGATGCAATTAAACTAAAGAGCTTCTGCACAGCAAAAGAAACTACCATCAGAGTGAACAGGCAACCTACAAAATGGGAGAAAATTTTTGCAACCTACTCATCTGACAAAGGGCTAATATCCAGAATCTACAATGAACTCAAACAAATTTACAAGAAAAAAACAAACAACCCCATCAACAAGTGGGCAAAGGATATGAACAGACACTTCTTCAAAAGAAGATATTTATGCACCCAAAAAACACATGAAAAAATTCTCTTCATCACTGGCCGTCAGAGAAATGCAAATCAAAACCGCAATGAGATACCATCTCACACCAGTTAGAATGGCAATCATTAAAAAGTCAGGAAACAACAGGTGCTGGAGAGGATGTGGAGAAATAGGAATACTTTTACACTGTTGGTGGGTTTGTAAACTAGTTCAACCATTGTGGAAGTCAGTGTGGCGATTCCTCAGGGATCTAGAACTAGAAATACCATTTGACGCAGCAATCCCATTACTGAGTATATACCCAAAGGATTATAAATCATGCTGCTATAAAGACACATGCATACGTATGTTTATTGCGGCATTATTCACAATAGCAAAGACTTGGAACCAACCCAAATGTCCAACAACAATAGTCTGGATTAAGAAAATGTGGCACATATACACCATGGAATACTATGCAGCCATAAAAAATGAAGAGTTCATGTCCTTTGCAGGGACATGGATGAAACTGGAAACCATCATTCTCAGCAAACTATCGCAAGGACAAAAAACCAAACACCGCATGTTGTCACTCATAGGTGGAATTGAACAATGAGAACACGTGGACACAGGAAGGGGAACATCACACTCTGGTGACTGTTGTGGGGTGGGGGAAAGGGGGAGGGATAGCATTAGGAGATATACCTAATGCTAAATGATGAGTTAGTGGGTGCAGCACACCAACATTGCACATGTATACATATGTAACAAACCTGCACATTGTGCACATGTACCCTAAAACTTAAAAGTATAATAATATTAAAATAAAAAAATAAAAATAAATTATACCTGAGAAGCAGGACAGAAAAAAAAAACTACATCATCTCAATAGACGTCGAAGAAACATTTGACAAATTACAGTCTCTTTCTGATAAAAACCCTCAACAAACTAGAAAGAACATATCTAAAAATAATAAAGGCCATATATGACAAAACCATTGCCAATATCATACTGAAGAAACAAATGTGGAAAAGTTTCCTCTAAGAACTGGACAAGAGAAGGATGCCTATTTTCACCACTGTTGTTCAACATTGCTAGTACTGGAAGTCCTGGCCAGAGCAATCTGGCAAAAGAAAGAAATAAGTGGTATCCAAAGTGGGAAAGAATAAGTAAAATTATTCCTCTTCACTGATGGTACAATCTTATGTCTAGAAAACCCTAGAGAGTCCACAAAAACATTAACTTTGATAAATGAATTCAGTAAAGTTTCTGTATATAAAAGCAGTGTTCCAAAGTCAGTAGCATTTCCATACATCAATAACAATCCAGTAGAGAATCAAATCAAGAAGGCCATACTATTTACAATAGCTACAAAAGATAAAATGCCTAATAGTTTATTTGTGTAGATAAAAGATCTCTATAAGGACAAGTGTAAAGCACTGATGAACGAAATTGTAGATGACACAAACAAATGGAAAAACATTCCATACTTATGGATCAGAAGAATTTTTTTACATTGTATTTTATTCATTTATTTTTAATTTTTTTAACTTTTAAGTTCAGGATACATGTGCAGGTTTGTTATATAGGTAAACTTGTGTCATGGGGGTTTGTTGTACAGATTATTTCATCACCACCAACGTATTAAGCCTAGTACTTATTAGTTGTTTTTCCTGATCCTCTCCCTGCTCCCACACTCTACCCTCCAATAGGCCTCTGTGTGTGTTATTCCCCTCTACGTGTCCATGTGTTCTAATCATTTAGCTCCCACTTACAAGTGAGAACATGTGGTATTTGGTTTTTCTGTTCCTGCATTAGTTTGCTAAGGATAATGGCCTCCATCCATGGTCCCTACAAATTACACGATCTCATTCCTTTATTTTATTTATTTATTTATTTATTTATTTATTTATTGAGATGGAGTCTCACTCTGTCACCCAGGCTGGAGTGCAGTGGCACAATCTCTGTTCACTGCAAGCTCCGCCTCCCGGGTTCATGCCATTCTCCTGCCTCAGCCTCCCGAGTAGCTGGGACTACAGGCGCCCGCCACCATGCCCAGCTAACTTTTTGCATTTTTAGTAGAGACGGGATTTCACCGTGTTAGCCAGGATGGTCTCGATCTCCTGACCTTGTGATCCACCCACCTCAGCCTCCCACAGTGCTGGGATTACAGTCGTGAGCTACTGCACCCGGCCCTCATTCTTTTTTATGGCTTTTTATTCTGTGGTATATGCGCACCACATTTTCTTTATCCAGTCTATCATTGATGGGCATTTAAGTTGATTCCGTGTCTTTGCCATTATGAATAGTGCTGCAGTGTCCATACACATGCATGTGTCTTTATAATAGAACAATTTATATTTCTTTGGGTATATATCCAGTAATGGGATTGCTGGGTAGAATGTTATTCTACCCGGGAGGCAGAGGTTGCAATGAGCCGAGCTTGTGCCATTGCACTCCAGCCTGGGCGACAAGAGCAAAACTGTATCTAAAAAAACAAGCAAAAATAAAACAGACACACAGATAAATGGAGAAGAATAGAGAACGCAGAAATAAAGCCACATATTTGCACCCAACTAATCTTTGACGAAATCAGCAAGCACATACACGATTGAAAGGACAACCTTTTCAATAAATGGTGCTGGGAAAACTGGACAGTAGCTGGGAAGTTAAATTAGTATAACCTTTATGGAAAACAGTATGGAGATTTCTGAAGGAGCTAAAAATTGAAATATCATTTGATCCAGCAATCCCATGACTATCTGCCCAAAGGAAATGAAATTATTATATGAAAAATATATCTGGTTCTGTATGTTTATAGCAGCACTATTCTCAATAACAAAGATACAGAATCAACCTAAGTGTTCATCAATGCAAGATTGACTAAAGAAAATGTGGTATTACTGTGAGATACTATATAAAACAAACATCACCAAGGCATGTAGTCACCAGACAACCAAAAGTCAATGCTAAAGAAAAAATCTTAAAAGCAGCTAGAGAAAAAGGTCAAATCATATACAAAGTGAACCCTATTAGGCTAACAGTGGACTTCTCAACAGAATCCTTGCAAGCCCGAAGAGATTGGGCTAGATGCAAAGATTCTCATCAACCAAACCCGGCAGCACATCAAAAAGTTAGTTCACCATGATTGAATAGGCTTCATTCCTGGGATGCAAGGTTGGTTCAACATGTGCAAATCAATAATTGTGATTCACCACATAAACAGAATTAAAAACAACAACCATATGATCATCTCAATACATGCAGAAAAAGCTTTTAATAAAATCCACATTCTTTAATGATAAAAACCCTCAACCAACTGGGCATTGAAGGAACATATCTCACAATAACAAGAAGCATCTATGACAACCCACAGCCAACATCAAGAGAAAGAGAAAACAGAATGATATGATTTTATATCTAGAAAACCCTAAAGACTCCACAAAAAGTCTTATCTTTGATAAATGAATTTGATAACATCGTACTGGAAGTTCTAGCCAGAACAACCAGGCAAGCAAAAGAAATAAAAGGCATACACATAGGAAAAGAAGTCAAATTATCTCTTTGCTGACAGTGTGATTCTATATGTAGAAAACATAAAGATTACACCAAAAGCCTCCTAGAACTGATAAATGACTTCAGTAAAGTTCCAAGATGCAAAATCAGTGCATAAAAATTAGTAACATTTCTGTGCACCAATAATGTTCAAGTTGAGAGCCAAATCAAGAATGTAATTCTATTTATAATAGTCACACAAAGAAATAAAATACCTAGGAATACATCTAACCAGGAAGTTCAAAGATCTCTACAAGGAGAACTACAAAACACTGCTGAAAGAAATCACAGATAATACAAACAAATGGAAAACCATTTCATGCTCGTGGATCAGAAGAATCAATATCATTGAAATGACCCTGCTACCCAAAGCAATCTATAGATTCAACACTGTTCCTATCAAACTACCAATGTCATTTTTCACATAATTAGAAAAAAAATTCTAAAATTCATATGGGCCCCCAAAAAGCCCCAGTAGCCAAAACAATCCTAAGCAAAAAGAACAAAGCTGGAGGTATCACATTACCAGATTTCAAACGATACTACAAGGTTACAGTATGCTACTGGTTAAAAAACAGGTATATAGACCAATATAACAGAAAAGAGAACCCAGAAATAAAGCTGTACACCTACAACCACCTGATCTTTGACAAAGTTGACAAAAATAAGCAATAGGGAAAACACTCCATATTCAATAAACGGTGCTGTGATAACTGGCTAGCCATATGCAGAAGAATGACACTGGATCTCTATCTTTCACCATATACAAAAATTAACTCAAGATGGGTTAAAGGTTTAGATGTAAAACCTCAAACTCTAAACATTCTAGAAGAAAACCTATGAAATACCATTCTGGATATCAGCCTTGACTAAGGATTTATGACAGTCCTTAAAAGCAACTGCAGCAAGAACAAATTTGACAATGGTACATAGTTAAACTGAAGGGCTTCTGCACAGCAAAGGAAACTATCAAGAGAGTGTTTTTTGTTGTTGTTGTTTTTTTGTTTATTTATTTTTTTTTTTGGTGAGTTTCCACATGATTATCTCTTTTATCGTTCTTCAAGTTTCAGGTTAAATTCTTATAAAGTTCTTCCCTGGTCATCTCATCTAATTATGATTCACCACCCAGGCATTCTTGTTTCCCATTATAGTGCTTTATTTTTTTATTTATCTCCTGCAGCACTTATCTTAGCTTATAATTACATTTTATGTTTACTTATTTACCTGTTTATGGACTATCTTTTGCTTAGATTCTAAACTTCATGATTGTAGATATTACGACTTTTATTTATTATAATATAACTAACACTTAAACTATGACTGTTTACCACCAAATAACTAGTGCCTGACATTATTTGTTAAATGAATGAGTAAATGAATATATCTGAGTGTCCTTAGGGATTCTTGATAAATCTATGAAATCTGGGGGCAAGTCGCCACATGTATGCTTAGTATAGTATTATACATCATTTTTACTGGGTTGTGCTGAATACATTTGATGGTTTGGGAATTTTGTTTGTGCTAAATTGGTATAGAGAAATATAACTAGGGGTTGAGTAGTCTTAGAGACTGTGCCATTTTTACATACCTCTGCTAAGTCATTACTAGGGAATTGGGTTACACACTGGCCTATTTACAGTGTAGTTGCAGTTTGGCAAGACCAAGTCCGTGGCCAGTCATCTGGGTCTCAGGTCTTTCTTTAGCTCTGGAACGGTGAGACAAAAGCACTCCTGTCTTTCTAAAGCTGATGAAGAACAGACTTCTTCCCTGGAAAAGGGCCGAATAGTAATGTGCCTCTAAGGACTGCACTGAGTAATCCTTTAGAGCAAGGTGCAGTCAAAGCTGGTTAAAATCACACCATTTCATAACTGTTTACAGGCAAAGACATACACCAGGAAGCTGCAAAGAAAGAGAGCTGGTTGCACAAGGAACAGCAGCTTGGATCTGTTCTTTCACGCCCTTGAGCTGTTTGTTTAGCACTGCATGGAAACAGATTTCCTGGTTTGTCTGTTAAACCTTCAGCTGCCCCTTTGTGTCTAACTTATTGATAAGATGCCTGCATATGTCTTACAGTTTTCCACCTTGAGCTTTAAAGTTTAAATGACACTCCTGTTTCTCTACTACTTCCTTGAAAGAAAAGATTTAGTGATATTTTAGGAAAATTGCGTAAAAGAGAATCATACCTCTTAGAAGTTTCCAGCATGTTACTAACATATAAAAATTTCCATTCTCTCCTTGAGGGATGAGACTGTGTTTCCACCAATGTGTCCACTAGTGTTTCAGTATTCAGTCTTTTCTGAGTGGTGATGAAAAGACTGTTGTTCTTGGAATTTAAAGCAGGGTTAAAATTATGACTCCATCACTTAACAATTTGAGGACTTCAGACAAGTCACTTAATATCTCTGAGCCTCAATTTCCTTACATAAAATAGAAATAACAGCTGTTTTAACCTATAGGGTTATTTTGAGAATCAAATAGAAGAATGGATATGAAGGTACTTTGTATCCTGGAAAGCTCTTTGCAAATGTAAAGTAATACTGTCCTTGCCAAGGGTTTTCTCTCCCTTTCTGTAAAGAAAAAGTTGACATTTTCAAACCATTAGTTAATCGTTCCTGTAGGGCCACACCTGTTTGCAGACAGAACAGGTGTGAGGCTCTATGTTGAGATTTGGACCAAAGATGAAAAGAAACCCTAGAGTCTTTTAAGTGAATTTTAAGCATGACAGCCTTCAAAAAGAGGAAAGCTGGCTCATATAAAACATTTTTCCTTGTCATATCTCTTCTAACAAGGCCCCTTTGGAAGTACAAACTTATGATGGAAAGCACTGATAGAGTTCAGAACATGTTACTCCAAAATGCCATATTGGCATTTGAGAAAACAACAAAAGCAGGAAGGTCATTCTCTGACCTTCTCCTGTCCTTCACTCCTGAAGCAGGTCATAAGACCCTCATTCTAGAGGTATCCTTCCTATACCTAGAGAAAAAGAACATCCTTACCTCTAAGGATAGTAAGAGACACAGAGAAGAATCTGAACCTATAGGCCTTGCTAAGTTCCTGTCAGTTTATTAATATTAGATTATACCCTTTTGTCTGATCATACTTCTTGTGTTAGTCTGTTTTGCATTGCTATAAAGGAATACCTGAAGATAGGTAATTTATAAAGAAAAGGGGTTTATTTGGATCATGGTCCTGCAAACTGTACAAGAAACCTGGAGCTAGCATCTGCTTCTGGTAAGGGTCTGGGGATGCTTACAGTCATGTTGGAAGGCAAAGAGATAGCAGGCATGTTATACAATGATAGAGGGAGCAAGAGAGGAAGAGGTGCCAGGCTCTTTTTAACAACCAGCTTGTATTAGTTCATTTTCTTACTGCTATAAAGACTGCTTGAGGCTGGGTAATTTATGTTTGGAAAGGAAAGAGGTTTAATTGACTCACAGTTCAACATGGCTGGGGAGGCCTTAGGAAACTTAAAATCATGGCGGAAGGCAAAGGGAAGCAAGGCAACTTCTTCACAAGGTGGCAGGAAGGAGAAGTGCCAAGAGTTAAGGGGGAAGAGCCCCATATAAAACCATCAGATATCGTGAGAACTCGCTCATTATCACATGAAGAGCATGGGGGAAACCAATTATGTCCACCTGATCTCTTTCTTGACATGTGGGGATTATGGGGATTATAATTCCTGATAATATTTGGGTGGGGACACAAAGCCTAACCACATCATTTTGCCTCTCTTCCCTCCCAAATCTCATGTCCCTTTCACATTTTAAAACCAATCGTGCATTCCCAACAGTCCCCCAAAGTCTTAATTAATTCCAGCATTGCCCCAAAAAGTCCAAGTGCAAAGCCTCATTTGAGACAAAGCAAGTCCCTTCTGTCTATGAGCCTGTAAAATCAAAAGCAAGTTTGTTACTTCTAAGATACAATGAGGATACAGGCATTGGGTAAATATACCCATTACAAATGGGAGAAATTGACCAAAACGAAGGGGCTACAGGCCCCATGCAAGTCTGAAATCCAATAGGGCAGTCCAATCTTAAAGCTCCAAAATGATCTCCTTTGACTCCATATCTCACATCCAGGTCACACTGATGCAAGAGGTGGGCTACCATGGTCTTGAGCAGCTCCACCCCTGTGGCTTTGCAGGGTACAGCCCCTGTCCTGGCTGCTTTCACAGGCTGGCATTGTCTGCAGCTTTTGTAGGTGCACAGTGCAAGCTGTTGGTGGATCTACAATTCTGGTGTCTGGAGGATGGTGACTCTCTTCTTACAGCTCCACTAGGCAGCTCCCCAGTGGGGACTCTGTGTGAGGGCTCTGACCCCACATTTCTCTTCTGCACTACCCTAGCAGAGGTTCTCCATGAGGGCCCCACCCCTACAGCAAACTTCTGCCTAGACATCCAGGCATTTCCATCCATCCTCTGAAATCTAGGTGGAGGTTCCCAAACCTCAACTCTTGACTTTTGCGTGCCTTCACGATCAACATCACATGTAAACTGACAAGGCTTGGGGCTTGCACCCTCTGAAGCAATGGCCTGAGCAGTAAATTGGCCCTTTTTAAGCCACGGCTGGGATGCAGGGCACCACATCTCATCTCGAGACTGCCCAAAACAGCAAAGCCCTGGGCCCGGCCCATGAAACCATTTTTTCCTCCTAGGCCTCTGGGCCTGTGATGGGAGGGGCTGCCGTGAAGGTCTCTGATGTGCTCTGGAGACATTTTCCCCATTGTCTTGGTGATTAACATTTGATTCCTCATTACTTATGCAAATTTCTGCAGCAGGCTTGAATGTCTCCTCAGAAAATGGGTTTTTCTTTTCTATTGCATCTTGAGGCTGCAAATTTTCCAAACTTTTATGTGCTGCTTCTCTTTTAAACATAAGTTTCAATTCCTTTATATCTATATTTGCAGGAATATTGTATTTATTAAAAGAGGCTATAGATGCATTAAGTTAATAGAGCTAACCCATTACTCAATTGTAAAGGAAAATAGAAGCACCTTCTTCATACATATCAACCTGATTAAAAGTCAGTTTAATTTGTTGTATCACATAACATTTATTTTTTTATCCGGGCAATAATTTGATTAAAAGCAATCCTATGTTTCTGGTCTTAAAATTCATCAGGATAGCTTTAGGGGTTTAATTAGAGATTTTGTTAATTTATCATAATTGTCATGGAAGAAGACCTTGTCGAAATAATTTCAGATAGTTTGGGAAAAACAGGAATATATGTGGTTGTGAGTAATACATGTGGTCAAGCAGAAGATGGACTTTTTTCTTTGTATCTGAATCTGCTAATTTCCTAAAAGTATTACTCTACTTATATTTACCTCAAAACATAGAAATATAGATTATGAATTATATGTTTATAATAATATAATTATAAATAATAATTTATATTACAAAAGAAAAAGCAATAGGTTCAGATTTGCAGTGGGGATATCAGTTAGATAATCACTTTAACTGAGTGACTGCCCAGGATATTTAGTGAAAGTTCATTCTGTGTGACAAGTTTAGCTTTAGCAGCAAGCATGACTTGTTTCCTTCCATCTCTGCCCCCAACCCCAGTTTTTTAAGACTTTACCTACTTGGAAATGCAAACAGAGCAGACTCTCCCCCTACTGAGACGGCCAAGTTCCTAAAAAACTCTAAGAAAATTCATAGGTAAAGAATACAAGACATTATCAGATAAACAGAGACTGAAGTTTTAGAAACACATAAGGGTTCTTATAAATAATCTTAAAGTCAAGAATATAAAACACCAAATACAGTGCATAACACTTCATCCATTTGATATTAATAATAATACATACTTTATAAATAATTTCCACCTATCCATCAGTACTTTTTGCTTATAAAATTTTCAAGGATCTCTGTCTGCTAGAGTTTCAAAGAGATATAAAAAGTGTTCAGTTTGCCTTCTGAGAGATAATACATACATGAAGAGATGATATCTTTTGTGTCTGAATGCCTTAATGGTCCGGAGTTGTTGACTTTGTCTCCAGATTCCACTGTGGTCCCACAAATATACTGTAACTTAGATATCTGACATTGATCTAGTTTTGAGAATTCTTTATTTTACATATTTGGCATAACTAAGTAGTTAATTCCTAAATTATATCCTCAACCCAAGATTTTATAGCTATGGCTCTGATCACTGCAATTTGCATAAAATCACACCACCACAGCTCTTAAGTATAACTCAACTTCCTACCCACTCACAGAAGTAGAAGTGTAATTCCAATGCTCAAGGTTACTTTTCCTCAGCCTTTCTATCTCTGAAGAAGGTCCAATGCAAACATTTATATTGCTGCTCTGAGATACACTCTATCTTTTCTATTACCAACTACTACTTTCTTCTTTTTCTGCTTATCTCTGATAGGAATGACATACAATTTATCTTCAAGAATTGAAATTCCCATGGTTGCTAAAAAAGTGTGCAGGAGATTCGAACTTTTGGTAAGAGAAAATTGCTATTGTAAAAAGATTCTTGTACTCAGGTAAAGGTAATGGATTTGATTTTTTTGAATGTTTTCATATCTCAACGAGGTGAGTTTATGAGATTGTCTCTTGAGAGAACTTTTAGATGGCCAAGGTGTCAGGGTGGGGGAATCAAGAGGAACCAGAAGGCTTATGTCCTTGATCAAGTGGACAGGGGTCTATATAGAAAAGTTGAGGAGAGTTCTGAAGGAAAGGCGCTAGCAACACTGAGGATAAACTGTCCATTTCACTGTTTTACCTAAAGTAGAAATAAAGTCACTATTCTCAAAGAACTTGAAATCTAGTTTTTGTAGTAAGAATTTCTTGTGTTGGGGTTGTGAATCACTGGACTATATTACCAAAGCAATTTGTAGTCTTTTGAGAATTTTTCAGTGGAAAAGTTTGGTTACAGTACTTTCTGGAGTGGACTGGCTTAACTGTAATACTGTGCTATATACTATGATTCTGAGATTGTGACTGAGGAAATACATTAGGCAAAAGCAGACTATTTTCAGCCATTGTGTATTTTAGAAAAATACTATCTAATCATTTGGTTAACTTTATCCTCTATTTTACCTGTTTTAAATGTTAGCCTGGTGCATGGTAAGTAAACAATACTTATAAGTTATTTTTAGCAGAATTATGAACACAATTATTGTTTTTAATCAAGAATATTTCTGTAGTATAAGTTAAGGCCTATGTTTGCTATTTCCCTTCTTTTTGTTAGGTCTGTTCTTTATTCATGATTGACCCTTCTTATTTAGGTGTCTTTATTTCCTGGCCTAAAAATCCTATTCCTAAATTTTCTCATACCACCTTGAGCAAAATGCCTTTTACTACTTCAGGAGGTCAGTAGACCCAAGGAACAGGTCAATGTAAAAGACTCAACAGGAACAATGTAGAGTGGATAATCTTGCATTAAGAAGATCATATCTTCTTGCCAACTTTTGCCTACTGAGGAATTTAAAGAAGTTAAACACTAAGTCTAACAGAAGTTACATTTTTTCTCTTTCTGTCTCTCAAAAATTCTATGGAGGAGCCATGGCAGACATTTTTACCCTAGGAACATTGGGAAGGGCAAAAAATAGTGTCTAGTGAATATCTATGATTACATGAAGCAAGCTATTTTATAGCTTTTTTTTGAATTGTGGTGTATGGTCTTAGATTTTGGTGGAAGCAATCTAAATGAAAGGACTTCCTGAGAGATGGATCCCAGATACAAGAACTCATTAGGGCAACAAGTACTAAGTAGTAGTATTAATAAAGAAGTTAATAATAATAATATCAAAGATAGCCTTCAAGATCTTGATGTTTTCTCAATCCTGAAAGTCAGGTTAAAATGTTCAGTGTAGTTTCAATGGCAAGACTATTTTACTTTAAGCCAAATCAAGTTTCACATTCATTATGATTCTCTGGTTCTTTGTGTGAACTCTCTGAAACATGGAGTTCTGATCTTTGACTGAAGTTTTTCTAGAAGTTCACTTTCCTCTGAGTTATTTGGTGAATGATAAATAGTAATTTGTAGCCCATTCCCTGCCTCTATCCCCCTGCACTTCACCTACTGATCATATACTTAGACTTGATTCTTTCCACTGGAGTTTTCAGTTGGACTTCATAGGTTTTTCTTGTCCTTACTTCATTGAGTGACCTGCTCAGGTATCTTGGAAATTTTGTTGGCATGAATTCTTCTCTGAGTCCCATTGCTTATTTCCTCCTCTTATGTCTTCCTTCATAGTTTTCTTAGATATTATACAATATTTTGAACACATACAGTTCTCTGACAGAATTACTCACTACTCAATACTCAGTGAATTCACTTATTACTCATACAATTCTCTTGAAGAATCCTGACAAGTTACTGTATCTTGGAAAAATTATCTTTGTGTTCTAGTTAAAACGACATTTCCTTGAATGATTGCCTTACTTCTCTCTTCAGCTCCTGGAAGCACCAAGTTCTTGTAGTTATTTCATGGGACCACCCTGAAGAGCTTCTTTTAACTTGAGGCCAGTCACTTCTATGCCTCCCAAATTGCAGTCATGTCTGTGAATGTCATTGCTGTCATCTAGAATTTTAATAGATAAGCCATGGGGAAATCTATTAGACACCTGGATACTTAAAAATCCTTTGAAAATTGATCATTCATTTGTGGGATCTATGGACACGGACTATTAACTTCCTAACTTCCTTCCTTTTTCCTCTACCCCTGCAACACAATGCCAAAAAATGGAATTTTCTGCAAAGAGATTTAAAAAATAAACTATACTTCCTTCAGAATGGTCCAATTTCCTCTTTGCATCATGTAATACATATATTTATAATTTATTTTGTAATCAATTTTAAATAAGGGTATATGGAATAAACTAATTCAAAGAAAAATTAGACTTAGAGACCTCAGAATAGTAGATAAATCCATGTTGATAAAAGTGAGGTTTTTACTCACTTTATTTTGGGTCTTTGTTTTCCAAGGGAAGACCTTATTGGCTATGTGTTGGGCCAAAGCATTTGTATTGCAAATTCTCAGATACTGAATTTTAGCCTGGGCTTCAAAAGTTTTGACTGGTTCTCAGTATAGCCTCCCAAGTGTGGACCGCAAAAATCAGGAGATGAAATTTGAACTAATCAGTTTGTGGCATATCAGAAGCTTTGTTAGAGGCCTATTTACCTGTTTTCTATTATTAGCAAAAACAAACATTGACTTCTTTTGGTTTGTTCTACCAATTTGTTGTTTATTCTTAAGCATCCTTCATCAAATAACATAATTAGATAACTTAATTTTTGACTTTTTGATGGAAGACATCAGTTTAATTAAAGCCAGACAAAATGGTTTAAATGTTTCTTTTATTTAAATCATAAGAATTTCAGAGGCATGGAAATTTGCCATTTTCTACCCAGGTAAAGTTATTTATATTGATTTATGTTACTTCCTTTAAGAATTGTAATAGCTTGGGCTGGGTGACTTTTCAGACTTTCCATTTCCCATATACAGGAGATCTTTTTGTGTTACAGTTAATTTGAGAAACTCTTCACTGTAAGTGTAATATCCCTGTACCATTCTCAAATGTTGTCTGTGTAGAAATGGAGCTTAGCTGTTTAATACGTTGATATAGGTAACGATGAACTCATTTTAAAATAAAAATGCTCTGCTCTCAACATATTATTACAAATTAATAAGCTGATTTGTAATATACATTCATATTCTATTTTAAGTGTAGTTTAAAAAGAAAAATAACTCCTTGAGGTTATGTTTGAAGACCATTTTTTAAAAAAGGTTAACAAGTGAAAAAATGCAGGCTACAGGCTCATAACATGTAGCTTCTTTAATGATCCTTCAACTTTTAAAATTTGTTGTACATAAAGGCGGTGCTAATCTGATTAGTAACTGTGATTGAGTAAATCTACTGTAAAAATGGACTGTGTTCTGGTTTTTAACATGATACCATGAAGTCACTTGAGAACTGCCTCTGTGGAACATAAAACTCTCTTTGATGGAATATTTATTCCATGATTAAAAGCTATATTTATATATATAGTGTTATATGTATATACACATGCACACATACACACACATATATATGTGTACATGTGATTTGTGTTGTTTATTTTCATAGTTATAAAATGCAGTTCCTAGAAAACTGATAGGCAGGGAAGAAAAACAGTATGACACAAACATAAAGTATAGATGTTGTTACCAAAAGTTAAGACTCAACATTATTTAGTGTTCTTTTTAGCTTCCACCCTGTCCTCCTCTTGCCTCCAGACATAAATACAGAAAGAAGAGAGACTATGAGACGGTTGTGTGTAGGCATTTTACATATGGTAATTAGAAGAAGAAGAGAAAGTTTGGAAAGCTTTGTGATGTTGAAAAAAATCTGTTAACTCTATTAAGAGACCTTGGAAATATTCCTCAAGACATCTCTGTGGCCTGTAGCATATTTTTGTATGTCACTTTAACAGTCACAGATACTCCCTTTAAAGCAGAGAAGTTCATTCCTTGGCACACACATACACTGCAATTAGACTTTTTGCAAAATGCCAAAAATCTCTGGCAGTTTAAGTGAAATCCAAAGAAATGTCAGCACTGCTTATGAATGTATTTATTGGGGAAAAAAAGTGGTCATTTTCAAATTGTTAATATGTATGAAAATATACTAAGAAAGAAAAAGTTTTAACCAAATAAAATAAAAATTGCTTGATTTATGGTTTATATGGAATTTAAATGGAACTTTCCATTTTTATCACTAGTAGATATCTGTTAAAATTTTAAATTAGGTGATCTCATGTTAATATATTTTTAATATATCCAGTGAACACCTTATTTATAAATAAAACCACTTTGGGCTTTTATATGCTTTTTGCACAAGAATTTCATTATTAACAGTGTCATAAAATATGAGTGTGGACATCATGTAAGACACATTAAAATAGATAAGATGGGAGCAACTGACTGAACGAAGTTAGGGTTTTGTTTCAACTTGGCTGCCTGGCGTTTTTCTTTAGTTTCATGGAAAATTTTGAAAGCATCAACCAAGTTTGTTGCCCTTTTAAGGGTTTCAAACAGCACATTGTTTGGTTTGTAGAGGAGTGCTCTATCCTCAAAGAATGAAGGTTAATGAAAGTCTTCAAATAGGCCTATATTATATGATTTAAATAGTAGGTCCCATGTAAACTTAGATTTTAGATGTATGATTTAACCGTGGGCATGGAGAATGGGACAAGAGCTTCCAAGGTTTAGGTGGGGGTAGTGGGTTGAACACCTAGACAGTCAGTGTAATGTATAAGAAAGACTGGTGGGGGCTGGGCGCAGTGGCTCACGCCAGCACTTTGGGAGGCCGAGGCGGGCGGATCACGAGGTCAGGAGTTCGAGGCCAGCCTGATCAACATGGTGAAACCCCGTCTCTACTAAAAATACAAAAATTAGCCAGGTGCAGTGGCACGCACCTGTAATTCAGCTACTAGAGAGGCTGAGGCAGGAGAATCGCTTGAACCCAGGAGGTGGAGGTTGCAGTGAGCTGAGATTGCCATTGCACTCCAGCCTGGGTGACAGAGGAAGACTATGTCTCAAAAAAAAAGAAAAAAAAAAAAAAAAGAAAGACTGGTGGGAAGAAAAGAGTGCATGGGAAAGCAGAGGCTTTCACAAACATGAAGGTTAAGTTATCCCAAACTATATTATCCATTGGGTCATTAATAGTCCTGAGAATAAAGTCAAGTCCCATTCTAAGGTCTTTATATGCATTAATTTTTCCACCTCTACCTGTTATTCTCCTAATAATTTTCAGTTACTAACTTTTAGAAGAATTTAAACTACGTTAATTGCCAAAGAAATTCAATGTTTTTCTCCAAAAATGGAAATTCTCCCCTTGAGAGTCATGGTAACATTTACCAACAAAATAAGTGGCCCATATGACATTTCTTTGGCCTTTATTGTCATATAGGCTTTTGTTGCAGTTTATCTTTTAAATAAAAAGAGTGGACTTTGTTGTCCAAGTGCCTGAACTCAAATCCAAGCTTCTGTACTTAACAAATGTGTGACATTTTGTGAATTAATCTTTCTCTGCCTCAGTTTCTTATTTCGGATAAGAAAAATAACAGGACTTCTGTATAGGTTAAACAGGAAAATATAAGTAAGTTAAAACAATGAACATTTAATATGACTATTACTGTTGCTATTACATACTTTTATTTCCATGAACTGCTGGAGGTTTTCAGGACTTATCTCAGGTTTAGGAAGTAGAATTTCTGGACCAAGGGTTTGACCATTTTTAAAGCCTCTTGACATGTATTATTTAACTGGTTTTCTTTTTTTGTTGAGACGGAGTCTCGCCCTGTCTCCCAGGCTGGAGTGCAGTGGTGCGATCTTGGCTCACTGCAAGCTCCGCCTCCCGGGTTCACGCCATTCTCCTGCCTCAGCCTCCTGAGTAGCTGGGACTACAGGCGCCCGCTACCACACCCGGTTAATTTTTTGTATTTTTAGTAGAGACGGGGTTTCACTGTGTTAGCCGGGATGGTCTCGACCTCCTCACCTCGTGATCCTCCTCCCTCGGCCTCCCAAAGGGCTGGGATTACAGTTGTGAGCCACGGCGCCCAGCCTGAACTGGTTTTCTAAAAATACTTTACCAACTTACGTTCCCAAAGAAACTACGAAATTTCCTATTTCACCTGAGTTAATACTCCATTATTGCCATTTTGAATCTTTTCTAAGTAATGCTCAAACGTGATACCACACTAGGGCTTTAATTTTTATTTTTTTGATGATTAAATAAGTTGATTTCTTCTTATGAATTTATTTATTTGTAAAAGTGCTAATGTTCCTGTCCTGTTTTTCTTTGAGGTGTTATTGTTTTGCTCATCTAATTTTATGAAGCCTCTATTTATTAAGAATATTAATCTTTGTCATATTGGTTATAAATGTTTCTTCCTTTTAATTTTAGATTTCTTATGTATAGAAATTTTAAAAGCATATGTAGTTAAATTTGTTGGTCTGTTTTCTTTGTGATTTCTTTCACCAAAAAGCTGCCTTTCCTAAGATTTATAAAACTAACTGCTGGTTCTAAGTCCTAATTAATGTAGTGAAGAGAATTCTTTGCTCATCAGTTTCAAGGACTTGGTGTCATTTGTGTGAGCTTAAGAAGTCACTCACAGGCCAGGCGCCACAGCTCATGTCTGTAATCTCAACATTTTGAGAAGCCAAGGTGGGAGGATCCCTTGAGCCAAAGAGTTCGAGACCTGCCTGGTCAGCATGGCAAAACCTTGTCTTTACAAAAAAAAAAAAAAGAAATATCAGCTGAGAGTCGTAGGAGGCACCTGTAGTCCCAGCTACTCGGGAGGCTGAGGTGGGAAGATCACTTGGGCCTGGGAGGTCAAGGCTGCAATGTGTGGTGATTGTGCCACTGCCTTCCAGCCTGGGCGACAGAACGAGACCCTGTCTCCAGGGGAAAAACATTAGTCACTTACTCTTACTGTAAATAAAATTTATCATCAAATATTATTTCTACTAAATATAAATTCTTAATAAACCAATTAGGTCCCCAGTGTCTACGGATATAGCATACTATAGTTTACAAAACACTTCTAACATGCATTCTGTAATTTTGTTTCATGTCTCACAACTACCTTATGAAGTAATAAAAGGAAGAGATGGGGATTATTATTGACTTCTTACATACAAATAACCAAATCTCAGAAAAAGTAGGGCTTTTCTAAGGTTATACAACTAGTAAATGACAGAGTTTGGACATGAACCCAGATCCTCCAATTCCAAATTCATGCTTCACTCACTGTACTACCTAGTCTTTTTGTGTTTTGGGGAACTATATGTATACCAGATAACTTTTTAAAAACCTAACTTCTGGGCCAGACATGGTGGCTCACACCTGTAATCCCAGCACTTTGGGAGGCCAAGGTGGGTGGATCACCTGAGGTCAGGGGTTTGAGACCAGTCTGACCAACATGGTGAAACCCCATCTCTACTAAAAATACGAAAATTAGCCGGATGTGGTGGTGGTCGCCTGTAATCCCAGCTACTCAGGAGGCTGAGGCAGGAGAATCTCTTGAACCTGGGAGACGGAGGTTGCAGTGAGCCAAGATCGTGCCACTGCACTCTAGCCTGGGTGACAGAGCTAGACTCTGTCTCAAAAAAAAAAAAAAAAAAAGTACCTAACTTCTTTGAGTTTTAAAATTTCAAATTCTGTTGTTCCAGACATTCTGCTAGAGAAAAGGAAAGGAAATAGCATTTGTTGAGGTACTATTTATACTTAAAGTATGTTCTTTACATTTAAGTTTCTCTCGTGATTAAAATGCCCTCTAATCCTGTTGTACTTTTTCCCTTTGCAGTAACTGTATCATGTCCTATTAAAGACTTCTCCTTCATCTCTTCTCCATGTTACAAACCCTCCTTTTTATCATCTTTTGGTGGGGCTTTGCATTTTTACTTCATGATTTGTGCAGATATTTGCACTATCAGTCACAATTCTATCATTTTTTTCTTTTCCTTTTTGGGGTTTCTATAATTTTTATGAAACTTATATTCAGATTTCATAGATGTTTAGATCCAGGATGCTTCATACAATCATAATTTCCTTTTATTCTCAAAACAGTGTATGAGGTAGATATTATTATCTTATTCATTTTTTTGGTAATGAACAAACTCAGGTTATCTAACTTACTCAAAGCCTCACGACTAGTAAATATTGATGCCATGATTGGAACCTATGCATTTTCCTGCTGTATCCTCCTGCTTCCCTGGCAGGGATGACTGAAATTCTTTTCACCTGTTATGATCCTGGAAGCAGTTTTTCTTATGTGTCTGAGCAGCTGTAAATGCACTTCTTGGTTCCTATCCCATAAACCTAATTCCATCTCAGGGTCATTCTGCACAGCTTGACTTAAACATAAAAATTAACTTTTAAGAGGTTTACTTTAGCTTGATAGCCATCTATTCACTGATCTAGAAAGCAGGTATCTTGAGTGCAATTTCCTTTTTATAAATGAATACATTGCTCTACTCTTCTGTGAGCTCATTCTTATAGAGTATCACATTTGCATTATTGTTCCAGGCTAGATGAGGGCATACTGACCTACAGCTCTCAAACCCTCCTGGTCTTCAAATTTCAACGAACAAAGGAGTCTGGGCATTCACGGGGTAGGGACATTGAAGTTTTCTTTTCTTTCTTTTTAGGAGAAAAGTAAAAGAAAAGAGAAATGGAAAGTACGTGACAAAAATAGACACAAATAACGTTTTGAGTGGAAAAAATATTTGTAGAAAAATATGAAAGGAGCTGAATTTCCATGACATAGACAAAAGATGACAGAAGGGGAAGACTTTACTTACAGGAGTGATATTAAAAAGGAATTCTGTTGAGGAGAGAATAAGCTGAAAAGTGGTTTTGTTGTAGCAGGGTTTTCAACATAAAGTATATATGTAAATGCTCAAATGCTGTGTAATCACTGGAATATTCTTATTAATATTACTAGATAACTCCTATTAAGCATTACAGTGTGCTAGACAGTTAACCCATTTAATCCTCAAAACAACCCTGCCAGTAAGGGATACCTATTAGCTCTGTTTTACAAATGAGGTTTAGAATGGTTAATAACTTGCTCAAGGTCACAGAACTGGTAAGCAGTGAAACTGATTCACAGCCCTAATAGCACTTATCATGATTTGTCAATATTTACTTGTTTACTGTTCGCCTTCTCCACCAGAATATAAGCCCCACGAGGAGAAGACAACGTCTGTCTTTTCACTGATACATCTTCAGTGTCTGGATTAGGCCCTGACACTTAAGAGTTTGTTCAGTAGTTATTTATCAAATGAATAAATAAATGAGCGAGTTAATAAAATCCAGTCTAACCCCAGAACTATATGATTATCCTTTTGCAAACATGGATTTTTAGTAAAAAATTTTTCATTGGTTTGTCATATCTTCTGTCAAACACCTGTGTATGTTTTCCTTAAGCTTTTATACATCCAAGGGAGAGGGCTAGCTAATCAATAGAGGATTTCTTCCCTCCCCCAGAATAAGGAGCCATCTGCAGATGGTGGAAAGAAAATTTAGTATTTAACCAACTTGAGTCAGCTGTGGTTTCTCAGAATTGTAATTTACAGCAATTGCCCTCTATACTTTCCATGGAATTCAGATGAATGAACAAATAACAAAATGTCATAGCAATCACTATGACAGACAGTCCTTGCCTACATTGTTTATTAGTATTCAGATTTATGTCACATTCCTCATTAAATTGTGAATATAACATTATACAGGATATATTACTTTCCAAAAACATTTTAAGTATCAGAAATGAAAGGTAAAGTATATGTAGATGTTATTCTTTAAGGTTTGCGACTTGTTAGTTAAAAAAAAAATGTAAGAAATGTGATGTGCCTTGTAGAAGCTATACCTCCACTGCCCCCACAACTTCCAACTTCTATCCCAGTGGTGTTCAACTTTGGCTGTGCATTAGAACCATGTAGGGAAATTTTTGCAAATACTGATGCCCACGGCCTACCTCAAACCAGTCATATCAGCATCCCTGAGGCTGGGTCCTGGCATCTATATTTTAAAAATGTAAGTTTCTTTAATGAATTTTACTGTGACATAGATTTGAATCCCTTCATTATGCCTTTCCCTCTCAGTATACTTCCTTTTTTCCTATATTCTTTTAAATGTTTGGTGCCCCTCCAAAAAACATAGAAGCCAATACATGGTCTCATTAGTGAAAAGAAGAGGACTTTGAACACTTTCCTTTATTGTAGGCAATTTATTTAAGTGAAATAAAAAATTTAAAGATTATCATGTAATAATTCAGATATACAAAAATACGTAAAGAGTAATGCAATGGGTAGCCATGGACTTACTACTGGATTTAAAATATGGAATATTACTAAAGACGGTCCAAACTCTTTGTGTAGATCTCCCAAACTCTCTTGCTTCTGCAAGTAACCTTGCATTTCTCTCTTTTTATTCTATATGTATGTATTTCTAAGTATAGAATATAATATATAGTGTTTTGCACTTAAAATCTTGAAACTTTATAAAAATTTTATCTGATATATAATATATTCTTTTACAACTTTCTGTTATGTTTCAGAGATTTGAATATTTAATATAAGAAGCTTTAGTTCATTCATTTTCACTGCTGCATTATATTCCATTGAAGTAACTATAGCAGTATTTATTCTTTCTTTGTTGAGGGACATTTATATTGTTTCCATTTATTTTAATATAGACCAGATTCATATTAGCTTTTAAATAACAGACTTACACTGTTGATTCATTTTTACATGTGCTACTGCTAATCTATGATTCTCCTATCCTGTTGCAGTTAATTTTCTGAAAAATGTTAATTCAAGGCCTTATATTTTGTGCCAATCACATTTGATGTTGCTTAAATTCCTGTTTTTATTCAAAAATATATCTTATTAGTCTCATCTAATTTTTCCTTGTTAAAATGTTTTTGGATTGTAGTTTGGTCACCTGGTATTTTAACTACCAGAAGAAGGTGTAATAAATCCTTGCGTATATTCGTTTAACAATGAATATGTAAAATCTGATAAGAATTATGCTGAGCAGGACAAGACTGGTTACACAATGAAGTAGAGTTCATATTTTTCCATGCTATAGTTTAATTTACCGTAGATCAAAGCAAAACCAGTGTTGCTTAGAACTAGTTTTGAGTAGCTAAGACTCATATGCGACTTTAAACCACCACAGATTTGAAAAAGATTCTTAGACTAACATTGCACTCTGGATTGTCTCTCAAGTGCTACCAGTGAATCTCTGTGCTGGATTAGCTGATCAGATGAATGAGTGAGAATCTAGGGATATGTATTAAAGACAAATCATGCTAGTACTTTTTATCCTAGAGTTAATCCTAATATGATCACATCAACTTTGTTTCTTTAACTGCCCCTGTGGCTGGCATTTAAGGGTATTACATCTGTCAACCACAAGGAGGAGCTGTGGCCTAATAAGGAAGAAGCTTAGTTCTGATAGAGTGTCAGCTCAAAGATCTTGAAGACGCCATAGCTCAGGAAATGATCTTTCTTGAAAATGACACTTATATAGGAAATTTTAAATGTATAAGCTAGTCTTTATTTGACTGGGAAAAGAAATAAGACAATTAAATATAATTCAAATAAAGCTCCTTCCACTAAGAATAACATGGGTTTCCTTTTCGTTTTAAATTGGTTATTTGGAACAGATCAATTGGCTAATTCTTTAATTCTTCACCTAGGACCACAGGCTTCAGAGTGTAAAGAAATCTGAGCATCATTGGCTTACCTTCAGGCATTCAGATCTTAAGATTTTAGGAAATATAGTCTGGGGTCAATAATCATTTATTGAATGAACGAATGAATAACAATAAAAACCTGTAGGCCAGTTAGGTTAAGTTGACCAAGGCAAAAAAATAGTCAATCCTTTTTTTGGAGTAAGGATCTAGGAAGAGAAAAGATCACACTAAAGCCTAGGTTTTTAATTCCTTGAACTACGCTTCTTACAGTCTCTCCTGCATTCCCTGCTTAAGTATAGTCTAAATGTAAGTTAAGCAACTACTTTTAGTCATAGTTCAAATATGTAGTAGACTACCTAAGGGCATACTGACTCTCCAACCACTATACATTTATAAACAGAGGCTGGTATGATCCATTGTTTTGAGAGATTCTAGAGAAGATTCCTGCATTAGATGTAATTTTAGAATAGATGATCTCAAACATTCTTTCACTGCTAATATTTTCATTTATTTTGTTTCATTATTTACTTCTATTCATTCATCTAAAGAAAAACATTTTATTTTGGAAAATTTTAAATATACAGGAAAGTTTAATGAATTTTACAGTGAGTACCCATATATCTGTCCATAGATTCTACTATACACATTTTGCTATATTTGTCCTTTTACATATCTTTCCATCCCTCTACCCATCTTATTTTTTGGTGCATTTCAAAATTTTTTGGTGCATTTGATGTCTGAATTGTAGACATTAGTATGCTTTCCTCAACCACTTCAGCATCTATAATATGTAAGTAAAATTCAATATTTGTTTAATTTTTTAGGTACAATTTTCACACAAAAATGCATAAATCATAAGTAAACCTTGCTGAGTTTTGACAAATGAATATGCCTGTGTAGCCTAAACTCCTTCCAAAATATGGAGCATTACTATCACCCTAAAGGGTTCCCCCATGTCCTTGCTCCCTACCCTGAGGTGACCACTGTTCTGTGTGTGTGTATTTACTTCAGGTTAGTTTGTCAGTTCTAGATATAGGAAGTTCACTATGTACATTTTGTGTCTAGTTTCTTTTACTCAGCATACTATTTTTGGGTCTCATCAGTGTTGCATGTACCAGGAATTTGTTCCTTATATTTCTGACTATTATTTCATTATATAAATACACCACAATAGAATGGATTTAAAAAAATGATTTAAAAAATCCATTCTATTGATTGATATTTGGGGTTTTTTTTTGCTTAGTTATTACAAATAACACTACTATAAACATTTTTGAACCAATATCTTTAAGGGACATGTGCATTCATATTTCTTGGGCAAATATCGAGGCATAGAATTGCTGGGTAATGTATATTTAGTTTTATAAATAGTCTTTTACTTAAAAAATATTTATTGGAAACCTACAAGGTGTCAGGCACTATGCTGGGCACTGGGGATAAGTTGTGAAGACTGATGTCTCAATATGTGTCACATCTTTTCTTCTACTGGTTCAACATATTATTTTAAAGTTTTTTAAAAATGAAATTGCTCAGTTACATTGTATACATTATTTTGTGATTTTCATTTCAAAATAATTCATCTTGTTAGTGACTATGCCCACTACTGCTACTTGACCACAGTGGTCAAGGCCACAGGTTCTAGAGCCTGAATGGTTCAAAATACCAGTTCTACCACCTCTAGGTCTATGACGAGCGGGTTACATAAACTCTTTGTGTCTCAGTTGCACTCTGTTATAGTACATACCTCTAATACCACTTATTTAATTGTATTGCAATTCATTACATACATGTCTGTTTCTAATAGACTGTGAGCTTCTTGAATCAGAGTTCATATCTCACCTATGTATGTAATATCAGTATAGCACCTTAGAGAAGGTGAGGCTTAGAGGAGACAGCAAGTGCTCAATGAATGTTTGATGACTAGAAGGCTTACCACAGCTTTTTGGGTTTAAGACATAGTTTCTAAAAGTGCTCTGTAAGAATAGAAATGAGAAACCTGGCATAGGAAACCCTATAAACATTTGCTGTCACATTATTGTGAATTTGACTATGAGATTATGAGTTTACAGAGCAATGAGTTGAAGAGATGGGACAGAGTACATGGAAACATTTTGGGAGCAGGATAAAGAACAGGATGATGCTCTGGAGGCAGGTCAGTGAACATGAGTGCTGGCAAAAGGCTGAAAGGACAAGATGTATGGTTTAAGGGATTGAAAAGGAAGGAAGAATAGAAGAAACAAATCTGTCAAACTTCACAGTTTAGCCAAATCTTGGTCGTGCTGGTCTCAACCCTGGTTTGGAGGCAGCAAGAACACCTATTTAATTATTGTTACTCTTGGATTTCACTGGTGCTGGTAAATTGAGAGAGAAGCAGTGTCCTCAAAGGATAACTGGGAAGGCCATGGAAAATGTGCATTCCTTCTCTCTGTTTCTATACTTCAATATTAAACTATAAGCAGAGAACATAAAGATGGTGAAAACAATTATCAACTAATATTGATGTTGAATGAAATGTTTTGAGGTTTCTAAACAGTATCATTTATTTCAATCTTCATTATCATTTATTATTACTGAAAATCTCTTTCTACTTAAGGCTTGAAATCTTGACTATTGTTGCTGAGACAAAAGTTCAGTCATTTGATGTTACCATTAGTGGCAAAAGTTTTTGTTCCTTTATTGAGGACTTACCGACTGCTGAAAAAGACCAGCTGATCTAGGGTCAGGCATGATTGTAAATAATATGTTTCAAGAGATGATTGTTGAATATATTCTTAAATAATAGTGATGATAACAGATTTACTAAGTCCTTACTATGCACCATATCCAGTGCAGAACGATTTTATAATCGTTGTCTTTTTTTACTTACAACTCTCCTGTGTTGTATTATTGATTCCATTTTATAGATGGTGAAAGTGAGGCTTAGAGAAGGCAAAGAGAGAGAATGCATGTATGTACTGAATGCATTTTATGATGTCATTTAGTTAGGTAGGTATCATTACCCACCGTTTTACAGACAATGAAACAGGCTGCAGAAGACTTGGGGAAAGAACACTTACTGAATCCTTATAATGTGTCAGGCATTCTGTTAAGTGCATTCCTGGCACTGTTATTCGATTTCATAGCCCCATAACAAGCCTGCCAGATAGGTGTCATTATCCCTACATTGCAAATGAGAAAACTGAGGCTCAGAGACGTTAGGTAATTGGCTCAATTTCATACACTCAATAAACAAAAACAACAAAAACTGGTGGGCAAAGCAGTCCCATCTTTCTCTGAAGTTCATGTTACCTCAAAGATATGATGTTCTCTCTCTGATACTTAATTTAGTCAAGGTCACAGAGTTAGCAAGTAGACTAACATTTCTGACTCCAAGTGTGGAAGTTTTTTCTACTGCACCGTGTTCATTGCTTTGTGGTTTTAGTTTGTTTTATTGTGTCCTCTACAAAAGTAGAAAAAACTAGTTAAGAGTTTGCTCTTTATGAGACATTTTCAAGTCCATGTGATTAAGCAACCTTGTATAGTCCCTGTCTCTAGACTAAATAATTTGATGGCAAATCTTTTAACCTTCGCTTATCCATCACTTTTTCAGCTCTCTAATATATTTGCTTATCCTTTTAAGTTTTGTACCTCCCATTATGAGGTAAGATAGTATAAATCTTACTGGTCTATTCTGAGAGATGTTTCCTGATATGGAAGTCTTGCAATATTCTTAAAGAGAATGAAGAATAAAATGTGGGTGAAATAATATTGACCAATTTCCTTCTTATTACATTCATATGACTTGGAGGTATGCTGGAAGATAGTGAAAGAAATTTTAAGGTCCTAAAACCCATATTGTGTCTTGAAGGACTGGATTTGGCTACACCAACTGTACCTACAATATAAAGCAGATATGCTTTCAGAAAATTTCACTAAAAAAGAGCACTTTAACCTCCTGAATCTGCACCGTTGTCCCTGAAGTCTAGTGTTTCTTTCTATATACCATGTGAAAAATACATTCTCCAAGGGATTAGGATTCTCAGAGATTTTAAGACTTGGTGTTTAAATACGTGCTCAGATAAACCAATACACTACATTTCTATTTTTCTCAAACATAGCCGCCAACATTACTTTGATGAAAGTGTGTTAATACTTGCTTAAACACGAGGACAATTTTTTCTGCAGGATTTTAGTGAGCCACTCTAACAAAACTGATATTCTTGCAAAATGTGTTTGTCATCTATTTCTTTTTTCTCTTTTGCTTGTTTTCTGAGATACCTTACTCAGCTTCCTGAAGAGAATTTTATGTTTGTCTAATCAACAGAGAAGACAGTCTAACTTTGACAATAAAAAAGAAACCACCACTTGCCAAATAATAGCATATACTCTGGGGTATGGCACAGTGGCCAGATTTTAAGGATATCTGTACCTGAGAAGAAAGCGACCAGCAGGTGGCAATACCCTTACATGGAATCCCTGTCCAGACAAATGGACAGTGCCTAAAGTAAACTGATACTCCAGTGAAGTCACATGCCATTTCAGAGAAACCTGATAGCTTTGGCTGGGTAGGAGCCCATTTAACGTTCTCTTTCAGCTATTATCTCATCTCTCCATTTCCATCTGACAATTCTCCAACTCAGCGTGTTGTATACACTCTCCTAAAGGTCATGCATGGCTACTAGGGTGGGTACTTTGAATGTGGTCCCTGAGTTTGGTATTAGGAGCAGACAATTTTAATAAGTAACTTGTGTTGACTGCTGTCAGCAGTGACCTTGATGGGGCTAATTGCTGTACCTCCATGATCTTCTGGCCTTGGCCTAGTGGTAGGCTTTTAGGATAACTCTGGACTCTTGCTTACAAAATCCACTTGCAAAGGTACTGTAACCTCCCAAAACTGGTTGAGATATGGAAACTCAGGTAATTTGAGGCCTATATCTGATATTTTATTTAATTTTTGCATTTTTTTAAGATTTATTCTCTCTGTAGGACAACTTCGCTGACCTTATATTTTTTTCTCATTGATATGTATGTATCAAGACACTTTTGATGGCAATGGAAAACCCATCTCAAACTGGTTTAAATAGTGATTGTGTTATTTTCTTTAATACTAAATCCTCAGATAAAGTAATCTTCAGTGTTGGTTAGTTCAGTGGCTAAACATTGATACTGAACATTGAGATTTTTCTATATCTCCACTATGTCATTCATAGCAATGATTCCATCCTCAGACTTCTTTTTATGATTGTAATATGGCTTCCAGAAGTTCAGCATCACCCAAGAGAAAAGACTCACTCCATACCCTAAAATCCCTGAGAGGCCTGTGCATCCTCGAGGCAACTGCTGGCCAGGAGAGGGGAATTAGTGTGCTTGACTAAGATTAATCATTTGAACAAGAATGGAAGTTAAGGAGAAATTCACAATGTTTACTACAATATCTGTGGAACTTGTTTGTACCTCAAATCTGTGTTTAGGTTGATTTTTACTCTTTTTACTCCCTAAAAAAATTGAGAAACAAAGTGTTTATAAAAAATGGTTATATCAAACTGAAAGATTAAAAGTGAGATGTCTCTTATGAAAGTAAAAATTTTGAGTCTAAATTCACAGGGTTTTGGGTAGACCAGTTACTAAAATAGGTATATCATTATGTTTCCATTTTACAAAAATTACTTGGAGCATTATTTAAACTGTGAAAAACAGGCTTTTGTTTTAATCATGTCAAGACACAAGATAATGACCTCAGATTTTTTTTAAAGAAAATATTCTTATCTATAAATAGTATTCTGTAAGTTTGATACAATCATAACACTATTTTAATTTTCTGGACCTCAGTTTCCATCTCTGTAAAGGAAGAACTGGTAGATTTCTTAGCTTTTATTGAGGATATACTTAAAAATAAAAATTTCTGCTTATTTGAGTACTTATGTCAATAAAGAAATAATTAATCAGATTTCTGTGATTTTTCTGTTTAATGTACAAATCACAGTTTGGTTTTATACTGTGTCATATTCAACTTTATTTCATAATCTACTTGAGATTTAAAAATTAATTTATTTCACAGCAATTTCAAACTTGCATAAAAATTGCAAGAACAGCTTAAAAAACCTCCTGTGTTGTCTTTATCTATTGACCCCATTCAAGTTTCACTCATTGCCTCATTGATGTCCCTTATAGCATAAGGTCTCGAGTCACATGCTGCAACCAGTTGTCATGTCTCTCTAGGTTCTGTTAATCTGGAATCATTCTCCAGTCTTCCCTCACATTTCATATCCTTGACATGTTTTAGGGTCACAGATCAGTCACTTTGTGGAATGTTCCTTCAATTTGAGTTTTCAAATGTTTCCCCATGATCAGGTTATACAAATTTTGGCAAAAATATCACATAAATGATGCATTCTCCTTGCATTTCAATTAGGTGACACATAAGGTCAATTTTCCCCCATAGTGGTGGTATAAATTCTAATTACTTGATTAACATATTGTCTCCCAGGATCCTCCATTGTAAAGTTGCTTTTTAATCCTCTGTAATTAAGTATTTTGTGTGGAAATACTTTGAAACTATGTAAATATCTGTTCCTCATCTCACTCTCACCTACTACTTTTAGCATCCATTGATGTTTCGTGCTTGAATTAATTATTACTATGATGGTTTCTAAGTGGTGCTTTTTCTAATTCCATCTAGTTAGACAAAATAGATATCTCATTCCTACATTTATTAGTTAATATTATAGTGTAAACAGAGCTTCCTTTACTCTCTTTTTACTTACTGATTTATGTATTTAGATCAGTGTAGACTCATGGATTTCTGTTTTATTTGATGGCTTATAATATGTCATCATCATTATTCTGACTTTCAGATTATCCCAGATTTGGCCATAAGATGCACCTTTATGCTGGCTTCTGTGTGCTTTTGAAATATCTTCACAGTTCTTTTAGCACAATTTTTACCATTTGGCACCAAAAGATGTATTAGGCTAATCTTCTACTTTCCTTGCCAAGACCTGGATTCAGCCATTTCTCTAAGAAGTTCTAGTTCCTTTGAATGTAGACTGGAATTTGGAAACCAAGATCTGGGTGCCGGATGTTATTTAATAGATGGGTTAATTGCTATTCAGTGTTGCTATTCCCAGGCCAGAGCCAATAAATAACACAAACACACACATCCCTTTACATCATTATTTACACACACACACACACACACACACACACACATTCTGAAACCATGAGATCATGCTAAGTCCAATTCTGATCCAACACATAAGGTTGTTCTCAGTCATTGAGAAACCTGGCTCTCATTATCATTAATTTGCCTAATCCTTTTTATGTAGCCAGTTACTGACCATGTCAGGCTGTCCCTACTTCCTAACTCCAACATTACCTTTGCATTGGCTGCTATTTACTAGCTGAAACAGGGCTGCCCCGCCACCTGGCTCCAATACCATCTTCAAGAGGCCAACATTACTGAGCTTTTGAGGCTCCTTTTTCTCTCCAGCTCCAATATTATCCTCCTGCAGGCAACCATTGCTGCCCTTCTGGGGTCTACCAGATGAATTTTGGACTGAAGAAGGAGAGAAGGAAGGAAAGAAGAAAAAAAAGAAGAATGGAGACTTAAGAAATCATGAATGAAAATAAATAGCAGATATTTTTAACTATAATTAAGTCGGGATGCACGCCCATGACTTGCTATTTATTCTTCAGTGATTTCTTTTAAGTTTCATGTTAAAATCTACCTTAAAAATTAGTGTTATTTCTTCTCCAAAAGACAAATATACAGGCTTAATATACTATAAAAATAATAAAATGATTGCATGTAACCTGGATTTGGTATATAGAGGCCATAATAAAGCTAATTAATGCAGCCTTCCACTATGAATATCTCAAAAGTAATTATAGCATGAGTATTAAATGAGTTGATTAATGTAAAGGTCTTAGAATAATGTCTGATAGTAAGCACTATTTTAATGGCAGCTGTATTATGTTATCATTATTTGTATTTCTAACTCCTGTTTTTTACAGAAATATTTGTATTTGAGTTTTTATTGTCATACCTCAAACTTCTTTAAAAGTTACCCTAGAGAGAGGGGCTTAAAGATGGCTGACTAGAGGAATACAACACTTGCCTCCTCCAAGAAGAACCTAAATAGTAAGTGGATAATCCCACTTCAAATAGATCTTCTAAGAGAGAGCACTGAAATTCAACAGAGAAGTGACAGAAAACACCTAAGGCACAGAAGAGGAGGAAAGCAAAGCAAAGATTGGATGGGAACCTGGGGAGGTTCCCTAATGTGGGGAAAGAGTAAGTGAAAGACCACGAGTGGTTCACATTTCCACTGTGGACTCTTACAATCTTACCCATGGGAGCAGCTTTTGCAGGCCCTAGGAATGGCATAGTGACCTGCCTAGAAACTGTGCAATGGCATTGCTCCAGAGAGAGAATTCATCCTGGGTCCCAAATACCTCCTGAGTACCAAGCAGATGCAGCATGGTGCCATTTTGAGAGCTCAGCCCCCACCAGACTGCATCCTGCCCTGGGCCACAACAGCCCCTGCATCTCCACATCCCTGGAGGTACACTGACATACTTCTGAGTTCACCTGGAGGACTGCGGAAGCATGATGCCAGCTGGACCCAGTGGAATGTCAGGCTTCCCAGCACTCTAGTACAAACTTGTCTGTGCCCCACAGAATGGGCAGTGCAGCTTACCAAGGACGATGTCCCCAGGACAAAGAGAGCTACAACATGCTCTCTGTAGAGTCTGAGAACCACCTACCAGGGAAAGTTACCACAGACAGCAACCTCAACCCCCAGCCCCAGCAGTAGGACAAGCTATGCTGCCATCTGCAGTAGCTGCTGTTGCAGCTGAGGGCCAAAGTGCATGCCACTGACAGTGACCCTGGCCCTCTAGCATCAGGGTTGCCACCATGTACTTGCATATGCCATGAGGACTAGTTTCCCTTGCTGCTGCTGCTGCCATTGATGCCACTACTGCCACCGCTGAAGGCCAAAGCACCCTCCCTAACCCAAGAGCCTGAGAACTGCCTGTGTGTGGCTGCAGTCACTGGCAGCAACTCTGTCCCCCAGCACCAGGGCCACAGCACGCTTGTACATGCCCTGAACACAGGCTCCCCCAGCCTATTGTTGCTGCTGCAGTCACCCAAGCATTCTGCCAAGAGCCTGGCATCACCTTGCCCTGCTCACTACAGCCTCAAGTGCACCAGTGGGGGGCCTGGGGACAGGCCTGCTCACCCCTACTTCTCTCAACAGTGCTTGAACACACTACCTGGGGTCTTGGGGATTGCCCCATCCTGTTCACCACCGTCATCTGTGTACTTCTCCCAGTGGACTGAGCATGGGCCCAGCCAGCCTGCTGCTAATGCCATAGTTAGCAACCAGCTGCATGTGCCACCTGGAAGTTTGGGAACTGGCCTGCCTAGCCCATTGCAGCAACTGCTAACACTAATGCATGCCACTTCAAAGCCCAAGGGATGTCCCCCCACTGCTGCTGCCATCACCCATGCTCCACATCCTATCCAGGGGACCAAGGATCTGCCTACCTACCTGCCCTATGGCTACCACTGCTGGCACCCAAGCAAGCTCTCCAGAGGCACAATAATCAGCTCACTTGTGTCTGGTAATACTGATGCCCACGTATGCTGACTGGGACCCAAGGACAGGCATGCCTGGCCCACTGCTGCCACCACTGGGGTCCAAGGAGTGGCCTACCTGGCATCCCCATTCCCAATAAAACCTCACCACAGCCTCTATTAACAACTGCAGCCTATACCACTGAAGAAATCACAGACACCACTGACAGTGTTTACAGCTGAAGAAATCATATAGAGACTACACTACTGCATACACCCAGAATCAAAGCTAAAGTGTCCTACCCAACCAACACTATAGTTAAATCTTCAGGAAAAAGTCATCCCCTGTTAAAGTCAATGCAAAAAGTTGGAAGAAGTGACTGTTACACAAGATGTGCAGGTATCAGTGAAAAGACACAAGAAACATGGAAAAGCCGAGGAAATACAACATCTCCAAAGGAACACAATAATTCTCTGCAAAGGATTCCAACAAAAAAGAAATTTATAAAAATGTGGAAAAAGAATTCAAGTAATGTCTTAAGAAAGCTCAGTGAGACACAAGAGAACACAGATAAACAATACAATGAAATCAGAAAAATAATTCAAGATATGAATGTAAAATTCACCAGAGGTATAGATATCATAAAAAATAACCAAAGAGAAATCCTGGAAAAGAAGAATTCAATGAATGAAACAAAAAAGTCATTCAAGAGCTTCAACAATAGACTAGAGCAAACAGAAGAAGCAAATTCAGAATGCAAAGATAGGTCTTTCCTTTGAAATAACCTAGTCAAACAAAAACAAACAAAACAAAGAAAAAATAATAAAAAAAACCAAAGCCCATGTGACATATATGACATCCTAAAGGAACCAAATATTTGAATTTTGGATGTTTCAGAAGGTAAAGAGACCAAAGGCATAGAAAATCTATTTAATGAAACAATATCTGGAAACCTCCCAAGTCTAGTAAAAGATTTAGACATACAATTATAAGAAGCTTACAGATCCCCGAGTAGATACAACCCAAAAAGGCCTTCACAGCACATTATAGTCAAACTGTCAAAAGTCAAAGACAAAGAGATAATTCTAAAAACAGCAAGGGAAAAGCATCTAGTCACATAAAAGGGAGCCCCCATCAGGTGAACAGTGGATTTCTGAGCAGAAATCTTATAGGCCAAGAAAGAATAAGATGATATATTCAAAGTGGTGAAAGAGAAAAACTGCCAGCCAAGAAAGAGTACCTTACTTACCAAAGTTATCCTTCATAAATGAAGGCGAAAGAAAGTCTTTTCTAGACAAGCAGAAACTGAGGGAATTTCTCACCACTAGACTGAATCTACAAGAAATGCTTAAGGGAGTCTTACAATGGGATGTGAAAAGATGATATATACCATCATAAAAACACAGGAAAATATAAAACACAAGGCTAGAGAAAACACAAATGAAGAGAAAGGACTCAAATATTACTATCAGAGAAAAATCACCAAATCATAATGGTAAACAACAAGAGAAAGAAAGGAACAAAGATATACAAAACAACCAGAAAACTACAAAATGGTAGGAATAAGTCTTCATATATCAATAAACAACCTTGAATGTAAATAAATTTAATTTTCCACTTAAAAGATATAGATTGGCTGAATGAATTAAAAAAACCCATGACCTGACTATATGATGCCTACAGAAACTCACTTCACCTATAAAGACATATATGCACTAAAAGCAAAGAGATGGAAAAAGATGTTCCATACAAACAGAAACCAAAAGTAGCAGAAATGGCTATACTTATCACCAATAAAACAGAATTTAAATAAAAATAGTGAAATGAGACAAAGGACATCAGAAAATAAATTCTAAATATATATGCACTTAATACCAGAGCATCCAATATATAAAACAAATATTATATTTAAAGGGAGAGATCAACTACAATAGTTATTGGGGACTGCAACACACCATTCTCAGCTTTAGACAAATCATCTAGACAGAAAATCAACAAAGAAACATTCATTGGATTTTAACTGTACTTTACACCAAATAGACTGAACAAACATCTATGGAAGATTTCATCCAACAGCTGCAGAATACACATTCTTCTCATCAACACATAAAACATTCTCCAGGGTAGATCATATGTTAGGACACAAAAGAAGTCTCAAAAATTTTTTAAAAATTAAATGTATACCAAGTATCTTCTCAGGCCACAAAGGAATAAAACTAGAAATCAATAAAAAGAGGAACCTTGGGAACAGTATAAATACTTGGAAATTAAATAACATGCCCCTGAATGACCAATGGGTCAATGAAGAAGTTAAGAAGGAAATTAAAAAATTTCTTAAAACAAATGAAAATGGAAACACAATTTGCCAAAACCTATGGGATACAGCAAAAGCAGTTCTATAAGGAAGTTTATATTAATGAATACCTACAACAAGAAAGTAAATATTTCATGTAATATATAATGTGCCCCAAAGAACTAGAAAAGCAAGAACAAACCAAATCCCAAATAAGAAGGAAAGAAATAATGAAGATCAGAGTATAATTAAACAAAACAGAGACAAAAAATACAAAGTATCAATGAAACAAAAAGTTATTTGTTTGAAAAGATAAAATTGAGAAATGTTTGGATAGACTAATAAGAAAAAAAGAGAAAAGACCCAAATAAACAAAGTCTTAAATGACAAAGGAGACAAACAACTAATACCACAGAAATAAAAAAGATCATCAGAGATTATTATGTTCAACTATACATCAGAAATTAGAAAACCTAGAGGAAATGGATAAATTCCTGTATACATTCAACCTACCAAGATCAAACCATGAAGAAATAGAAAACCTCAGTAAACCAATAATAAATAAAAAGATTGAACCAGTAGTAAAAAGTCTTCCAACAAAGAAAAGCCCTGGACTTGATGGCTTCAATGCCAAAGTCTACCACTCTTATAAAAACTACTATCAATTATACTCAAACTATTGCAAAAAATGGAAAAGGAGGGAATTATTTCTAACTTATTCTACAAGGCCAACACTACTCTGATACCAAAACTGGACAAGAACACACAAAAAAAGAAAATTACAGGCTAATATCACTGATGAAATTAGATGCAAAAATTCTCAACAAAATAACTAGCAAACCAAAATCAACAACACATTAAAAAGATCATTCACCATGATCAAGTGGGATTCATCCCAGGGATGCAAGGATGGTTCAACATATGCAAATCAATAGATGTGATACATCACAGTAACAGAACCAAGAAGAAATTATATGATTAATTCAACAGATACCACAAAAATATTCAATAAAATTCAACATCCTTTTATGATAAGAATCTTGTCAAAATGGGTATAGAAGGAATATACCTCAAAATATGACAGACACATAGCTAGCATCATATTGAATGGGGAATAATTGAAGGTCTTTCCTTTAAGGACTGGAACAAGTCAAGAAGACACCACTTTCATTTAACATAATACTGAAAGTCCTGGCCAAAGAAATTATGCAAGAGAAAGAAATGAAAGGCATCTAAGTTGGAAAGAAAGAAGTCAAACTAGCCTTGTTCACAGATGGCATAATTTTATATATTGAAAGCCTAAAGACACTACTGAAAAACTGTTGGAAGTAATAAATACAGTAAAGTTACAAAATACAAAATTGTCATGCAAAAATTGCCCAATTAAAAGACACAGACTGGCAAATTGGATAGTCAAAATCCATCGGTGTGCTGTATTCAAAAGATCCATCTCACATGCAAAGACACATGTAGGCTCAAAATAAAGGGATGGAGGAAGATTTACCAGGCAAATGGAATGCCAAAAAAAAAAAAAAAAAAGAGCAGGAGTTGCAATTCTAGTCTCTGATAAAACAGACTTTAAACCAACAAAAACCAAAAAACACAAAGAAGGGCATTACATAATGGTAAAGGGATCAATGCAACGAGAAAAGCTATCTATCCTAAATATATGTGCACCCAATACAGGAGCATCCAGATGCATAAAGCAAGTTCTTAGAGACCTACAAAGAGACTTAGACTCCCACACAATAATAATGGGAAAGTTTAACACCCCACTGTCAATATTAGATCAACAAGACAGAAAATTAACAAGGATATTCAGGACCTGAACTCAGCTCTGCACCAAGTGGACCTAATAGACAAGTACAGAACTCTCAACACAAGCCAACAGAATATACATTCTTCTCAGCACCACATCGCACTTATTCTAAAATTGACCACATGGTTGGAAGTAAAACACTCCTCAGCAAATACAAAACAAAACAAAACAAAACAAAAAACCAGAAATCTTAACAAACAATCTCTCAGACCACTGTGCAAACAAATTAGAACTCAGGATTAAGAAACTCACTCAAAACTGCAAAACTACATGGAAACTGAACAACCTGCTCCAGAATGACTACTGGGTAAATAACAAAATTAAGGCAGACATAAATAAGTTCTTTGAAACCAATGAGAACAAAGACACAATGTACCAGAATCTGTGGGACACAGCTATCGCAGTGTTTAGAGTGAAATTTATAGCACTAAATGCCTGCAGGAGAAAGCAAGAAATATCTAAAATCGACACCCTAATATCACAATTAAAAGAACTAGAGAAGCAAGTGCAAACAAATTGAAAAGCTAGCAGAAAACAAGAAATAAGTAAGAGCAGAGCAGAACTGAAGGAAATAGAGACACAAAAAACCTTTCCAAAAAAAATCAATGAATCCAGGAGCTGGTTTCTTGAAAAGACTGACAAAATAGATAGACCACTAGCCAGACTAATAAAGAAGAAAAGAGAGAAGAATCAAATAGACACAATAAAAAATGATAATGGGGATATCACCACTAATCCCACAGAATTACAAACTACCATCAGAGAATACTATTAACACCTCTCCACAAATAAGCTGGAAAATCTAGAAGAAATGGATAAATTTCTGGACACATACACCCTCCCAAAACAAAACCAGGAAGAAGTAGAATCTCGAATAGACCGATAACAAGTTCTGAAATTGAAGCAGTAATTAATAGCCTGCCAAAAAAAAAAAATCCCAGGACCAGATGGATTCACAACCGAATTCTACCAGAGGTACAAAGAGGAGCTGGTACCATTCCTTCTGAAACTATTCCAAGCAATAGAAAAAGAGGGACTCCTCCCTAACTCTTTTCATGAGGCCAGCATCATCCTGATACCAAAACCTGGCAGACACAACAAAAAAAGAAAATTTTGAGGCTGGGCACGGTGGCTCACACCTCTAATTCCAGCACTTTGGGAGGCTGAGGCAGGCGGATCACTAGGTCAGGAGATAGAGACCATCCTTGCTAACATGGTGAAACCCTGACTCTACTAAAAATACAAAACATTAGCTGGGTGTGGTGGTGAGTGCTTGTATTCCCAGCTACTCCGGAGGAGGCTGAGGCAGGAGAATGGCGTGAACCCAGGAGGCAGAGCTTGCAGTGAGCCAAGATCTTGCTACTGCACTCCAGCCCTGGTGACACAGCAAGACTCCTTCTCAAAAAAAAAAAAAAAAAAAAAGAAAGAAAATTTCAGGCCAATATTCCTGATAAACATCGATGCAAAAATCCTCAATGAAAAACTGGCAAACCGAATCCAGCAGCACATCATAGAGCTTATCCACCACAATCAAGTTGGTTTTGTCCCTGGGATGCAAGGTGGTTTCAACATTCACAAATCAATAAATGTAATCCATTACATAAACAGAATCAATGACAAAACCACATGATTATCTTGATAGATGCAGAAAAGGCAATAAAATTCTATACCCCTACTAGCTAAAAACACTTGGTAAACAAGGTATTGATGGAACGTATCTCAAAATAAAAAGAGCTATTTATGACAAACCCACAGCCAATATCATACTGAATGGGCAAAAACTGGAAGCATTCCCTTTGAAAGCCAGCACAAGACAAGGATGCCCTCTCTGACCACTCTTATTCAACATAGTATTGGAAGTTCTGGCCAGGACAATCAGGCAAGAAAAGAAATAAAGGGTATTCAAATAGGAAGAGAGGAAGTCAAGTTATCTCTGTTTGCAGATGACCCAATTGTATATTTAGAAAACCCCATCGTCTCAGCCCAAAAACTTGTTAAGCTGATAAGCAACTTCAGCAAAGTCTCAGGATACAAAATCAATGTGCAAAAATCACAAGCATTCCTATACACCAATAATAGACAAACAGGGAGGCAAATCATGAGTGAACTCCCATTCACAATTGCTACAAAGAGAATAAAATACTTAGGAATACAACTTACAAGGGATGTGAAGGACCTATTCAAGGAGAATTACAAACCACTTGTCAAGGAAATAAGAGAGCACACAAACAAATGGAAAAATATTCCATATTCATGGATAGGAAGAATCAATATCATGAAAATGGCCATACTGCCCAAAATAATTTATAGATTCAATGCTATTCCCATAAAGCTACCATTGACTTTCTTCACAGAATTAGAAAAAACTACTTTAAATTTCATATGGAACCAAAAAAGACCCCGTATAGCCAAGACAATCCTAAACAAAAAGAACAAAGCTGGAGACATCACACTCCCTGACTTCAAACTATACTACAAGACTACAGTAACCAAAACAGCATGGTACTGGAACCAAAACAGATGTATAGACCAATGGAACAGAACAGAGGCCTCAGAAAAAACACAACACATCTACAACCATCTGATCTTCAAGAAGCCTGACAAAAACAAGAAATGAGGAAAGGATTCCCTATTTAATGAATGGTGCTGGGAAAACTGGCTAGCCATATGCAGAAAGCTGAAACTGGATCCCTTCCTTACACCTTATACAAAAATTAACTGAAGATGGATTAAAGATTTAAACATAAGACCTAAAACCATAAACACCCTAGAAGAAAACCTAGGCTATACCATTCAGAGCATAGGCATGGGCAAGGACTTCATGACTAAAACACCAAAAGCAATTGCAACAAAAGCCAAAATTGACAAATGGGATCTAATTAAACTAAAGAGCTTCTGCACAGCAAAAGAAACTATCATCAAAGTGAACAGGCAATCTACAGAATGTGGGAAAATTTTTGCAATCTGTCTATCTGACAAAGGTCTAATATCCAGAATCTACAAGGAACTTAAACAGATTTACAAGAAAAAAACAAACAATCCCATCAAAAAGTGGGTGAAAGATATGAACAGATACTTTTCAAAGAAGACATTTATGTGGCCAACAAACATATGAGAAAAAGCTCCTCATCAATGGTCATAAGAGAAATGCAAATCAAAACCACAATGAGATACGATCTCATGCCACTTAGAATAGCGATTATTAAAAAGTCAGGAAACAACAGCTGCTGGAAAGGAAGTGGAGAAAAGAATGCTTTCACACTGTTGGTAGGAGTGTAAATTACTTCAATCCTTTTGGAGGACAGTGTGGTGATTCCTCAAGGATCTAGAACTAGAAATACCTTTGGATATATACCCAGCAATCCCATTACGGGATTATAAATCAAGTTTATAGGATTACAAATCATTCTACTATATAAAGGATTATAAAGAATTATAAATCATTCTACTTTTATAAATCATTCTACTATAAATATACATGCACATGTGTGTTTATTGCAGCACTATTCACAATAGCAAAGACTTGGAAACAACCTAAATGCCCATCAATGATAGACTGGATAAAGAAAAATGTGGCATATATACACCATGGAATACTATGCAGCCATAAAAAGAATGAGTTCATGTTTTTTTCAGGGACGTGGATGAAGCTGGAAATCATCATTCTCAGCTAACTAACACAGGAACAGAAAACTAAACATCTCATGTTCTCACTCATAAGTGGGAGTTGAACAATGAGAATATGTGGGAACAGGGAGGGGAAGATCACATTCTGGGGTCCATTGGCAGGTGGGGGACAGGAAAAGGAGGGATAGCAGTAGGAGAAATTCCTAGTGTAGATGACGGGTTGATGGGTGCAGCAAACCACCATGGCACATGTATGCCTATGTAACAAACCTGCACATTCTGCATATATATCCCAGAACTTAAGTATAATATAAAAAAAGAAATAAAAGAAAATAAAATGTGGTACATATACACAATGGAATACTATTCAACCATAAAAAAGAATGTCATTCTATAATAATTTGCAACAACATGGATGGAAGTATAGGTAATTATGCTAAGTGAAATAAGCAGGCACAGAAATACAAACCTCTCATGTTCTCACTTATTTGTGGGATCTAAAAATCAAAACGACTGAACTCATCAAGATAGAGAATAGAAGAATGGTTCTCAGAGTCTGGGAATGGCAGTGAGGCGTGGGGTGTGGAGAAAGTGGGGATGGATAATGGGTAAAAAAAAATAGTTAGAAAAAATAGATAAATGCTTGAGGGGATGGTTATCAAATTTTCCATGATATTATTACATTATGTGTCTGGTATGTGTGTACCAAAATATCTCATGTACTCTATAAACCTGTACATCTACCATATACTCATAAAAGCTAAAACTAAACATCTATACATCTACCTATACATCTACCATGTACTCATAAAAACTAAAAAAAAACCCCAACAAATGAACAAAAAAAAGACATTCTTTTTTTTTTAAATTATACTTTAAGATTTAGGGTACATATGCACAATGTGCAGGTTTGTTACATATGTATACATGTGCCATGTAACTCATCATTTAACATTAGGTATATCTCCTAATGCTATCCCTCCCTCACTCCCCCCACCCCACAACAGGCCCTGGTGTGTGATGTTCCCCTTCCTGTGTCCATGTGTTCTCATTGTTCAATTCCCACCTATGAGTGAGAACATGCAGTGTTTGGTTTTTTGTCCTTGTGATGGTTTGCTGAGAATGATGGTTTCCAGCTTCATCCATGTCCCTACAAAGGACATGAACTAATCCTTTTTTATGGCTGCATAGTATTCCATGGTGTATATGTGCCACATTTTCTTAATCCAGTCTATCATTGTTGGACGTTTGGGTTGGTTCCAAGTCTTTGCTATTGTGAATAGTGCCACAATAAACACATGTGTGCATGTATCTTTATAGCAGCATGATTTATAATCTTTTGGGTATATACCCAGTAATGGGATTGCTGGGTCAAATGTATTTCTAGTTCTAGATCCCTGAGGAATCGCCACACTGACTTCCACAATGGTTGAACTAGTTTACAGTCCCAGCAACAGTGTAAAAGTGTTCCTATTTCTCCACATCCTCTCCAGCACCTGTTGTTTCCTGACTTTTTAATGATCGGCATTCTAACTGGTGTGAGATGTTATCTCATTGTGGTTTTGATTTGCATTTCTCTGATGGCCAGTGATGATGAGCATTTTTTCATGTGCCTTTTGGCTGCATAAATGTCTTCTTTGAGAAGTGTCTGTTCATATCCTTCGCCCACTTGTTGATGGGGTTGTTTTTTTCTTGTAAATTTGTTTGAGTTCATTGTAGATTCTGGATATTAGCCCTTTGTCAGATGAGTAGATTGCAAAAATTTTCTCTCATTTTGTAGGTTGCCTGTTCACTCTGATGGTAGTTTCTTTTGCTGGGCAGAAGCTCTTTATTTTAATTAGATCCCATTTGTCAATTTTGTCTTTTGTTGCAATTGCTTTCGGTGTTTTAGTCATGAAATCCTTGCCCATGCCTATGTCCTGAATGGTATTGCCCAGGTTTTCTTCTAGGGTTTTTATGGTTTTAGGTCTAACATTTAAGTCTTTAATCCATCTTGAATTAATTTTTGTATGAGGTGTAAGGAAAGGATCCAGTTTCAGCTTTCTACATATGGCAAGCCAGTTTTCCCAGCACCATTTATTAAATAGGAATCCTTTCCCCATTTCTTGTTTTTGTCAGGTTTGTCAAAGATCAGATAGTTGCAGATATGTGGCATTATTTCTGAGGGCTCTGTTCTGCTCCATTGGTTTATATCTCTGTTTTGATACCAGTACCATGCTGTTTTGGTTACCGTAGCCTTGTAGTATAGTTTGAAGTCATGTAGCATGATGCCTCCAGCTTTGTTCTTTTGGCTTAGGATTGACTTGGCAATGCAGGCTCTTTTTTGGTTCCATATGAACTTTAAAGTAGTTTTTTCCAATTCTGTGAAGAAAGTCATTGGTAGCTTGATGGGGATGGCATTGAATCTATAAATTACCTTGGACAGTATGATGGATGGAGAATGACTTTGACGAGTTGAGAGAAGAAGGCTTCAGATGATCAAACTACTCCGAGGTAAAGGAGGAAGTTTGAACCGATGGCAAAGAAGTTAAGAACCTCAAAAAAAAATTAGACGAATGGTTAACTAGAATAACCAATGCAGAAAAGTCCTTAAAGGACCTGATGGAGCTGAAAACCACAGCACGAGAACTACATGATGAATGCACAAGCCTCAGTAGCCGATTCAATCAACTGGAAGAAAGGGTATCAGTGATGGAAGACGAAATGAATGAAATGAAGCAAGGAGAGAAGTTTAGAGAAAAAGAATAAAAAGAAATGAACAAAGCCTCCAACAAATATGGGACTATGTGAAAAGACCAAATCTACGTCTGATTGGTTTACCTGAAAGTGACGGGGAGAATGGAACGAAGTTGCAAAACACTCTGCAGGATATTATCCAGGAGAACTTCCCCAATCTAGGAAGGCAGGCCAACGTTCAGATTCAGGAAATACAGAGAACACCACAAAGATACTCCTCGAGAAAAGCAATTCCAAGACACATAATTGTCAGATTCACCAAAGTTGAAATGAAGGTAAAAATGTTAAGGGCAGCCAGAGAGAAAGGTTGGGTTACCCACAAAGGGAAGCCCATCAGACTAACAGCTGATCTCTTGGCAGAAACTCTACAAGCCAGAAGAGAGTGGGGGCCAATATTCAACAATCTTAAAGAAAAGAATTTTCAACCCAGAATTTCATATCCAGCCAAACCAAGCTTCATAAGTGAAGGAGAAATAAAATCCTTTATAGACAAACAAATGCTGAGAGATTTTGTCACCACCAGGCCTGCCCTAAAAGAGCTCCTGAAGGAAGCACTAAACATGGAAAGGAACAACTGGTATCAGCCACTGCAAAAACATTCCAAATTGTAAAGACCATCGAGGCTAGGAAGAAACTGCATCAACTAATGAGCAAAATAACCAGCTAACATCATAATGACAGGATCAAATGCACACATAACAATATAAACCTTAAATATAAATGGGCGAAATGCTCCAATTAAAAGACACAGACTGGCAAATTGGATAAAGAGTGAAGACCCATCAGTGTGCTGTATTCAGAAAAACCATCTCACATGCAGAGACACACATAGGCTCAAAATAAAGGGATGAAGGAAGATCTACCAAGCAAATGGAAAACAAAATAAAGCAGCGTTGCAATCCTAGTCTCTGATAAAACAGAATTTAAACCAACGAAGATCAAAAGAGACAAGGCCATTACATAATGGTAAAGGGATCAATTCAACAAGAAGAGCTAACTATCCTAAATATATATGCACCCAATACAGGAGCAACCAGATTCATAAAGCAAGTCCTTAGAGACCTACAAAGAGACTTAGACTCCCGCACAATAATAATGGGAGACTTTAACAGCCCACTGTCAACTTTAGACAGATCAATGAGACAGAAAGTTAACAAAGATATCCAGGAATTGAACTCAGCTCTGCACCAAGCGGACCTAATAGACATCTGCAGAACTCTTCACCCCAAATCAACAGAATATACATTCTTTTCAGCACCACACCACAACTATTCCAAAATTGACCACATAGTTGGAAGTAAAGTACTCCTCAGCAAATGTAAAAGAACAGAAATTATAACAAACCATCTCTCAGACCACAGCACAATCAAACTAGAACTCAGGATTAAGAAACTCACTCAAAGCCGCTCAACTACATGGAAACTGGACAACATGCTCCAGAATGACTACTGGGTACATAACAAAATGAAGGCAGAAATAAAGATGTTCTTTGAAACCAACGACAACAAAGACACAACATACCAGAATATGTGGGACACAGTCAAAGCAGTGTGTAGAGGGAAATTTAAAGCACTAAATGCCCACAAGAGAAAGCAGGAAAGATCTAAAATTAATACCCTAACATCACAATTAAAAGAACTAGAGAAGCAAGAGCAAACACATTCAAAAGCTAGCAGAAGGCAAGAAATAACTAAGAGCAGGGCAGAACTGAAGGAAATAGAGACACAAAAAACCCTTCAAAAAATCAATGAATCCAGAAGCTGGTTTTTTGAAAAGATCAACAAAATTGATAGACCACTAGCAAGACTAATAAAGAAGAAAAGAGGGAAGAATCAAATAGACACAATAAAAAATGATAAAGGGGATATCACCACTGATCCCACAGAAATACAAACTACCATCAGAGAATACTATAAACACCTCTATGCAAATAAACTAGAAAATCTAGAAGAAATGGATAAATTCCTGGACACATACACCCTCCCAAGACTAAACCAGGAAGAAGTTGAATCTGAATAGACCAATAGGAGGCTCTGAAATAAAGGCAATAGCCTACCAACCAAAAAAAGTCCAAGACCTGATGGATTCACAGCCGAATTCTACCAGAGGTATAAGGAGGAGCTGGTACCTTTCCTTCTGAAACTATTCCAATCAATAGAAAAAGAGGGAATCCTCCCTAACTTATTTCATGAGGCAAGCATCATCCTGATACCAAAGCCTGGCCGAGACACAACAAAAAAAGAGAATTTTAGACCAATATCTCTGATGAACACCGATGTAAAAATCCTCAATAAAATACTGGGAAACCGAATCCAGCAGCACATCAAAAAGCTTATCCGCCATGATCAAGTGGGCTTCATCCCTAGGATGCAAGGCTGGTTCAACATATGCAAATCAAGAAATGTAATCCAGCATATAAACAGAACCAATGACAAAAACCACGTGATTATCTCAATAGATGCAGAAAAGGCCTTTGACAAAATTCAACAATGCTTCATCCTAAAAACTCTCAATAAATTAGGTATTGATGGGACGCATCTCAAAATAACAAGAGCTATCTAATGAAAACCCACAGCCAATAGCATACTGAATGGGCAAAAACAGGAAGCATTCCCTTTGAAAACTGGCACAAGACAGGGATGCCCTCTCTCACCACTCCTATTCAACATAGTGTTGGAAGTTCTGGCTAGGGCAATCAGGCAGGAGAAGGAAATAAAGGGTATTCAATTAGGAAATGAGGAAGTCCAATTGTCCCTGTTTTCAGATGACATGATTGTATATCTAGAAAACCCCATCGTCTCATCCCAAAATCTCCTTAAGCTGATAAGCAACTTCAGCAAAGTCTCAGGATACAAAATCAATGTGTAAAAATCACAAGCATTCCTATATACCAATAACAGACAAACAGAGAGCCAAATCATGAGTGAACTCCCATTCACAATTGCTTCAAAGAGAATAAAATACCTAGGAATCCAACTTACAAGAGGTGTGAAGGATCTCTTCAAGGAGAACTGCAAACCACCACTCAATGAAATAAAAGAGGATACAAAAAATGACATTCTTCACAGAAATAGAAAAAAAATCTTAAAATTGATATGTAACCACAAAAGACCCTGAATAATCAAAGCAATCCTGAGCAAAAAGAACAATGCTGGAGGCATCACATTACCCGACTTCAAAATTTACTACAAAGCTATAGTAATTAAATCAGCATCACACTGGTATAAAAACAGACATAGACCAATGGAACAGAATAGAGAACCCAGATATAAATCCTTGCATTACAGCCAACTGATTTTTGACAAAGGTATCAAGAACATACAGTGGGGGAAAGGACAGTCTCTTCAATAAATGGTGCTGGGAAAACTAGATAACTACATGCAGAGGAATGAAACTGGACCCCTATTCCTCACCATAACAAAAATCAAATTAAAATGGATTTAAGACTTAAATCTAAGACTCAGAACTATGAAATTACCCATAAAAACATTAGGGAAATGTTCCAGGACCTTTGTCTGGGCAAAGATTTTTTGTGTAAGACCTCAAAAACACAGGCAATTGAGGCAAACATAGACAAATAGGATGACATCAAGCTAAGAAGTTTCTGCACAGCAAAGGAAACAACAAAGTGAAGAGACAACACACAGAATGAGGTAAAATATTTGCAAATTACCCATCTGACAAGGGATGAGTAACCAGAATACATAAAGTGCTAAAACAACTCAATAGCAAAAAACCAAATAATCCAATCAAAATTGGGTAAAAAATCTAAATAGATATTTCTCAAAAAAAGACATAAAAATGCCAACAGATATATGAAAAAATTTACCACATTCCTAATCATCAGAGAAATGCAATCAAAACCATCATGTGATATCATCTCACTCCAGTTAAATGTCTTTTATCAAAAAGACATTTTTGAAATAAGGCAATAACAGATGCTGCTGAGGATGTGAAGAGAGGGGAACCCTTATACACTATTGGTGGGAATGTAAATTAGTATATCCGTAAGAACAGTATGGAGGTTCCTCAAAAAACTAAAAATAGATCCAGCAATCCCACTACTAGGCATTTATTTAAAGGAAAGAAGATCATTATATTGAAAAGATACCTGCATTCCTATATTTATTGCAGTACTATTCAGAATAGCCAAGATAGAGAATCAACCTGTTTATCAACTAATGAATGGATAAAGTATGGTATATATACACAATGGAATACTAGTTGGTCATAACAAAGAGTGGAATCCTGTTATTTGCAGCAACATGGATTGAACTGGAGGTCATTATAATAAGTGAAATAAGGCAGGCACACAAAGACAAATATCACATATTCTTGATCACATTTGGGAGCTAAACATGATGTCATGGAGGTAGATAGTAGAATGATAGCTACCAGAGGCTAGGAAGGATGTGTGTGTTGTGGGGAGTGAAGAGAGGTTGCTTAATGGGTGCAAATGTACGTTTAAATGGAAGGAATAAATTCCAATGTTCAATACCAGAGTAGGGTCACTATTGCTGACAACAATGTGTTGTGTATTTCAAAATAGCTAGAAGAGAGGACTTGAAATGTTCCCAACACATAGAAATAAATATTCAAGGTGATGGATACCCTAAGTACCCTGACTTGATCGTTACACATTCTATACATGCAACAAAAAATCACATGTACTTCATAAAAATGCACAAATATTATATATCAATAACAAAATTACCCTGACAAACCCCTATCATCTGAATGTTGGTGTCCTCTCAAAATTCATGTGTTGAAACCCTAATCCCAGTGTGATAGTATTTGGAGGTGGGGCCTTTGAGAGGTAATTAGTTCATGAAGGTGGAGCCCTCATGAATGGAATTAGTACCCTTATAAGAAGCCAGTGAGCTAGCTAGCTCTCTTTATGCCATGTGAAGATACAACGAGAAGTTGGCAGTCTGCAACCCAGAACACAGCCCTCAGCAAAACCTGACCAACTATGATGGCACCCTTATCTCAGACTTCCAGCCTTCTCCAGAACTATGAGAAATATATTCTTTTTGTTTATAAGCCACCAAGGTTATGGCACTTTGTTATAGCAGCTGAAATAAGACACAAATCTCTTCTAAACTTAATTTATAATATTCATTTTTTATATAAATTATTGATTAAGATTTCTTCCTTCTCCTTTTCTTCCTCTTCCTCCTCCTCCAGCATAGGCATTCTCTTGGCAATTAGTTACTTAACCTAGCCTCCCCATCCCCACCCCTACCCCTATAACTCTGCTCTATTTTCACCCTTCTCCTGCTTGTTTATAAATGTCAATGTTACCCAATTTCTGGGGATAAGATGTCCCCCTGTCTGGGGAGTTCAGCTCTGCAGACTAGGGCAATGAGCTTTGGACTTGGTTGTGTGACCTGTGCAAATTGCCAACTACTCTGAGCTTCAGGTTTCTTCAACTGTAAAGTGGACCTAAGTAGCGTTACCTCTTAGGATTATTTTGTGATTTAAATGAGACAATTTGATGAAGTACTAAACACAGCACTAAAAGATGTTAGCTATTGTTACGCTTATTATTACAAAACAGAGGGATTTTTGGCCTTTATATTGTCTGTCTTCTCTTTCCTTGAATGTCTTTTTTTCTTAAATGTTTGCCCTAATGCTGAGAAAAATGGACATATGCAGCTTCTAACAGTTGTCTGTTAGTAGTGTCTGTAAAACAAACTAAATTTTTGGATGTTTTAGAGTGACATGATGAATTTGAGATTGTGGAATCAAAGACAGGCAACTCTTCACAGAGTTTTTTAAGAACATGGAATCTGGAGGCAGACTGCCTGAGTTTGGATCCTGGGTTTCCTCCACTCGGTAGTTGTGTGACCTTGGGAAAATTGCTTACCCTCTCTGTGCATCAGTTTCCTCATCTGTAAAATGGAGATTATAATAAAATCCTTATTTCATAAAGTTGTTGTGGGCTGGACATGGTGGCTCACGCTTGTAATCCCAGCACTTTGGGAGGCTGAGGAAGGAGGATAGCTTGAAACCAGGAAGTTCAGATCAGCCTAGGCAGCAAAGCTAGATCTTGTGTCTATCAAAAAAAAAAAATTAGTGCAGTGTAGTAGTGTGCACCTGTAGTCCCAGCTACTAGGGAGGCTGAGGCAGGAGGATGGCTTGAAGTTGAGGCCAGGAGTTCAGGGCTGCAGTGAGCTATGATTGTGTCACTGCACTCTGGCCTGGGCAACAGAGTAAGAACCTGAACCTAAAAAAATAAAAACAAAGTAAAATAAAGCTGTTGTGAGAATTCAGTAAGTTAATATATGTAAAAATACTTAGATTGAGCCTGGCACTTCGTAAGCACTGTATACATATTAGCTGTTCAACTATTGATCTGTAATGGCCTTTCCACAAGCAAAGGAGATTTTTCTGTCACCACCACCAAATTGTTATTTTTTGTGGCTTAGATGTTCTTTTCCTTTATATGTAGGAAGTCAAATTTTTGTAGTGTGTGTTTGCTTATATGTGTACATATATATAGATAAGTAAATATATGTAGTTTTGTTTAACTTATCTATTTTACTGAAATACTGTGTTGATTGTTTGTGGTGTGGAAGGGAACTTTTTCCTTTTGCCTTTGTCCATATGAACAAGTGAGACGGAGTGGGACCAAAGCACATCACCAGTGTGATTTATTGGAGGATGTCTGGATGGCTGAGAAGCAGTCATGGATGCTTCCCCTTGTCTCCACATGACTCAGATGTAGAAAGAGCCCTGGAGAACAAAGTCAACTGAATATTTTAGATCAGTCCATTAAAAAATTTTTATTTTTATTTTTTATATTTTCTCTTTTATAAAGCATACTGAATGTGAGAGGATCAGTCCATTTTGTGTGTGGCATAAAACCCCACATAGTCTCTTATAAGTCGCTGGTGCCTTTTCACCCCTAGCTTATTAGAGCAACTAAGGTTAGTGTTTTCCATTTTAGACTCCATGGCACTGGCAAAAGAGATGTCTTTTTGCATGGGGGTCATGTTATTTTGGTATAATACTTATTCTTTGGAAAAGTTTTTTCTTGTTGTTGTTATTTGTTTTAGATGAATTGGGCCAGTACAGATTAGGCTTTGAATGTAATTGTTCTTTAAAACACATATTATACTTAACATCTGTTCATATTTTTCTTAGAGGCAGTATGGTTTAATAAAAAGAACTTTAATTCATTAAACAAATAAATATTACATCTAATATATATTTATATTTATATACTATATCTAATAAATGCTATCCAGCTGTGCTGGGTGAAGAATAAATATGTGTCTGTATATGCATTGCCTCCTCCATCCTTCATGTAAAGATATTTGTATAACTTACATCTGGTGGGGAGACAGGTATTAATCTAAGAATCATGTAAATATAAAAGTAATTATGATTGGGGAAACAGCGTGGTACTGAGAGAAAGTATATTAGGAGAGAATTCTGTGTACTCAGGCCAAGGAAGGCTTCCTAGGAGGCAATGGCACTTGAGCTGAGATCTGGAGGACACGCAGGAGATAAGGAGAATATTCTGAACAGAGGCCTAGTGTATGCAGAGGTCCTGTGGCAGGAGGGAGCATGAGTTGTTTGAGGAGTAGAAAGGAAGTTAGTGTTGTCAGCGTGCAGTAGCAAGAAGGAGTTTGGTGAAAAGATGATGAAACTGTTGAGCGAGGTAGGAGCCAGAGAGACTAGAGCCTTGAGGGCTATGTTAAGCACTTTGCTGGAAAAAGACCTGTCAGATGTTGAGAGAATCTCAGGCCATGGCTTCTGGTGTGTGAAAAGAAGAAGAAGAAGGAGCAGCGGAAGGAGAAATGCCATAACATGGCTAATAATTAAGGCTATAAGTTAATATTCTTGATACATAAAAGAATAATTCATATAGGTATGCTATTCACAAGACAATTACAGAACTTACAAAAAATCAGTCTAAAGGGTACTATAGGTGGTATGGATGTAGTAGGACACTAATTTAAAGTTGTGTGATGAGCATCTTCTCTCAATCCTGTCACTGTGTCTTTGTGACTATATACAGGTAATTCCCCATTTAAACGTAGGGTGAAACTTCAAATTTGTGATCTTTCATGAATGTGCAGCTTAGGCCACATGACTTTCTTTGTGCATCAGTGATAGCCTCTAAATGCAAAACTGTTGAAATGTTTCAAGCAAGAGAAAGTGAGGTAGTCAGATATATGTGTTGAAAAAAATCACTTTCAATGTAAATTGATTTTACAGGGGCCCATGAGAATTTGGAGAGATCAGTTAGGACACTATCTCAGTAGTCCTGACAGAAGATGATAGAAGCATGTACCAGGGTGACAGCAGTGGAGGTAGAGAGAAACAAATGGATTGTTTTAATCTTTTCTAAGGAGAAATATAGAGAACAACCATAATTTTGGACTTTATAGAATGATGCCCTCATACTGGTGCTAGAATTTGGTAGCTTGGCTGAAAGGTAAACAAAAATTACTATACCAATGTAGTAATTCTTTTTTCCACATAATGATGCCTTTTTATGCTCTCATATGTGGCTATTTTTAAACTTTTTATTTGCCAAACAGCTGTTTGCATATATAAACAGTCACTTGGGCATGCAAATCACATAATTTGCACATATTAATACTTACACTTTAGCTTTGTTTTTAATGCAGAAATTGAAGAGGATTTGCCAACAAGCATTTATTGAGCACTGGCTATGTGCCAGGTAATAAAGGATTCTCATTTATAATCTCTACATTTGTGCTTTCCCCCCCTAAAATCTTATAACTTGTATAATAATTTTTAAAAAATGTAAACAATTTCAACTTAGGATCAAATAGCTTGGAGTTTAAAAGGAAAAAGGAAAAAGAAGTTGTGCTCTTTAGTTCTTCAATACTGGGAGGCAAATGTCTTGAGTGTTTTAAGAATCCTGTTAGCCTTTTCACCCTGTCTTTCCCACCATGTGCCCAGAATAATTGATTATCCATGTATGATTCTATGAGCATTGTATTATAGAAAGCAGAGAACAATGGACAAAGATAATGAAATCTCACATTTTCCCTGCCTACCTTTTTCTTTCAAACTAACCTAGATAAATAAAACTTCACATAAAAGCCTTTGAAATTTCATCATGGGTTTTTTGAAAGAGGTGAAAATTGACCTAGAAGCATTTGACCTATAACTTGGCTGCTACTGAAAGTCTAGCCTCATAATTCAGTGGTTCAGTGACAGCTTTGCCTATAAACCCAAGCCTTCATTTCACTGACATTTTCAGGTTTAGTCTCCTTGAAAATGCTAACAAAAGTGAAGCATATCATTTCTCTGCTTGGGACAGGAATGGTGATGTTTATGGAACCGTTTGCTGTCTCAGGGGTAATCTCCTGGATAATTTGGATTAACCTTATCGGTTCTCTAGATACCGCATTACCCAGGGTGGATGATCTCCAGAATAACCTTTTCAGATCTTAAAGTTTTAACCCCAGCACCATGTTTTATCAAAAACCTTTCAACAGAAATTCAACTATCCAACCAGGCTTACTTCAACTCTTTTGAAAGTGGCCTTCATCCAGGCAAGGAAGCATAATATCTTCTGTGAATAATTCTAATTAGAAAGTGAGGCATCCTGACATCTCTTTCTCTTTACTTTTTTTACAAGAGAGTTGTTATATATCAAAGTGCCTCTCTCCTCATATTTGGTCAAGTTTTGAAATTGATTACCCTGGAAAGGGGGGTTGAATGCTTTTGTTAGTTTATTTGCTAGTGAAGAGTTTACTTAAATGAGTGGAGAATTTTCCCTAAGGAAGAATTTGTCTTTTAGACTGGCAACAGAAAGAATCTTTCATTTATATTTTTATTGATCAAAAGTCCTTCTGGGCTTTTTTTTTTTAAAGGAAGAGGAAAAGTTAAATGCTTCCTGAAGCTGAGAGGAACCCTAAAATTCTGTCCCACTAAAGACATCCACATCCTGATAATGTTTTTAAAATCTAATTTAATGCTAAGAAATAATTATGTCAATAATGTAAGGCCAGAGCTTATAGTTCCGGTGTAAGGTTCTGAGTCTCACTTTCTCAAAAAAAAAAGTGGAAAAATAAAATAATTTTGCAATTGTATTTTTTTAATTTTCAATTTTTTTAAAGTTTTGTTTTCTGCAATTGTAATTATAATGGTGTAAGTTGGTGAGTCCAGGTGATTCTCTGTAGATTTTCTGGAGAATCTTCATTCAGTTAGAATCAGTTCAGAGTGATGGAACAGAGTGGAGGTGGCTGATAGGACTAATGCCAGATCTGCAATGGCTGGAGTACTTCCATGCTCTTAGTCAAAAGGGATAATGGAAGAAAAAGTTACTTTGCATTCATCATATTGAAACCTGACTTGTGCTTCTGAAAGTGTGGTGTCCAGAACACTTTAACCAATCTGCTTTAGTTTGCTTCTGAAAATAGAGTCTGAAAGTGAGTACTTCAGCTATGGAGTGTGAGAAAATGTTGATTGCAGTTGAAGCCCTCTAGAGTTAGTAATGCTAATTCGAGCACTTTTTTACATGTAGGGTGAAGGAAAGTATTGAGGTTGTCCTCAAAATTTAAGATCCTGCTGCTAATTTACTCTGTAATATACCTTGAGCTGGTCACAGTAAAAGATCCAACAATTTTACTTTAGAAGGAATGACTGAAGCCCCCTTCATAATAATAATTGTTTCTATTTCCTGATAATTTCCTTTGTGTGGGATGCTTTGCATGTATTAATATATAGTCTCATTAATTCTCACAACATGATCATCTCCATTTTACAGAGGTGAAAACTGAGATTCAAAAGATCTAGGCACATGCCTAAATTCCCCAGTCTGGGTTGAAATCCCACAGTGAAGCTGCTGTTGGAACCCAATGTGTTTCTGAAGTTTGTGCTCTCTTCTTGCCTATGAAATGCTTAGTGACTCCCTGTTGAATCCTTTTGAAAATAAAATCAGAGAGATTAATGGGAAAAGCCAGCATATGGGGATAGGGAAAGGAAGTGATTGTGAAGGCAGTGGCATTTTCATTCAATTACATATTTGGATTATAATATGTAGGGTGGGGCCAGGCAGTTAGAGAATGAGCCAGTTAGCTATCTAGAGGCATTTCTGCTGAGTTTGAGAGCACAGTCTATTAGAAAGATTAGTTCAGAGATTGGTAGGAGTATTTCTTGTTCTCAGACCAATGAACTAATGGAATTTTTTTTTTTTTAATTTTAGACAGTCTAGTGCCACCATGCCTGGCTAATTTTTTTGAATTTTTAGTAGAAACTGGGTTTCACCATGTTGGCCAGGCTGGTCTCAAACTTCTGGCCTCAAGTCATCACCCCCCTTGGCCTCCCAAAGTGCTGGGATTGCAGGCATGAGCCACCATGCCTGGCCCTGGAGTATGATATCCAAAGAAATAATACAAATAATAGTTATCATTTATTGGACTCATCCTAAGTGTGAAACACTTTTCATAAATTATTTTTAACCTTACAACATCTCTGTAATGTAGGTATTATTGTTTCTGTTGTATGTTTAAAGACACAAAGAAACCAAGTATCATGGAGGTTAAATCAATTTTCCTAGGTTGGCAAGCAGGTCCATCTTGATCCCGAGTGTATCAGTTTATTTTCACGCTGCTGATAAAGACATACCTGAGACTGTGTAATTGATACGGGAAAAAGGGTTTAATGGACTTACAGTTCCACGTGGCTGGGGAGGCCTCACAATCATGGCAGCAGGCAAGGAGGAGCAAGTCACATCTTACATGGATGGCAGCAGGCAAAGAGAAGAGAGAACTTGTGCAGGCAAACTCTGCCTTATAAAGCCATCAGATCTCATGAGACTTATTCACTACCAGGAGAACAGCACAGGAAAGACCTCCCTCCATAATTAAATTACCTCCCACCAGGTCCCTCCCACAATATACGGGAATTCAAGATGAGATTTGGGTGGGGACACAGCCAAACCATATCATTCTGCCCTGGCCCCTCCCAAATCTCATGGCCACACATTTCAAAACCAATTGTGCTTCCCAATAGTACCCCAAAGTCTTTTCTTTCTTTTCCTTTTTCTCTTTTGAGATGAAGTCTCCTCAGTTGCCCAGGCTGGAGTGCAGTGGCACCATCTTGGCTCACTGCAACCTCTGCCTCCCTGGTTCAAGTGACTCTCCTGCCTCAGCCTCCCAAGTAGCTGGGATTACAGGCTTGCACCACCACACCTGGCTAATTTTTGTATTTTTAGTAGAGACGGGATTTCACTATGTTGGCCAGGCCGGTCTCAAATTTCCAACCTCAGGTGATCCACCCACCTTGGCCTTCCAGAGTGCTGGGATTACAGGCATGAGCCACCACAGCCAGTCAATACCCCAAAGTCTTAACTCATTTCAGCATTAACTCAAAAGTCCACAGTCCAAAGTCTCATCTGAGACAAGGCAAGTCCCTTCTGCCTATGAGCTTCTAAAATCAAGAGCAGGTTAGTTACTTCCTAGATACAATGGGGGTATAGGCATTGGGTAAATATAGTCATTCCAAATGGGAAAAATTGGCCAAAACAAAGGGGCCACAAGCCCCATGCAAGTCCAAAATCCAGCAGGGCAGTCAAATCTTAAAGCTCCAAAATGGTGTCTTTTGACTCCATGTCTCATATCCAGGTCACACAGATGCAAGAGGCGGGCTCCCATGGCCTTGAGCAGCTCCACCCCTGTAGCTTTGCAGGGTATAGCTTCTCTCCTGGCTGCTTTCACAGGCTAGCATTGAGTTTCTGTGGCTTTTCCAGGTGCATGGTGCAAGCTGTTGGTGGAGCTACCATTCTGGGGTTTGGGAGACAGTGGCCCTCTTCTCACAGTTCCACTAGGTGGTTCCCCAGTTGGGACTCTGTGTGGGGGCTCTGACCCCACATTTCCCTTCTGCACTTCCCTAGCAGAGGGTCTCCATGAGGGCCCCACTCCTGCAACAAACTTCTGCTTGGGCATGTAGGTATTTCCATACATCTTCTGAAATCTAGGCAGAGGTTCCCAAACCCCAATTCTTGGCTTCTGTGCACTTGCAGTTTCAACACCAGGTGGAAGCTGCCAAGGTTTGGGGCTTCCACCCTCTGAAGCTATGGCCCGAGCTCTACATTGGCCTCTTTCAGCCAGGGCTGGAGTGACTGGGACACCAGGGCACCAAGTCCCTAGGCTGCACATAGCACGAGGACCCTGGGCCCAGCCCATGAAACCACTTTTTCCTCCTAGTCCTTTGAGGCTGTGATGGGAGGGGCTACCGTGAAAACCTCTGACATGCCCTGGAGACATTTTCTTTATTGTCTTGGGGATTAACATTAGTCTCCTCATTACTTATGCAAATTTCTTCAGCTGGCTTAAATTTCTCCTAATAAAATGGGATTTTCTCTTCTATTACATTTTCAGGCTGCAACTTTTCTGAACTTTTATTCTCTGCTTCCCTTATAATTCTGAATGCCTTTAATAGCACCCAAGTCACCTCTTGAATGCTTTGCTGCTTAGAAATTTATTCTGCCAGATACCCTAAATCACCTCTCTCAAGTTCAAAGTTCTACACATCTCTAGGGCAGGGCAAAATGCCACCAGTCTCTTTGCTAAAACATAACAAGAGTCATGTTTGCTCCAGTTCCCAACAAGTTCCTCATTTTCATCCGAGACCACCTCAGCACTGGACTTTATTTTCCATAGCCATTCAACAAGTCTCTTGGGAGTTCTGAACTTTCCCACATTTTCCTGTCTTCCATGGAGCCCTCCAAATGGTTCCAAGCTCTGCCTGTTACCCAGTTCCAAAGTTGCTTCTACATTTTTGGGTATCTTTTCAGCAGTGCCCCACTCTACTGGTACCAATTTACTGTATTATTTCGTTTTCACACTTTTATAAAGACATACCCAAGACTAGGTAATTGATACAGGAAAAAGGGTTTAGTGGACTTACAGTTCCACATGGCTGGGGAGGCCTCATTATCATGGCAGAAGGCAAGAAAGAGTAAGTTACATCTTACATGGATAGCCGCAGGTAGAGAGAAGAGAGGACTTGTGCAGGCAAACTCCACCTTTTAAAGCCATCAGATCTCATGAGACTTATTCACTATCAGGAGAATAGCACAGAAAAAACCTGCCCCCATGATTAAATTACCTCCCACTGGGTCCATCCCACAACACGTGGGAATTCAAGATGAGATTTGGGTGAGGACACAGCCAAATCATATCACCAAGTTTTCGTTCTTTCCACTGTATCTCACTGTCTCAGAGAAAAAATATTTGTCACCCTTCCTTACCCATTGCATGCTAAATATACGATTTGAGAATAAATGTCTTAGAACTATGTTTTAAGACTGATCAGTTTTGCATATTAGACTAGAGGTACTGGTAAGGGCACACAGTACGTTAGGTGGGTTAAAGTAGGTTTTAGAGAGGAGACACCCACAACATTTTCTTTTCTGATCTTATTATATAGTACCTTAGGCAAGTGTGGTCTGAAAGCAGTGGCACTGGTCTGAGAGGTAGACCATGTCTGCTTCCAAGTCACATAACTTCACTGAGCCCAATTCTCATATCTGTTTTGTTTTATCCTCTTTCTATTGCAGTGTCTGGCATATAGTAGGAATGAGATATATGATATGAATGAGGAGGCTGGGACTGCTAATTTTTAGTTGCCTTCAGTTATAAAATTCTGTGACTCAGGCATAGTAACTTTTGTTTTTTGATGATTTACTTGAGGAAAATCACATCAATCTCTCTTGTAAGGTCTTAACTAGTATGATATTTTGTAAGATATAAATAAGGGTCTTCTAGCAAAAGATAACAACACCATGTCTTTCCTTTGAAAGAGTTATGATAATTTATTAATAATTTGTATTGAACAAATGCCACAAATGTGATGGGTACTCTAGAGAAAATAGGACCTGTCCCACAGGTTCACAGTCTGAAGAATTTCATGGCATCAATATTAATGACTAAGTTTAAAAGTGACTACATTCCAGAGTCTGGTCACATATATTGTAGCACAGAAAAGATTCAGATTGAAATCAGCCCAGACATCACCAGAGAGAAGACAGTTCTCTAAAAGCCTATTCTATTGGTGGGACTTTTTCTTTGCTTCTTGTTGTTGTGGTTTGGAATGTTAGGCACTGATATGTGGTCTCATAAAGTATGGAAGCCAGCTGCTTTGTGCTTATATAGGAAAAGTCCAAAAGTCGGTAATTTGCCGTGTAAAGACCAATCGCATCTTGATTCTCAGTTTACTCACTTGGAAAAGTTGATAGAAGTGTTTGCATCATCAGTTTATTGTGGAGATTCATAATGAATGACTATAGAATAATCCAAGAAAGTTCTAGTTCCATGGCAATGATATGCATATTGCAAAATTTCCAGTCCTATGAAAAGATCAAAATAAATCTTTAGCTCATATTCATTGAAGTGTTTCAGTGGAACTTGAACCATGTGATTCTGTTACTCTTCTTTTCTAAAAGTCTTAATAACAAAAGAAAAGAAAGATAAGGGGGAAACTGTTTGTTCACAACAGTAGCATTAAGAAGTGTATAATTTGCAAAACCTCCTGAAACTGTGGTACTTTCTTCAACCACAAGTGGGGACTATTTGTAAATGTGTTGTTATATTCTCCAGAATTGTACTAATAACATATAGTTATTTCAAGTTGTAATTTATATCTTATCTTTTACTTGCAGAGAATTTGAAACAGTAAAGGAATAATGTTTCATGGAAAAATAGAAAACTCAGATGTTGCATAATGATTTTCTATTATTTAAAAAATTTATTTATCTCCTTACTAATTCATATATGTATTCATTCAATCAATATTATTAAATTTCACCTACTGAGCTAGGTGAAGAAGATAAAGAGATAACTAATCATAAGCTTTCTCATTTAATTTCTTTCTTATTAATTCAGGAACAGCTTGTTTTATTGGGGTTCATTGTATTGCACTTTGCAGATACTGGGTTTTTTAAAAATCAAAGGTTTGTGGCAACCCTGCATTAAGCATCTATCAGTGCCATTTTTCCAATAGCACATGCTCACTTTGTGTCTCTGTGTCACATTTTGGAAATTCTCATAATATTTCAAACTTTTTCATTATTATATAGCTTCTATGGTGATCAGCAATCAGTGATCTTTGATGTTACTATTGTAATTGTTCTGAGGCACTGCACACCACCCTCATATAAGAAAGCAAACTTAATAGATATGTGTTGTGTGTGTTCTGATTGCCCTACTGACCAATCTTTCCTCCATCTCCTTGCTTCTCCTTGGGCCTTCCTGTTCCCTGAGACACAACAGTATTGAAATTAGGCCACTTAATAACCATACAATGGCCTATAAGTATTCAAATAAAAGGAAGATTTGCATGTCTCTCATTTTAAATCAAAAGCTGGAAGTGATTAAGCTATGTGAGGCAGGCATGTTGAAACCTGAGACAGGTTGAAAGCTAGACTTCTTGTGCCAAACATTAGCCAAATTGTGAATGCAAAGAAAGTTCTAGTTCCATATTCTAGTTCTAGTTCTAGTTTTAGTTCCAAGATAAATTTACAACTAGAAAGTTCCAACTTTTCCAATTTGGGACTTTCCAAACTTCCAAATTTTGCAATATGCACATCATTGCTATGGAACTGGAACTTTCTTGGAACTAGAACTAGAACATGGAACTAGGTCTCTTGTGCCAAACAGCCAAATTGTGAATGCAAAGAAACTTCTAGTTCCATGTTCTAGTTCTAGTTCCAACTGGAACTTTCCATAATTTCTTGAAGGAAATTAAAAGTGATACTCCAGTGAACACACAAATAATAAGAAAGTGAAACAGCCTTATTGATTATATGAACAAACTTTGAGTGATCTGGATAGAAGAGAAAAGCAGCCACAACATTCCCTTAAGCCAAAGCCCAGCCCAGAGCAAAGCCACAACTCTCTTCAATTCTATGAAGCTGAGAGAGCTAATAAAGCTGCAGAAGAAAAGTTTGAAGCTAGCAGAGGTTGGTTCATAAAGATTAAGGAAAGAAGCCATTTCCATTACATCAAAGTGCAAGATGAAGCAGCAAGTGTTAATGTAGAATCTGCAACAAGTTATTCAGAAGATTTAGCTAAGATCATTGATGAGGGGACTACACTAAAGAATAGACTTTCACTATAGATGAAACTGCCTTACATTGGTAGAAGATAGCTTCTAGGACTTTCACAGATATAAAGGAGAAATCAATGCCTGGCTTCAAAGCTTCAAAGGACAGGCTGACTGTCTTGTTAGGGGCTAATGCAGCTGGTGGCTTTTTTTTTCAGACCTAGTTTTGCTCTTGTTGCTCAGGCTGGAGTGCAATGGTGCCATCTCAGCTCACTGCAACCTCTTCCTCCCAGGTGCAAGCGATTCTCCTGCCTCAGCCTCCTGAGTAGCTGGAATTACAGGCATGTGCCACCACGCCCAGCTAATTTTGTATTTTTAGTAGAGATGGGGTTTCTCCATGTTGGACAGGCTGGTCTCAAACTCCTGACCTCAGGTGATCTGCCTGCCTTGGCCTCCTAAAGTGCTAGGATTACAGGTATGAGCCACTGCATCTGGCCACAGCTGGTACTTAGGTTGAAGCTAGTGCTTATTTACCATTCTAAAAATCTTATGGCCCATAAGATTGGTGCTGAATTGACTCTGCCTGTGCTCTAGAAATGGAAGAGCAAAGTCTGGATGACAGCACATATGTTTACAGCATAGTTTACTGAATAGTTTAAGCCCACTGTTAAGACCTACTGCTCAGATAAAGATTCCTCTCAAAAGATTACTTCTCATTGACAATGCACCAGGTCATGCAAGAGCTCTGATGGAGATGTACAGGAGATGAATGTTGTTTTCATGCCTGCTAACACAATTTCCATTTTTCAGTCTATGGATCAAGGAGTAATTTCAACTTTCAAATCTCATGATTTAAGTAATACATTTAATAAGGCTATAGCTGCCTTACCGAGTAAGTCCTGTGATGGACCTGGCAAAATAAATGGAAAACTTCTAAAAAAGAGTCACCCTTCTAGATGTCATTAAGAACATTTGTGATACATGAGAGAAAGTCAAAATATCAACATTAGCAGGAATTTGGAAGAAGTTATTCCAACCCTCATGGTTGACTTTCAGGGATTCAAGGCTTCAATGAAAGAATAACTGTAGGTGTGGTGTAAATAGCAGCAGAACTAGAATTAGAAGTGGAGCCTGAGATGTGACTGAATTGCTGCAATCTCATAATCAAACTTGAAAGGATGAGGAGTTGCTTCTTACGGATGAGAAGAAAAAGTGGTTTCTTGAGATGAATCTACTGGTGAAGATGCTGTAAACATCATTGAAATGAAAACAAAGGATTTCGAATCTTATATAAAGTTAGTGGATAACTCACAGCAGAGTTTGAGAGGACTTACTCCAATTTTGAAAGAAGTTCTATTGTGTATAAAATGCTATCAAGCAGCATTGCATGCTACAGAGAAATCTTTCATGAAAGGAAGAGTCAATCAATGTGGCCAACTTCATTGTTGTCTTATTTTAACAAATTGCCACATCATCCCAATCTCCAGCAACCCCCCTCCTGATGAGTCAGCAGCCACCAACCCTGAGGTGTAACCCTCCACTAACAAGAAGATTATGACTTATTGAAGGCTCAGATTGTTGTTAGCATTTTTTAAGAGTAAAATATTTTTAAATTAAGGTATGTACTCTTTTTTAAGACATAATGCTATTGCACACTTAATAGACCACAGTATAGTGTAAACTTTTATATGCACAGGGAAACCAAGAAGTTTGTGTGACTTACTTTATTGTGATATTTGCTTTATCGTGGTGGTCTGGCATTGAACCTGCAATATCTCTAAAGTATGCCTATATTTATAATATATACATCAGTAAATAACGTATGAAGGTTACTTTTACTTTTCTGATATTCCTGCTAATTATGTAAGATTTTCTGTATTGATGAAGAAATTTATTCTGTATGATAGATCCCTATGAAGGAGGAAAGCCTTGAATACTCTGATATATCTGTAATAAGTAGAAATGTTACTAAATTGAATAAACCAGTAAGATAGTAATATAAAATTATGGTGCTTGCTAGAGACTCTTTGTATTGCAAACAGAAGAATATTTTAAGATGAAAACAAAAGCTATGTGACTTGAACTGACTCTTCTCTTGTATTTAAAGGTGTGAACCATGAGTATTTATTTGACTAATTCTTTAGGACATCTCTTCTTTGAGAGGATTCTCTATCAGTTGATAACTGGCTTGAAGCTGAAAAACAGGAATGTATTGACTTCGTATCTGAAAAGCTTAAGGTTTCAGACATAGTCTGATCCAGAGACTCGTGTAATGTCAATAAGATTATTTTTTCTTGCTCAGCTCTGCTATTCTCTTTATTGGCTTTATTTTGAGTGGGTTCTTCCCTCATGATAATAAAGTGGGTATTAGTAGTTCAGGTTTATGTCCTGTTTTCCCAGCAATTGAAGTGGAAGAGCATGCCTTTTTTCCCAATAGTTCCAATCAAAATGTAAAGATTGAGTTTTATTGATTCTGGTTGTTCTGCCTTCGGTCACATGCTCGTCCTTGGAACTAGTTTAGTGTCAGTCTTACCCAAACCATATGAACTGAGAATAAAGAAAGGGAAAAATCAGATTTCTGTTACTAGAAAGCGAGGGACTGAAAATAAATGTTCATTACATTTCTTTTATTAATGTTAACATAGAGGGAGGTCCTACTTGTTCTCTGCCTTATATCACAGATGAGGATTTCACATTTGACTGTCTCTCATCCTCGTGTACACATTTTCCCCTATATTACATATTTGGATTTGCTCACTAGTTTCTCTACAAGATCGTGGTTTATAACCAGAGATTTTCAGAAATATGAAATCCTTAAGTGGAGAATGCCTCCGTTTATAGCAGAAAAATTGTCCTATGCTGTTTAGGCACATGACTTGCCTTGGTGTGAAGGCATGTATTCTTACATCATCAAAATCCCCTGATATTGATATAAAATCAACTTTATAGAGCAGGACACATATTTTGTGTTCTCTTCACAAGGAACTTCTAATACTGGTGCCTCCTCAAAGAAAGAGAATTATGAAGCTGTGTGAATTATGTTAGAAATCATTTTTTTATTTGAAAATTAAGCTTCATTCAATTGTGTGGTTCTGTTTAGTCTAGTGGATTTCTGAGTGTTCAAGGATGGTTAATATCTGCCAAGGGAGGCATAAGGGAATTGGTACATCATAACAATAGAACAGGATGAAAGTTTTATATATCTTTCAATGAGGATGCAAGATCAACATACTCCATTTAAGAATATATTTGGAATTATTAAATGAAGTTTCATTGTGTTGCTGACTACCTTTCAGTAATTTATTTCTATAACAGTTTTTGCATTCCTAAAGACGAAAATTCTTTAACTTTGTCATAATATGAGATAGTCAAGATTTAGAAAACCAAACCATAATTGAATTTTAATTTAAAAACTCTTATGGGGTTGATAGAAACTGAGCTAGATTCCTAATATATCAGCAAACCATAAATGTAGAGGAAAAAAAAACTCAGACTCCATCAGAAAAGCCAGGCACATAAACACATAAGCATATTTAATACAGAAACAATTCAAACATAATATAAAGGTTTAAACTTTATGTTTAAAACATTGGATTCTTAGAGTGGTATTCAATTCCATACTATGAAATAAAGCATAACATATCAGAACTATTTTTACTGCCTGAACTTTTAGAACTATTTAAGAGTCTAATAAGTCTTGGATGCAGCAAGTAGGAACCTCAGAAGGTTTGCTTTTCTTTATCAGAAGATTCGTTCTTTTTTTTTTTTTTTTTTTTTGAGATGAAGTCTTGCCCAGTGGCCCAGGCTGGAGGGCAGTGGTGTGATCTCAGCTCACTGCAACCTCCGCCTCCTAGGTTCAAGCAATTCTCCTCCTGAGTAGCTAGGATTACAGGTGTGCACCACCACCCCCAGCTAATTTTTGTATTTTTAGTAGAGACGGGGTTTCACCATGTTGGTCAGGCTGGTCTCGTTCTTCAGAAGTGGGTGAGTAGGCAAGCACACTTTTTCTCTCTTGACTCTTGCATAGAATTGACTTTTGGTTTAATCTGTCCAGTGCAAAAAATGGTCCTTAGCTTTTATTAATAAAAATCTCTACTTTGAAGAAATCTGGGCAACCTCTGGGTAAACTCCCTAAAAGAAATAAATCCATAACTGATACAAATTTCAGAAGACTGAAATTTTCATGAATGACAATTCTGATTTAGTAAAATGACATTTAGTAAATGAATACTGATTTAGTAAAAACCAAAAGAGTAACACCTTCACTCAGAAACCCTGAGTTTCTGAGTCTGAAGCTATGAGTCTTGCATTGGGTTCTTTCTCATTAGATTTGTTTTTATACAACTTGTGTGTGTGTGTTTTTAATTATAATACTGGAGACGTGTTGAGATCTGGACTATGAAGTATTCTAATAAATAATGTAGTACTGTTGTGTAAAATAATAATGTCGTACTGTTTTGTAAAAAATGATAATAAACATAAATTTTATTATCATTGCATCTGTAATAGTAGTGTATTAGTCTGTTCTCATACTGCCAGGAAGAAATACCCAAGACTGGGTAATTTATAAAGGAAAGAGGTTTAATTGACTCAGTTCTGCATGGCTGGGGAGGCCTCAGGAAACTTACAATCATGGCAGAAGGCACCTCTTCACAGGGTGGCAAGGAGAGAGAATGAGAGTGGATCTGAAGGTTTTCCTTTGAAAACCATCAGATCTCATGAGAACTCATTCACTATCACAAGAACAGTCTGTGGGAAACTGCCCCCATGATTCATTTATCTCCACCTGGTCCCACCCTTGACACATGGGGATTATTACAATTTAAGGTTAGATTTGGGTGGGGACACAGCCAAATCATATCAAGTAGTTACTATTTTCATCATTTTTAATCTGCCAGACATTATGGCACATTACTTTAACCTTCATAACAAACCTAAGAGATGAATATTTCCATCCTCATTTTACAGATTACATAATTGAGGCCTAGATAATTTAAGTGATTTACTCAAGATCACTTGGCTAATAAAGGTCAGAGCTAGGATACAGACTCAGATTTTCTGGACTCCAAAGTCTTAAAAAGTTTGTATTATAGGTATCAGTGATTGAAGATCAAATTAATGAAATAAAGCAAGAAAACAAGGTTAAAGAAAAAAGAGTAAAAAGAAACGAACAAAGCTTCCAAGAAATATGGGACTATGTGAAAAGACCAAATCTACATTTGATTGGTGTACCTGAAAGTGATGGGGAGAATGGAACCAAGTTGGAAAACACTCTGCAGGATATTATCCAGGAGAACTTCCCCAACATAGCAAGGCAGGCCAACATTCAAATTCAGGAAATACAGAGAACACCTCAAAGATACTCCACAAGAAGAGCAACCCAAGACATAATTGTCAGTTTCACCCAAGGTTGAAATGAAGGAAAAAGTGTTAAGGGCAGCCAGAGAGAAAGGTCGAGTTACTCACAAAGGGAAGCCCATCAGACTAACAGTGGATCTCTCAGAAGAAACCCTATAAGCCAGAAGAGAGTGGGGGCCAATATTCAACATTCTTAACAAAAATAATTTTCAACCCAGAATTTCATAGCCAGCAAAACTAAGCTTCATAAGTGCAGGAGAAATAAAATCCTTTACAGACAAGCAAATGCTGAGAGATTTGTCACCACCAGGCCTGCCTTACAGGAACTCCTGAAGGAAGCACTAAACATGGAAACAACCAGTACCAGCTGCTGCAAAAATAGGCCAATTTGTAAAGACCATCGATGCTATGAAGAAACTGCATTAATTAATGGGCAAAATAACCAGCGAACATCATAATGAGAGGATCAAAATCACACATAACAATATTAACCTTAAATGTAAATGTGCTGAATGCCCCAATTAAAAGACTCAGACTGCCAAATTGGATAAAGAGTCAAGCCCCATCAATGTGCTATATTCAGGAGACCCACCTACGTGCAAAGATGCACATAGGCTCAAAATAAAGGGGTGGAGGAAGATCTACCAAGCAAATGGAAAGCAAAAAAAAAGCAGGGTTGCAATCCTAGTCTCTGATAAAACAGACTTTAAACCAACAAAGATCAAAAGAGACAAAGAAGACCACTACATAATGGTAAAGGGACCAATTCAACAAGAAGAGCTAACTATCCTAAATATATATGCACCCAATACAGGAGCACCCAGATTCATAAAGCAAGTCCTTAGAGACCTACAAAGAGGCTTAGACTCCCACACAATAATAATGGGAGACTTTAACACCCCACTGTCAACATTAGACAGATCAACGAGACAGAAAGTTAACAAGGGTACCCAGGAATTGAACTCAACTCTGCACCAAGCAGACCTAATAGATATCTACAGAACTCTCCACCCCAAATCAACAGAATATACATTCTTTTCAGCACTGCACCTCAACTACTCCAAAATTGACCACATAGTTGGAAGTAAAGCACTCCTCAGCAAATGTAAAAGAACAGAAATTATAACAAACTGTCTCTCAGACCACAGTACAATCAAACTAGAACTCAGGATTAAGAAACTCACTCAAAACCGCATAACTACATGGAAACTGAACAACTTGCTCCTGAATGACTACTTGGTAAATAACAAAATGAAGGTAGAAATAAAGATGCTCTTTGAAACCAATGAGAACAAAGACACAACATACCAGAATCTCTGGGGACACATTTAAAGCAGTGGGTAGAGGCAAATTTATAGCACTAAATACTCCCAAGAGAAAGCAGGAAAGGTCTAAAATTGACACCTTAATATCATAATTAAAAGAACTAGAGAAGCAAGAGCAAACAAACTCAAAAGCTAGCAGAAGGCAAGAAATAACTAAGAGCAGAGCAGAACTGAAAGAGATAGAGACACAAAAATCCCTTTAAAAAAAACAATGAATCCAGGAGCTGGTTTTTTGAAAAGATCAACAAAATTGATAGACCACTAGTAAGACTAATGAAGAAGAAAAGAGAGAAGAATCAAATAGACAAAATAAAAAATGATAAAAGGGATATCACCACTGATCCCACAGAAATACAAACTACCATCAGAGAATACTATAAACACCTTTATGCAAATAAACTAGAAAATCTAGAAGAAATGGATAAATTCCTGGACACATACACCCTCCCAAGACTAAACCAGAAAGAATTTGAATCTCTGAATAGACCAATAACAGGCTCTGAAATAGAGGTAATAATTAATAGCCTACCAACCAAAAAAAAAGCGCAGGACCAGATGGATTAACAGCTGAATTCTACCAGAGGTGCAAAGAGGATCTGGAAAGAGGGAATCCTCCCTAACTCATTTTACGAGGCCAACGTCATCCTGATACCAAAGCCTGGCAGAGACACAGCAAAAAAAGAGAATTTTAGACCAATATCCCTGATGAACGTTGATGCGAAAATCCTCAATAAAATACTGGCAAACCGAATCCAGCAGCATATCAAAAAGCTTATCCACCACGATCGAATCGGCTTCATCCCTGGGATGCAAGACAGGTTCAACATATGCAAATCAATAAATGTAATCCATCACATAAACAGAACCAATGACAAAGCCACACAATTATCTCAATAGATGCAGAAAAGGCCTTTGACAAAATTCAACAGCTTTTCATGCTAAAAACTATCAATAAACTAGGTATTAATGGAATGTATCTCAAATAATAAGAGCTGTTTATGACACACCCATAGTCAATATCATACTGAATGGGCAAAAACTGGAAGCATTCCCTTTGAAAACCGGCACAAGACAGGGATGCCCTCTCTCACCACTCCTATTCAATATAGTGTTGGAAGTTCTGGCCAGGGCAATCAGGCAAGAAAAAGAAATAAAGGGTATTCAATTGGAAATGAGGAAGTCAAATTGTCCCTGTTTGCAAATGACATGGTTGCATATTTAGAAAACCCCATCATCTCAGCCCCAAATCTCCTTAACCTGATAAGCAACTTAGGCAAAGTGTCAGGATGCAAATCAATGTGCAAAAATCACAAGCATTCTTATACACCATTAACAGACAAACAGAGAGCCAAATCATGAGCAAACTCCCATTCAGAATTGCTACAAAGAGAATAAAATACCTAGGAATCCAACTTACAAGGAATGTGAAGGACCTCTTCAGGAGAACAACAAACCACTGCTCAATGAAATAAAAGAGGACACAAACAAATGGAAGAATATTCCATGCTCATCGATAGGAAGAATCAATATCATGAAAATGGCCGTACTGCCCAAAGTAATTTATAGATTCAATGCCATCCCCATCAAGCTACCAATGACTTTCTTCACAGGATTGGAAAAAACTACCTTAAAGTTCATATGGAACCAAAAAAGAGCCCGTATAACCAAGACAATCCTAAGCAAAAAGAACAAAGCTGGAGGCATCACGCTACCTGACTTCAAATGTACTACAAGGCTACAGTAACCAAAACAGCATGGTACTGGTACCAAAACAGATATATTTTCAAATGGAACAGAACCGAGGCCTCAGAAATAACATCACTCATCTACAGCCATCTGATCTTTGACAAACCTGACAAAAACAAGCAATGGGGAAAAGATTCCCTATTTAATAAATGGTGCTGGGAAAACTGGCTAGCCATATGTAGAAAACTGAAACTGGATCCCTTCCTTCACCTTATACAAAAATTAATTCAAGATGGATTAAAGACTTAAATGTTAGACCTAAACCACAAAAACCCTTGAAGAGAACCTAGGCAATACCATTCAGTACATAGGCATGGGCAAGGACTTCATGACTAAAACACCAAAAGTAATGTCAACAAAAGCCAAAATAGACAAATGGGATCTAATTAAACTAAAGAGCTTCTGCACAGCAAAAGAAACTATGATCAGAGTAAACAAGCAACTTACAGAATGGGAGAAAATTTTTCCAATCTACCCATCTGATGAAGGGCTAATATCCAGGATCTACTATGAACTCAAACAAATTTACAAGAAAAAAACAACCCCATCAAAAATGGGCAAAGAATATGAACAGACACTTCTCAAAATAAGACATCTATGCAGCCAACAGACATATGAAAAAATGCTCATCATCACTTGTCATCAGAGAAATGCAAATCAAAACCACAATGAGATAACATCTCATGCCAGTTAGAATGGCAGTCATTAAAAAGTCAGGAAACAACTGATGCTGGAGAGGATGTGGAGAAATAGGAACACTTTTACACTGTTGCTGGGACTGTAAACTAGTTCAACCATTGTGGAAGACAATGTGGCTTTTCCTCGAGGATATAGAACTAGAATTACCATTTGACCCAGCAATCCCATTACTGGGTATACACCCAAAGGATTATAAATCATGCTACTATAAAGACACTTGCAAACGTATGTTTATTGCGGCACTATTCACAATAGCAAAGACTTGGAACCAACCCAAATGTCCATCAATGATAGACTTGATTAAGAAAATGTGGCACATACACCATGGAATACTATGCAGCCATAAAAAAGGATGAGTTCATGTCCTTTGCAGGGACATGGATGAAGCTGGAAACCATCATTCTCAGCAAACTATTGCCAGGACAGAAAACCAAACACCACATGTTCTCACTCATAGGTGGGAATTGAACAATGAAATCACTTGGACACAGGGCGGGGAACATCACACAATGGGGCCTGTTGGTGGTGGGGGGCTGGGGAGGGATAGCATTAAGAGAAATACCTAATGTAAATGATGAGTTGATGGGTGCAGCAAACCAACATGGTTCATGTATACCTATGTATCAAACTTGCACATTGTGCACATGTACCCTAGAACTTAAAGTATAATAATAAAAAATAAATAAAATAAACTTTTATTTACAAAAATATTTGTATTATAAAAAAATTAAGGCATGTGGTAAGATTTAAAAAATGCAGAAGGGCACAAAATAAGAGAGAAATTTCCTCTTTTCCCCTCTCCTGTTTCTAGTTAAGAATTTTTCAAATGCGTATACTTTATATACATATATATTTATGTATATATAAATGTGATAATGTACAGTACTGACCCTTGTAAAAATTGTTTATTTTTAATTTACATATGACAAAATTCACTCTTTTGGTATAGTATGAGTTTAAAATTTTTTCTTTATTTTACTATAAGAATATACTTTTAAAAATTAATAGATGACTTTTCAGAGCAATTTTAGGTTTTTGGAAAACTGCGTAGAAGGTACAGAATTTCATATCTTTGTTTCCTTCCTTCCCCACTACTCCCACTCTACTTTTCCTATTATTAACATAGTGCACTAGTGTTGTACATTTATTACAATTGATGAGGCCATATTTATACTTTATTATTAATAAACATAGACAGTTTACATTAGAGTTCATTTTTGCACTGTACATTTTATGAGTTTTGCCAAATGTGTAATTAAATATATACACAATTCTAGTATCACGCAGAATAGTTTTACTGTCCTAAATCCCCCTGTGCTTTATCTAGTTAGCTGTCTTATTCTCCCCCTGAACCTTCAGCAGCCATTGATCTTTTATTTCTTCTATGTTGTTTTAAAAATTTCAGTAGTTTTTGGGGTAGAGATAGTTTTTGGTTACATGGATGAGTTCTATAATGGTGAATTCTGAAATTTAATGCACCTGTCACCCAAGCAGTGTACACTGTACTGAATGTGTATTCTTTTGTTCCTCACCCCCCTTCCCAACCTCCCCCAACAATTCCCCAAAGTCTATTTTATCACTCTATATGTCCTTGAGTCCTCATAGCTTAGGCTCCCACTTATAAGTGAGAACATATAGTATTTGGTTTTCCATTTCAGAGTTACTTCACTTAGAATAATGGCCTCCAGCTCCATTCAAGTTGCTGCAAAAGACATTTCATTCCTTTTCATGGCTGAGTAGTATTCCTTGGTGTATATATACCACATTTTTTTTTAATCTACTTGTTGGTCAATAGACTCTTAGGTTGGTTTCATATCTTTGCAATTGTGAATTGTGCTGCTATAGACTTGTGTGTGTATGTGTCTTCTTCATATAATGACTTCTTTCCTTTGGGTAGATACCCAGTAGTGGGATTGCTAGATAGAATGGTAGATCTATTTTTAGTTCCTTAAGGAATCTCCATACTGTTTCCCATAGAACCACTGATCTTTCCATTGTCTCTACAGGTTGGTCTTTGAAAAATATCATATAGTTGAAATTATACATTATGTAGCCTTTTCAGATTGGCTTCTTTCACTTAGCTATATGATTTAAAGTTATTTTATATCTTTTTGTGGCTTCATAGCCTAGTTTTAATTGCTGAATAATATTCCATTGTCTAGATGTACCATAGTTTGTTTTTCCATTCACCTGTTGAAGGACATCCTAGTTAGTTCCAAGTTTTGACACCTATAAAGAGAAAGCTAATATAAACATTTGTGTTCAGGTTTTTTGGTAGATGCAAGTTTTCAGCTCATTTGGGTAAATATCAAGGAGTGTGATTGCTCAATTATGTAATAAAAGTATACTTAGTTTTGTAAGAAACAGCTAGACTGTCTTTCAAAATGGCTGTACCATTTTGCATTCCCACCAGAAATGAATGAAAGTTCCTGTTGCTCCACATTCTTGTCAGCATTTGGTGTTGTCAGTGTTTGGGGTTTTAGCTATTCTAATAGGGGTGTAGTGGTATTTCATTTTAAAAAAATTTCCAATTTTGTAAGGTCATATGGTATGGAATGTGTTCTCATATGCTTGTTCATAATCTGTACATCTTTGGTGATGTGTTTTTTCAGATCTTTGCCTAGTTTTAAATTGGATTTTAGTTTATCATTGTTGAGTATTAAGTTATTTTTGTATATTTGGATATTAATCCTTTATTCAATATGTTTTGCAAATATTTTATCCCAGTCTATGACTTATCACTCTTTGAATTGTGTCTTTTGTAGAGCAGAAGTTTTGAACATTAATGAAGTCCAATTTATTAATATTTTTTACAGATGATGCTTTGCTTTTGGTCTTATATCTAAAACATTATCACCTATCCCAACATTACTTAGATTATTTTCTATGTTTTCTTCTAGCAATTTTATAGTTTTGCATTTTAAATTTAGGTCTATGACCCATTTTGAGTTAATTTTTGTGAAATATGTAAAGTCTGTGTCTAGATTATTTTTTTAAAAATTATTTTGCTTGTGGATGTCCAGTTGTTCTAGAACCACTTGTTGAAAAGCCTCTTCTATCACCATTAAATTGCCTTTTATCCTTTGTCAGGGATCAGTTGGCTATATTTGTGTGGGTCTGTTTCTGGATCCTCTATCTTGTTCCATTCGTGTCTCTATTTATTCTTTTGTCAGTACTTCCTTGTCTTCATAACTGTAGCTTTATAGTAAGTCTTAAAGTCAGGTAGTGTCAATAAATTCTTCTCTTTTAATATCGTGTTAGCTATTCTAGTACTTTTGCCTTTCCATATGAAATTTACAATCCGTTTGTTGATACCTACAAAATAGTTTTCTGGGATTTTGATTGTGATTGCATTAAATCTATAAATTAAATTGGGAAGAATTGACATCTTAATATTGAATCTTTCTATCCATGAACATGGAATAACTCTCCATTTGTTTAGTACTTGTTTTATTTCTTTCACAGAGTTTTGTAGTTTTCCTTACACAGATCTTATACTTTTTTTTTTCAGTTTATACCTAATTATTTCATTTTCTGGGGTGCTAATGTAAGTGATGTTGTGTTTTAAATTTCAATTTCTAATTATTTAAAAATTGCTGGTAAGTAGGAAAGCAATTGACTTTTGTATCTTGACCTTGTATGCTGCAAACTTGGTTGGTTCATTCCTTTTTATTGCTGATTAGTATTCTATTGTATGGATAATATACAAGGTACGTCCTTCCAGTGCAATGACTTATGGGTTGATTGATTTTCTGTTGATTATTAATAAAACTACTATAAGTAGCATATATAGGTTTTTATGTCAATATACATTTTTTTAAAATTTTACTTTAAGTTCTGGGATACATGTGCTGAAAGTGCAAGTTTGTTACATAGGTATACATGTGCCATGGAGGTTTGCCGCACCTATCAATCTGTCATCTAGGTTTTAAGCTCCGCATGCATTATGTATTTGTCCTAATGCTCTCCCTCCCCTTTCCGTTGATCCATGACAGGCTCTGGTGTGTGATTTTTTTTTTTCTTTGAGACTGCGTCTTGCTCTGTCATCCAGGCTGGAGTGCAGTGGCGCGATCTCAGCTCACTGCAAGCTCCGCCTCCCGGGATCACGCCATTCTCCTGCCTCAGCCTCCTAAGTAGCTGGGACTACAGGCACCTGCCACCACGCCCGGCTAATTTTTTGTATTTTTAGTAGAGATGGGGTTTCACTGTGTTAGCCAGGATGGTCTCGATCTCCTGACTTCATGATATGCCCACCTTGGCCTCCCAAAGTGCTGGGATTACAGGCGTGAGCCATTGCGCCCGGACTTTTTTTAATTATACTTTAAGTTCTGGGGTACATGTGCAGAACGTGCAGTTTTGTTACATAGGTATACACGTGCCATGGTGGTTTTCTGCACCCGTCAACCCATCACCGACATTAGGTATTTCTCCTAATGCTATCCCTCCCCTAGTCCCCTACCCCCGCACAGGCCTTGATGTGTGATGTTCCCCACCTGGTGTCCATGTGTTCTCATTGTTCAGCTCCTACTAATGAGTGAGAACATGTGGTGTTTGGTTTTCCCTTCCTGTGTTATTTTGCTGAGAATGATCGTTTCCAGCTTCATCCATGTCCCTGCAAAGGACATGAACTCATCTTTTTTTATGGCTGCATAGTATTTCATGGTGTATATGTGTCACATTTTCTTAATCCAGTCTGTCATTGATGGGCATTTGGGTTGATTCCAAGTCTTTGCTATTGTACATCATGCTGCAATAAACATACATGTGCATGTGTCTTTATAGTAGAATGATTTATAATCTTTGGGTGTATACCAAATAATGGGGTTGCTGGGTCAAATGGTATTTCTGGTTCTATATCCTTGAGGAATCACCACATGGTTTTCCACAATGGTTGAACTAATGTACACTCCTACCAACAGTGTAAAAGAGTTCCTATTTCTCTGCATCCTTGCCAGCATCTGTAGTTTCCAGACTTTTTAATAATTGTCATTCTAACTGGCGTGAGATGGTATCTCATTGTGGTTTTGATTTGCATTTCTCTAATGACCAGTGATGATAAGCTTTTTTTTTCATATGTTTATTGGCCACATAAATGTCTTCTTTTGAGAAGTGTCTGTTCATATCCTTCACCCACTTTTTGATGTTTTTTTTTTCTTGTAAATTTGTTTAAGTTCCTTGTAGACTCTGGATATTAGACCTTTGTCAGGTGGAGAGATTGCAAAAATTTTCTCCCATTCTGTAGGTTGCTTGTTCACTCTGATGATATTTTCTTTTGCTGAGCAGAAACTCTTTAGTTTAATTAGATCCCGTTTGTCAATTTTGGCTTCTGTTGCAATTGCTTTTGGTGTTTTAGTCATGAAATCTTCGCTTATGCCTATGTTCTTTACCTAGTCAGCTCTCTTATTCTTACAGAATGTTCTGAATGGTGTCGCCTAGGTTTCCTTCCAGGGTTTTTATAGTTTTAAGTTTTACATTTAAGTCTTTAGTCCATCTTGAGTTAATTTTTGTGTAATGTTTAAGGAAGGGGTCCAGTTCCAGTTTTCTGCATATGGCTAGCCAGTTTTCTCAGCACTATTTGTTAAATAAGGAATTATTTTCCCATTGCTTGTTTTTGTCAGATTTGTCAAAGATCAGATGGTTGTAGATGTGTGGTGTTATTTCTGAGGCCTCTGTTCTGTTCCATTGGTCTATATATCTGTTTTGGTACCAGTACTGTGCTGTTTTGGTTACTGTAGTCTTGTAGTGCAGTTTGAAGTCAGGCAGTGTGATGCCTCCAGCTTTGTTCTTTTTGCTTAGAATTGTCTTGGCTATATGGGCTTTTTTTTTGGTTTCATATGAAATTTAAAGTAGTTTTTTTCTAATTCCGTGAAGAAACTCAATGGTAGCTTGATGGGAATAGCATTGAATCTATATACTACTTTGGGCAGTATGGCCATTTTCACGATATTGATTCTTCCTGTCCATGAGCATTGAATGTTTTTCTATTTGTTTGTGTCCTCTTTTATTTCGTTGAGCAGTGGTTTGTAGTTCTCCTTGAAGAGGTCCTTCACGTCCCTTTAAGTTGTATTCCTAGGTATTTTATTTTCTTTATAGCAGTCATGAATAGGAGTTCACTCATGATTTGGCTCTCTGCTTGTCTGTTTTTGGTGTATAGAAATGCTTTTGATTTTTGCACATTTTATTGTATCCTGAGACTTTTCTGAAGTTATTTATCAGCTTAAGGAGCTTTGGGGCTGAGACAATGGGGTTTTCTTAATATATAATCATGTCGTCTGCAAACAGAGACAATTTGACTTCCTCTCTTCCTATTTGAATACCCTTTATTTCTTCATCTTGCTTGATTTCTCCGGCCAGAACTTCCAATCCTATGTTGAATAGGAGTGGTAAGACAGGGCATCCTTGTCTTTTGCTAGTTTTCAAAGGGAATGCTTCCAGCTTTTGCCCATTCAGTATGATATTGGCCTCTTTGTGTTGAGAACATTCAAAATTCATTCTTCTAGCTCTTTTTTAATATACAATAATTGTATCACACTATAGTGTTATAAACACTAGAACTTATTCCAACTATCTAGCTGTACTTTTGAATCTGTTAACCAGTCTCTTAGTGATGTTGAGCATTTTTTCATATATCTGTAGCCCATTTGTGTATCTTTTTTTGAGCGATATCTATTCAGCTTATTTACCCATGTTTAAATTAGATTATTTGCTTTTTTTTTTAGTTGGCTATTGCGTTGTTTGAGTTCCTTTTATATTTTGGATATGAATTCCTTGTCAGATATATAGTTTGCAAATGTTTTCTTCCATTTTTCAGGTTGTTTCTTCAGTCTGTTGATTGTTTTCTTTGCTGTGCAGACACTTTTTCATTTGAGGTAATCCCATTACTCTATTTTTGCTTTTGTTGCCTGTGCTTTTGAGGTCTCATTTATAAAATCTTTACACAGACCCAGACAAAAATATTTTCCTTATGTTTTCTTCTACTATTTTTATAGTTTCAGGTATTTCATGTAAGTCTTTCATCCATTTAGATTTGATTTTTATATATCGTGAGAGATAGGGGTCTACTTTAATTTTTTTTGCATATGTATATCCAGTTTTCCCAGCACTATTTTTTGAAGAGGATGTTCATTCCCTAATAAATGTTCTTGGCACATTTGTAGAAACTCAGTTTACTGTAAATGCATGGACTTATATGTGGGCTGTCTATTCTGTTTGATTGGTCTGTGTTTCTGTTTTTATACCAATACCATGCTGTCTTTGTTACAATAGATTTGTAGCATATTTTGAGATCTGGTATGTGATTCCTCCAACTTTGGTCTTTTTGCTCAGCATTGCTTTGGCTATTCAGAGTCTTTTGTAGTTCCATTTAAATTTTAGAATTTTTTCAATTTCTACGAATAATGTTATTGGTATTTGCATAGGTATTGCATTGAAGCCGCAGATTGCTTTTGGTAGTATGGTAATTTTCACAGTATTGAGTCTTCCAATTTATAAATATTGGATTTCTTCTCATTTTTTTGTGCCCTGTCAATTTCTTTCATCAGTGTTTTATAGATTTTGTTGTCAAGATCTTTCACCTCCTTAATTACATTTATTCCTCGGTGGTTTATTTTATTTTTTTTAGTTATTGTAAATGGGATCGCCATCTTGATTTCTTTTTCCTCTAGTTTGTTGTTGGCATATAGAAATGCTACTGATTTTCATATGGTGATTTAGTGCCCTACAAATTTACTCAATTTGTCAGTTCTAAGAGTTTTGGTTGGAGCTTTTTTCCTTCATTTTTTCCTCTTTATTTTTTAATTTTAAAAACTTTTATCGTTTCACCTTTTATTTTAGATTCAGGGGGTACATGTGTAGGTTTGTTACCTGGGTATAGTGTGTAATGCTGAGGTTTAGGGTGTGATTGATCTCATCACCCAGGTCCTGAGCATAATATCCAATAGTTAGTTTTTCAACAGTTACTCCTCTCTTGCCACTCTAGTAGTCCCCAGTGTCTATGGTTGCCATCTTTATGTCCATGAGTACCTGATATTTAGTTTTCACTTATTATTTCACTTATAATATTACAAATATTATATGTAATATTTGATTTTTTGTTTCTGCATGCATTTGCTTAGGATAGTGGCCTCCAGCTGCATACACGTTGCTTCAAAGGACATCATTTCATTATTTTTTATGGCTGTGTAGTATTCCGTGGTGTATATGACCACATTTTCTTTATCCAGTCCATTGTTGATAGGCACTTAGGTTGATTCCACGTCTTTGCTATTGTGAATAGTGCTGCAATGAACATAAGAGTGAATGTGTCTTTTTGGTAGAATAATTTATTTTCTTTTGGATATATACCCAGTAATGGGACTGCTGGGGTTGAATGGTAGTTCTGTTTTAAGTTCCTTGAGGAATCTACAAACTGCTTTCCACAGTGGCTGAGCTAATTTACATTCCCACAACCAGTGTATCAGCATTGAATTTTTTTCTGAAGCCTCACCAGTATCTGTTGTTTTTTGACTTTTTAATGATAGGTATTCTGAGTGATGTGAGATGGTCTCATTGTCATTTTTGATTTGCATTTCTCTGATGATTAGTGCTGTGGAACATTTTTTCATATGTTTGTTGGGGTGTAGCTTTTAGAGTTTTCTATATATAAGATCATGCCATTTGTAAACAATTGACAATTTGACTCACTCCTTTCCAATTTGGATGGCATTTATTACTTTCTTTTGTCTAATTGCTGTGGCAAGCATATCCAATACTATATTGAATAGAAATAGTGAGACTAGACATCCTTGTCTTGTTCTAGATCTTACAAGAAAAGCTTTCAACTTTTCCCCTTTCAGTATAATGTTGGCTGTGGGTTTGTTATATATAGTCTTTAGAATGCTGAGATACACTCCTCCTATACCTAACTTGTTGAGAGTTTTATTATAAAGGATGTTGAATTTTATTAAATACTTCTGTGTCTATTGAGATGATCATGTGATTTTTGTCCTTCATTTTGTTGATAGGAAGTACCATGTTTATTGATTTGCATATATTGAACCAGCCTTGTGTTCCTGGGATAAATTCCACTTGATCATGACGAATGATCTTTTTAATGTGTCACCAAATTTGGTTTGCTAGTATTTTGCTGAGGATTTTGCATCTATCATCAGGGATATTGTCCTATAGTTTGTTGTTGTTGTGTCTTTATCTGGTCTTAGTATCAGGATAATGTTGGCCTCATAGAATGAGCTTAGAAAAATTGCCTCCTCTTCAATTTTCTGGAAGAGTTTAAAAAGTCTTGGTATTAGTTCTTTAAATGTTTGGCAGAATTCTGCAGCAGATCAATTAGTTATTTGGCTTTTCTTTGTTGGGAGACTGTTGATTACAGGTTTAATCTTCTTACTCATAATTGTTCTGTTCAGGCTTTCTATTTCTTCGTGGTTCAATCTTGGCAGTTTGTATGTGTCCAGAAATTTAACCATTTCCATTAGGTTTTTTAGTTTGTTGGCATATAGTTATCTGGAATAATCTCTAATGAGATTTTGTATTTCTGGCATTAGTTTTAATGCCTCCTGTTTTGTTTTTGCTTTTATTTATTCAGGCCTTTTGTCTTTTTTTTTGTTATTTGTCTAGTGAAAGGTTTCATGCTTTTGTTTATTTTTTCAAAGAAACCAACTTTTTGTTTCATTGATCTTTTGTATTTTTTAGTCTCAATTTTGTTTACTTTTGCTCTGATATTTATTATTTCTTCCTTAGACTAATTTTGGGTTTGGTTTGTTCTTACTTTTCTAGCCCTTTGAGATGAATTGTTAGGTTGCTTATTTAAAATATTTCTACTTTTTTGATGTAGGCATTTATTCCATAAACTTCCTCTTAATACTGCCTTTGCTGTACCACATAGGTTTTGGTGTGTTGTATTTCTTTTTTTATTTGTTTCATGAAATTTTCAAATATTCTTCTTCATTTCTTAATTGACTCATTGGACATTCATAGCACATTGTTTAATTTTTATGTATTTGTACTATTTTGAAAGTTCTCTTGTTATTATTTCCAAGTTAATTCCACTGTGGTCAGAAAAAATATTTGAGACTCGTTTTGTGGCCTAACATGTGGTTTATACTGGAGAATGTTCTATGTGCTGATGAAAAGAATATGCATTTCATAGCTGTTAGATGAAATGTTTTGTAAATGTCTATTAGGTCCATTTGGTCTAAAGTGCAGTTTAAATCCAATGTTTCTTTTGATTTTCTGTCTAGATAATTTGTCTAATGCTGACAGGGGGATGTTGAAGTCCCCAAGCTATGATTTCATTGGCATCTATCCCTCTCTTTAGATCTAACAATATTTGCTTTATATACCTGAGTGCTGTGGTGTTGGGTGTGTATATATTTACAATTGTTATATGCTTTTGCTGCATTGATTCCTTCATTATTATACAATGACCTTTTCATCTCTTTTCACAATTTTCCACTTAAAGTCTGTTTTATCCAATATAAATAAAGCTACTCTTGCTCTTTGGTTTCCATTTGCATGGAATATCTTTTTCCATCCCTTTACTTTCAGTCTATATGTGTCTTTTTAGGTGACATGAGTTTCTTGTAGGTAACATATGGTTAGGTCACTTAAAATCCATTTAGCCAGTGTGCATCTTTTAATAGGGGAATTTAATCCATTTACATTCAAGATTATTACTGATAGGCAAGGACTTACTCATGTTATTTTGTTAATTATTTTCTGGTTGTTTTACATATATTTTGTTCTTTTGTTCCTGTTTTATTGTTTATCATTACAGTTTGGAGATTTTATGCAGTGATAAGTTTTGATTATTTTCTTTTTTCCTTTGTGTAACTGCTTTATTAGTGAGTTTTTTACTTTTGCATGTTTTTATGATAGTGATTATTATTTTTTCACATCCAGATGTGGGAGTCCCTTGAGCATTTCTTATAGGGCTGGTCTAACAGTGATGAATTTCCTTAGTTTATGCTTGTCTGCAAATGACTTTATTTCTCTCTCATTTTTGAAGGATAGCCTTGCTGGGTATAGTATTCTTTCTCGGCAATAGTTTTCTTTCAGCAATTTGAATGTATCATTCCATTCTTTCCTGGCCTGTAAGGTTTCTGTGGAGAAGTCTGCTGTATGTGAATATGGATTCTCTTACATGTGACTTGACTCTATTCTCTTGCTGTTTCTGGAATTCTCACTTTGTTTTTGACTTTTGATGATTTGACTATAATGTAATTCAAGGAGGTCCCTTTGGGGTTGAATCTATTTGAGGATCTTTGAGATTCTTGGATCTGGATGCCCATATCTTTCCCGAGACTTGGGAAGTTTTAAAATATCATGTCATTAAATAGGATTTCTATATATTTTTCTTTATCTTCTCCTTCTGGAACTCCCGTAATACCAACATTTGTTTGCTTAGTGGTGTTATATAAGTCTTGTAGATTTTCTTCATGTTTTTTTCATTCTTATTTCTTTTTTTCTCTCTGACTAATTTCTAATGACCTATCTTCAGAGACCTTTTTCTCTTGATCAAATCTGGTATTGAAACTCTCTATCGTATTTTTTCATTGTACTTCATTCATCAAATTATTCAGCTGTGAGATTTCTATTTGGTTCTTTTGTAAAAAACGATTCCTATCTGTTGAATTTTCATTCATATTGTGAATTGTATTTCTGATTTTGTTGAATTGTTCATCTGTATTTTCTTATATTTCATTGAGTTTCCTTAGGATTATTATTTTAGCTTCTTTTTTTGGTAATTCATTGATTTCCTTTTCATTGGGTTCTCTTACTACACAGTTACGATGTTCCTCTGGTGCTGTCATATTTCCTTGCTTTTTCATGTTTATTGTGTCCCTGGATTCATGCTTATGCATCTGGTGGAACAATCATCTCTTTCAAACTTTCTAGTGTGGCTTTCATAGATTAAGAATTTCACCTGTAGTTAATTTTAGTGTGCCAGTTGGGAAGGTTATGGTGGTTCTGCTTCCAGACAGGTGCAGTGCTATAGCCTCTGTGCAGATACTTCAGCAGCTGTGTTCGACATTTGCAATAACTGTGGGTCCCTTAGTGGTCTAGGCTGTAGAAGTTTGTGGTAACAGTGGCAGTGGTGTAGGCTGTTAACATCCTTAGTGTCAAGGTCTTTTGGGGTTCTTCTATTCTTATTTTCCCAACAATGATGAGACTTAGCCAAGGGGATCCATCTTGATGTCAGGTCTGACATGGCCTACAAGCAGCAATAACAGTGCAGTTTCCAGGTGCAGGTGCTCAGAGTACCTACAGGGACAGGGTCCTAGGCTCAGGGTCTCATGAACCTATTGTGGCACCTGGTTCTTGGGGTGCAAGTTCACTCTCTGTGGCAGGGTTGAATATAGATTGCCCGGAGAGTCAGGATCTGTGACTGAGGCACTCCCTGGCATCTTGGGCCCAGGGAGTTGGTTGTAGCTGTTATTATACCTCTGAGAAGCAAGGCATAGCACTTGCCTGATTCTGAGGAAGAACAGGTGTTTGGAATATTTGGGTCTTGGAAGTAGTAGGGTATGGCTGCAATTCAGGAACCTGAGCCAATAGATCTCAGTGGCAACTTGGGTACCAGGGGATGAGTCACTGTGTAGTAGTGACACTATACCCTGGAATTTAGGGTTTGACAGTATACTAGATTCGGTGAGACCAGGTGCAGCAACAGCAAGTACCCCAAAATGGCAGAGCACAGCTGTTGTTTGGGCCCTGGGGGCAGACAACAACATGCTAATGGCTCCACTTCCCAAGTAGAGGGATGTGTCACAGTTCGGTCTAAAGGGAGCTAGTTCAGTTCCAGGGAAGCAGGGCATCAGAGTTCTTACGCCTGTAGGGTGAGGTGTCTCAACCCAGCCACTTCTCTGTTTATTTGGGATGTAATGTACTGTGTCACCTCAGTCCTGGGATGCCCAGCTATTCAGCTCAGCCATGATACCAATTCCCCAGGGGGCAGTGTGTTGCTTCTGCTCAGGCCTTGTGGGGCAGGAACTATTCTGAGTGGCCCAGGCACCATTTCCCTGGGATGCAGGGCACCACTTCAGCTTAGGTGCTAGGGTATGCAACCACTCTGGGCGACCAAGGCACCATTTCTTAGGATGCAGGGTACTTCTTCAGTCTAGGTACTGGAAAGGCTGCTCTGTGTGGCTAAGGTGGTTTTTTTTAGCAGGCAGGGAATCACTTCAACTTGGGTAGGTGAAACGACTCCACTTCTGCTTGCCTATGAGGAAGCTGTAATAGCTGTTTACAGCTCAGCTTGGGGCTGTTGGGACACCAGCCTGGGGTGGTTTGGTGGTGGCTTAGCATCAGGGATGAAGGGGATCTGTGGCTATTTGCCTCCAGAACAAGATACACTCCAGCTGTAGTTCCAATTCCAAGATGGTGTAGTGCAATAGCTGCACAGGCCACAGGGGTTGGGGTATAATATTGGTTTCTTCTCTGTGGGGAGCACAGCTAAGTGCTCCAGGCAGCTACCTCAGTTGGGCTTACTGCCTGTGAGCACTGCAGGGGACCCCATTGGTGAGTTCTCTAGGTGTCCAATGTGTTGATGGGGGTTGCTAGGCTCCCCTTGCTTACCTCCTCATTGTAGAGAGAGGTTTCTCCTAGTTTCCAGCTGATCCCATTTGGGGGATGGGGTGGTGAAGGATCAGAATTTCCTTCTGTTCTCTGTGTGTCTATCCCTAGTTTCTGTGCTTACCAGGGTTTTTGTTATGCCTCAGATGCACTCCAGCACTCTCCCTCAGTTATTTTCATGAAAATATCGCTGTTTATTCATTGTTCTGGATGTCTTTGTGAGGGGAATGGGCACTAGGGGCTTCTAATTAATTGGCTCTCTTGCTGATGTCACTCTCTCTTAATTTGGCTATTCTAGTTCCTTTGCCCTAAATATTTATACAATTTTAAGAATCAGCTTAACATCTACAAAAGTTGGAATTTTGATTCAGATTACTTTGAATGTATAGATGAATTTTTAAATAGATATGCTGAAAAAGATATCCTTTTCTTCACCCCCATCTTAAGGATAATGCACTGTCTTTCACCATTACTTATTATGATGTTAGCTATAGATTTTTTGCAGATGCACATTATCAGGTTGAGGAAGAAAGTTCTCTTGTAGGCTGTGTGCAATGGTTCATGCCTGCAATCCCAGCGCTTTGGGAGGCCAACGTGGGCAGATCACTTGAGCCCTGGAGTTTGAGATCAGCCTGGGCAACATGGCAAAACCCTACCTCTACAAAAAAAAAAAAAAAAAGAAAAAAAAATTAGCCGGGTGTGATGGCGTGCATCTGTAATAGTCCCAACCACTGGGGGCGGGCGGTGTTGAGGCAAGAGGATTGCTTGAGCCCAGGAAGTCGAGGCTGCGGTGAGCTGAGATCGCACCACTGCAATCCAGCCTGGGTGACAGAGAAAGACCCTACTTTAAAAAAAGAAGATTTTTTAATATTGAACCAGCTTTGCATTTCTAGATAACCTCCAGTTTGCTCATGATGAATTGTACTTTTATATGTTGCTGGATTCAATTTACTCATGTTTTGTTGAGGATTTATACATCTATATTCATAAAGATAGTGGTTGCAGTTTTTAAAATATAATGTCTTTTTCTGGTTTTGATATTAGTGTGATGTTGACCTCATAAAATGAGTTGGGAAGTGTTTTTCCCTCCTGCATTTTCTAGAAGAGATAGTGTAGAATTAATATTGTTTGTTCCATAAATGTTTGGTAGAAATTGCCAATGAAATTATCTGGACCTGGATTTTATAGAAATATTTTTAATTTCTTTAATATATACAGTAATATTTAGATTTTCTATCTCTTTTTGAGTGAGTTTTGTTATTCTGTCTTTCAAGACACTGGTCCATTTGACATAAGTTGTTAAATTTATGGGCCGACGGTCGTTTGTAGTATTATTATCCTTTTAATGTATATGGGGACTCATTCTTGATATTGGTAATGCGTATGTTCTGTTTTTTTTTTTCTTGGTCAGTCTGTCTACAGGCTTACAAATTTATTTAATCTTTCAAAGAACCAGCTTTCAGTTCATTGATTTTCTTCATTGTTTTGTTTAAAAAATTTTATGGATCCCTGGTTCTTAGATATATTTTTTCCTTCTTTCTGCTTGGTTTGGGTTTATATTGTTCTTTTTTTACTTTTTAAATTTTTGTGGGCATATAGTAGGTATATATATTAATGGGATGTATGAGATATTTTGAATCAGCCATACAATGTGTAATAATCACATCAGGGTAAATGAGGTACCCATCACCTCAAAGCATTTATCCTTTATGTTACAAACAATCCAATTATACTCTTTTAGTTATTTAAAAATGTACAATTAAATTATTGTTGCCTATAGTCACCCTGTTTTGCGAGCAAATACTAAATCTTATTCATTCTAACCAATTTTTTGTACCAATGGACCATCCCCCCTTCTTCTTCACCCCATTCCCCACTACCCTTCCCAGCCTGTTCTACCCATCATTCTACCCTCTATCTCCATGAGTTCAATTGTTTTAATTTTTAGCTCCTGCAGAAAAGTGAGAACATGTGATGTTTGTCTTTCTGTGCCTGGCTTATTTCACTTTACATAATGACTCCCACTTCCATCCATGCTGTTGTTGCAAATGACAGGATCTCTTTTTTTATGGTTGAATATACTCCATTATGTGTATGTACCACTTTTTCTTTATCCATTTATCTGTTGATGGACACTTAGGTTGCTTCCAAAACTTGACTATTGTGAATAGTGCTGCAATTAACGCAGGAGTGCAGATATCTCTTCAGTATACTGATTTCCTTTCTTTTGGGTATATACCCAGCAGTGAATTCCTGAATCATGGTAGCTCTATTTTTAGTTTTTTGAGAAACCTCTGTACTATTCTCCATAGTGGTTATACTAATTTACATTACCACCAACAGGGTACAAGGGTTCCTTTCCTCCACATCTTCACCAGCATTTATTATTTTGCCTGTCTTTTGGATAAAAGCCATTTTAACTGGGATGAGATGATATTGTAGTTTTAATTTGCTTTTCTTTGATGATCAGTGACTTTGAGCACCTTTTCATATACTTATTTGCCATTTGTATATCTCTTTTGAGAAATGTCTATTCAGACCTTTTACCCACTTTTAAATAGGATTATTAGATTTTTTTCTGTAGAGTTGTTTGAGCTATTCTGGTTATTACTCCTTTGTCAGATGAATAGCTTGCAAATATTTTCTCCCATTCCGTGGGTTATCTCTTCACTTTGTGGATTGTTTCCTTTGCTGTGCAAAAGCTTTTTAACTTGATGTGATACCATTTTGCTTTGGTTGCCTGTGCAACCAAATGGGATATTACTCAAGAAATGTAATTACTTTTACATTTATTTAATGTAGAGGATTACTCAAAAAATCTTTGCCCACTTCAATGTCCTGAAGCTTTTCCCCAATGTTTTCTTTCAGTAGTTTCATAGTTTGAGGTCTTAGATTTAAGTCTGTAATCCATTTTGATTTGATTTTTGTATATGGTGAGGGATAGGGGTCTAGTTTCATTCTTTTACATATGGATATCCAGTTTTCCCAGCAGTATTTATTGAAGAGACTATCCTTTCTCCAATAAACATTCTTGGCTTCTTTGTCAAAAATGAGTTCACTGTAACTGTTAAATGTATGGATTTGTTTCTGGGTTCCCTATTTTATTCCATTGATCGATGTGTCTCTTTCTATGCCAGTACCATGCTGTTTTGGTTACTATAGCTCTAGCATAATTTGAAGTTATGTATTGTGATTCCTTCACCTTTGGTCTTTTTGCGCAGGACAGCTTTGGCTATTCTGGGTCTTTAGTGGTTCCATATACATTTTAGGATTGATTTTTTCTATTTCTGTGACGAATGTCTTTGGTATTTTGATGTGGGGTTGTATAGAGTTTTACCCTGCAAACTTTGCTATATTGTACTGTCATTTTAATTCAGTTCAAAATATTTTCTAATTTTCTTTGAGACTTCCTCTTTGACCTATGGCTTATTTAGAAATGTTTTGTGTAAGTTTCACATATTTGGGAATTTTCCTGATATATTTCTGTTATTAATATCTAGTTTAATTCCTTTATGGTTCAAGAACATACTTTAACATTTCTCTTTTTTAAAATGTGTTACTGTTTTATATTATTTTTCTTTATCTGAGAGTGTTCTTATTTTATCATAATTTACAATGGATATTTTCACTGGATATAGAACTCAATAGTTCTTTTCTTTCATCACTTTAAAGATGTCCTACTCTCTTTTGACTTCTGTGTTTTCTGATGAGAGTTCTGCAGTCAAATTTTTGATCTCCTATATGTGATATGCCATTTTTCTTTTTCTTTTTGAGACAGGGTCTTGTTCTGTTGCCTAGGCTTAGAGTGTAGTGGTGCAATCATAGCTCACTGCAGCCTTGACTTCCCAGGCTCAAGAGATCCTTCTGCCTTAGCTTCCCAAATAGCTGGGACTAAAATTGTGCACCACTATGCCTAGCTAGAATTTTATTTTATTTTTGTAGTGATGGGGTCTCACTATGTTGCTCAGGCTATGTATCATTTTTCTGTGGTGGCTTCCAAGATTAAAAAAATTTGTCTTCGGTGTAAGGCATTTTATTGTGCTGTGTCTGTGCATGCTTTTCTTTAAGTTTATCCTATTTGGGGTTTGCTGAACTTCATGACTCTCTAAATTTATTACTTTCATTGAATTTTTTCAAGGATTTATTTCTGCACCAGTGTCTTTTTCCTTTCCTTTAGTGACTTTAATGAGAAAACAAGAGAAATTGAGCATCTTCCCATACTCCTCAACTCACTGGGATCCCTTTTTCCAATCCCTTTGCCAGGAAGACAGTTTTTTTTTTTTTTTTAAGAGAGATTTTGCTGCCTGTATCCACTGCTCAATTTTGCATGGGGAGTCACTTGTTAGTACAAGCTGGATGATAAATGTGTAAATAAAACTGTAAAACTCACCCCTATTGCAGATCCATCTTTAAGCTTGGGCTCTCTTTGCACTTTGGCTCCTATTGATTTTTCAGTTTCCCTATAGTTGCTTTTTAATTATGTCCAGAGTTCTTAGTTGCAGTAAGTGGCAGAGAGGGGCTGTAGTACGCTTGCTCCTTTTGGCTGTAAGTGTCACCACTGATTTTTTAAAATTTAATAATACATCTTGCAGATGCTTCCATGTCAGCACATACAAATTTGCTTTACTCATTTTAAAGTGACAGAGTTCTCCCTTTTTTGGATATATTATTGTTTATATAATAAATTGTTTATTTTGTTGCTAATAACAAAGCTGAGATCATTTTAATACATATATCTTGTTATATTTTTTGAGAGTATCTGTAGAGTGCATTTCTAGCTACAGAATAATGATTCAAAAAAGATGTGCATACACAATTAGCATCTAAAAATGTACACTTCTATGAACAGTGCCTGAGAATGCTCATTTTTCCACACTCATTGCTTGACTGGATGCCTAAAAATGTGCACTCCAGCCTGGGTGATGGGAGTGAAACTCTGTGTAAAAAAAAAAATTAGTCTTTTTTTTTCTGATAACTGCTTGGGGTTCATGTTTCTTTAGAAAGGTTACTTCCCACTCCCAAACCCTTAATAGAGATTTTAAATAAATTCACCCAGATCTTCCACTGGTTACTTTATATAATTTTATTCAGTCTGCATTCTTTACCCCTGGCAGCCAATGCAAAAATGGTGAATTAAAAAGGAACTCCACGCTGGGTGCAGTGCTCGCGCTTGTAATCCCAGCACTTTGGGAGGCCGAGGTGGGTCGATCACTTGAGGTCAGGAGTTCAAGACCAGCCTGGCTAACATGGTGAAACCCCATATCTACTAAAAATACAAAATTAGCCAGGCATGGTGGTGGGTGCCTGTAATCCCAGCCACTCGGGAGTCTGAGGCAGGAGAATCGCTTGAACCTGGGGGACAGAGATTGCAGTGAGCCGAGATCATGCCACTGTACTCCAGCCTGGGCAAAAGAGTGAGACTCTGTCTAAAAAATTAAATGAATAAATAAATAAATAAATAAATAGGAACTCCAATATTTTAGCATACTTGGCTCATGTATCCTTTTTTAAATTATTATACTTTAAGTTCTAGGGTACATGGGTGCAACGTGCAGGTTTGTTACATATGTACACATGTGCCATGTTGGTGTACTGCACCGGTTAACTTGACATTTACATTAGGTATATCTCCTAATGCTATCCCTCCCCTACCCCCGACCCCACTACAGGCCCTGGTGTGTGATATTCCCCACCTGTGTCCAAGTGTTCTCATTGTTCAATTCCCACCTATGAGTGAGAACATGTGGTGTTTAGTTTTCTGTCCTTGCTATAGTTTGCTGAGAATGATGGTTTCCAGCTTCATCCATGTCCCTACGAAGGACATGAACTCATCCTTTTTTATGGCTGCATAGTATTTCATGGTATATATGTGCCACGTTTTCTTAATCCAGTCTATCATTGATGGACCTTTGCGTTGGTTCCAAGTCTTTGCTATTGTGAATAGTGCTTCAATAAACATACGTGTGCATGTGTCTTTATAGCAGCATGATTTATAATCTTTTGGGTATATACCCAGTAATGGGATTGCTGGGTCAAATGGTATTTCTAGTTCTAGATCCCTGAGGAATCGCCACACTGTCTTCCACAATAGTTGAACTAGTTTACAGTCCCAGCAACAGTGTTAAAGTGTTCCTATTTCTCCACATCCCCTCCAGCATCTGTTGTTTCCTGACTTTTTAATGATCAGCATTCTAACTGGTGTGAGATGGTATCTCATTGTGGTTTTGATTTGCATTTCTCTGATGGCCAGTGATGATGAGCATTTTTTCATGTGTCTGTTGGCTGCATAAATGTCTTCTTTTGAGAAGTGTCTGTTCATATCCTTCACCCACTTTTTGAAGGGGTGTTTGGTTTTTTTCCTTGTAAATTTGTTGAAGTTCTTTGTAGATTCTGGATATTAGCCCTTTGTCAGACAGGTAGATTGTAAAAATTTTCTCCCATTCTGTAGGTTGCCTGTTCACTCTGATGGTAGTTTCTTTTGCTGTGCAGAAGCTCTTTAGTTTAATTAGATCCAATTTGTCAATTTTGTCTTTTGTTGCCATTGCTTTTGGTGTTTTAGTCATGAAGTCCTTGCCCATGCCTGTGTTCTGAATGGTATTGCCTAGGTTCTCTTCAAGGGTTTTTGTGGTTTAGGTCTAACATTTAAGTCTTTAATCCATCTTGAATTAGCTTTTGTGTAAGGTGAAGGAAGGGATCCAGTTTCAGCTTTCTACATAAGGCTAGCCAGTTTTCCCAGCACCATTTATTAAATACGGAATCCTTTCCCCATTGCTTGTTTTTGTCAGGTTTGTCAAAGATCAGATGGCTGTAGATGTGGGGTATTATTTCTGAGGTCTCCATTTTGTTCCATTGGTCTATATATCTGTTTTGGTACCATGCTGTTTTGGTTACTGTAGCCTTGTAGTATAGTTTGAAGTCAGGTAGCATGATACCTCCAGCTTTGTTCTTTTTGCTTAGGATTGTCTTTGCTATGTGGGCTCTTTTTTGGTTCCATATGAACTTTAAGGTAGTTTTTTCCAATTCTGTGAAGAAAGTCATTGGTATCTTGATGGGGATGGCATTGAATCTATAAATTATCTTGGGCAGTATGGCCATTTTCACAAGATTGATTCTTCCTATCCATGAGCATGGAATGTTCTTCGATTTGTTTGTGTCCTCTTTTATTTCATTGAGCAGTGGTTTGTAGTTCTCCTTGAAGAGGTCCTTCACATCCCTTGTAAGTTGGATTCCTAAGTATTTTATTCTCTTTGAAGCAATTGTGAATGGGAGTTCACTCATGATTTGGCTCTCTGTTTGTCTGTTCTTGGTGTATAGGAATGCTTGTGATTTTTGCACATTGATTTTGTATCCTGAGACTTTGCTGAAGTTGCTTATCAGCTTAAGGAGATTTTGGGCTGAGTTGATGGGGTTTTGTAAATATACAATCATGTCATTTGCAAACAGGGAAAATTTGAATACCCTTTGTTTCTTTCTACTGCCTGATTGCCCTGGCCAGAACTTCCAACACTCTGTTGAGTGGTGAGAGAGGGCATCCCTGTCTTGTGCCAGTTTTCAAAGGGAATGCTTTCTGCTTTTGTCCATTCAGTATGATATTGGCTGTGGGTTTGTCATAAATAGCTCTTATTATTTTGAGATAACGTCTCATCAGTACCTTGTTTATTGAGAGTTTTTAGCATGAAGCGCTGTTGAATTTTGTTGAAGGCCTTTTCTGCATCTATTTCTGCATCTATTGAGATAATCATGTGGTTTCTTTTTTGGTTCTGTTTATATGATGGATTATGTGTATTGATTTGCATATGTTGAACCAGCCTTGCATCCCAGGGATGAAGCCAACTTGATCATGTTTGATAGGCTTCTTGATGTGCTGCTGGATTTGGTTTTCCAGTATTTTATGAAGATTTTTGCATTGATGTTCATTAGGGATATTGGTCTAAAATTCTTTTTTTTTTGTTGTGGTTCCGCCAGGCTTTGGTATCAGGATGATGCTGGCCTCATAAAATGAGTTAGGGAGCATTCTCTCTTTTTCTACTGATTGGTGTAGTTTCAGAAGGAATGGTACCAGCTCCTCTTTGTACCTCTGGTAGAATTCGGCTGTGAATCCGTGTGATCCTGGACTTTTTTTGGTTGGTAGGCTACTAATTATTGCCTCAATTTCAGAGCCTGTTATTGGCCTATTCAGGGATTCAACTTCCTGGTTTAGTCTTGGGAGGGTGCATGTGTCCAGGAATTTATCCATTTCTTCTAGATTTTCTAGTTTATTTGTGTAGAGGTGTTTATAGTATTCTCTGATGGTAGTTTGTATTTCTGTGGGGTTGGTGGTGATATCCCCTTTATCATTTTTTATTGTGTATATTTTATTCTTCTTTCTTTTCTTCTTTATTAGTCTTGCTGGCAGTCTATCAATTTTGTTGATCTTTTCAAAAAACCAGCTCCTGGATTCATTGATTTTTTAAAGGGTTTTTTGTGTCTCTCTCTCGTTCAATTCTGCTCTGATCTTAGTTATTTCTTGCCTTCCGCTAGCTTTTGAATTGTGTTTGCTCTTGCTTCTCTAGTTCTTTTAATTGTGATGTTAAGGTTTCAATTTTAGATCTTTCCTGCTTTATCTTGTGGGCATTTAGTGCTATAAATTTCACTCTACACACTGCTCTAAATATGTCCCAGAGATTCTGGTATGTTGTGTCTTTGTTCTCGTTGGTTTCAAAGAACATCTTTATTTGTGCCTTCATTTCATTATGTACCCAGTAGTCCTTCAGTAGCAGGTTGTTCAGTTTCTATCTAGTTGAGTGGTTTTGAGTGAGTTTCTTAATCCTGAGTTCTAATTTGATTACACTGTGGTCTGAGAGACAGTTTGCATTTGCTGTGGAGTGCTTTACTTCCAACTATGTCGTCAATATTGGAATAAGTGTGATGTGGTGCTGAGAAGAATGTATACTCTGTTGATTTAGGGTGGAGAGTTCTGCAGATGTCTGTTAGGCCCACTTGGTGCAGAGCTGAGTTCAATTCCTGGATATCCTTGTTAACTTTCTGTCTTGTTGATCTGTCTAATGACAGTGGGGTGTTAAAGTCTCCCATTATTATTGTGTGGGAGTCTAAGTCTCTCTGTAGGTTTCTAAGGGCTTGCTTTATGAATCTGGTTGCTCCTGTATTGGGTGCATGTATATTTGGGATAGTGAGCTCTTCTTGTTGAATTGATCCCTTTACCATTATGTAATGGCCTTCTTTGTCTCTTTTGATCTTTGTTGGTTTAAAGTCTCTTTTGTCAGAGACTGGGATTACAAACCCTGCTTTTTTTTGCTTTCCATTTGCTTGGAAATGGAATCTTCCTCCATCCCTTTATTTTGAGCCTATTTGTATCTCTGCACGTGAGATGGGTCTCCTGAATACAGCACACTGATGGGTCTTGACTCTTTATCCAATTTGCCAGTCTGTGTTTTTTAATTGGAGCATTTAGTCCATTTACATTTAAGGGTTATATTGTTATGTGTGAATTTGATCCTGTCATTATGATGTTAGCTGGTTATTTTGCCTGTTAGTTGATGCAGCTTCTTACTAGCATCAATGGTCTTTACATTTTGGCATGTTTTTGGAGTGGCTGGTACTGGTTGTTCCTTTCCATGTTTAGTGCTTCCTTTGGGAGCTCTTCTAAGGCAGGCCTGGTGGTGACAAAATCTCTCGGCAGTTATTTGTCTGTAAAGGATTTTATTTCTCCTTCACTTATGAAGCTTAGTTTGTCTTGATATGAAATTCTGGGTTGAAAATTGTTTTCTTTAAGAATGTTGGATATTGGCCCCCACTCTCTTCTGGCTTGTAGAGTTTCTGCTGAGAGATCAGCTGTTAGTCTGATGGGCTTGCCTTTGTGGGTAATTCGACCTTTCTCTCTGGCTGCCCTTAACATTTTTTCCTTCATTTCAACTTTGGTGAATCTGATAATTATGTGTCTTGGAGTTGCTCTTCTGGAGGAGTATCTTTGTGGCGTTCTCTGTATTTCCTGAATTTGAATGTTTGCCTGCCTTGCTAGGTTGGGATGTTCTCCTGGATAAAATCCTGAAGAGTGTTATCCAACTTGGTTCCATTCTCTCTGTCAATTTCAGGTACACCAATCAGATGTAGATTTGGTGTTTTCACATAGTCCCATATTTCTTGGAGGCTTTGTTCGTTTCTTTTTACTCCTTTTTCTCTAAACTTCTCTTCTTGCTTCATTTCATTAATTTGATCTTAATCACTGATACCCTTCCTTCCACTTGATCAAATTGGCTACTGAATCTTGTGCATGCCTCACGTAGTTCTCATGCCATGTTTTTCAGCTCCATCAGGTCATTTAAGGTCTTCTCTACACTGTTTATTCTAGTTAGCCATTCGTCTAATCTTTTTTCAAGGTTTTTAGCTTCCTTGTGATGAGTTCAGACATCCTCCTTTATTTCAGAGATGTTTGTTATTACCAATCATCTGAAGCCTTCTTCTCTCAACTCGTCAAAGTCATTCTCCCTCCAGCTTTGTTCTGCTGCTGGCAAGGAGCTGCGTTCCTTTGGAGGAGAAGAGGTGCTCTGATTATTAGAATTTTCAGCTTTTCTGCTCTGGTTTCTCCCCATCTTTGTGGTTTTATCTACCTTTGGTCTTTGACGATGGTGACGCACGGATGGGGTTTTGGTGTGGATGTCCTTTCTGTTTGTTAATTTTTCTTCTAACAGTCAAGACTCTCAGCTGCAGGTCTGTTGGAGTTTGCTTGAGGTCCACTCCAGACCCTGTTTGCCTGTGTTATCACCAGCGGAGGCTGCAGAACAGCAAATATTGCAGAACAGCAAATGTTGCTGGCTGATCCTTCTTCTGGAAGCTTAGTCTTGGAGGGGCACCCAGCTGTATGAGGTGTCAGTCGGCCACTACTGGGAGGCATCTCCCAGTTAGGCTACTCGGGGGTCAGGGACCCACTTGAGAAGGCAGTCTGTCCGTTCTCATATCTCAAACTCTGTGCTGGGAGAAGCACTACTCTCTTCAAAGCTGTCAGACAGGGGCGTTTAAGTCTGCAGAAGTTTCTGCTGCCTTTTGTTCAGCTTTGCCCTGCCCCTAGAGGTGGAGTCTGCAGAGGCAGGCAGGCCTCCTTGAGCTGCGGTGGCCTCCACCCAGTTCCTAATGTATCTGTAAGTAAATTTTTCATATATGTCTTACAGGTCTGAGTCTAATGTTCAGAATAGAAAGAACTTAATTATTTAATTTTTAGACTTGAGGTTAGCGTACTATTAAACTTTATAGGGTAGCCTATGAAGACTGACAGGGCAAAATGAAAGAAAAATATTGTAACACATTAGCTTCTGTCCATGCATGTGTCCCTTTTGTTTATAGAGCTAGTACCTGTGGTTGCCGAGGCTGGGCTACTCTGCATCATTTGCCGACTTGCAGGGATTTTAGCAGTTATTTGATGGATATAGTGAATGTTGGCCATAATGCCATTTGCTCAAAGGTAAACACTTATCTACATAAATTATGTGCCATTCAGCTTGAATGATAAATTGAGAAAGCAGAAAATGGGTTTTCCATCCTTTCTGCATTCGTTCTGAAATACTGGCTTAAGAGATACAGAGAGAATAAATGTGTTCCTTTTATGCAAATACCTTTTAATATTGGCATCTATGTAAATGATGTGTCCTTTTCTACAATAAATATGTAAAAAATTTTCCAAGATAATTAGATTTATCTGTATATAATATTAAAATTTTTAAATTTATTTTAAACTTTATATATAGTAACATTCATTGTTTTTGGCACACAGGTCTATGAGTTTTGATAAATGCATAGTTTGTATAACTACCACTACCAAGATATAATTCCATTATTACTCCCCAATTTCACTTGTGCTGCCCCTTTGCAGTTAACACCTTTCCTGTCTCCATCCCAGCAACAACTGTTGTTATCTGTTATCTGTCCTTATAGCTTTGCCCTTCCTGAATCATGTATGCTTCAAAATGGATGTGTAAAATATGCTAATATATTTTAGTCACCATTTCTCATAAAATTTATGTTTTGCCTGCTAGTGACATATAAGGATTCTATTTGAAATTATATGGACTATTTCATCTCTGCTCACTCTCTGTGGACTAATAGATATTTTCTCAGAGTCAGTAATCTTAAGATCTTTGGTCAAAGCATTGCTATTATGCTGTTCTGTATAAAAGTTTGTGCAGTTAAAAAGTTAATAGTGATAGAATAGATCACACTTCCTATTTTACATGGCTTTTCAAAACTCAGTCATGCTTTTATGACAGTCTGTACTGAAACTACACCCATTGCTATGATTAAGGCCTTTTTATACCTTGCTGTATTCATATATTTAGAATTCTGCCCACTTTCTGTTTCTTTCCCTGTCTCCAAAACAGCATATATGCACTGAAGAAAGGTAGAAAATATTGATGAGCATAACAGATTTGGGGGAGAGGGGTTTATACTTTAGCTAGTATTAATTCCTGTGCAGTAAGAAATGGTTAACTGTCTGCTATTGATATTTAGACCTACTTTAGATACCACAATAATCATTTCTGAAAAGCTGTTAGTTTTTCTTTTGCTTAAACATGACCTCTAACTTTATTCTGTTTTGATCTTTATCATTTGTTTTAAATATCATGTCATATTTATTCTTTGCTTTCTAAGTTTTGCAATGGCCCTTGGCCAAAACCAACAATATTCTTATCTAACCTGATCTTATCTATTTGAATTAGTTTAAATGCTCAAAATAGAAAGTTATAAAAATAATTTGTTCCAGAGTTAAAAGGAAATTATTTTGTTTCAGAAAATTGAGTAGATACAAATAATTGTTTTTTCATGACAATTGTCTTGTAATCTTATGCATAATTTACTCTTAATTCGTTGAAACTTTATTAAGTTAATCTCTGGAGTCTTGTTCAAGTTAAATCTATATTTTTTGTATAAATGGATAAGGTTCATTTAAAAAAAGTTTCCAGTGACATTGAAATGAACATAAACTGTATTCCAAGTGTCTTGGATAGAGACTGTTTCAATGAGGAGTAATTAATTCATGCATTCATACTATAGTAAACTTTTACCTGACTATCATTAATGTACCAGATACAATGTGAGGTACTGAGTATACAGAAAGGAAATTTTATATTTTATAATTACAACTATAAGCCTCAAAAGTGTTTTTTTAAATCCATGTAATCTTTTTTTCCTTCATAATCACATCTAAATGATCACGAAGTTCTGTCAATATAACCCTCTAAATCAGTGGTTCTCAACATTGACTACATAAGAAGCTCACCAGGGAGTTTTTAAAAAAATATTGATGCCTGGGTTCCACTGCCAGAGACCTGACTTGAAATATGCAGTTGATTCCAATGTGTAGTCAAGAATGAGAATGGTTGCTCTAGATCAGGAGTTGGCAACTTTTCCTGTAAGGAATTGGATAGTAAATATCTCAGGCTTTGGAGCCATATGGTCTTTGTTGTTACTATTCAATTATTCCACTGCAGTGGGAAAGCAGCCATAGACACTATGTAAACAAATGAGTGTGGCTGTGTTCCAATTAAACTTTATTTATGGACACTGAAATTTGAATTTCATTTAATTTTTGTGTGTCATAAAATCTTCTTTTGATTATTTTTAACCATTAAAGATGTTAATAACCATTCTTAGATCATGGGCTGTATAAAAAAAAGGCATTAAGTCATATTTAGTCCATGGGCCATAGTTTGCCAACCCCTGCTCTAGAACAACTTATAAACCTAAGAGTCATATGTGGAATTTTTAGTAAAGTTCCTTGCCTTAACTCTGGAGACTCTGATTCAGGAGGTCTGTATGTTGTGCAGGCAGGCTTTAATTTCTGTTCTAAAGATTTATTGAATATTTTTTTATTTCCAAATCCCTACCACCATTTCCCCATTTTAGGTTTTTTTATTACCTTGCACCTGGACTATATTACCATGTAGTCCTTTACCTGTATTTTCAGTCCAGATTCTCACTAATCAATCTTCTACACTGCCACATTTCTTACCTTGCTTTAAACCTTCCAATGGCTTCCACTGCCTAGCAACTCATACAATGGTTTTCATTATCTGGCCTTTTCCTGTGAATTGCCTCCTCGTGCTCTTGGTTCTTGGTAAAATGGGCTATTTATAGTTCATACCATGCTGTTTCTTGTTTGTATGTTTTGTCTCATATTGGTCCCCCTGTCTGAAAAGCCCTTTTCTGGTGGCAAATGTCTACTTGTCCTTCAAAATGCAGCAATATTCTCTAGTGCCTCTTTCTTCGTGTCTGGGTTAGATGTGTGGGTCAGATGGTCCCACTCTGTGTTCCAATAGGCCATTTGTTTACGTTTTGTATAACATATATTACTTGACATTGAAGTAATCTGTTTATAAGTGAATTATTTGACATCAGAAACCCAGTTCGCCCAGGAGGCAGAGGTTGTAGTGAGCCAAGATGCCGAGATCTCGCCACTGCACTCCAGCCTGTGTGACAGAGTGAGACCCAGTCTCAAAAGAAAAAAAACAAAAACAACAACAACAAAAAACAAATGAAACCCAGTTCGATTTATCCTTTTTTTTTTTTTTTTTTTTTTTTTAACAGAGTCTCACTCTGTCACCAAGGCTGGAATACAGTGGCATGATCTCAGCTCGCTGCCACCTCTGCCTCCTGGGTTCAAGTGATTCTCATGTCTCAGCCTCCCAAGTAGCTGGGACTACAGGTATGTGCCACCATGCCTGGCTAATTTTTGTATTGTTTGTAGAGACAGGGTTTTATCATGTTGGCCAGGCTGTCTCAAACTCCTGACCTCAAGTCATCTACCTGCCTTGGCCTCCCAAAGTGCTGGGATTACAGGCATGAGGCACCATGACCGGCCTGATTTATCTTTATATCATAGCACTTAGTGAAATATTTGATGTATAGTAGGTGCTCAATAAATGCTTATTAACCTGAACCCTGTGGGGAAAAAAAAAAAAAGCAGGGCAGGTTCTCATTGTTGCTATTGTACAGACAAGATGACTGAGGGTCTGAGGCAGTGAATGACTTTCTTAAGGGCTCTCCCAACAACTAAGTCAGAGAGTAAAAGGCACCTTTCCAGCTCCAGGCCTTCTTCTTGTTACCCCAGCTGCCTCTCTAGTATGGCTGCAAGTCATCTGTGAGCACTGCAATTATATGTTGTTGTGGACACTGCAAGCACTGCAATTACATGTACACTAGAGTTGACAGTCATGAAATCTGGCCTCAAATCTCAGCTTTTCTACTAATTGGGGATATGGGCTCCAGTTTCCTAGTATGTAAAATGAGGAGATTCAATTAGGTTTTTAAGATTATTTAATTCTTAAAAAAATTAAGTTCTGTCAAATAGTTATTTTTACTTAGTTTTCAAGCCCATTTATTAGAACCCTATTACAAAATGAAAGCACAGAAATGTGAACTACTTTGTTCAAAGACTCTCTGCAACCTGGGAGTAGAACTCAGGAACAAGCCTCTATTAGTTTTCTATTGCTGCCATGATAAATTACTACAAACGTTGCAGCTTAAAACAATGTAAGTTTATTATCTCACTGTTCTACAAGTTAGAAGTTTCAGTGGCTTAGCTGGCTTCTCTGCTTAGAGTCTCACAAGGCTAAAATCAAAGTGTCTTATCTGGAGGTTCTGAGGAAGAACTGGTCTTCAGGCTCATCCAAGTTGGAAGAATTCAGTTTCATGTGCTTGTAGGACTGACGTCCTCATTTCCTTGTTGGCTGTCAGCTGAAGGCTGTTCTCAGCTTCTAGAAGCTACATATTCTTTAGCTTACAATCCCCTTCACCCATCTTCAAGTCCAGCACCTAGGGTCTGCTTACTGACCTTCTCTTCTGTTGCTTCTCTTTTGACTCTGTCTGCTTCTTTTGCTTTTAACAATCATGTGATTACATTGGGCACACCTGTATAATCCAGGCTTAGCTCCTTCTGTTAAGGTCAGCTGATTAGTAATCTTTATGACATGTCTGCAGTGTCTCTTCATAACAGTGCCTAGACTACTGTTGATGGAATAACCAGGGGATGGGAATCTTGGGTGACATTTTTAGAATCCTGCCTGCAACAAAGCTCAAATTACTTGATCTTTAAGGAAAGGTGCTTGCCATTATTACTTATATCCTAATACAAGTTTGACTTTCTTGATATTCAATCATTTTCAACATCTTGCTTATTCAGAAAACTTACTTACAAATATACCCTCCCAACAAACCTCATATATGTAAGATAATACAAATTTATAATGTATTTTTGATGGTGCAGTTATTAGGGCTATCCATTGTTAATTTATCACTTATTAAATATTTACTTTGTGTCAGTAATACTAGTTCTCAGTGCTGAAGATAAAATAATGGAAAAGTTGGAAGCTTTACATACAAAGAACACATTCTTTTACTTCTCACATATTTCTCTAGCACTTATCACGTGTCAAGATTCTTCTATGTTTTGAAAATAGAGTGGCGGAATAAGACATTGTTCTGATGGAGCATACAGCAAAATAAGAAGTATGAAACCAAACAGATGAGCAAGTGAATGGATAATACATTGGTAGATGGTTATGAGTGTCATGAGGAAAAATAAAGCTGGATAATGGAATAGAAGGTGATAAGGCAGTGTGTTGGGTGCTGTTGCAGAAGGGATAGTCAGAGAAGGCTCCTTTTAGGTATAAACCTGAGTAAAGTTAGAAAATTCTAGTTAAGAGGACAGAAAAATAGGATGACAATGACCACACAGTGCAGTAAAGGTTATGAGAGAAGTGAACATACACATAAGAGAATAAAGGCACACAGAGGGCACATCTAAGCCAGGGGCCAGGAAGCCTGTAGGAGTTAATACCTAAGTCAACACCTGAAAGATGGATATGAATTAGCTACTTGGGTGGAGAAGGAAGGTGTTGAAAGCCAAATGAGCAGTATTTGGCAAAAGTATATATGTTACAAAAGGCAGAGAGAAAATTATATATGGTTCAGGATGGCTGTGCACGAGTTTGGGGTGGGGGAGAATGATGGGAGGTGAGGCTAGTGATGTAGGCTAAATCAAATCATAAGGATGGTGTTTGCTGTAATTAGAAGTTTCATACAGAAGACTGCTTGAAAACATTTTGTGACATGATCAGATTCATAATTTCATAACATCACTAGTAGTGTGAAATATGAATACAAATGGGGCAAGACCAGAAGATGGGAGAAGAACTGTAGATGCATTACATGAAGACTATACCAAGGTGGCTCTGGTGAGAATGAAGAGGAGGGGGCAGAATCTAGACACAATAGGAGCATAAAATAAATAGGATTTGAAAGTCTTCTGGAGGTAAATGATGAGAGAGGACAGAATCAAGTATCTGCCATGGTTAACTGGGTATAGCAATTCATGGAGATAGGAAATACTGGAGGAAGAATAGATTTGGGGTAAAAATTGAGGAATTAAGTTTTTGACATATTGAATCTGGATTTTCAAGGCATAGTTAAATGAATATTTTCAACAGGCAATTGGATATTCTTGTCTGGAGCTCAGACCGCAGAAATTAGGGGTGGTCATTATATTGACGATAGTTGAAACCGCAGACTGATGTCACCTAGGAAAAAATGTACATGATGGGAAGAGAAAATGGGCTTAAGAGAGAAGTGCAAAAAGAGAAACCAAGAAGAAGAGGTAGGTAGTGTCACAGAAGCCAGGGGAATTTCAAGAATTATTTAGTTTTAATACCTTAAAAAGTCTACTACATCTTCTGAAATAACAAAGTAATTAAACAGCAAAGATCAAGTAATTAAGTTCAAGTAACAAAGAATACTAACCTTTCCTGGACTACTCACTCCACTTCCCCCAAATGATGCAGACTAGTGGAAAGTTTTCTAGCACATGAAAAAAACTAACAGTTCAGGAAATTAAAAATCATCAAAATGGCCCATGGCTGTTTTCCAAGGATTAATGGAAGACCTATTGCATCACAACCAGTTAAGGTATGTGTGAAAAATGAAAATTCCCAGTTTCTAACCCAAATCCTATTGAGTGGGAATTTCTGCTGAGAATAAGAAACATACATTTTAAATGTTTCCCAGCTGATTTTTGTGTACATTTTCAATTGAGAGCCACTAGTCTTCAAGAAATGCAATAGCTTTTTAAATGTTGAAAATCTATTCTCAGAGAGTTAGAAAAGCAAAGAAAAAGCATATATTAAGGTTGATTTGAATAAAATACAAAGTGTTACTACATAGTGGAAACTGCAATTGAGAATTATTAGAAATACTGAAAGGTACCAGTGAAGCATTATGCTTCTGATATATAACAATAAACATATAAAATTTATATAATAATACTCCCTCTATGTATTTCTAGAAGAGAAAACATGGCATAGAATTTATCAAAAAGAAAAACTTAGTAGGAAAACAATTTCCAGTAATCAAAAAATTATTAACTAGAAATATAAAACATCATAGTTTTAGCCTATATTTTAAATGCATTTGTATTGAGTTCAACATACATAAAAGTATGCTAATCATAAACATACAGCAGGATGAATTGTCACAAAGTGAGCTTAGGACACGGATTAAGAAATAGAATATTATTCACCCTCCAGAAGTCCTATGTTGGCCTTTCCTTCCCCAGTCACTAGCATCCCTCCTTCCCAAAGGTAGCTACCTTAGTTTACTTTGGCTGTTTTGGAAAGTTATATAAAATGGGATCTTATAGTATACTTTTAAATTGTATATTCCTTTATGCCTGGCCTCTCATATTCAATGTTATGCTTGGGATTTATCTATGTTGTGTGTAACAGTAGTTTATTCATTTTTACAGCTGATAGTATTCCTTGTATCAATATACCATAATTTATATACTGTTGATAGACACATGGGCTGTTTCCAGTTTGGGCTATTATGATATGAACATTTAAAAATATATTTTGATGATTATATTTATACATTTTTTGTTTTTAAAGATAGAGTCTCACTCTGTTGCTGAGACTCGAATGCAGTGGCATGATCATAGCTCACTGTAGCCTTGGTTTTCTGAGCTCAAGTGATCCTTCTGCCTCAGCCTCCTAACGTGTTGGGATTATAGGCACAAGCCACTGTGCCTAGCCAAACATTTTGGTTGAGTATACACATAGAAGTAGGATTTCTGCATCATAGCAGATACATATGTTTAATTTTAGTAGACACTAACAGTTTTCCAAAGTAGTGGCACCAATTTACATATATTACTTCCACCAGTAATGTATGTGAATTTCAGTTGTTTTGTGTACTTGTCAATATTTAGCATTGTCAGTCTTTTTAGTTTTAGATCTGGAAGGTAAGTAGTAATATCTTCTTGTGGCTTTCATTTTTATTTACTTTTAGATTTATGAGGTTTATTGGCCATTTGGATATCCTAAATTATAAAGTGCATTGTACAAATCTTTTGCCCATTTTTTCTATTGTATTGTTTGCTTTTCTCTTATTAATTTGTAGGATTTCTGTATACATTCTGCACACGTCTTTTGTTGGATATATGTATGACAGTGATTTTCTACCACTCATTGGCTTCCATTTTTACTTCCTTAACGGTGTCTTTTAATGAAAAGAAGTCCTTAATTTTAATTAAGCCCAATTTATAAATTTTTTCCTTTATGGCTACTGCTTTTATAACCAGTTTAAAAGATATTTTTCTACCCTAAAGTCATGAAGATAGATTTTCTAAAACTATGTAATCACCAAATGGATTCTTCCTGCTTGCTGCACAGGCAAAATCAATTCACTACAACTGTGATATTGCAGTGAAGAAAGAGTTTAATTGACATGAGCCTAGCCATGCAGGATAACTGGAGTTATTATTCAAAACAGTCTCCCTGAAGGCTCAAAGGTTGGGTTTTTCAAGGATAGTTTGGTGAGCAGGGGGCTAGGGAATGGGGAATGTGATTAATTAGGTCAAGGATGGGGGTTGAAGTGGGTTCTTCTTGCTGTCTTCAGTTTCTTGGTGGGCTTGCAGAACTAGTTGAGCCAGTTTACCAATCTGGGTGGTACCAGCAGGTCCATTAGAATACAGGGTCTGAAAAATATCTTATAACACTAATCTTAGGTTTTACAATAGTGATGCTATACATAGGGGCAACTGGGGAGGTTGGGAATCTTGTGGCCTTTGGCCGCATGACTCCAGGGCCATAATTTCTAATCTGGTGACTAGTTTGTTAGTTTTCCAAAGGTAGTCTTGTTCCCAGGTAAGGAGGGGGTTTGTTTAGGGAAGGGGCTATTATCATCTTAGTTTCAAAATTAAACTATAAACTAAATTCCTGCTATAGTTAGCTAAGTCTATGTCCAGGAATTAACAGGGCAGCTTGGAGATTAAAAGCAATATGGGGTCAGTTAGGTCAGATTTCTTTCATTGTCATGATTTTTCTATGTCTGATTTTTCTTACTGCTATAATTTTTGCAAAGGTAGTTTCAATCATATTCTAGAAGATTGATTTTTATTGCTTTTTCATATTAATCTACACTCTATCTAGAACTGATTTTGTCTATAGGATGAAGTAGAGATGAAGATTTGTTTTCATAGGAATATTTAATTGATCCAGTATCATTCACTACCCATTTAAAGGAAACTAAAATATTACACTCCAAAATATACTTCTTTGACATATTTTGAGATGGGTATTCAGAGGACTTGTAGACAGAAATAGTCCTGAAAAGCCGCCTTTTGTGGAGGAGACTTGCATCTGTAGAGAAAAATCTGCATTGGTGCAATAAATAGCCAGGCTTTTCCGAAGTCACTCCATCCCTTGTCCAGATCTAGGAATGATTAAGTCAACCACAAGCTAACATCTATTCTTTCAGAGGGCAGCTCTGAGATTACCTGAGCTATTTTCATTTGTATAAATGATGAATAAAAGCCTTTGCTTGACATGGTTTCCCTCCTTTACTATCCCATAACCTGTGATGCCACCTCTGCCAGAGCCCAGAGAAACTTGATCTCAGGCCATTGTTCTTTGGACTCATTCATTTCCCATGAAAATCATTTACTGTTCCTCAAAAGAATTGTCTACATTCCCTATTTCCCGCTACCCTATGAAGGATATATAAGCTTCTGCATTCCACTGGGTTATTGGGTAATTATCCTCCTGCAATTTTCCTATGCTCTGCATGTTAAAATTAAGTTTGTGTGCCTTTTCTTGTATTAATTTATCTTTGTCCGTTGATTTTCAGCAAACCTTTAGAGGGCAAGGGGTAAGTTTTTCCTTGGCCCCTGCACATTCTCCATTGCACTACAGTGCCATCTTTGACAAATCAAGTGGTTATGTGTATATGGATCTGTTTCTCTCTTCTCTATTTTGTTCCACTGATCTATTTTTTAACTACTTGAATGGGAGATAACCTGGGAATATTGGGTGTTCTAGACTTTTAAAAAACTACCCTATTTTAATTACTGTAGCTTTATAATAACTCTTGATATCTTATAGTATAAGTCCTTCAACTTTGTTTTTCTTCTTCAAGATTAGCTTCTTATTCTTGATCCTTGGCACTTCTATAAAAATTTTAGAATCAGTTCAATAATTTTCATAAGCTGTCTTGTTGGATTTTGAATTGACTTTGTATTTAATCTATAGGTAAATTTGTAGATAATTAATATTTTTTATAATATTTCATCTTCCAATCCATGAACAGGTTATATCATTTATTCCATTGATTGGAGTATTGAAGTCTTCCTTAATTTCCCTTAGCAATACTTTATATCTTTCTGTGAAAAAGCTTTTTTTTTTTTACATCTTTCATGAGATTTATCTCTAGGTACTTTATGTTTTTAATGCTAATGTAAATTGTATCATTAAAACATTTTTATTTTCTAATTCTTTACTGTTGATATATTTGACAAGATGTTCCTTTTTATATGTTGCTTCACTGTCCATGAATCTTGCTCACTAGCAAGGCTTTGCATGAACTGACTGGTTCTCTTCTCTGGTATTGTTTTCTATTATTCTTACCTTTACTCCAGGTCTGTCTGTTCCTTGATCCAACCTGTTCCTGCTTCAGGGCTTTTTCCTCCTCTTTCCTTTACCTAGATTGTCTTCCCAGATCCTTGGCTGGTTCAGTTTCATTGTTTAGTTCAAATAATACCTTTTCTGAAAGACTTTCCCTGGTCATCCTACCAAAAATAGTTTTCCTCTTTTCATCACATTTTCCTTGTACCGCTTTTTCTTATTTGAAATTATCTTATTTGTTATTTGCTTATTATCTTTCTCACTCTGGTGGAATATAAGCCACAGTAGTCAGGTCCCTTATCTGTTTTGTTCACGTCTATGTCCTGCTCCTAAAAGAGCATATTAATGGTTCCCAACTCATGATGGTTCAATTTATACTTTTTTTTTTGACTCTATGATGGGTTTATTTGGGTATTAAATGCATTTTGACTTTTGATATTTTTGGCTTAATGATGGGCTTATCAGGATGTAACCCCATCATAAGTGGAGGAACATCTATAGTTTCTGGCTTTATTAATATTTATTCAAACAATGAACGAATGACATGGCTGAATCTATTCAGCTTTCTCCAAATGTTGGCATCTTAAAAACATCAACTGTCGTAATCTTTAAAAGTGTAGTAGCAGTTATGCATGTGAGTTTTAAGCCAGATTACCTGGGTTCAAATACCACTTTTATAGATTATTAAATGCACATTGAGATTATTAAACTCACATTGAGCAAATTACATGTCTCTGTAAGCTTCTTTCATCATTCTCTTCTTCCTATGGGAATAATATTGGTATCTACCTGAAGGGTTATTAAGAGGATTATACAAGATAATCCATGCCCCACACTTAGAACAAAGCCACATAGATCATAAGTACTCTTAAGTGTTGGTTATTAATTGTAATATAAGGATAGTATAGATAATTATGTGATCTTGCCTTAAATATGGGTAGGATCAGCAGAAATTGGTGTGGAAAGCGTTGAGGGACAGTGAGAAAGTTCTTCTGCTTCAAAAGTTTTACATGGCTGCTAAATTCCTTCACATTTTATCTTTGGGTATTTTTTCTTGTGGATTTAGTTGTGGTTTGTCCTCACCAAGCAGCTATGCTGGTTACACAAAGGATGATCAGGGGTTTGAAGACAGAAGACAAAGTATCCAGAGATTAGGGGAGGCCAATGTAGAAGGAACCCAACAAAGATGGGTGCATGTAGAAGGTAGATTCTATCGGGGAGATCTGGAGAGGATGGGAACATGGGTGCAGACTTTACTTCAGAAGGAGAGCTTCTGTTTTTAGAAGGACTTGAAGGAAACAAAGCCCTCAGATACAAAGGAACTGGATTTCAGGAACCAAGTCAGGGATTAAGGCCTAGGTAAAAATCTAGTTTCTGGACTGAAGTATAAGACAGTGCAACTGGGGTGTGAACTCAGTTGCCCTTAAGGTTGAGCTAATAGGTCTTCCAGAGCTCCTGTAAAGGTAACAGTATTAGTCTCAGATGTGGTCATTTGGCTATAATAAAACTAAAGGTTTCCTAGGAGGCAGAGATTGCACTGAGCTGAGATCATGCCACTGCACTCCAGCCTGGGTGACAGAGCAAGACTCTGTCTCAGAAAACAAAAATAAAAACAAAAACAAAAAACTAGAGGTTTTTGAAGAGCTGGCATCCAAATAGATCATGGGATCCTTTTTTTTTTTTTTTTTTTTTTTTTTGGAGATGGAGTCTTGCTCTGTCGCCCAGGCTGGAGTGCAGTGGCGCTGTCTCGGCTCACTGCAAGCTCCACCTCCCAGGTTCATGCCATTCTCTTGCCTCAGCCTCCTGAGTAGCTGTGACTACAGGCGCCCGCCACCACGCCCGGCTAATTTTTTGTATTTCTAGTAGAGACAGGGTTTCACTGTGTTTGCCAGGATGGTCTCAATTTCCTGACCTCGTGATCCACCCACCTCTGCCTCCCAAAGTGCTGGGATTACAGGCGTGAGCCACTGCGCCCGGCCGATCATGGGATCTTTACAGTGGTAGCATGATTGGTACAGTGACAAGGACTGGGGCTAGAATCAGACATTTACATTTCGACTCTGCAATTCATAGTCTGTCTTTGGGAAAGTTACTTCACTTCTCTGAGCCTCAGTTTCTTTATCTGTTGAAAAGGAAATAATATATATCATAGAATACTTTTTTCAGGGGGAAGATTAAGTGAGCTGATATGTGAAAACATGCATCAGGGTTCCCAGAATCTCAGAGATGCTCAATAAATGATAGTTTCTCTCCCTATTATCTATCTTAGGGTGAGATTTTTTGGTTTGCTCTCCTAGTAACAGTTCTTTTTGCTTGCCAAGGGCAAAAATATTATAGCAATGAATGGTTTGATTAGGGGAAATGAGAGAAGACAGGAAGAATAGATAATAATGAATGTCAGGCTTGGGTGAGATATCCAGTAGGGTATTGCTCTAGGGTACTCCAGGATAGCGCTTTAACAACTGGGAAGGGTGACTTGCATATGCCCTAGTTAACTCCTCCTCATCTTTCCCTTCAATTTCTCTAGAAGTCTTTTCTTTCCTTATTTCCCTGCCCTATCACAGTGATCCCAGAGTATGCATTTACATTTATGATTCTTTGATGACTGGCTATCTTCCTCCCTGGGCCACCTGCCTGCTCCATGAGGGTCAGGAACTGTCTGTATGCAGTGTGGCCACAGGATGCATAGCAACTACAGCAGCACCCAGCACGCAGGAAAGGGGCACCAGATCAAGAGGAATGTGAAAATTTGGAAATATTGAGATCATTTCAAACAAACTTTTCTTCCTTCATAGTTTTTTGCACAGGGCTATTAGAGTGGGTAAAATTGTACACAGATATTAAGTTTTATTTGAGAGGTCTTGGAGACTTATAAACTCTGTTCATTGTCTATATCATGGGCATCATTTCCTTTTTTGGACGGTCTTGACGTAGTTACTTATAAAATCTCTGCTGATATCAGCAGCAGTGCATGCCTATGAGACAATGCTTATATTTTATGGCTGCTGTAGCTGTTTTAAAGAGAATCAATATAAGATTATCTACACCTTAATAAACCTTTGAAAAATATGCTCTTTTAATAATAATGCAGCTTTGTCTGTCCTATATACTTTTAGGAATACATGTTTTTAAATCAATGAAATTATGTCCTTCACAGCATCTAAGAGTGGAATCTCATTGTGAAAGCCAGACATTACATTAATGATAAACAAAATTTAGTCAATAATATTGTGAAGTATGAGATTTACTGAAGAATGAAAATATAAAACCCCTCCTTACAAAGCATATTTACAATAAAATATGTTCCTATTTTAACTTTCATTACGATTTTGTTAAGTAAACAAATTTTTAAAAGAAATAGTAATTGAAAAAAATATTTTTTGATCATAAAAAATAACCTGAAAAAGACCATTAGTTGAATTTTTAAAGCCCTTTTTGTGGGATACACATGTCTACATATGTGGCATTTTATACATCATAAGAAGTGCTTTGATAATGAGCCATTTGATTTTAAGCAGAGGTTAAAAGACCATACATGGCCATATCCTTTTCTATGTTCCATGCTTGTAAAAACTGACCCCAGCCCCTCTTTATATATATTTTTTATTTTTTTCCTTTTCTTTTCTGTTAGCTGTTAAAAAGCAACCTGTTTATATTTTGTATGTATTAATTTTGAAAATAAAAAGTCACTTAGGTTTCTATGACAAGTAATCCATTTTGTTATGAGGAGATCCTTTTTCTTTTTTAAATTAAAGCATATTTAGAAATATGAATATTAAGCAAGAATCATTGTTTCAGTAACACCGATGAATAGACAAACCCGGGAAACCATGGTATGAGATAAACCAGTGAGCCACATCACCTCGCAGAGTTCTCTTGTGGGCAACCAGATTGTGGGTTGCTGTGAGCCACACACCAGGATTTCATTCCATACCAGTTCCTCATTCCATATACTCAATCAGCAAAAGAGAAGTTCCATACTTAATAAATGCAAGTCCTAATTGTGGTGGACTATAGCCAGAAATCTGTAGGCCTAATGATGCATATGAAAATGGAAGGATGTAATAGGAGCACAAAAAGAACAATTCCTCGAGTGCTGAGATGGCTCCTTGCCAGCCACCCAAGTTAAAGGCAAGGAGGCTGCTATACTGGGGCCCTCTGGCCTGGAGAATGCCCCTTTCTGTGGAGGCCTCTGCAATGTCTGACCTTCAGGGACCCTCCATGATGAAGGGAGACTAAGAAAGCTGCATCTACTCCCTACCTTTGCTTTTGTTTTATGTATTCACACTCTGTGTGTTTGCTCTTTGGGTAGCAAACTAAAATGAAATCAGCATTAAAGTGAATTGAGTTTAAACTGTCAGAGTTGTGGGATGGCCTAGCTTCCTAATATCAAGTGTCATTTTTTTCAATTTTTGCAAAAATAACTTAATATCCAGCTCATTTCTCTTTTATTTATAGAAGATTTAGTTTTATTATTTAAGTTTCTCCCACAGGTACTTTCAGTTGAATTCTTTACACAAATTTTTGAAAAGGAAGAACCAAAAATTCCTGTCAAAAATGTGATGGGCTGTGTAATTTTATGGCAGACAAGTTTATATCTTATATCTTAATAAAGTACAAAGGAGCGGCTGGCAGGCTTTCAGAAGAGATGTGCCAAGTCTCTGCTTCTGCTAATTATACATTTTAGGTGGCAGCAATACCCACTTTCAAAATAAAGCAAAATCCCCAAATTTTGTTTTCTTAACACCAGATACCCTTTTTTTCTAATCTCCAGAAATTGGGCACTTTCATGTCAGCTTAGGACTAGAAGAATTGAAGTAAGATTTCACTGTGGATACTACTTACTAAATATACATGATGATATCTGGAAAATGAAGTGACTTTGTAATGACTGGTCTTGGGGAGGTACTGGGGAAAGGGAAGGGGGAGAAGAAGCAGGTAGTGGGTATAGAGAAACTATGGGTTCAGAAGCAATGAGTAAAGATGTCATGGAAACAAGAGCAGAGTTGGGGAATTCACCTCCTCTACCCTCTGTATACCTCTGAGGAATAACCACATCCTACCTCCTGCATGCTATGGACTCAGCACCAGAACACAAGTTTCTCTTTTCTCCCTTCCTGATTCCAATAACTTGTCCCTGTGCCAGCAATTCCACAGAACTTAGTCTTTTTGGCAGAGCTGATGGGGTAAACATTTAGAAGCGCCACTCAAAATTTTCATTCACCACTTTGTGTATGTACCATAGTTTGTTGAGCTCCAGAGGATGTTATCAACCCAAATATCTTAGATAATGGGTCACTACAGATAATTCCATTGATTTCCAATCCCCTTTTGGGGGGATAATTACCTACTGTGCTAATTATGATGGTGACATTTTTCCTTAGACAGAAAAGAGAATGAAGATATTTTATCAATGTAAACATCCATCCATTTAAAGTATTTTCCCAGTGATTATGGAGTGTTAGCATTGTTGAAGAGATGAAGAGGGCAAGATAAACATATAAACTCCCTCAACTAGCTACTGGGCAAATAGCTTCTTTATCTGACAGAGAAATTATGTGCAGTCTGTCAAACCAACAATAACAGGATGCTCACAGGGACAGAGGGATCTCTCTCTGCTCTTGCCTTGTGTGGCACATGACAACCAGTAGTAAAATTTTAGCAGTTATTGGCATGTGTCAACTCTGGTTCTGTGGCAAGAAAATGGAAACAGCAGCAATCATGCTCAATTTAAGTCTCTCATGATGTCAGGCTTTTCATGGACTCACACGGACATCAGAAAAGACTCAAAAGGGTTTACAGATGTGCAGTCAGCTATGACAGTGATGCTGCCGACGGGGCTCATGGATCAACTAACGATTAAGATATCAAAAGCAATCCCTGTAGCTTGCTGACAGCTGGTTCAATTGTTTGCACCTGTTTCCCCTTCATTACACATGTGTTTGGAATGGATTATTCTGGCTTGTGCCAGACACATTTCGCCTTTCTTCAGAGTGACGTCCTGCAGAAGCATCACAGCCTGAAGACCAGAAGGCTCTCTATGACGGCCCACTGAAGGAAGAACCAGTGTGCTTTTGAAAATGGCTCTGGGATGTTGAGGCTGACAAGATTATTAGTGAAGATTCTTTCTTGACAACAGTTAACACAGATATATGAACAATGCTTGTTTCCTCCATGAATCAGGGAGAGAGCTCTCTAATCTTACAGTGACACTTGGCCCTTGCCTGTTCTTTGGATAATAGTATCAGCATGCATCCAGCCATCTTGAATCTGTTTTGGAACTAGATAGGGGTATCAATAAGTAAATCAATGAGCCATCCCCCAAGTCTCCTGAACCTTGATGTTACTCTGGATCCCTGTCTCACTCTCAGAGGCAAATTCACTGTGAAGTTGATGAAGCTCAAGCTTCAGATCCTTGTACTTGCATGGGCCCTTCCCAGGTTCTGAGAGTTGCCCTAGCAAGGGGTTCACATGGTTATATGTTTTTGTAAAATGTGCAAAAGTAAGACGTTTCAACCACAGTGGGTTAAGCCTGCTGTTTCTTTCCACACTGACTTCTCCTCTGACATACTTCCCATCATGTGATGTGGTGTTGAAGTGGTTGTGGGCACTTTTAGTGTCTGGCTAAGGGGAAGCTGAGTTGGGGACACATTTAGTTTGGGTTTTGTGGGATATTTTTATGTGGTTTGCAGGCTCTTATGTCTGTATTTCTGGCTTCCAGGAATACTCATAGTGTCTATTATTTATGCCTATTTTTGAATTCTATGTTCTATATTCTGTATCTTAAGGTGGACCCTCCAAATTGAAAAAACTTCAGGCCTTAGTAAATCTGATATCTCCTATTTGCTTCCTGTATCTACACCAAATCCTGTCAATTCCATCTAGTGGTAATGTTGGTGAACTGGTTCTCTCAAAAACTAAAAAGCCCTTATTTACAGCATCTGCTAATTTCCTTGCCTGATTTCATTGCTAATTCCCGGGGATCAATGGTTTAACAACCAGCTCACAGAATTTCTGAATATGTAACAACCAACTATTGCAAGATGGTAAAAGATGGCTCCCGTATGCCACTTATTCTCCCTCAGAAATAGTTCCGTGAACTGGCCTTTTTTCTTTGTCTTGCCTTCTGATTATCTTAGTTTAGACTTTCATCTCTCCTCAACCCTGTCTCCCCAAGACCATTGTAACAGCTTCTTATCCTGTTTTTCTTCCACCTGGCTGTTCCGAGCTCAGTCCACTTTCTAAAATACCACAAGATTTACTTCTTAAAATGCAAATTTGACCATGTAAGCCTCTGGTTTTAATCTTTTCTGGCTTCTCTATTATCTATAGGGGGAAAATGTCAATACTCAATTTGGTTTATAAACTCCTTCATCCTCTAACTCTTAACCTATCATCTGGCCTCATCTTCTTCCATACTACTGAGACTTACTGAGTGAACTCAACATTCCCCAAACGTGCCGAAGCCACCATTTTCCTGTACCTCTCTGTCTGGATTCTGCTTCTTTCCTTTCTCCACGTGGCAGATTCCTACACATATGTATATTCACTGGTTGTTTTCAGACTGTGGAAAAGTTTCTCTCCATTGAGGCAACCTCAAGGATGTCTTCTGTGGGAACTCATTAAACTCACAAAAGTTTGCTTGAAGACCCAGGACAAAAAGAGGGACAAAAGAACAAAATATCTCATTGTTAAAAGTTACATTTCTGCAAACTTCCTTTATACCTAATCAAATAGCACCAAATAAGATGCTGTCACATTGTATGTGACTACTTTTTTCACTGCTGCTGTAAAACAAGTCACTTGAAGGATTAAAAGAAACTGAGCTGGGATATGGGCTCTCCAAGGCAGGAGCATCAAAATTTAATGTTAATTTTTTTTGCCCAAGTAAATTTTCAGGGATAGTCATTAAAATCATGCTCTCTGCTTATTGAACTCATGAGCTGCATCACATTGTCACATTCAAAAATCATTCTATGCCTCTCTTGTACTTTCAGTCACATTTCCTGAGAAGTTTCCTCAATTTCCTAATGTTCATAGGTTCTGCTGTGAGATTCTTTCTGTACTTTTTATAGTACAAGGATGTAGGTAATCATGTACTTAAATTTATCTCCTACGACTAGACTATATGCTCCTCCAAAATACACACTATGACATGTTAATCTAGGCATTCCTAAAATGGGCCCTCAATAGCATATATAAGCCTCCTATAAATATGTGTTGAATAAAGAACGAATAGATGGATTCAAAAAAAAGAAAAGTTGAAGAAGATAAGGCAGTGGTCAGGCTAGGAGGGATCAGTTTTTTCATGTCTATACATGTGGCAATCAGAATACTCTATTTTCGAGATGATAAAATCAAACAATAACTCTATAAATTAACTGTGGAAGCTCTTGGTTTTGTGACTATTAATGTTTACAAACATAACACTTTTATGAAATTAATCTTTATTCTTGATATAATAAATTTTAAACACTACAAAAAAATATGGTTGGCATAATAGGAGAAATGTCACTAGAATAGAAGCCTGGCTTATGAATGTAGTGGTTATGTGATGTGCATCTAAAGCAAACTAAGAGTTAAGAGGAGGATAAACAAAGCCAACTGCAAGAACACGTGGTAAGCTAAGAGAAAGGAGAAGGAAAAGCACCATGCAAAGGAAATCCAGAAGAGGTATTTGTGATAAGATAGACACACTTGTTACTGGGTATGTAGGAAATAACTGGGATAGGGCACAGGAAGGAGGAAAGAAACAAATATTTATAACAAAAAGTATCTAGTAAACTAAGTGACAAATGAATGAGATGATTGGAGGCACTAATTTCAGACTGATTTATAGAACACTTTCTTATACATTATAAGTACACATTATATGATTGATGTTTCCAGAACTGTTTTGTGGAACACTAATGTCTTCAAGATGATAATACTTGTTATACTGGAAAAAATATACCACATATATTATAACCAATTTCTTTTTTCTAAACTTTTTTTGAGATGGAATTTTGCTCTTGTTGCCTAGGCTGGAGTGCAATGGCGCGATCTCGGCTCACTGCAACCTCCACCTCCCAGGTTCAAGCGATTCTCCTGCCTCAACCTCCTGAGTAGCTGGGATTACAGGCACCCAGCACCATGCCCGGCTTTTGTAGTTTTAGTAGAGATGGTGTTTCACCATGTTGGCCAGGCTGGTCTTGAACTTCTGACCTCAAGTGATCCACCCACCTTGGCCTCCCAAAATGTTGGGATTACAGGCGTGAGCCACTGCACCTGGCCATAACCAATTTCTTATACCTTCACTATATTTACTTACATACTAAAGGCTCTGAGAAGTTCTGCATTGAAAAACTTTTTCTCTTTTATTAACCCAAGTTTTACCAAACACACCCAACCACTGAATACTTCTTTTATAAAATATTTATGATGCTATAAAAGGATAATAATTTTCTTTAGAACACAATCTCGCAAAAATATGTATTTGATCTGATTCACTTCAAAGAGGGCCCAGAGTGTGACATGGAGGAGAATTGTTTATTTCAACCAATCTTAATTTTTAGTAATCACAAAGACAAAATATGCACAGGTCACTTACTATCTGAAGATATATTTTCTCCTCTTTGGTATGGTGATAACTAAGTGCTCTACCAACTTGTGAAAATAGAGAGAAACAGCACCTTTGAAAATGCATTGGAAAAATTTAGGACAGCAGCATGACCAGACTATAGACTAGGAGTCAGGCGACCCAGGAAACTTGGGTTTTACAACTAATCTTGCCATTAAGTGTGTGGGTTTAGGAAAGTTATATGAACTTTCAAGACTTCACATTCATATATATATGAAAACCAAGAGCTTCTACCATTATTTCTAGAGTTATAGTTTTGTTTCACTTACATTTCATATGTATAAAATAAAATCCATTTTATGTATTTATGAGGTAGGTGTATTTATGTATAAGATACATTTTATAAAATGTATCTTATACATAAATATGAAATGTGTATGTATATATGCACATACACACAAGGAACTTGGTCTAAAAGGAGTTGTAAGATCCTGAGCAGGGATTATTTGACAGTAAGCTAAAAACAAGATGAGACACAGTGTAAATGCTCAGTCTAGGGAGACAAGCAGAAAGCAGCCAGGAGTGGTTTAAGATAGACACAGGAGCTAA